>NC_000009.12:69470552-70095552 GCF_000001405.40 Homo sapiens | reverse complement strand
GAACCCCCAGCTATCTAGTGATCAATCAAGAAATCTTAGTGTCTTCATTGATTCCTCCATCTCCCTCCAAAATTCTATCAATCTCAATAACTGAATTTTGAAAATTTCTCTCAAAGTCAACCATTCCTTCAAGTTCCTTCCACTGATCCAGCTTACAAAAACTATCTTTTGTCTGGATTATTCCAATGCCCTTCTGATACGTCTATCTGCTTCAGTCTTGCCCCAGTCTAATCTAATCTCCACACTACAGCCAGAGTGTTATTTCTGTTATGCCAATCTGCTCACATCATTTCCCAGCCTAAAACACCTGAAGGGGGTCCCCATTGTCCTCAATTTACATGGCCTTGGTGTTCTGGCTCGCATATTTAACCACACCCTTTTCTGCAGCCTACATGGCAGCTACAGAATTTCTTTTAGTTCCTTTAAGCTAAGGTGCCAGGCTCTTTATTGCTTCAGGCCTTCCCACATGCTGTTTCCTTTATCTGGGATACTCTCTTTCATATCCCTTCCCTCCTACATTCCATGCCACTACTGCTCACTTCCTTCTTAGCTCACTCTATACTTCATTATGGTCTTAGCCTAACATATCTACCATGTAAAATTGTGCAGTGTGCAACCTATACAACTGTACATGGTGGACCTGTTTAGATACTGCTTTTTTCAGGCAGCCTTTGCTAATCTCTACCTCCAAACATGGTTAGATGTCTTTTTTAAGTCTTCTTTTAATATCAGCATTATAACTTTAATTTTTATTTGTCTGACTACTTGTCCACATTCCTCATTAGGATTTTAAGCATATAGGGGTACCCACTATATCTGCCTGTCTCCTAGTATGTGCTTTCTATATTTTTAAATAAATGGGTAAACTTCTTCCTGATGGTAGTCTTGTTTTATCATGTTTATATATAAAGCTACATTAAAACTCTTTTTTATTATGGAAATCTCCTATTAGGTTTCAATTTCTTGCAAATTACTCAATTTGCTGTTATTCAAGGAAATATAATATTTAATGAGAACTGTAACTTTGCTGGCAACTCACACCACAGTTATTATTTTCACATATACCTCTACTGTTATATTTTCTGAAATACAAATTCTCACTATGTCAGGATACACAAAAGATTGTTGAAATGCACAATTCTCTGCCTTTCTGGAATGCAGAGTTTGTGGGAAGCATTTAGAAAATGTTTCAGTGTGTGACATTTCTAGATTAAAGAGAGCTATAGTTTTATCAGCCTCAAATTTCAAGGAGTCCCAAAGTGCAGAGATCAGCAATACATGGAGAAATGGTGAGGTCAGCATTGCTTAGCCGTCTTGAATGCCATTTTGGTTCTCCCTGACAACAGGGAAATTATCCTCATATCATAGCTAACACTGCAAAAGTAGTCTTAAAAGATTACAAAGCATTAAGCCTGGCAAAAACAAAACAAATGCCAGGAGGCAATCTCCAGTGTAAACAATCTGCCAACATTTGAAACCACAACCACAGATGTTTGTTCCACCCTTTGTCATAGGGTCTGTCATAGGGTGTAGCTTTAAGCCCTGCTGGCCCAAGTGGCAGTTTTAGAAGAGAAGTTTACCTTAGCAACCAGCAACAGAAAACCAAGTGATGAACCCACAATGAAAGGTCACATAATATTTGGAAAGGGAGCTTCACTTTATATGGTATTTAACAAAGGATGAAAATATAAGAAAAGGCTGCATTACCCGATAGAGAGTGTTTGTTCTACCAAAGATCAGTTCTCAGAACACATTTTCCACTACATCATTTGTCAGGTAGGGAAGATATTCCTTCTAAACATAGAAATGTCCCTGTATTTAGGCCGAGTGCGGTGGCTTATGCCTGTAATCCCAGCACTTTGGGAAGTCAAGGTGGGTGGATCACTTGAGGTCAGGAGTTCAAAACCAGCCTGACCAACATGGTGAAACCCCATTTCTACTAAAAATAAAAAAAAAAAAATTAGCCGGGCATGGTGGTTGGTGCCTGTAATCCCAGCTACTTGGGAGGCTGAGGAAGGAGAACTGCTTGAACCCGGGAGGTGGAGGTTTCAGTAACCCGAGATCTTACCACTGCCACTCCAGCCTGGGCAACAGAGCAAGGCTCCATCTGAAGAAAAAAAAAAAAAAAAACTGTCCCTGTATTTAAAATACATGTGGATGATGATGACATCAGAAGATAATGAGTAACTGAATTCACCCTGCAAGTTCCCCAGGTGTACCTGGTATGAAAAAGGTATTCTCCTTCCATAAAATATGTGTCCATTCACAAGACAAGAGATGCTATCTTACCAGTTTTGCTAAGAACACTGCCATCAGCATGGCTGAATATTTTTTCTCATGTATTGTGCAAGGCAATTCTGTCAAACAAAAGAGTTATATACCTTTCAGCTTCATTTAAGCAAGAAGAAAATAGGAGTTCCTATGAAAATTTCACTATAGTACAGATACATAAATAAATATATATACACACACACATATATACATATGTGTGTATGTATGTATGGGTACACATACATATTTGCTTTGATTTGGACTTTCACATTTCAAGTTCTGCATTTTACATCTATTATAAAGGATAAAAGCAAGTAGGAACAAGAATATTCCATTGAAAAAGAAAACGTAGCAGTGGAGGTAAACACATTTCATTTCATTGCATTATAGAGAAGATATGACTTACGATGGTGGGAGCGTAAGATTAGAAATAAGAGTTTAAATGAAGGTAAACCTCATGATATCTGTAAAATGAGCAATCTAATCTAGATTCATGAATATAAAACATTTTTTTCTCCAAACATAATTGAATACAGAAATCCATCTATTAGCAGAGCAAAGAAGAATGGCTGTGATCACCAGGTAGGCAGAATAGTCTTATATAGCCATTTGTTGTCCAGGGCAATTTTGCCTATTAAGTCTGTTTCCTCCCAGTTAACCTTCCTTCCATGAGCCTCTGAAGCTTGATGTCTGAACTCAGGGATGGTTTGGAAACCCCTACTTAGGCAGTCTTGGGTCTTCTCAAATACTGCAGTCTAATACCATGTCCTGCCTGCTCTAAAACTGACTCCTGCTCCTTCCGTCTGTTTTTCCCAGTTTACAGATCTGGCTTGTGTATTCACTCTCTACATGTCTATGTAAGTAACCACATTCGCATTGGCTGAGAAGTCATCACTTGCAAAATAGTCTTTATTGAGTTCAAGAGCCAACATGCTCTCTGGTCCTTCTAATCCAGCTGTTCTCAACCTTGGCTGCACATGGAATCACTGAGGGAGGCCTTGGTCTGCAGTAAAGCCTACACACCTCCCCAGGTGATTCTAATAGTCAAGCCAGATTTGATAAGCACTCTTCTTATCTGCTTACTCTCCTCCTTCTATTCTAACACAGCTGGACTCCAGCCAGACCATATATTCATTGATGGCAGGTTTTTGTCTATTTTACTCAGCGCTTTACCTTTAATGCCAAGTAACATAATAGGTGTTAAATAAATACATGCCAAATGAATTAAGCAGTCTACCCTGCCAGTCATTTACCTAAGGTAAAGATATTTTAAAATTAAGGCAATAAATTTAAGTCCAAGAACAATAAACACTGAAAATGAAGTCCCCGTTATTTGGAAATCTTCCTTAAGTAAGAAAGATAAATGTATGACTATGTGCCTAAGGCTTATGAGAAATAAATCACAGTAAAGTTGGGAGAAAACAAGGCAGTAGGTTTCAATAAGTTGGTTGCCATGGAGACTAGGGTTTTGATGACAATAACACTGATAGCAACTGTGTTCATTCCTGACCAATTTAGAGCACTTAACTATTCACAAAGCACTGGGGCATAATTAAGCCTCATAGCAACCCCATGATACAATTGGACAGTTATCATCCTTCATTTCCTAAATCAGGAAGGTCTGGCTCAGAGAGTATCTGCTGCCTAACAAGCAGCCAGATTCCGGATCCGATTCGGATTGCCAAATTAAGCAATTAAAAATTCGTAAATATGTTCCAAATATCACTGGGGACATACTTATACTAAAAAAATTATTTGATTTTTATTTGAAATTCAAATGTAACAGGGCATCCTGCAACCTCAGGTTCCAGGCCAGTTCTTTATCTGTGAAAAGAGTATTTTAGATTCGAAAGTCATGGTGGACCCTCTTGGATTAAATGGGCTACACTGTGGCTCCTGCCTTCTCTCCCTGACTCTGAGATTAGGTCTTCCTGAAGGCTTTGCACATGTCCAGCTCTTGGCCTGTGACCTACTCCAGCATAGCAGTGGGCTGAGCCGAGCAAGAAAAGAGGGTGGCAAAAACCACACAAATGATGTCTCTCAGTGTTCCAGGGCCAACTCTCCATGTGGACTCTGTGGGGTTTATTTTTAGTAAGTAATACAGAATGATACATAATTCAAAGATATAAGAAACTGAAGCCAAGCCTTCCTCTTACCCTCAGTTTCTGGGACACCCTTCCAGAGATACTTTATTCATGTATAAACACACACAAACATATCTTTAGATATAGCCTTTTAATTTTTCTACAAACAGTTAACATACTATATGCGATTCTGTGCCATGCTGTTCTTCACTGAATATATCTTGGAGATGGTTATATTATCTATCTGTTTCTCTATCTAAAGCTTCCTCATATCTTTAACTGCCACATAGCATAGCTTTCCATTGTATAAATGTACCATAATTTAATTAATTGGTGCCCTTGTGATGCATAATTTTCCAATCTTAAGCTATTAAAAGCAATGTGGTGATAAATCTTCTTGTATTTAGGACTAAGTACGGATTTCTGAGTATAACCATGGAAGAAGACCCTCGAAAGGGAACTGCTGAGTTAAAGGAAATGTGCCATTTATACTTTGGCTAAATGTTCCCACACTTTCATTCCTGAAGTTGTGCCAATTTATGTTGGTAGAAACAATGTATTAGAGCACTTTCCCCATCATCATAAATACAGTGTATGTTACTAAACTTTTTGATATTTAAACAATTTGATAGATAAAAAATGGTATCCCAGTGCCATTGTAATTTGGGTTTCTCTCACTATGAGTTAAATTGAACTTTTTTTTTTTTTTTTTTTGAGACAGAGTCTTGCTCTGTCACCCAGGCTGGATTGCAGTGGTGTGATCATGACCCACTGCAGCCCTGAACTCCTGGGTTCAAGCAATCCTCCCACCTTAGCCTTCCAAGTAGCTGTAGCTGCAGGCATGAGCCACCACACCAGGCCAATTTTTAAACTTTTTGTAGAGAAATTTTAAACTTTTTGTCTCACTGTGTTGCCAAGGCTGGTCTTGAACTCCTGGCCTCAGGTGATCCTTCTGCCTCAGCCTCTCAAAGTGTTGGGATTACAGGTGTGAGCCACCATGCCCAGATGACATCTTTTTGTATGTTTAAAAGCCACTGATATTTTTATGTGTGTGTGTGTGTGTGTGTGTGTGTGACATCCTTGGCCTATTTTTTTAATTGGGTTGTTGGGCTTTTAGTACTGATTTACAAAAATTCTTTATGTATTAAGAAAATTAACTGGATATCTGTCATCCATGTTGTCATGTTCCCCTAGTTCATTCGTTTTTTGATTCATAATCATTTCAATGCAGAACTTAATGAGTTTTGAAAACACCTTCTATTTACATGAGTATAAGACATATTTAGGTTAAAAAGGCTCATTTTCAACAACATACATGATTATCTCCACAACTATAACAGCTACCATTTGCAGGAGGACTTATTATGGGTCAAGTCATGTGCTAATCACTAAATACTAATCTATTTAAGTAATCACTGCAGTCCTATGAGAAATGTACAATTGAGTCATTGTACCAATAGTTCCTAAGATTTATTTGGACCTAAAGCTAGCCTGAAATAAAATTACTAAACCATATGGAGTTTGTATTTGGTGTATTCCCAACTTTTCCATCCAGCTTCTCTCCTCACCACAACATTTCTTCACTCTTTTCTCTTCCCCTCTCCACCCAGAGTCCCCACTCCCCTCCCCTTGTATCTTGTATACATTCTGAGGAAGAGCCTATTTATAATTCCCTAGATTTTCCTGCCAGCTCTCAGCCAGTCCCTACTAGAGTGCACACTGAACAGCTCCCCAAAACTTGTAGAGCACAAAAGCAATTTTTAAGATGCAAAAAATTCAAATATGCATAAAATTAGAGCTACAACTCATTGATATGATAAAGGGCAAGGGATTATTTGCAGAAATGGATGACGTATGAAGCTTCATATTCTGAATGCACATGTTCAGCCCTGTCTAGACTGTGAAGAGCATCAGAAAGCCCCTCTGGAATTTGAAGCATTGTGAATTCTAGAGAACAAGTGCCCAGGATTTGGAGTCAGAAGATGCTGTCCTGGTTTACTCTCTCTGTTAACCATGAGTCCTGGGGTAATAGTGTAGCTGACAGAAAGAGCCTGGATTTTAGAATCAGGTAGCTCTTACTTAGAATAACAACTCAGCCAATCAGTGCATGATTTCAGGAAATGTAATCAACCTCCTCCAAGCCTTAGTTTCTCAGGCGTAAAATGGAGATAATAATATGAACCTCACAGAGACGTTTGTGTAAATTTAATAACATCATGCATGGAAAGTGCCCAGCACAATTCCTGGTGTAGTGTACATTCTCAGTAAAGCATGGTCTCAGATTTTACGTCTGTCAAATCATTGTAATACTATACTATCAAAATATTTTATATTTAAGTCGTAAATAGCAGTCTCCTCAAATTCTATCATTCATGTACCACTTTTGGGGTTTTGCCATATCTGTGCACCAATGGTACTAATATTACTTAATATTTTTCTTTAACTGTACTCATCTTTGAAAAATGTAGCATTTATTTTAGTTGGTTTCAGGAAAATTAGCATATTATCCATGAACTTGGGAGTAGTTGTACTGGTGAATCTAGTATGTTTAAAAATCAATACATAATTATTAAAATAGAAAACTATGGCCACATGCCCCCTGAAATAATCTCATGAACCACCATTGTATGCCTACTACACTTTGGAAAACACTCATTTACGTGAAAGTTTGTTATTATTATATTTTCAACCTTTCCTTTTCAGGACTTGGAAGCTAAGGCCCAGAGAGGAGGAGAAACTTGATCAAAGTCAATCAGACAATGCAGAATCGAGAAAAGTACCTGGACCTCTATGCCCATGCTTCTAGCAGCCAGCCTCCTAAAATACCTCTAGTTGAAGCCAAAGTTAGAATCCTTCTACGAAACTACAGGATTAAAATGGTGATTTTCTGAAGCAATCTTGTTTTTCCCCCATTGTTCTTACCTTTCTTCACCTAGGAGACCTAAAAGGCAGGGTTTTCTTCCCAGAACATGTCTAATAGTGCATACCTGAGATGACCCAGCTATAAGCCTTTCTTGGTTTAACTGTAGGAGCCCAGGGGTAAATGGAATGGAACCAAGGAAGGCAGAGAGATTGGGGTTGTCAACATCATATCCTGCTTAGAGACTTCTGTAAAAGTTGTCTGATCTTATTTTACTTTCCCAACTGAACACTCTAAAGTGTGTCAAGACTTCTAGATGTTTCTACCCATTGCCTCCAAAAATTTAGATATGTTTAAATTCTATGCCTTTTAAAAAAATCAAGAAATTCCTAAATACTCCCTAATTGAGAAATAATAAAATTTAAAAGTTCGTAATAGAGAGCAGTTTGGGGACCTACAGAAGTAGCAAGAGTGCAGGCAGCTCTGCAATGGGTTCTCTTGCCTTTGTTTCTAAGTATCAAACTCAGAAACCAACTAAGGGTTGAGGATGTTGCAGTAGATGCATGTTGTCTGTGCCTTCTTAGTATCCATTCCCTGACATTTCTGGTTAACAGTATCCTGGTTTTTCTTTGGAAAATCTGCCCTTCCTTATTTTCAGTCCAAATGATTTGAATGGGGCTGACTCTGACCCTTAACTCCCTTTCCAGGAATGGTTACATGACCCAGGCTTGACCAATCAGATCATCCAAACCCTTTGCCACAGTGATTGGTCCAGGGATACATGCATGAGCCAGCTCAGGTAAATGAGACTCAATTATAAGAATTTTGTTAGCGCAATTGGGAAAAAGAAGTTTTCTTTCCATGAGAACTATCAGCTATAAGAATGTTGGATGCTTCCATCTGCTGGAGTCCATGAAGAAGGTCCATGAAAATGAAGCCAGCACAACAACACAGAGCTAAGACATACAAAGAGATGGAGATTAAATTGAATGGAACTTTTAAGCCCCTACATGCCCTTGAAGCCAGATATCCCTGAACTTTTAATTTATATTAGTTGATAAAGTCCTTCTTTAGCTTAAGCCAATTTGAATTAGAGTATTTTTCACTTGGGGTCCAAAAGAGCTCTCAATACAAAAGTCTGACTGAGTGCATGATGTGCTGGTTTCAACCTCAAGGGAACAGGGAAAGGGAAAGAAAGAGGCAGAGGTTGTGAACAGGACAGTAGAAGGTGGTCAGGAGACAAATATCTGGACTCAACTTTGTCCCTACTGTGTGGCCTTGAATAGTGAGTTAACCACTCCGAGCCTCAGTTTCCCCATCTGGAAAAAAAAGTTAGTGGACAGTCACTAGTTCTCAGACAGAACTCTGTAGCAGCGAGAGGGTAATGGGGATTGAGAGTCCCAGACTTGCATTCTGAGGGACTAGCTCTCCTCTTATCTATATCATATACCAGGTTTTCTTGTAAGGTTTTGTTAGAATGGGTCTCACTGTTAAAATGGATTAGCTGATCATTTCAGTTCTATTTATATTAAAGTCTAAATTGAATCAAGGCTCAGCTGGGGCCCAGTAAGAATGTAGTGCCTGGTTAATAATATTTTCTACTCTATGATAGGAGTTGGCCAGAAGCCAAGGTCAAAAACTCAATCCCTGGAGGGTTTATTTGCTTTCTGCAGACATAAAAAATTGTTAATAACAATGATCTGCATCCCCAATCTTGAGAGCTGTCTTAGAGATGTGGGTCATTGATCACAGAAGGGGCTGGGAAAAGGAATGTGGATGATTCCAAATAGTCATTAGCTCTGCCTTAAATGCCAATACAAACACTACTGCCAATGCTCAAGGCAAGCAACCTCTTCATAGCTAGAACACAGAGGGTGGTGTGCTTGAAGGCTTTTGTTTCTCCTCAAGACAGTGTAGAAAAAGCTGAGAAAACAAAGAGCACTTGTTTCACAATTAACTGCACAACACCTGATGTATATCCACAGTCCTCTAAATTAATATGGATTCGCTTTTCTTTATAAAGACAACATACACATTGTAGTGGAAATCGGATGGGAGGATAATTTTTATGAAAGCATATAACAGTATTTTTATAAAATATAAATTATCATTACAGTAAAATATATTAACTTCAAGGCAAGTTTTGACACTGTATGCAAGTTTAAAGTATTTCAAATTTTTAAAAAGTGTATCTTAACAAATAAATTTTAGCACCAATTGCCAGAATTGTTGTCCACCACTATAGTCAAAACAATTTTCTTTTCTTTATTTCAACTAAAAATTGTGAATGGGACTAAAGTCTTTATGCAAATATATACTCCAATAATAATATTAATCTTGCCAACAGTAGCTGAATATTTAATTAACTTTAACAAACATGTTGAAAGATAATAAACTAAAAAAACTATTTTTCCTTATAGTCTCTGTATAACTAGGTGCTTTCTCATTAGAAAGCTTATTTTTTCAAAAGTATATATAACATAGGTAATTTATATTAATAAAAAATAAAAAGTTGCAAATTTCTTGAGGTGTAATTTCTCATGTTGATTAACTTCTGATCTCTATCATTTTGCTTACATGTACCATAGATACACAAAAACCAGATGGGGGGCAGGGTAATCAATCTTAGGAGAGGGCAATAGTTAAGTCAGACTAGGCAGAGTCAAGACAAGAGGCAGGCAGAGGGTTAGTTGAGGGCAAGTTATGAATGCCTCAGAACACATCTCAGGATTTGGAAACAAGCAGTAGTCTGGTCAAATCCAAACTGGGAAACACAGATGGCGTCAGGATTAGACAAAGTCAGGAGGGCGAGACTAAGCTAGGCAGGAATATATGTTGACACTGGGAAAAAAGATTCAGTTTTACCAGATGACAAGGAGTTTCAGACAGCACCTTGGATAGCTCCCTGGGTAAGAGGTACTTTGACAAAACTAAGACCCTAAGAAGTAAAGAATCTAATCTTCTAAGCTCCAGACTTCCCAGTTGGCACCACCCCTTGATGGAATGAACTTGGTCCCAGGAGCCTAGGGGAACAAGTTACAAGCATTCACTGGAGGACTTAAAACTCTAGGGACGGTGTCTATGCCCCCACGGTAAAAGGCTGTTGATGGTAATACTGAGGAGAGTTATCGTCTTCCCAAACTTCAGACAATTTGTTTTCCAAATGCCTTATCGCACCTAATTTGGGAACAGAAGATCATCCTAGGACTAGCATTGCTGTGAATGACAAGGGGCCCTGTAGTGCAGCTTTAATGTCTTAATGTTTACCCTTGATTTCTTATTGTCTATTTTGGGTACTTATATTTACAGATTAAAGGAAGTGTGATATAGTAAATTATGTATCTGTTAGATGTAATAAAATTCTATATTAAAACAAGTTTAATTTTCCCCATCACTGCAATTTCAGATATAGTAAAGTTCATGATTTTTAAAAAATCCCTGGGTTTGACATTCATTCAGGCCTCTGTTGCCAGACTTTTCCCCTTTCTGGCCACGTACTGTTACCAGTGGAGAAAAGTTGCCTTCAGCTGACTCCTCACTGGTAGAGCCTAACAATTCAAGTTCAAAGATATATCATTTATCTCAACATCCTTTGGTTGTACTTGCCTTATAGTTTCAGTGGATCATAATAACTGGGAAGCCAAGCTCATTCCAAATGGCTTATTCACTGAATTGAAAGCACATTTAGATTATTAATCAAGTTAATAAAAGATTTGTATAAAATTAACCTAGGAAAGGAATCAGGCAGAGGGAGGAAAATAAAGACATTGTTAGTGGAGTAAAGGTTAGGCAGGGGGTGAGGTGAGAAAAAAGAACCACTGGGGATACCTATCTAGCGTGTGATTGTGACTATATGGAGCCCATGGCATGATGACGTGGAACCAGCTCTGAGTTCATTCATTCTGCAATATTTGTTGAGCATCTACTCTATATCAGGTACTGTTCTAGTCCCTGGAGATAGAGCTGTAAACAAAACAGATTTTCATGGCATTAGTTATTCTTTTCTGGCAATCTTAAGTCAGGTCACCTTGAGTGAGAGCTGTCTGGGTGACAATTCTTCAGAGACTATGGCCAAGATACAACATAAGGAGGTAGCTAAATAGGAAGTCAGACCTGCAAACAGATACATGAAAGACCTGAGTGAGAGATTTAAGGGTTATGAGTCTCCCGTCTCACAGAAACCTCACAGTATATACTTTGAGAAGTGCCAGGTGAGCAGAAGAAGATTCCAACATATTTTGATGCCAAGGAGGAGTTGATACATTAGAAAACACATAGGTGATACTTAGTTGGGTTTCTTTGTATGGCTCGAGATCACAAAACATTAACATTGGAAAAGACTTGAGAAGACATTGAGGCTAACTAACTCCCTCTCTCAATTATTCTTAAGTCTCTTAGCTAATTAGTGGTAAAGCCAGGACATGCTCATCTTTACTGAAATTGAGGCAAGATGTTTCTTTGTGTCCCTCTCACATTTAATTGTGTCTGGCTAAAGAATCTCCTTGATAATAGCAAATTGAACCCACATTAATATGTATAAACTTAAAGTACTACAGGGCATTCATTTTTTATTTTTCCTTGGGCCCCTGATAGGCTGGACTTTGGCTTGGGA
The DNA here is from genome assembly GCF_000001405.40 of Homo sapiens. Lineage (NCBI taxonomy): Eukaryota > Metazoa > Chordata > Mammalia > Primates > Hominidae > Homo > Homo sapiens. The sequence goes on along the minus strand of NC_000009.12, from coordinate 70,083,725 downwards.
TAAAAGGTATTAAAAAAAAAAAAAAAAGAAAGAAAGAAAGGAAGAAATCATGCGTAAGCATGCAAAGAGGAACACAGCCAAGGGAATGGAATGCAGTGCCTGACCTGGAGCTCTCTGGCTTCTTTCAGTGAGAAGTGCCATCCTTCTCTTCAGTTACAACTCCCTTCTGACATGTGACTTATTGCTTTTATACAGAATAGATTGTCATAAGTGGTGGATTGGACAGGACTTGCTTTGGCTTAGGAGACATATTATATCCATGCAAAAAAAATTTTCACTGAACTATGGATCCCTTAATTGCTTTAGCTATAGAATGAGCAACACTTTTTTTTTAATAAAAGCAACGATATATGAACTATTTTCCAAAACTCTAGTACAAAACAAATATAACTTTAAAAAATGAAAATGAGAGAATCCCATAGATATACACTGTAAAATGAAAATATTGATTTATTATAGTACTGCTAAACATCAGTGGTACAATATAAAGAGAGAAGGGAGGGCAACAGTGGGCAAACCACCCATTCATATCTGAAAATGAGACAATAGCAGCCACTGCTGCCTTCCACAGTTTTCAAAAGTTGGCCAGGTTGGCTATTATGCCTTCTGATTTTACTTATAAAATAAAATGTCCTATGATTCCTTTTTGTTTTTTCCATCTTTAGCAGGAGATGCTAGGCGCTAAACATGCTTTGAAATTTTACAGATGATAGGTAGTGTCTTCTAGAATATTTCCATTGTATCTTAATTTTTTTTACATTTTCAACATTCCTTTTGGACAATGTAGTGGGGGAGAGGCATTTATTAGAAAGTTCTGACTTGCAGGTGGCATTGTATTATGCGCCAAGAGTGAACCAGATAGAGGAAGTTGCTCCTTAAGCTTGCAGGTCTGAAAGAACAAGGAATTGCCTCTCTTCAAAGGCAAGTAACTTCCATGATTGACACTTTTCTCTCATCAGCCCTCCAACAGTAATTATGCCAGAAACAGACCCAAACCTGGGCTAGTCACTTGTAGCAGGCTTTCTGGACATAAGGCTGTAATCACACCTGACTTTCCTTTCAGATAAGAAGTCCAGCCACTTCTTTAATTTATCGGATTATAAGGTAGAGGATATATATATTTAAAAATACCCCAATAGTCTTGCAGAGGTTAGAAGATGATAGCACTCCAAACTAGGAACAATTGAGTAAAAGCATAAAAAACTAGTGATATTAAATGAAAGACCATCCTTTCATTCACTTTTTAAATATGTGAATTACAGACTTACTTCCATGGGCAAATTATATTAGACTGAAGCTTGGCTTTTGAAGATGCCTTTTTTAAAAGAGTTTTTTTACCTAATGAATTTGACATTTCCAGAACAACTATAATTCATAGAGATTTCTGTAGCTTACATAAGGGCTGTTACCCACACCATCTTATCTGAGCTCCCCAGCAATCATTTAAGAGGATATTATTATTCCATGTTCTCTATATCATTTATTTATTTATTTATAGAGACAGGGTCTTGCTATGTTGCCCAGGCTGGTTGTAAACTCATGGACTCAGCCACATTCTGTATATCCTAACACTTCACAGTCTGTATCAAGAAGCAAGATGGAAATTCCTGTATGCATTTGTTTCTTCTCTTTTATTTTCCCTGCCCCACAGGCCTAAGCCACACTCATCTTGTGGATGACACTGGAGCTGTGACAGTCTGTTCTGTCCAGGCAGGGTGTCTTTTATTTTTATTGGAAATAAGATTATCACAGGTAAGAACATCTGGCATAGGCACAGTAGGTGACGGGTAAGAATTAGGTGATTTGATTGTAATTGGTTAGCTTCCTTAGATATTCCCAGGAGGAAGTAATGGCCTCAGGGGGCCTCCAGAAAAAAAAAGATCTCATGAAATTTCTTTCGCTTAGTGGATTGAGCCTGGGGCTAGCTCATATGATGACTATGGGACCTTCAATTTGCTGAATCTATCCACAAGCTTCTACACTCTTTGGGAGATTGGTTAAAAGTCTCTCGAAGACACCAAGACTTCAAGAGAAGTCTTGAGTTCTTCAGAGAAGTCTGGAGAAGACTGAGAATTTGTAAGGCAGTTTCATTGTTTTTGAAGGGTTTTTTAATATCCCCTAATTTTACTTGTGTTGGTCTATCTGTGGAAATGTGTGGTATGTACACACACACAAACCATACTACAGACAAACTCATAATACGAAACATTAAAGTTTTGTTTCTGCTGTTCTGAATATGCTTTGGTGCATGGAGACCTGGCAGGACTATAAAAATAAGGTATAACAAACTCATCCCAAGCAAGGGGCAGGAGAGGACAGTGCCTCCCTGGTCATCAATTACAATGACACATTCAAAGCCTAAGTCAGCTCTCCACTCACAGATTTGGACATTCCCTCCCCCTCCAGGACGGTTCTTGTGGCTTTCCATTGCTCTTGAGCCCAAGATAAACATCCTCAAGATCTGACTTATCATCTATCACTAGACCAAACCACATTACCTCATTTTCCTCTTCCCTGCCTACTCCCAAATTAAATCTTACTCCTGGCCTGCCCTTCTTCCCCTTCCCTGTCCCATCAAGCTCTCTCCTTTGTGTCAAACAAACAGCTGACAGTCTCTCTTCAGCCAGACTCTCAAAAATCAAACAAAAAAAGGTAATTTTCAGCCCTATGTAAACCATTTGGCTCAACAAACATTTATTATTAAGTGCCTACTTTATGCCAGGCAGAAAACAAAAACACATCAAAGGGCCTACCTCAGTGAGCTGACAGTCTACTGTGGAAGTATTATGTTCCAGGGATGCCTGAGTCAGGGCACCTAACCGGACCAGTAACCCCAAATCTCTCTTCATTTGACAGTGGAGGATTTTTAAAAATTAGGTGTTTCCACACTGTTTTTCACAAAATAGGAACTAGACCTGTTTGGGGATTAAAACCTTCCTGACCATTTAGAAACTCTGCAATATTTTCCATTCCTCGATGTTCAGTTTGCACTTGGCCACAAGACGTGGTTTAGGAAGAGCTGTTGGCCGCTAACTCAACACAGATTGGCAATGACACATGGAAACCTAGGAAACTGACTGTGTAAACAAACAATACTCCCAAATACACACACGGCCCAACCAACTGCCCCTGCAAACCCCACCACTGCAGAGCAAGGCACTTTTTTCTTCCTTTTTTCTTAACAGAGGACCTTAAGGTAAAAAATAAAAATAAAAATTTCCAGCAACAGGAAAATGATTAAATAGATTATGATCCATATTACAGACTGTTAGGCAACTATTTAAAATAATGAGTTAGATCGCTGTTGACCTGGAAATGTCACATGTATGAATGTGCAGATCTCTATAGACTTGGAAATGTCACATGCATGAATGTGTGTGGATATATGTACACATACATGTATAGTGCTACAGCATATAAAAACATAGGTACACTTTCATAAGCTTTAAAAATAATGTTTCTACATACATAGAGTGATTGTGGAAAGATGCATGCAGCACGCTGCTTTGATAATATTAGCTACCTCGAGGAGATGGGAAGAGGAAGACTATTAATCTATTAATTAGTCATTTATCCCCCATATTCTGTATTATTTGAATGGTCATAAAGGCATGAATGGTTTGGTCATTTAAAATAACCAATAGTGTATTAAAGCAAAAACAGGAGATGGAGAAAATACTATCTGCCCTACAAAATGAATGATACATTTAAAGTGTTTCAACATACACAAAGTAAATAAGAATAGTATTTTGCAATAACACTTGTAATTACACAACATCTAACCACCAAGAAGCTCTGTTTGCAGACAAACTTTCATTCAGTTTTAATCGACTGCAGCTGCACATGCTCCCACTCAGCCAGATAAAGGGCAGGTGTGTTTTGCTTATGTTGGGGACAGGCCGAAGGCACACCTGTCAAACAACTTCTGCAAGGTTGCACAGTGAGCTGTGGATCCCAGGGAAGTCCTCTGAAACTCACCCATTCATGTGTTCATGCTGGGTCTCTGGTTTGCAAAGGACAGATTTATTATGACATCTGAGAATAAACAAGTAGCCATTTTCCTATCAAAAACTCAGAAGTGGCCATTACATGTGCAGTTTAGAAGCAATTAGTCCAGTGCTCACAAATAACTCATGGAGGCTGACCAGAAAGCAAACCCCCTTGGCTTTGATTCATAACCCCCCAGCAGACCACCCACACTGTATGCTTAAGGACCATGTGTGCTCATCAACAAAACAATAAGATCTGACAGTCTAGGGCTGTTTATACTCATGGTGCTCTGCTGGGTGGCTCACTCAGTAGGAGAGAATAGTTAAGGTCATTCTTATAGCAGTTTATAATGTCATGAATTTGTTCCTTGAATAAGCCCTTTGAGAGCTTCTGTGTCTCAACATCAGAAAATCATCCTAGATCCATACTTGTACACAACAGTCTGTGCCAGTGAGATTCATTCTTTTGGGAGCTCTGCTAATAATGCACGGTAAGTGAGCCAATAGTCATCTATAGCATCTCAGGGCTTCCCCTTGGGGTGGAGGGTCAGGTAGAGCATGGTTTATTACCAATGAGTGTGCATCAGAGGCCAGGAGTTGGTGACCCAGTTGGGTGTCTTGACAACAAAACACACTAGCTAGGGGGAGGCTGGAGTGAAGACAAATTCCAGAAGATGGCTCCCTCTGTGCTAACCCTGAGGTCTTGGGATTCTCAGATGGACAGTTTGTGAAGTAAAGATCAATTGGAGCTGGTCACCTGAAGCAGGCTGGGTTTGCTGTGGGCCATCCAACATCCCCACTTCCTAAGGAGGTAGAATTCCTAAGGGAAGGAGGGCAATAATTCTGAGTGTGCGAGGCCTGGGGATGAGGATTTTTGTTGGCAGGACATGGCAGCTTGCATGATAGGCTTGGCTACCCATTGTTTCTTAATTAACAGCTGAGAAAAGAAAAGAATTTTCATTGGAGGAACGCAAATCCTTTAAAATTTTCAGGTCCAGAGAGATATTAAAAGGAGGTAGCAATTACATCCTACTCCCGGCTTTGAGCTATGTTTTCATGTCTTGAAACTGCTTGCTATTGCCCAGATAGCTATAAATTAACCTAATCATGCTACACAGGGTACTACAACCCACACCCTATACCTTAACAATGTATATAGCCAATCACTAATCAACATTGTTTTTGTAAACCAATAAGAATTCCTAACTTTGTGTTAGTTCACTCCGTGTCCCCTTTCTTCACCTTTAAAAACTTGCTTATAACAAAGGTCAATGGAGCTCATACCCAAGGTTGCTTGAGTCTGAGTCTTCTGGGCAGCTGTCCTCACTTGGCTTGTGAAACGTTTAAATTATATTTTGTGCCTCAGCCTCTTCACTTTAGGTTGACGTAGCATAAAACATTATGTGGGCACTTTGAAAAATACCACTGAAGGGGCCTAAGGTAAAACATGAACATTCTGAAGGAGAGAAACGGGGTAAGAGGGAGTTATCAGATTGATTTAAGGTTAGTAAGATACACAGATTAAATGGTGTGTGCTCTTACAGAGTCACCTTGGATATCCATCCTGCATTCAAGATGATTTTGCAAAAGCAAATGAACCCCTAATTGTCATGATCTCACACATTGTGCACTATAGCAGTTTTTTTTCTATTTCCTAATAAAAATTATAAGTAGGAATGGTGGAATTGACTTCCTAATAAAAATTATAAGTAGGAATGGTAGAGTGAAGTCTCTGAAATTAATTAATTGATTCTGAGTTTCAAGGGACACATACATACAAATGAAATTTTCTTACCTGTGAATATCACATGCAGTGCAGTGTTGTAACTTCACACCTTTTGTTGTTTGGGCTGGGCTTTCATACTAGCTTGCCTCTCCTGGACTGAATCCCTGCTTTGTTTCTTGCAAATGGACCAACACAGTCAAGAAAGGCTTGGCATTGACATCTCTGGTTCATGAAAACCAATAAGAAAGTCCAAATGGCCTGCACCCCTCAGAACATCCAAAGAGGAAGCAAGGGTCAATGATAACTATTCTCTAAGATGGGCATGTGATGCATACAGCACTAACATGACACTACCATCATCTCAATTTCTCATGAAGGTAGAGTTCAGAAATTATAATTCCTGATGCCTATTCCATGCATCATGGAGCCATGCTGTCTAAATGTCAGCCACTAGCCATTTAAATGTGGCTATTTACATTTAAACTAACTGAAAGGAAATAAAATTAAACATTTTGTTTCTCAGTCATACCAGCCACATCTCTACTGCTCAATAGCCCCATTGGGCAAGCAGCTATAGTACAGAACAGCCCAGGTACCCAACATTTCTATTATCACAGAAAGCTCTATTGGACATCGCTGGTCCAGTTTAACCTTGGATATAACCTTGGGCCTTTATGATGAGAATCATCCACCAAGTTAGAACAATTAAAGTGTCAAGAGGAAGGGAGGAAGAAGGAGGGTTTCACCTCTGTTGCGTATCAGCTACTCCTTCATTCTTTGACGTGATCAATTTATACTTTTTCAGTCTTACAAAAAGTCTGTGAAAACATAGCCTCAAGCCCTCGCCACATTCTGGAGCCACTACTAACCATAAGAGAACCTAGAATAAATTAATCCAGGCCCCAAACACAGGAAGATGACAGGGTTTTCATTGTGCTAACAGATCGTCTATTATTTAAACTACTTCCTGATGCTGACATATTATTTAAGTAAAGAAAAAGAGTGACCTGGCATTTGGGTTTCTCTCCTCTAACTTGTGAAGAATTCTAAGGTCTGCCTTCCTGGAGTTTCACAGCCATATATGACAATCTCCAAGGGAACGCTCTGTGCTGCTTTTGCTCTAACAAACTGCTTTGCTAACCCTGAGCCTTGACACCTAGTTTAATAGGAAAGGCTGAAGGGACTATTTTTAGAGAACAATCTGTTATTGAAACTCCCTCATGTTTCCACTCAAGAGTATAAGCATTCTCTAGAGTACAAAATAAAACATTCTACCACAAGCAAGTGATCCAAATTCAAGAGGAGAGAGGCATCATACAGAGTCGGAAGAAGAGCACCAATCCTCCAAAACACTTTAAAAAAAGTTTGTTCCCCAAAACAATCCAGTCTAGGACTGAGGCAGCATGTTTTCCAATTGAAAAGGATGAAGAAGTCAGTGCCATCTCAGAATCATTCTACACTCCAAATCTAGGTTTACCATCTCTAAAGGGATGGAATAAGACGTTTTTCTTTGCCACCAAATTGGTGAACAGGATCCATTGCCTAGGGAAGAGAGGCCCTAAGTACCGCCATTAATTTTTTTTTTTTTTTGAGGCAGAGTCTCATGCTATTGCCCAGGTTGAAGTGCACTAGTGTGACCTTGGCTCACTGCAACCTCTGCCACCCCTATTCCAGCAATTCTCCTGCCTCAGTCTCCTGAGTAGCTGAAACTACAGGTGCCTGCCACCACACTCGGCTAAATTTTGTATTTTTAGTAAAGACGGGGTTTTGCTATGTTGGCTAGTCTGGTCTTGAACTCCTGACCTCGTGATCTGCCCGCCTCAGCCTCCCAAAGTGCTGGGATTACAGGCGTGAGCCACCACACCCAGCCCCTCCATTAATTTTAAAGACAGCTATCAGGGAGCCTTCAACAGCTCAGGGCTTAGGAAAAGGGGCCAGAGCTGACTCAACTGCCCCCACCTGCCATCGCAGCCCTGAGACTCAGCCTTTGTAACGTCACTGGACATTTTCGGGAGCACACTGTTCCTGGTGAGAGGGAATTCTCTTGCCTGCATGTCCAGGGACACTGTTACATATCTTATATTTTCCCTTTGCAACATGTGCTGAAGATTTCCCTCCATCAGTACTTAGTGATTGCCTGCATTCTTCCAGACAGCAGCACAGTGTGCCACTACATGGATGGGCTCATCCTGGTCTCCTTTGCTAGACACTTGGGGTGCTTACAATATTTTGCTGGTGTCAATAATGCCACTATGAGTAACTTTGTACATTTCATACACATGTAATTGTAGTTGTAGGCTAGATTTCTGGAAGTGGGACTGCTGCATCCCAGGGCCAATGCATCTGTAATCTTGGTAGACATTGCCACGTTCCCCCTCATTGGGTTGTAAACTGTTGCTTTCTTGCCATCAATGTGCTAATATAAATGTCTGTTTCCTCACGGCTTCCCACACAATCCTCAACCCAGGAAGTTTATTGTACCTTAAAACTTTTAAGTAATATTTCCTAAAGTGTCTAAAAATCACCAGAGGGAGTTTGTTTAAAATGAAGATCCTTATAATCCACCTGCAGATATTCTGATCTGGTAGCCTGGCTTAAAGCCTGGGAAACTGCATTTTAAACAAATATTGTAGCGATTCTGGTGCAGGTGATTTCATGACCAATGTTTTTATAAGGGATTCAGAGGCTAGAACATCCCTGCCGAATCACAGCTGTGGGTTTTGCAGGCTGAGCTGCAAAGGTGGTGCTGTTGCAGGGGTTAGGGTCCTGGATTTGAAATCCATACTGCCCAGGTTTGAACCATGGCTTCATTGCTTGCTAGATGTGTGCTCTGGGGCAAGTTACTTCATCTCTGTGTGCTGTTGTTTTGTCTGTAAACTAGGGCTAATAGTATTATTGCTTTTAGGATTCAGTGAGCTAAACGTTGTAAACACTTTCAATAATGGGTGGTTTCTTCTTATGTGGTAGAAACTGCTAGCTATCAACCTCAATATCAATTTTCCCCATCTTCCATGGTAACAGAACTCCTGATTTTGGCTGGGCACATCCACTAGAATAAACACTGTATTTTTCAGCATTCTTTGCAGCTCTTTGTGGCTGGCCAGTGAGAGAGAGCAAGACAGGCTACATAATTCAAGGGATCCATGCAAAAAGAAAATGCAGGGCTCTTTGCTGAAAAAGTAGGAAAAGGGTGCTGTTAACAGTATTAAATATAAAGCTTTTTCATTACTTCCAGGATCTCTCTCTTGACCTGTCATGATGATTTTTATTTGCCATGTTATGTTGCTCCCTCAAGCGCACAGACACTTGTCAGGCAAGAGGAGTCCCTCACTTTGGCGACTCAGTGAAACACAGCCTCTGGGGTTTTCTTCTGGGTTCCCCATCCTGCCACATGCCAGCTCTGTATTCAGTGCCTTGGTGGCGGCTGGGAAAGCAAGCCAGGCATCTCCTCTGCCTACCGTCTTGCTGTCCCAACCCCCTGCAGACAGTGACCTTTAAGGGTACTGCAGCCTCTGCACACTGGGACAGGTGAGGCATCCAGGTGAGAGAGCCACTTACCCTCAGGGTATTGCCCACTTTGTTTGCACATGCCCCATTGTCCCCTTGGATTTCAGTTACAGAACAGACTCAAACATACATCTCTTAAGAATTTCAAAATGGTTTAACTGTCTGCTTTTCACTGCAGCAGTCACATGCCCATGGAACCTTAAAAGTTGCATAAGTTTTAAGTGCATCTTGTAGGAAATGCCCTTAAAAATTATCTTTACTTTCCATCTTCTTGCCTGAAATACATTCATAATAGATGGAGAATTTGCCACTGCCTGAGACCATGAGGATAAGGGCCACACTTAGGAATGGCTAAGCATGAGTTAGAAGGAGCCTGGATGTCAAACAGCATCCTTTCATTTAAAGCTATTAAGGGCAGGGTTCTTACCCTGGGGTAGAGGATTTGATTCCAGAGGTTCATGACATCATACACAAACTATTACATGTCTGTTTTTCTGGGGAGAGAATCCATGGCTTTCATCAGATTCTCAAAAGGGCTCATGACCCCAAGAGTTTAAGAAACATGGCTGGAGGACAGAGCTTTGAACAGCTGCAGACAGAGTTCTCTTTGGCTGTTTACATGTTGAAGTAATCACAGGCACTGTTAAGACCAATGTAAGATGTAGAAGAGACAAACATGGATAAGACACCATCAGGACTGGAATGATGAGAGAAGGGGCTTGTGGCCAGGCCAGGAGAGAAACTCTAACCCCTTCCTTCCCAGCACTCGTCTTGGTGAGATGAGATTCATGGTTTATACCAGAACCATCAACAACTTTTACTTGATCACTATTTGAAAATTGCTAGGATCCTGTATATAATTCACATTATTTGAAAGCTGCTAGCATACTGCCTATGAATCACTGCAGAATGGTAGTTTTTTCCAACTAGTCTTTTCAATGTCCTCGGCCAAAACCCAGAGTTCATGAGACCCTTTAGTAGCTTAAGGAGAGGTATCCAAGCTGCAGAGATCACATTGACATTTGAAGTGACCATTCAGGAATCTGGACAAGATAAAGTGAGAGTCCACTCCACAAGAATTTCCTCTTGGGATGAATCAGCCCCTACACCAGCTCTTATTTTTGTTTTGGTTTTAAAACAACTAGGAACCTTTATTATAAATATTCAGTGCTCTTCAGGTACAAGATGTACAAGTACCACAAATTAAAACAAACTTGGCTTATCAGAAGTGAAAGCCTTCTTCCTTTTAAACCACGTATTTTCAGATATTTAAGCTTGGCAAGACATTTGCAGATATGTAAGCTTTACTTGCACTGCCTATTTGTCATTTCCTTACACAAATCTCTGTTGCATCTTAAATAGAAATAATAGGCTGGATTCAGTGGCTCACACCTGTAATCCCAGCACTTTGGGAGGCCAAGGTGGGGGATCACTTGAGGTCAGGAATTTGCGACTAGCCTGGCCAACATGGTGAAACTCCATCTCTACTAAAAATACAAAAATTAGCTGGTGTGGTGGCACATGCCTGTAATCCCAGCTACTCGGGAGGCTGAAGCAGGAGAATCGCTTGAACCTGGCAGGCGGAGGTTGCAGTGAGCCGAGATTGCACCACTGCACTCCAGTGGACAGAGCGAGACTCTGTCTCCAAATAAGAAAAAAAAATAGAATGAAAATGTGTTTTCATCTTTTTTTAAAAAAAATTTGCTTTTTTTGCCTTTAATTTTTAGTGTACTTTTTTTTGTCTTAACCTTTTCTTTTCTTAAATGGCAGAGATAGACACAATTATTTAGCTCAAAGAGACAATACAGTCTCATGGTGAAGAATCCACACTCCCTAGATTCAAATTCAACTCAATATAGCCTGGGCAAGTTACTTAACTTTTTTCACCGTGCCACCATTTCCTCATCTATCGGTGGGGATAATAATAATACCAATGTCCAGCTCATAGATTTGTTGTGAGGATTCAATGAATTATGGCTGGTATATAGAAAACATTGATAAGTATAAAGCTACTACTATTATTCTATTAGATACAGTATCACCATTCTAAAATTAAGAGCATTTGTAATCTATGTTGGAAAGGACTAGAATTCAGGATGAATTCTTGAGTTCTTACCTTGAGGAAAGAAGCCTCAGCCAGACTCAGGAATGTACTCATTGGAAACTTGGGCTTTAGGCAGATCAGTCACCCCACAGTGGGACTGGTGATCATGGTGAACCACATTTATTTGAGCACCTCCCGGGTTATGCTGAGGTGACACTGATGGTCAGGAAAACATGATACATTGTACTTTACATCAGAATTTAAAACAAAATAAACTAGGTGAGGGTCAGTATCTTCTACCTTCCCCAAATTACCAAAACACTAAAGACTTTCTAATAATAAATAAATCTGAAATTATTATTGTCAGTCATATTGATAACATCTACTTAATTGACAGCTGATCTTTAATAAACTCGATAAGGTTTTAATACTGAGCAGTACCTCAAATAGTCTAAACGAGGGCTCTTTTAAACATTTTACATTTGAATTTTAAAATTCAGCCTCTCAAGTTACCTCCTTCATATTGTATTTTGTAATGTACTTGTAATATGCTTCCAGAAACTTTTAGGTAAATTAAAGAGAAACGCCAATTTCATTTTTGGTCCCTTCCTTCAGCCTTTGTTCATCTATTCATAAGTAATATTCTCCAAGCTCACGTGCTCTCCCTCTGCCCCCCAACTTATTAATTTTTTTTAAATATTGTCTGTGTGCATTCTCTCCAGAATTGCTGGCTGTTGATACTCTTTCTCATCAACTCCCCAAATGGAAATGCTTTCAACCACTGCAGAAGTAAAAAATTACCCAAAGGCTGTATGATGCAAACTCTTTCTTTGGCTTTATCTTACTGATAAGAATAAAAATAACACCTCACGTATGTATAGAATATTAAGGTTCACAAAACACTTTGTGTCTCCACCGCCTTCATTAACCTCACCACAATCCAGGGAAATAAGTAAGGCATATGACAATTCAGCTCAGAGAAGTTAAATAAGCAGTCATTTCAATCCTACGAAATTAGAAGATCATAAAAATATTTTCACCAAAACCCTAGACTTATGATTCATGCTTGGTTCCTTAGCTAATTATTTCTACTTGCATGGAAAAAAAATAGAGTAAATTCTGAATTCTGGAACCCCTGGGCTGTAGCACAGACTCTTCAATCAGGGAATTTTCTGATTTGTGAAAGGAAACTATGACATCTTACGTAAATCAAGTACTACTCTCGAGTTTTCCTTCATCTCACGGTTGGTCTTCCTTACAAGGAATAGATACTTAAAACATATGGTAAAGCACACACTATTAACCCAACACAATCCAAGTTAACTCTATCAAAACCAGTACCAAAAAGGCCTCTCATTCTGACCTTCTGAAAACTGTCTGTGGAGGAATTCCACTAGGTCCTTTTTCATTTCCTGTTTATAGAGTTCTGGACGGTGGATATTTGGCATTAAAAGGTTAGTATAAATAAATGACCATTGATATGCAAATATTTAATTGATCATGATTTTTTGAAGGCCTTGCAAATAGCAACACTATTTATCGAAATACTTTTTAGTGATGTTATATATTTATATCTCAGAATATTTACCTTAAAAAGGAGGGAGGAAAAAATTGACTGTAGAAATGGCAGAAAAATATATTCTGCTATAGAATATATGTAGGAAAATAGGCAAATAAGAAATGGGATAAGACAGTAAGTACAGTAGGCAAGGATCTATGACAAATCAATACCTATAAAGATGGACCCAAAATAGACTGAAGTTTGAATATAATTCAGTACTCAACTTGCAGGCCACAAGACTATATCATAGATGAAATATATTGTTATAAGATCTTCTTGTCTCTCTAATCAATCAAACATTCAATTAGTAGGAAGTTACTGAACACCTACTATGTGCTTAGCCATGCATATTCAATGATGCAAATCTCTGGATGTTGCTCAACACCTACAGATATTTATACTACATTGCAGTGAGTGGGGTTTTGTAGAGCTGATGGCTCAAACTCCCTACCTTTTACCTTACTTCTTTAAAACAATAGGCTCAGATTAAGATAAGGAAACTCCGCTCTCCAAAAAAGAGGGTGATTCCTCAAACTGTTGATAAGGACTGAGCCAAATTTTCTTTTCTTAGCAGTGGAGCTAAAAAGTCTATAAGGCCACATGGAGTTAGCCTTTTTCTCTTTCTCTTTCCACATGCCTGGAGTGAAAAGGTCCAGGACCAGTCTTCCATAGGATAAAGATAGACCTTGCTTTTTCTCCTCCCAAGGAGCAGTCAGGCCCATGCCCATTTTGTGCCTGGATATTTCTTAGGAAGCTCAAGAAATCACAGAGTTACTGGCCAAGGAAGGATTTAGGTATTAGTGAATCTCCCACATAGTATGTTGGTTTCTAACAATGCACAGTGAAAATACAACCTCACTCACCCTACGCTATTTCCAAAGTTCAGCTCATCCCTTTTGCAAACACCTCCCCCTGAGTGGGATCTTGGAGCAGTTTCAGGCAGGGTTGCAAAAAGACACATTGAGACTGTTATTCTTAGTTGAGGAATATGTCAAGAGGAATAAATTCTTCTTCAGCCAAGATCATGCTGACATGAAAACGATGTCCTAGGAAACAAGGCGAGAACAACCAAAAGAACAAATGTTTCTGGCTGAAATTCTTCTCCAACTCTTCCTGTAACTCTTCAGGAGCAAGAAATTCCAGAAAGCAAAGCCATTCCCTCCCAGGTGCTAAAGTGTGGATAGGGACCAATGCTAAATATTGACAATCATCTTCAAAAAGTTCTCCATCTCAGGAGTTGGAACCTTTTCCCTTTTCTATTTTGAAACAAACTTTGGACTATTTTTAGCCTCTACTAGCCATTAAGGAACAAAGTAGCTTTCAATGTTAAAACTTATCAGGTATCCTATTCTAAATAAATTATCCAAAGACTATGCATATTTAAAAATTTGCTTTTGACCCTATCGTCTATAAAGTGTTTACAATGACAAGCCTTGGCTGTTTGATACACAAAAACTTTGAGGCTCCTGAGGCTTATGTTAACATTACGTTAGCCAACAAAGCAGGTGGAGATAACAGCTGCATAAGAAAGTTGTGCTATAATTTGAGAAACACTTAAAATACCTGTGGCTATAATAAATATAATTACTATTAATAATCATGTGGCTCTTTACACTTGACCAGGAAAGTAATAACTATGTTAACAGAAAAACAAAACAGGAACAACAAGAATAATAACTCTTTTGGTGTGCATGCAACTGAAATGGCACACATGAGATGAAAAATCTGTGACAGAAAGAGAAGGTACTGTCCAGGGGATTCATAAGCCAAGGCTGAATCTCGGGTTTCCTCAGCTTATTCCTCTCTTGTGCACACACAATCCTTCTACCGGGTTCTGCCCCTTCCAAGCAATAGCAAATTCTTCCACACTGTTGTTTGCTGCAATCACATTGAACCATTCTTTCATTGGAATAAATTTTGTTACCTATTTTTGAGGCTTTGCCTTATATCTGCCTTGCTTTACCTAACTTTTAAATCATACCCATTCATTACAGCATTGTAATGTCTACCTCTTTAAGAAAACTTTTCTGCTGTCCTCTGTCCCCTAATAAAACTCTTCCGTTCTTTGGACCTGGAGACATGCTTGTATCTGTCCTGTTGCACATATCACATTTGTCCTGGAATTTAGATGTTTGTTTCCTGTTCCCTATTGCCTTTTTTTTTTTTTTTTTTTGTGATGGAGGGAGTCTCACTCTGTCAACCAGGCTGGAATGCAGTGGTGCGATCTCACTGCAACCTCTGCCTCCCGGGTTCAAGCAATTCTCCTGCCTCAGCCTCCCGAGTAGCTAGGATTACAGGTGCCTGCCACCACGCCCGGCTAATTTGTTGTTGTTGTTGTATTTTTAGTAGAGATGGGGTTTCACTGTGTTGGCCAGGCTGGTCTCAAACTCCTACCTCAAGTGATCTACCCACCATGGCCTCCCAAAGTCCTGGGATTACAGGCATGAGCCACTGTACCTGGCCCCCTATTGGCTTTTAGTCTTTTGAAGAAAAGGTCCCTGCCTCCACTGTCATTGAATCCTATCCAGCCCAGTGCTCCCTACCCCCACAGAGGAGGTGCTCAATAAATGCTGTTGCACTTGATCCCCAACTCCAGGCTGTGCCTCAAATACAGGCTACTCTAGATGCAGAGTGATTATCGTGCCTTTTAAGAAGTAGCATCTGTGCCCAGAATACTCATAAAATAGCCCTTTGCCTATTTCACAAGCTAACCAAAATAAATATTTTTATAGTCTCTCATACTTTTGAGATGTCAAAACCATCAAGCTTAACTCTTCTCTGGATTCTCTTTATAAGTCCTATACCAGCTCACGATGGTAGCATGCTTTAAAGTTTGTAATTTGTATCAGCTCAGACGAGTTCATTTGAGCCACACAGGACTCTTTATGGGATACACAGATTAGGGATTCTCTTCATTTTAAAGATGTTGAAAATAAAATGTAGACAAGTCCTTGTATAAGATCACATGGCTCAGCACATTCAGACCTGCATGGGGCTGCCCAAGGTGGCACACTGAGGTCTGCTTCTCTGATCTAGTGACTCAATGAGGAGTTTTTGTCATGGCAACACCACACTGGTGGGCCATACTGGCAGGCAGGCCTATTGCACCTAGAAAGAGTGTCTAAGAGATGTTTTCCTCATAAACAATGTGATTTTCTTAAATTATCCAAATGAGCTGCATCTCCCACTTACATCACCGAACTGAAAGATCCTATCCTTAGATAATAAACACATGTAAGATCATACCAGCCAATGACTGGCCCCTAGGATCACCTGAGCTCCTTTTCAGATGAAAGAGCTTGGAATCAATTACTTTTTGCTCACTGTACACTTTTTGTCCTGTACTTGATAACTTTGCTGAAGGTAGGGATATGGGCAACCTTTTTCCTAAAATGTGTAAGGTAAATGAGTTCCACTGCAGAGCCATTTGATGGGATTGTTGGTAGCTGCCCGGAAATCTACTGGAAGCTGTATCTGAGCAAGCAGAAAAGAGTATCCTGACAATATCTATGCCACAGATGAGGGACAGGGAGTGTCCCTCCATGGGATGTGGAGATGCTGTGCTGCAGATCCCTCTTCAGGACTGAAGGGCTTATTACTCCAGATGGTGGGACAGCCACTGGAAAGCAGCCTCCCCTGGTCAGCCCTCTCTGGGGAATGCCTTCAGTGAAAATAGCTGGCACATCCAAGATCACATGCCTTTTTCTGGATACTAGACACAGGGTTTAACCCTCTTTCCCCGACTTGGAAAAACACAAAAGTGTCATCCCGGAGCTAGAACATCCATGAAGTAGGCTGAGGCCTTCACTGAGGTTGCATTGCCACACAATTTCTACCTCTGTCCAGTCCTGATTCTTCCCTTTCTCTTCCTCAGGTGTTGATCCCAGGAGCACCCTCTCATAAACTTCCTACTTGCTAATCTCCTTGGGGTTTGCTTCTAGGGAACCCACCTGCAACAAGGAGGAGTGACAGAGGTCCCAGATATTGATGAACTTAATTCATTAATTTATTAATTGAGTTGTTTATGTGTTACTTTATCGGCAAATCCCATTGGCTTTATTCTTCAAATATATCCTTAATAAGACCACTTCCCACTTATCTCTACTGTGACCCATCAGCACCATTGCTAGTACATACTTTTAGCACCAGCATGCAATTTAGCAAAAGACAGATGAATTGTAGAAAAACCCCCACTCTGGGATGCCAATTAGAAAAAGATAGCTTTTCCTTTTGGCTGGCACAACCCCTGGCTTGATGAGAAAAGCCAGATGCCTTTGGGTAGCGAACAACCTGTACCATCATACACCATGGCCCTGCAGTAACCCTTCCTAAGCCACTATGATCTCTTGTCTGAACTGTAACCTCTAGCTGCCCCCCTACCTCCCCTTCGCCCTTGCACAGTATACTACCTACACCAGCCTGCGAGATTCTTCTAAAAGGAAAAGAGACGTGACCTTCCTCTTCTCAAAGTCACCCAGTTCCCACTTATTCAGGTAAATCCTGTTAGTTCCTAAGTGCTCTGGCCTGGCTACCTCTTGCTTCATTTTCTACTACTCTGTCTTGCTCCTATTCACTCTGTTCCAGGCACACTGGCTTCTTGACAGTTCTTCATATTCACCAAGCACCCCCTTTCCTCAGGGATTTTGCCCTTGCTTTCCCCTCTGCCTGGAGCACTTGGAACCTGGAGAGTCGCATGTCTGGCTGCCCCATTCCCTTGGGTCTCTGCTGAGCTGTGACAGAGGTCTTTCTGAACTGCCCCAATCTTCCTTCATACCTATCCTCTTACCCTAATTTTTCATAGGACACGATACCATATATGATTATTTATGTGTTTGTGAATGTCATGTTTCCCCTTACCAGAATATAAGTTTCAGGAGAGTCGGAACTTTGTTTCATTCACTACTATATCCCAGGCCCTACATTATGATTTGAAATACTGTGGGTATCAATAGATTCTCTTGAAAGGAAAAATGACTAAATAAACAAACTTGCTCAAGAACAACATTTGGCATCCACTAAAACTTCTGCAAACATGCAAGGAATAGGAGGGTGGAAAAAACAATGGGAAAATGTTCATTAGGGCTATGCAATGTAAGAATCATGAGCTTTGGTAATTGTTACAAAAATAACAAGTGAAATTGTGAAATAATTTTGGTAGAAACACAGTGTACTCCACTCAATGTCTCAACCCAATGACCAGGCCAGGGATTGGAGTGAAGTACACGTTTTCTATCAAAATGCAACATCATAATTTTACATGGTTTTTCTGCCTTATTCTAACTTTCAGGGGCCTCCATGTATTAAAAAAAAAAAAAAAAAGGACGTGGGGTTTTGACTCCTGCTTGGATGAGACACAGTTTATTCTCTTAGATGAAAATTACATCATTTTTCCAATTAGGATTTTTCAAAGCCACCAGAATAGAAATGTGCTTTAGGCATCTCCTAAAGCAAAGCCATTTAAAATAGACTAAAATACTATTTTAAACTACCCAAATATTTACATATGGATAGATTAGTAGTCATCAAAACTCTTGATTTTCTGGACAGAAAGAGGGATTCTTAAGCTGGAATATATTTTATTTTAATCCGTGACATTTTGTGCAACATAAATAGCAAATCTTATCAATATGGAGAAGTTGAATGTACTAGAATGTTCACCACAAAACACCTTTTCAAAGGCAAAAATGAGTTTTCAATAATAAGGTTCTATTTTACACTTGCCTTCAAGATTTAGAAAACCGATACACATGGTTTTTGGATAAGTAGCTCGTAATCCCTGTTAGTCGTTTCTCTAGTATGTTTCCTGTGTGATTTTGACAGAGGGAGGTTTTACTGATTGATTCTTTCATTATATTTCATATAGACAGATGGAGCTAAGATTAAGTATTTTCCCTAAATATTAATTCACATGAAGCTCTTGAATGTTGATTCCACTCAAGTTACAATGGCTTGGCATATTCTTGATTTTATTTTGCTTTGTTTTGTTTTGTAGCACGAGGTTATATAGACAAACTACTAACCCAGGTTTCTTACTGACTGGCTGCTGGCTGCTCTCTGGACTGATTGTGTTACCTTACACAA
Organism: Homo sapiens; assembly: GCF_000001405.40. Taxonomy (NCBI): domain Eukaryota; kingdom Metazoa; phylum Chordata; class Mammalia; order Primates; family Hominidae; genus Homo; species Homo sapiens. Next base: position 70,064,817 of record NC_000009.12, on the reverse strand, counting down.
GTCATTTGACTCTCTGGGACCTCAGTTTCCTCATTAGACAACTAGAGGGTTCTGCTCAGAGGCCTTTGGAGTACCTTCCAGCATACACATTCTGTAGTTCCTCATTTACATGTGTTATGCAGTAAAATTTTTGCCATTTAGGAAGTTGGAGGCACATGGCATGGATGGAAACAGAAAATTATCTGTAAAAGCTGTTTCCTAAAGATGGATTACAAACACTCACACACACTCACACAGACTCACACACACACCCCTTCTCTTTGTCTCCAAGTGCAAACGCAGTTTCAGAAATTACACAAGAAATTGGTTGTAGTGGTTCCTTACAGACAGTGGGATTGGGATTTGGAGGAAAAGAAGGGAGTTTTAAAATTTTAATTCATATATCCGGTGAAAGAATGGAAAACTGAACATTGTATATTCTCATTCATATGGGGGAGCTAAGCTATAAGGACGCACAGGCATAAGAGTGATACAATGGACTTTGGGGACTCAGGTGGAAAGGGGGTAAGGGATAAAAGACCACAAATGGGGTTCAGTGTACACTGCTCGGGTGATGGGGCACAAAGATCTCATAAATCACCACCAAAGAACCTACTCATGTAACCAAACACCACCTGTTCCCCAATAACCTATGGAAAAAAAATTTTAAAAAAATTCATATGTCCTTATATTGTTTTAAAATTATTATATATATATACATCATTTTTATAAAGAAAAGGTTTTCTTATTGTCAGTAGAGATGTGAGAATCACATTTGATTTATTCTTCATACACTTCTTTTTTTAAAAAAATAAAGAATGCTTATCCCTTTGTAATTCAGCAAAAATCAATAAAGATCTTTTTCAGTAAAATTTTATTTTTTCAGGTGGCTTCCATTTAATCAGTGGTGTGGCACATCTAAAAGAGAACAGGCTTTGGAATGAAGCCCACTTGGGTACAAATGCCAGATGCAATATTTAAAAACATACACTTCAGGCAGCTTATTTGAGCCCCAATTTTCTTATCTGTAAAATGGGAATGATAATAATGATACCTAATTACAGGCTTGTAATCTGTTCAACAGATTATAAATAATTAGAATAAAGTGCCTAGCAAGTGTATGGCACAAAGTAGGTTCCAGTGATAACTCTTAATAATACTATTATCACTTTCTTGTTTTATCTTTTAACATCTAATGGTAAATGAAGAGACATTAAGTTATAAGATAAATTAACATTATTTTCAAAAGATGTCTATCTAAATACTTAGTTCTGAAATAGAGTAGTAAATAACGTTCTTATATTTTTCTTTTATTTACTTATTAAATACATATTTCCCAAGCATCTACTATGCGCCCAGTATTGGATGAGGCACTACAAAGATGAACAAGGACACGCACATCACGAACTATGCTCACTCCATCTCTCATTCAGGCCTCTGCTCAGCACTTTCCTCTTTAGAGAATCTTTTCCTGCCCACCTGAGCCAAAACAGCTACCTTTTGCTGTCATATTTCTCTCCATCTCCACGAACCTTATACCACTTGGCTCATCTTACTGTTGTTTGCCTATTTATTTTTTTTCTTTTGAGACAGAGTCTCACTCTGTTGCCCAGGCTGAAGTGCAGTGGCGTGATCTCGGCTCTGCAGCCTCCACCTCCCAGGTTCAAGTGATTCTCCTGTCTCAGTCTCCCAAGTAGCCGGGACTACAGGTGCCTGCCATCACGCCTGGCTGCTTTTTGTATGTATAGTACAGACGGGGTTCACCATGTTGGCCAGGCTGGTCTCAAACTCCTGACCTCAGGTGATCCACCCACCTCAGCCTCCCAAAATGCTAGAATTACGCCTAGTCATTTATTTTAAGTTCCCCTCACCATAACCGATGCTCCATGTGAGACAGATGTTATTATTTTGCTCTCTGTTGAGTTCCCATCACCTGGCATCTGAAGATGCTCAGTAGATACTTGTTGAATGAATAAAAAAATCCGTTTTTGCTGAAAACTGCTAAGTTTTTGTAGATTGTGCCTGTTTATATAGAGTACACCTAGGCAGTAGAAGAATTTATTCTGATGGAAATAGCTCCTTCTCTTCAACAGCCAGACCCAGAGCTCCAACCCTGGTGATCCAGTTAAGAAGGCCACATTTACAGGAAAGAAGAAAAACTGTTGTGCCCAGTTCCTGGCTGTTACACCACTGAGGGCTTTTCTTGTCTCTAACTTGCAGAAGTGCAAGTCCATTTCACTTACAGATTCCCTCATCTGGCTAAGTAGTGTCCCAAATACAAACAATGAAAACAGCATGGAAAAATGGGTTTAAATGGAAGCAAATTAGACCTGCTGATCTGATCTTTTTGTTTGGTATAAAGCTTTTTGTTAGCTATAAATTATGGTGGTGACTTAGATATAGATTTAGTATGCTCAAACCTAAAAAACTTTCTTTTTCCTATAGCTCATCTCTTACGATCCTTCAATTAATAACTCAAAAATATTTACTGAGCTCCTATTGCCCTGGTAGAGGGCTGGGAATGGTAGAGGAGACATAGATAAATATATAAAGAGATAGTGTGTGTGTGTGTGTGTGTATACATCTCATATGTATATATCAGTGTATCCAAGTGTATCCTTCCAAAACAACTACTCTGATTTTTTGAAATTAAAAAAAATCAGAAAAGAGGAAAAATGACAAAATGAAACAGCAAGCATAGAAATTTCAAAATCTTAGACAACCAATGGCAGTTTTTAATTTAAACTTCTGTTAAGAAAACTCTCCCTATTGGGTAGACTGCTGCTCAGGCTGGTAGGGAAGCTGGACTCTGGCCATTCTTCAAGGCTTGGGTGTGACCATTACAGCTGAATCCCATTACAGCTGAATCCCATTACAGCTGAATCAACATCTTCATGGTCAGATGGACAACAGGAAAGGCCAAGGGTTTTAGTCCACCTGATTCATCCATGAGTTCTGAATGGCAGCATTTCACTGGATACTTAATCACATGTTTAGCTCACGAGAGCCAAACACCAATTCTACAACCTATACATTCAACAAGTTTTCAGTGCTTTTTACAGGACTGGGACTAGGGTGAGCCAACTGCAGGATCAGAAGCCATCTCTGTTTTCATTTAAAATTTTGTCATTTTGCTCATCATGGAATTTTTGCATTAATTTTGAGTTTTTAAATAGTGTATTAAAATATTATTTATCTTGATCATTTGATTTTTGGCACCATCTTAAATTTTGCACCCAAGGAGAATGCCTCATTTTCCTCACCTTAGTCCAGTTCCTGGTTTGTTATGTGCAGAGCATTTCACTAAGACCCTACAGGGGATGAAGAGAAGGAAGAGATATGGATGCCAACCTCTAGAGCCTAATAGGAGGGGAAAGATATGTTCTGAAAGAATACCAATACAGTGAAAGAGTGATAAGTACTTTAAGAGGGATCTGAAAATAATGACAGTGCTTTGGGAGGCAGGATAGACACCATGACAAGACTTCCTGCCCCAGCCCTGCCACTTCTAGCTGTGTGATGTCAGGCAGACACCATTTAACCAACAGAAACTTCTGCTTCCTCATTTGTGAACTAGAAGGGATGTCACTCACCTCAGAGGGTGGTTGTGTGAACCAAGGTAAAGTGTGCAAAAATTGTAGGGGCCCATGATAAATGGCAGTGATTGGTAGCTGTGGTTCTATTTAAGTGGGCCTGGAGAACACAGATGTAAACTCTTGGTTGTAATACTGGCTATCCCACACCTCCATAGAGAGGCAGGTATAGAAATGCAACACACTGTGCATTTGCATAAGGATGCATGAAAATTAGGGCCAGCCACTCACATCCATTCATTGGCTTTCTTTTTCCCAACTGCTTTGGGAGCTCCACACTGAGTTCTGTGTTATTTGGGATCCTAAAAGAAAAATCCATGATGATGAGAGAGAGTGTTTTCCATGTTACCTGAAGTTTGAGTACCATGATGGGTTCCAGGTATCAGTGGCTTCTCTTAGGGGAAGGGAAGAGAATTAAGACAATTGTTTAAACAATTCATTCAACCAATTCAACATCTGGGACTGGGAAGACCTAGCCACAGATTAGTTAAGGATTTCTCTCTGTCTCTCTCTCTTTCTCTCTCTCTCTGACACAGACAGACAGACAGACACACACACACACCTTCTTACTCATGACTGGGCAGTGTCTTGGAATTTAGTATCTGCATGTTATATATCTTTTCTTTGCTGCAGGAATTGCTTTCTAGATTTGTCAAAAGAAGAAAATGCTATCCTGTTTCTGGGAAATAAATCTGTTTTCCCAGTGGAACACTCATTCGAACCAGCAGACAAGGACAGTTGGGGGTGCCATAACAGCAGGATGAAAGCATAACTGAAAAATTCATTTTTTCTATTCACTGCTTCTGCCTAGATACATCCCTGAGGGAAGCACATCACTTAGGCAGGAAGTCTCCATGATGCTCGAGCTCATCTGTTATTTCTTTTTATTTAAAAAAGCCTGACAAGGTGTCAGCCTTCATAGATTGCTAAGGCTGAATTGCCACAGGGACTAAGATTCATTCATCCATTTGTCAAACATATTCTGAGTGTCTCTCCAGTGCCAAACACTGTGTTGGGCACAGGAGAATCTGGTGACACAAGTGAGAGGGATTCTTTGCTTCGAGTTTAACAGGGTTGATAGACAATAAACACAAAGCTTAGAGTTCAGCAGGGTTGATAGACAATGAACAAATAATTAAATCCACAAGAAAAATATCAGAGAGCCAATGTCCTAGTGAAAGAATTACAATCAGGTGACTGTGAGGAAGGTTGAACTTAAGGTCGATCTTAGCTCAGGAGAGAAGCTAACATTTCAACCAAGGCTTGAATGAAGAGACACAGAATGTTGTGTGAAGGTCTGAAGGAAGAGGGTTCCAGACATGCATAGGAAATGACACTAGTGCACACCCTTACCTATTTAATTCATCAGTGAATCAAGTGTACTGAGCCTCCAGTCAAGGGAGCTCATGAATTGGGTATTTGGGTGTGGCAGTGTAGGCTTCACAAGAACATAGCCTTTGATCTCAGCCCCTTAGCCTCTAATAGATCCTAACATAGCCATCAGCCATTACACTGTCTCTGGAAAAAACGATGAAGAAATCTATTTTCAAGGATTGAGGCCAAAAAGAACTGAATGTTGTAGCAGAAGCTTTCTCTCTACCTGTACTTTATTGAAACTGTCTTTGAACTGTGGAACATGGCGTTGGTTTTGTGATAATGGCACTAGATTACCTGAATGAATGAGGAAAGAACTTGTTCTAGGCTTGGGAAAGCAAGTCATAAAGAACCAAGAGCCAGCGGGAGGAGGAAAGAGGGGAGGGGGTCATGAAAGAAGAGCTTAACACGAAGGATAATAGAACACAGGTCATTATTCTCCTGTGGCTTCCTAATGCACATGTTCATGTCCCATAGCATGAACTTTGGAAATGTTAAAACAAACTATCTAAACCCTAGTTTCTTCATTTGTAAGGGGTACCTTCGTCACTGGGTTGTAAGAATTAAATGAGAGACGCATGCTCGTATGCCATGGGTCAAGAGACATTGCCCACTACAGGATGGAAAGACAGAAGACTGATCTCACTCCTCTGCCTTTATCCCACGGTTGAAGGATTTTCCCTCTTCTCAGGCTTCTGTGGTGTTTCCTGCTTCACCTCGCTACCCGTTTGAGTTCATATGCCTTTTTGCAAAACCCAAGCAGGCAAATATTACATTTTCATTTTTCTTTGTATAAGGATACTTCACTCATTTTCAAAACAAGTCCATCAAGATGATCAAGAAACATAGTTCTACTGGAATTTGTCCAGAGAATGTAGGTCAGTCGTGGGGATCCTCTGAGTGTGAGACTCTCACAGGAGTTCTCAAGTTAATCTCATTTGGAACTTGGAACCAGGCAGAAAATTCTTGTTGTTCCAGGGCACTGTGCCATTTCTAAAGAAAATGATGGATTTCAAATTTTCCCAAGTTAGAACTCATTTCCTCAAATACGAATTCAATTCTCCCTGTGTATGGGAGAACCTAGAAGAACTAATGTTTCTACATGCTTCTCTTAGTCACTCACATCAGAACTCAAGTAGAAAAGTTTCTTGCCTCAAAGTGCAGCAGAAAATAAATGAACGTTGCAATTGCTGTATCCCTCACAGAAGGCAGGCAGGAGCCAGGAAATCTGTTACAAAATATAGCCCTGCTGCCTAGGATCTTGAAGACCTGCAGGCTTCTGTCTGCCTCACCTGTCTCAACCGTAAAATGGGGATAAAAAATGACCCACCCTCACCAGGCCCTTGGGAGGGTTAAACTAATTAATAATAAAAAACACGGAGAACAATATATACCCAAAAGAAACCACTCCATATGGGTTATCTATTTTTATAACTATTATTATTTCTATCACAAGGACCCTTTGAGACCCCATGTCAAGAGAGGATGTAAACAGAGAGGTGACAAAGCAGAATGGTTATGTTCTTAGTCTTCGGAGATAAACCTAGGTTAAAATCCAGGCTCCACCAATAACTTGCTCTATGATTTTGGGAATGTTAAAAAAATTCTAAATCCCAATTTCTTCATCTGTAAAGAACATTTTCTTCATAGGGGGATTATAAGAATTAAATAAGATGATGCATGTCCTGCACTCAGCACAGTGTTTGGTGATAATTGCTCAATAATTGTTCAATAAAATAATTGTCATTATTCATATTCCTATTGAATCTTCAAGTTCAATGCCAACATGCCCACTCAGTGCTCTACAAATGCTTGCAAATGTCACTTTGGTCTTTGAGCTTATTTTTAGCAACTCAAATGAAATCTAAGGATAAAAATTTTTAAACGATTATCAAGGTATCTACTTTCAAATACTGAAATAAAACATTCCAGGCATCACCCTTAGCTCCCAGCTGAGGGCACCTGGATGGCAAGTCCTTCTGCAGCACACCTGGTGGTTTGTGATGGAAACTTAAAGGAGAATGAAATGAAATCTCAGATGGTCTCTCTCCAGGCTTTTTCCTTTGTCAACGTCTCCAAGGAAAAGTCTTTAAATCACTTGAGTCTAAAATCCGGTGCCTTTTGTGCATGACTATGATTCACTGCACATTAGGATGGAAATAATGGCAAATATTATCTATTTCTCCAAGACCAATTAATTTTCTAAGAATTCTTAGACTACTAGGCTAATATTGTGCTCAGCAAGAGATCGCTCATAAATGTGTCCAAACTTATTTTATGACAGGAATATGCTCCCCAAAGTACGAATGACTTCCTAATAACCATCTTGACAAATTAAAGGGGTTAATTAAAAATATAAACCATTTTGCACCCTTTTCATCTTCTAGCAGTTTTTATTGTGAGTAGCTGAGTTTGTGGAGAGACAAGAAGCTTGAGGAATATTCTGAGGCAACTGAGCTGTCTGCTTTAAGCTGTTACACACATAGGTCACCCTCATCCTCTCTCAAAAGCTGCATAATAGCGTACTTGATAGGCAAGAGGGCCACTTGGATCAAACTTGATCATGACAGAAATTAAGACATCATTGGTAATTATTGATATGTTCTTTAATAGGGGATGGTGTAAAAACCTGGGATTGATTTCTAACAGTTAGCAGAATTTTCTTTTGAATTCAATACTCTTTAAAGCAACAGTCCCCAAACTTTTTGGCACCAGGGACTGGTTTGTGGGAGACAATTTTCCCACAAACCAGGGGGTGGGAAGATGCTTTCAGGATGATTCAACCACATTACATTTATTGTGCACTTTATTTCTACTATTATTCATTGCAATACATAATGTAATGATTATACAATTCACCATAATGTAGAATCAGTGGGTGCCCTGAGCTTGTTTTTCTGCAACTAGAAAGTTGCATCTAGGGGCGATGGGAGGCAGTGACAGATCATCAGGCATTAGATTCTCATAAGGAGCACGCAACCTAGATCCTTTACATGTGCAAATTACGTAGGGTTCCCATTCCTATGAGAATCTAATGCCGCTGCTGATCTGGTAGGAGGTGGAGCTCAGGAGGTAATGCAAGTGATGGGGAGTGGCTGTAAATACAGATGAAGCCTCGCTTGCCTGCCTGCTGCTCAATCCTGCTGTGTGGCTGGGCTTCTAGTAGACCGGTACCGATCTGTGGCCTGGGGGTTGGGACCCCTGCTTTAAAGCAAGTACTATAAGTCCTAGTCCACAAGCCCAAGAGAAAATGAATCACGCCGCGTGCCAATACAATGCATCTTCAGATGTGTTATCCCCAACATCACTTATCTTGTATTATACAATATTCAGTACAGAACCATGTATAAGTAGTTTAAATATTTTATATTGACAACATAAGTTGACAACAAAGATACTAAAGTTTAACTCACATTTTCCTCACCAGAATTTATGAAAAAGAAAAAAGATTTTTAGAAACAACAGTGGGATTTCAGATGGCTGTTGCCAATTTTCAGGATTTGTAATGGAAAACCAGAGTTTCTTTCCATAAAGCTTATACTTTAAAGTTGGCTAATATAGGATCAAAACATACTTCACGAGAAAATTCTCCAACAGTCTACCCTATTATTCACTTTTAATAAAGTCAAAGAAATAGAAGAAATCTGTAGACACTTAGAAAACTTCCTGAGTTGTAGTTTTGGATAGATTGTTTTGGTCATAAAATATTGGTAAACGAAGGAGTCAGCTCCTCACTGAAGCAAAAGCATATTAAAGTCATCCTCTTTATAAGCATAGCCCCAAATAACACTTCAGCTCTCCTTGGCAGTGAGGCAAAAGTTTTTCAAATAAGGAATGGAAATTTCTCTAAGCATCTAGCAAAGTTATATATCACAGGACTGTATAGAAACATTGCCATTCTATTAAGAGTAATAGAATGAAGAAGTACCAAAATTCTTATCTAGAAGGGCAACCAGCTTGCAAAAGCACATTTATTTGTGTACTCTTTTAATTCTTTCACAGTAGGAATAGATGAACTTGAAGTTTAGGAATACTCCTTAAGACTGCCAAAGTATTTTAGGTCAAGCTATAAAATTTCCCTGAAGTTCTCTTCCAAGATTATGCTGAGGATTGAGAAGAGAATCCTTCAAATGGTTCCAAGAGCAAACTCTAATCTGTTATGGAAAAGAAATTAGTAAAAACTACATTTCTCTGTCTCTACTTGATGCCTTCCAAAGGCTCACCACTGCCCGGGAGACACACTAGTTGTAGGTGGGGCCTAGAACTCAGGGAAGGAGTTGTAATGTTGGGACATCATCAACACTGATGATGGAGGCAGAGGTTCCCCACCTTCTGCAGAGAAGCGTACAACTTGCAAGTCTGACTTCCTTGGTGTTGACCTCTGGAATAACAAAAGCATCATCCAACTCCAAGTGAATTAGGACCACTTGAAGTTCAAGCCAGGTGAGCTTGGCTTGACATCCCCACTCTCCCACTCTCCAACTGAGTTGCTTTGGGCACGTTATCCTAATCTCTCTGTGTCTCACAGTTTCTCATCTGTAAAATACTGATAATAACCACCTTCAAGATTGTTGTGAAAGTTAAAGATGATGAAAGTAAATGTGCTTGTCAGGCACTATTAAATGCTACCTATAGATCACAGACCTGGGCTGCATAGGAAGCTATTGCATAACTATCTCATTAAGTTTCACTGTGTACTTCTCACTCGGAACTACTTCTATAACAGAAATAGAATATATTATACAGTAACATTCCCATAGACCTAAAACATTCTCCTGCAGCTTATAAAAGACTTGTTTTTGTGTTGTTTTGTTTTTTTAAAGAGACAGGGTCTCGCTAAGTCTCCAGGAGTGGTCTTGAACTCCTGGCCTTAAGGTGATAGTCGCCCACCTCAGCCTCCCAAAATGCTGGGATTACAGGGATGAGCTACTATGCCTGGCCTTGTTTTTGTTTTTCAATGAGTAAGTTCCAGGGCACATCATAATTACCACAGATTCAGCCCAAGCTCCCACCTCCCCTGTATTTACAGTAGAAATAAAATTTCACACATTTGAAGTCGACACTCCAGTGCCCACAAGCCACTCAGTGGAGGGTACTTGGAATTATACGGGTACAAAGGAATTCCCAGGCTCTTAGGGTTTCTGAATCATCAAAGTGGAACTTGGATCTAATCCAGAGCTAGCAAGGAAGCCCCCCTCTTTTCAATCTTCTTTCTTTGCTGGTCCCTTCCCCTTACTATAGAAACAAGCTCAAGTCCCCCCTTCCTAAAACAAAACAAAACGAAAAAAAAAATAAAACTTTCATCTCAAAGTTTCTTTGTAGGTATGGTTGAACCCCTTTCTTCTCACATCTAAACTTTTTTTGCTGAGAAGTCTTTACCAACTATTGACATTTCCCATTTGTTCCACCCTACTGCATGGGGCCCCACTGATCACGTCCTCCTTTTGAAAATCCTAACTCCTTTGCTTCTACAATCTTCCACTTTCCTAATTCTTCTCATACATGCCCGGTTCTTCCTGTTTCTTTCATGTCCCCATCTCCTTCCTATACCTAATCCTTAAATGTGAGCTCAAGGCATCTTTTCTTAGCCTCCTGCTGTTATTACTTTATCCATTCTCCTTGGGTGATATCATCTCTGCTCGTAATTTTAACTACTACCTTTCTGCTAAAGGTTCCCATACTCCTGCCCAGACTATACCTGATCTTTAGATTCTTACATCAATGCCCTGCTCGAAGTCTCCACTTGGATGTGTCCCAGGCAGCTCAGAACTGATCATATCTTTTTCTACCCTAAGCATGAAGTTCCTCTTGGAACTCTCCCAACTGTTGGCACCATCAACCAAACAGCTGCCCAAACTAGAAATTTCAGAGTCACTCTTCCTCTGACTCATTACTCCTATCAATCAGTACTCAAGCCCTACCAACTTAATCCCCTTTAAGTTGCTTTATTTACTGCTTGCCTTTCACACCTAACACCCCTGCCCTAATTCAGGCCCTCATAATCTCTTCCTTAGATACATGGGTAGCCTCCTAATTAGCCTCCCCATTGGCAATTCTATCTCCCTCAAATTGAGCCTCCTCACAGCTCCTGAATGAACAGGCAGGTCCAGCAGTGAAGTAACAAATGTCCAGTGATAAAGTCACACAAATGCCTCTTCCAGAAGTATCTTGCCTACACCTTGCATCTCTGTATTACTCTTGCCCAAATATTGCTCTCTATACTTCCTGTTGATTCTGAGAGCTAACTGACAACCTTCCAATACCTCCTTCACTGCTTGATCAAATGAAAAGCCTTGACTAGCACACAATTCCTTTTACCTTCTACCACAATTGTGGGTTTTTGTGTCCTCTATTGGCCTAGGGCCGCCACCAAGGGCAGGGACCATGACTGTGAACCCTATGGAGTGTGTACTCATGTACTATGTCCTCCAACTACTAACATAGAACATGATGGATAGTAGACACTTAGATGCTTGTTCACAGTATGAATAGTCTGCAGTAGGGTTTTCTGTAAAACATATTATTTATTCATGATGCAATGAAATTATGGTAATGATACCACTTGTTTTATTATCTTATTCTTAGCCTCAGAATCCCATAAAACACATGCAAATTTCTCACAAAGTAGAGAAAGCAAATATCCTGGAAGATCTGACTTGCAAACCTGATCCTCTGCTTTCTCCATTTGTCATAACCATATATAAGAACTTCTTCCCAGAGCAGACAAATATCCTTATGTGCTTTTAACCATCAAGGTGGGTGCTATGGACATCTCACACCTGAGTACCTCAGAAACACCCGCTCTCCATAGCTAGTTCAAAGTCTGGTCATCCCTTGCCAAAAAATACTTTCCAGCCCCAGCAGTGCCACTCTCAAGGTTGCATTGTGGTTGTTTGTGATGGCAGAGAGTCAAGGGACTTAGGCATCCCTGATGGGTAAATAATCCAAGAGCTTTTTGTCCATTGGCAAATTAGGGATGAAACAGGCCATGTACTGGTGAGACAAGCTGTAATACTGCTTTGCTGTTATATTTGGAAATTACAGCATAAGCCTTCAAACTCTTTGAAGTCCCATGGTAGGAAGGATTACTAAACACAACCTCTTTTACTACAGGAAAAAAATGTTAAGGATTTTTTATTTTTTTTCCATCAATCTCAACAATGGCTTTACAGATTGGTTAAATTCAAAGTGTTTGTTGATGCCACATATTATCAGGCATTGTAAGGAGGATGTGATTCCTGTTCTCAGAGACATAACAGTCTGATGAGGTGACAGGGTGGGGACTCTTATCAGGAGATGCCAATAAGAAGACTTACACAGTGGAAAGTGCAGAGAGCCATGGGAAGGGAGGGTTTTCATCTGGAAAAGTTATGGAATGTTTTAAGAAAAAGCTGGACCTTAAAGCATAGGTGGAACCTAAATAGATGAGCATGGGACAGGAGAATAGAAAAGCAGCATTATACAGGTAAAGAGAACTTTGCAAATAAAACAAGAAGCAAGTAAGTAAAGGGCATGTTGAATGAACAGCACATTAGAGATTAATGGGAAGGAAGAGGAGAAATGTAATTTGGAGCAAACTGTGAAGGGCCTTGAATGCCAAACAAGGCATTTTGCACATTAGCCTGTGGGTAATTGCTAATCATCAAAAGATACTTAAGACGAGGGCATTTCTTCTTTCTTACATCTGGAGAAGCTGGGGAGTTGAAAGCCATTCCAATACACATTCCTCAACCATGGACACATATCACAATCACCTAGGGAGTCTGTTAGTGTGTGTTGTTTTTTAATGATGCCAAGTCTGGTCCCATTTCTGGACAAATAAATCAGAACCTCTTGGAGTAAGACCTGGATATAGCTTTAAAAAAATTTTTTTTTACCTGTTTTAATTTCCAGCCAGGGCTGAGAACCATTCTGTAGGTGAAACTATATCTATCTATCTGTCTGTCTATCTATCTATCTATCTATCTATCTATCTATCTATCTCTATCTATCTAGATAGGTAAATAGATATAAATAGATGGATATGTAATCAAACACTCCAAGAACCTAGACCTGAATGCATAACTACATTTATATGATTTAGTTGGTTAAGAAAAGCATAAGAAAAATTGAAGGAGAGTGCTGGGATAGTTGTTAGACACAAAAATCAGGGTTGACCAACAAGGATACCCAAGACAAGTTTAACTACCTGCTAGCTCTACTTATTGGGATACCCATCACCTCTACTAACATAAATGGATTTCACTCAACTTCTTCAAAACCTAATAGTTTGAAAAGATATAGAAGTAAGACTGATGCTGGGGTGATCTACCAAAGAGGTTCTGTTATTTTAAGAACCAAAATATTTAAATGAATATTACACCCCAAGATACAAGTTACCAAAACATGGTAACTATAGGCTAAAAGATTTGAAGATGGCAACAAAAGCATAAAGTCCTCTGACAAAAATTATTTTTTTCCTCCCCACATATTAGCTGACTTCTGCAATTATGGTATGGGAAACATCCTAAAAATCCCTAGGTGTCTTATTAGGGATCAGGCCAGGATTTGGGTAGCCACTTCCCATTCAGCAACTCTAATTTGAGTAGGGAGGAAACCAGATGGGGTGTTGGCCTTCATAAGGAGGAGGCTGCCCAGACACAGCTTACATCCACAGAAGCCAGTAGAGGCTTAGCAGGCAGATATTACCACCCCAGTTGGGTTAAATCTCAAGTGGAGGGGTCAGGCAAGAGAACTCAAGCACCCAGACTGATTGACAGGAAGGCCAAGGGTTAGGATCTTGTCCAAGAACTTAGGAGATGAGAGATCATAGAAGGCACCAGCACCATCACTAATGGAGCCAATTGATGCTGAGGCACTAGCAGGCTGGGGTGGGAGAATAATGAAGCAGAAAGCAAAGCATTCTTGACAACAACCAATAATTTATAGAGAAAAATGTATCATCTGCTGGGATAGACTACACACTAAGTATGAAACTCAGTGTTATTACTTTATATCCACACCTTGTTCAGCCACACAAAAGTGAGATAAGGCTTACCAGTGCTTAAACTAGAGCCAAATAAGAAAAGTAAGGTTCTTTCTCTGGTTGGAATGAAGAGTAGATGGCATAACTATAAGCAAAAGAAAACCACACTCTCCTTAGGTCCCCAAAAGCTGTTTTGGAAAGCTGTCTGAGTTAGAAAAACTAATGTTTATTTATAAAGTTTATGATGTTGATAAAAGACACATCAAGTAATAGTAAGAATAACATCAGGTTACATGTATAAAGTGCTCACTCTGTGTTAAACGTATTAATGTATATAGTCTTCACAACAATCTCATGTGATAGGTACTTTTACTATCTCAATTTTATAGCCAAGGAAACTGAGACATAGAGAGGATAAATGACTTTCCCAAGCCCACACAGCTTGAAAGAGCAGAGCCTGGATTCTAATCCAAGTCACCCAGCTCCAGAGCTTATACTAACCACGAGGCTTAAGCCGTTCTTCATGATAAGGAACTACCTTTGAAGGGGCAGAATGAACCAGGAGCACGTAGGAAAACACTTAAGGATATGTTTGTGATCTAATACAGTCATTCAACAGGTTCTTTCATTCAACAAATATATATCGAGCACCTGCTATGTGCCAGGCTCTTTTCTACACGCTGAAGATCACAGACGGGTGGGATCCCTATACATCTGAAAGAGTGAATACATGTTACATGGTATGGCATAAAATGTAGTGTTTTGTGGCTTTGTTTGGCCCCAAACACTGCATCTTTGGAATCTGAGTTCTTCCACATGTCTGAAATATAATTAGCTCTCTGATGAAGAGTTTCCAACACAACAAAGTTTCAGAGTTTAGAACCCAGAGTGGAGACAGGGATGTTTCCTCCAATGCTGGAGGAAAAAGAACTGGTGGAGAGCCAAGGAGCTGAGGCAATGTCCAAGGGCTGCCTGACTTGGTCTGTGTAGGAGGAGGCAGCACTGGATGACCTCCAAGGCCCAGCTCTAGGATCTGGGTTCCCAGGAAGCAAGGCAGAAGCAAGGCTGCCCTCAGGCACAGCACAGCACAGCCATGCTCAACCTGAGAGCAGTCACAGCCAGGGCAGCAGCGGGAAATGGCATGTGATACTGCAAGTGTAACTAGGTCACATTTCTGGGGTCGACCATCTCTCCCAGAGGGTGTCAAGGAACATCCCTGACTTGTGCCGATTTCCAGCCCCCATACAATGTGGGGATTGTACTTCTGCTTAGAGAGCTCTAAGAACAACCTGCAGACATAATGCAGGACCAAGTAGCCCCATGCAGATGAGCATAACTCGTCCCTGGCCTTATGAACTTTGTGATGCCAGGGTGGGATGCTGAATCAGCCCTCCAAAATCAGGAAAGGAGCTGTAGTCTGCAGGAAGAAGACTGGTTCTCCTCTCCCAGGAACCTGGGATCCTTGCCAGATTTGTGGCTCTAGCTGAGCCTCAAGAAATAGCAGGCAGGATTCATCACTGTTAATAATAACTGGCACATGACTGAGTGCAGAACTGAAACGCAGATGGCCAAGGAGCTGAGAGTGTCCTTAAAAGAGAAGGGACAAGTTTGGGTGAAGGAAAGGGTATCAGAGAGACAAACACACATGTATTTACACGTGATTTCGGGACATTCTACCATGCCCCCACCCCACCCCTTCATGATGCCCAACCCTGTAGCCCACCTGCCTGCCTCAGATGCTATCACTCACTCCTGGGTACAAAAGCCATCCAACCTTTTTCTGTATTAGGCGATTTCTCAAACCCTGACTCCTACCATGGAAAAACAATGTAGGTCTTCTCTGCAACAAGTGCTTTCAATTTCTCTTTTTACTTCCTGTTCACCTGAGACATTTCTGCAGCTGCCTTCCTCTTCCAGGTAGCTGAGTGTTCCAAACTCCTAATTAAGGGGCAACACCTAGACTTGGCTTTACCCTGCCTCAGCTCCTCAAGTGGCTTCCTCACAGAGTTCAGTTAAAGGTGCTAAGCCACAATGTCCAAAAATGAGAATGAAGCCAATATCCACTCAATGATTCTTTTGAATTGTGCCTGTTTGGATGCAAGGCCAACCGCATGGTCTCCAAGAATCCTCAGGGCAAAGGACCTCTGCCCCCACAGCTGGCATCAGGAAAATGGAATAAGCAGCCCCGATTTCAGCTGAGGACTGCTGCTCAAAGGGGTTTCCAGATCCTCTGAGCTGTGAATAAAGATGATTTTTTTTATAGGATAAATGAATGGAGAAAGATTTTCACAGGATAAAACAGAACCCTGGCTGGGCGCGGTGGCTCATGCCTGTAATCCCAGTACTTTGGGAGGTCGAAGCGGGTGGATCACTCAAGGTCAGGAGTTCAAGACCAGCCTGGCCAACATGGTGAAATCCCATCTCTACTAAAAATACAAAAATTAGCCTGGGGTGGTAGCACATGCCTCCTGAGTAGATGGTACTACAGGTGCATGCCCCAGTTACTCCAGAGGCTGAGGCAGGAGAATCACTTGAACCCGAGAGGCGAAGTTTGCAGTGACCCGAGGTCACGCCATTGGACTCCAGCCTGGGCAACAGAGTGAGACTCCTTCTGAAAGAGACAAAACAAAAAACAAAAACAGATCCCTTCTTTGCCGGATTCAATTCAAACTTAAGATTTAGAAGTGAGTTCAAATTTGAGTCTGACATAGTATCACTTCCCTTGACAAGTTAGGGAAAATTAAAATATTCTACAAAAAGAATAGAGGGAGATCAAGAAAGCAGGACAACCATGGGCAAAATGAGAAAGTAGACAAAACTGGGTTTCAGTGCCCGATGCCCTGTATGGTGCACCTGGCATTCCCTGGGGGAAACTGCCATTGGGATAAATAACCCAAGCCAACACAATGCCTGGTCAAAACTTACCTATTCTGTGTCCAGTGGAGATAAAGCATATTTTAAAGTGGCCATGAAATAGAGACACTCGAACTGTAATCAGGGACATCTAGGGACTTAATACTGTAAATCAAAGGCATGAACCTCAGAAACTATTTCAGGCAGCAAAGGGGATATTTAGAGACAAGGAGACTTTTCCAACTACCTCCAGATTTGATTCTCCTGTGATGAAACCCCAGTTCGCAGATTTGTGTCCCAACTTACCTTCCTTCTCTGGCCTTTTGCATTGTTCTCTCCACAATAAATTAACCTACGGACCATGGACATATAAGAAGTGCATCTGGCACATATGTTTATTGCAGCACTATTTACAATAGCAAAGACATGGAACCAACCCAAATGCCCATCAGTGATAGACTGGATAAAGAAAATGTAGCACATATACAGCATGGAATACTATGCAGCAATACCAAAGAGTGAGTTTATGTCCTTTGCAGGGACATGGATGAAGCTGGAAGCCATCATTCTCAGCAAACTAACACAGGAACAGAAAACCAAACACCTCATGTTCTCACTCATAAGTGGGAGTTGAACAATGAGAACACACGGACACAAGGAGGGGAACTTCACACACCGGGGCCTGTTGGGGGTGGGGCGCAAGGGGAGGGAGAGTATTAGGACAAATACCTAAAGCATGCGGGGCTTAAAACCTAGATGACGGGATGATAGGTGCAGCAAACCACCATTCACATTTATACCTGTGTAACAAACCTGCACATTCTGCACATGTATCCCAGAACTTAAAGAAAAAAAAAAAAAGAAGTGCATGTGGGCAAAAGTCTCTGAAACCCACTACTTTCCATGGTGGATCCAGTACATGAAGGTGAATGGAACCATGGAACCAGTTTCAAAGGGTTTCTGCAGGAAGAAGTGCATTTGCAGAGAAGCTTGTGAACAGCTTGCCAAATTTCAGCCTGGAAGAATTTTATTATCTTTAATTTACCAACCTAGAAATGGGCTTATAAGGGAAATTCTTAGCGATGTCTTCTTAGGCAACCACAGCAACTGCCACACACCTACCTCACTGCCCTGGAGCCTGCAGTACACTGTTACGTCCAAGTTCTGGCCTTTGACAAACTGAAGCTGGAACAACTGGAGCCTAACCTGCCTGCTCCACCCTGGAGTGCTCAGAGGAGAATGAATTAACTTCCGCCAGCCAACCCAGTAGTCCCAGTCCTGAGCCAGAAAGCAGTGGTTGTTAGAAAGAATGCAGAAAGCAAAGCCACAGTGCCTTCGTTATACTATTAAACTGTAATCACCTTTTTCTATAAGCATCTTCCTGTTTTCCCTGAAGGGGGATGGTTTAACTGCTGTCCTGGGGCAGAGGTGCCAACTCAGCAGAGAGACTTCCTGTGGGTCTGGGAGGCAGTTGTGTTCAGCAGGCTGTGGCATGCCCACTGACCAGAGGCAGGCTGTGAGGGGGCCCCCATCCTGACAGAGGGCCGGAGGCAGGAACTCAGAGACTAACTAAGGCTCCTGGCTTAAGGAATGATGTTGATTTCCTTTTCTCAGGGCCAGCACTAGGATGAGGCAAGCCAAGTGCTTAGGGAACAAGACTTAAGTAGCTGTTCACTCTCGGGTCCTGCAAGTAGCTCCTTCACCCTAGTGCCAGACCTACTCAGAGCCAACAACAGCACAGGTTGTGTGTGTGTGTACACAGACTGTGGAAGTCGGCAGTTCTCAAAGTGTAGTCCCGAGACCAGCATCATCAGCATCACCTGGGAACTTGTTAGAAATTCTCAGGCCCCCTGAATCAGACACTCAGGAAGTGGGGCCCAGCAATCTGTGTCTTACAAGCCCACCAGGTGATTCTGATGCAGCTGAGGTTTGAGAAGCCCCGTGCTGGAGGAGTGTGCTCTCCAAAGCCAGTCTCGTGGCATTTCTAAGGCCATCTCCCGCAATGCTTCCATACAGCCAGTATAGGGAAAGGGTGAGTGGCAAGATTACAGAGACTTTCCTAAAGCCATCAGCAAGATAGGAATCCCTCGAATAATAAATCAAGAATTGCTTTTTCCCAGCCACCCCTAAGTAGACTGTAGTAGTCAAGACTTGGCAATTGTTGGATAAAGATGGAGATTACTACTGAACCAGTTCCTTCCTGTTTCTTCCTAACTAGACACTCAGAGTTAGCCACTCAGTGACACTGTGATATGGACTAGCCATTTGAATATTCTATGGCTGAGATTCCTTCCTCTGTAAAACGGGTCCAACATCACCTACCTGTGAGGGTCAGAGAAGCTAATGTATGCAGAACCCTGAGTAGAAGCCTGGGGCAGAGTGAGCTGTGGTGACAGTTCATACATCTAACCAGGGGTTCCGGGCTCCATCCTCCCCCAGGGAGCGAGGTGGGAGGATCTGCGGCCTGAGGACAATTGAGTGGGGAAGGAGGTGAGCTGGTTTCATCTAGGGTACCATGTTTTTTAAAGAAGGCTATTTTCCAATCCAAATAGTCTGTGGGCATCAGGCTTCACTGGTGGTGACAAAAGAGAGAGAAAGGAAAGAAGGGACACCCAGTGCCGCCTGCCATTGGGTACTGAGAACCACACTTTAAAACAAAAAACAAAAAAAACTATATAAAGGCAAGATGACACTTCAGAAGACCCCACATTTAAACTTTGTCCTTGGGACCCAAACAGTATAGAGTAGTAAGACAATGACCACCAGTGAGACAGGGACCCCAGGCATTTGGCAGTGTACATGGTTTCTTTTGTCCAGGGCAGGATTACAAACAGGAGTGTGAGGATGAAATCATGCAGCAAAAAACACTGTCAGGGTCAAGGCAGACGTGATGTCTTAGCACTGACGTCCCATCACAGAATTGTGGAACCATTTCTGCAAAGCTGAAGGAGAACTAGTCCCATGCAACTTTTCCCAACTCACAGACATGTCTCCTGAGGACCAGAAAGGTTGCTGGCCTGCAGAGGCACACAGCTGGTGTGCCTGCAGAGGCCCACAGCGGAGAACAATCATTAGCTGTGCTCCGTTTCTCCCTTCCATTAAGGAGTGCTGGGGTGAGACGCAAATTTTAAGCTTCTACCCATAGGCCAGGTAAACAAAGGGCGGCCTCCCGCCCGCCCCGTTCCTGCCTCGGCCATCCCTTGCAGCACAGCTGAGGGCTTGAAGGAGGATCCATGACTCACACTTTTCTTGCCGCGGAGAATTAACTCCAAGATAACATTACCCATGTGGGAAAAAAAAGCAAGCCATCAAGGAAGAAAGTTCACTTCGCGCCCCTCTCCACCGAGCCTCCTTACCTTCCTCATTTAAAATCCACGGCAGAGAGGCCAACACGGAGTCAAAGCCGCAAGTGCTCTCTTCAAAGGCACAGGACCCAGCGGGCAGGTCGAGGGCACCGGCGAGCTGCAGGGCTGCGGGCACAAAGCGAGTTTCAGTTCGAGCTCCACCCAGGAGCCTTTGCACCAACTCGGGGAGCCCCAGGGGGACTACCTGGTGAAAGTGGGGGAAAGACGAGCGGGAGGGGGCGGGAGAGGGATGCAGTACCTGTCCCCCAGCATCCCCGGGCGCCTCCACTGAGCGACCCCACGCCCACCCCCACCCCCACCCCAGGCTTGGCCAGGGGAGGGAGTTAGCGGCTGCGGAGGATCAGGAGGCGCCCTCGGATGGCCCAGCCCAGCACGGTGAGCCGGACCCCCGGGGGCAGCAGGAGCGGGGGCGAGTCGTCAGAGCGCCCCCGGGGTTGTCCCGGGGTCCAGGCCTTACCTTGCAACGCCAGGAGGACGCCCCTTAACAGCATGGTCGCGTTTCAGGGAGGATGACTAGGAAGGGGTGCAAGTTGCCAGCCCGCTGGGACTGGCTGCTCCTAGTGAAAGGGATCGTGGGAGGCGGGGGCGCCGGGGACCCAAGGAGGGAGAAGTCGAGAGGCAAAGCTTGCGCTCTGAGCTGCCCAACTTTGCAGAGCGGCTCCCGGAGCCGAGCGGTATGCTGGAAGGTGCTCGAATGGAGAGCGCCAGCGCCCCGGCGCTGAGCAGCAGCCTCAGGTCAGACCGCGGCCCAGCTGGTCCTGGGCGACGATGGGGCTGGACAGGGAGGAGACAACTGCACACTTTGAAAGGCCAGCCACGACTGGCTGGGAGAGGAGAGGTCGGCCCGCAGTGCCTTCGCTCAGGATTTTAAAGCTTGGGACCAGAGCCCTTGCAGACACTTGGAAGGGGCAGGCCTTCCAGGAGTCCCTCCGCTGGGTTGGGACCCGAGGCTCCCGCCCCGCCCAGCCGCGGTGGGAACTCGCTTATTTCTGGGGACAGCTTCCCTGCATCTGGCATGTCAGTCCCGCAGGGCTGGCCCTAATTTTAACTTCTTCTCCCCAGAATGAAAGAGGGTGGAATTCTCCAAGGACAGCCTGGAGGAAAATTTGGAAACGGTTGGGTGGAATAAGCTTTATATCTAAGGAGTTTCAGCGTTTACGGTCCAGCAATGCTAACCCTGGAATACCACCCCCACTTTTTTTAGCCGGTGGAATGTCTGGCATGCCTGGTGCTCAGCATTCCCTCCGTCCGGTGAAATGGGGGCATTCCTTCTCTCCAAAGAGCCATGATAGATTGATTAATGGGAGGCTTTACACTGGGAGGGGGTTGTTGGGGAGGGAGTTACTTCTGAGGAAGCTGTTTGCTTTGGGCACTAAGTGGGTCTCCAACAATATTCTTTTCTTGTAAAGAGTTCTTCTTCCTCCCCTCCTCTTCCTCCTCCTCCTCCTCCTTTCTCCCATTTATAATTTTGTGCAGGCAATTTTGTGAGGAGGGCAGTGGTTTTAAAACCTGAGGGTGCATCAGAATCTGCTGAAGGGCCTCACCCTCCGTTTCCGATCCAGTAGCTCTGGAGTGGGCCTGAGAGGCTGCACGTCCCTAATAAGTTTCCAGAGGCTGCTGCTGCCGCAGCGGGTTTGGAACAATACTTTGAGGACCACTGGCCTAACAAACTCCAGTTGAGCCATCAGTTCAACCTGCTCCCATGCCTTCACCTGGCTTCCAGACCGCTGGGTTTCCTGGTCTTTCATTGGCCGCCGCTTCTCGGCCTCTTTGCGTTACCTCTGTAACCCCTTAACATGAGAGTGCCTCCAAGTTCTTCCCTGTCACTCCTGTTTCTTTCTCTATCCAGCCCCTCAATGCTGTCCTCAAGTCTCATAGTTTTAGATACCAATGATAGCCTGATAACTCCCACATTTATATTTCTAACCCAGACTACTCACTAACGCCAGACTCTTCGATCTCATTGCCACCTCAACATTTCCAATCGGATGCTTCAGAGCTATTTCATACTTAACAGGTCCCAACATGAAGGCTGCATATTTCTTGCCAAACCTGCCCGTCCCCTGTGTCTTCCTCATCTCAGTAAAAGAACTATTTTCCTCCAGTTGTTCAGGAGAGAAAACTTGGAGGCATCTTCAGCTCATCCGTTCCTGTCAGACATTGCCAATTTCTATCAGCTCAGGATTCAAAACACAGCAGATGCTGACCATGCTCTGTGCCCATGGTGGTGATGCCTTGGTTGGTCCAAGCTGCCCTTGCCATCAACCTGGGATACCGCAGTGGCCTCCTGACCACGGTCTCCCTTCATTTTCTGCCCTGCCCACCCTACTCTATTCTGAACACACTAGTCAGGGTTATCCTTTTAATACAGAAATTGGGCCATGTCACTCCTTAGCTCAAGACCCAACAAGTTCCCAAGTCATTTAGTAAAGTCCAAAGTCTTCACGATGACCAACCAGGCCCTATAGGACCTGCTCCACCCTTTTCTTTCTTTTCTTGCTTTCCTTCTTTTTCTTTTTTTGAGACAGAATCCCACCCTGTCACCAGGCTGGAGTGCGATCTCTGTTCACTGCAAAGTCCACCTCCCAGGTTCAAGCAATTCTCCTGCCTCAGCCTCCCAAGTAGCTGGGATTACAGGCGTGTGACACCACGCCCAGCTAATTTTTGTATTTTTAGTAGAGACAGGGTTTCACCATGTTGGCCAGGATGGTTTCAATCTCTTGACATCATGATCCACCTGCCTCGGACTCCCGAAGTGCTGCGATTACAGGCGTGAGCCACTGCACCCAGCCCCACCCTCTTATTTCTCTGACTTCAATCACCCTGCTTACTCTTCTCTAGCCACACAGACCTCTTGGCTGATCCTCAAACACAGTCCAGCTATCCTTTCAGAATTTTGCACTGGCTGTTCTTTCTGCTCAAAATGCTCTTCCACAAAGAGCCACACAACTCACCGCCTAATGAGGTCTTCACTCAGATGTCACTTTCAGTATTAGAAAATTAGTAACCTTCTCCCTAATAAGGAAAATATATCTGGAATCCTTTTTTAAAGGTAGGAACAAATTTTCATGTGTTTTCTGTAAACAATGATTCAAATGGTCAAAAATTTATTCATTAGTGTGTGCTATTTGGTGTATATGTATCTTTTTTTATTTATATGCTTTGCCTCAGGTAGTAGCTAATAATAACATTTATTGTGTTTACCATTATAAATGTTTTATGTAGATAATCTCATTTAAGCTTCACAAAATCTCTACAGGATAAATATGTTCATTATCCCCATTTAATAGATGGGGAAACTGAGGCACAGAGTTCAGTGACTGTGGACAGTAGAGACAAAACTCAAACCCAGATCTGCTTTATTCCAAAAGCCTATTTTCTCAACCAGTACAGGACTTCTCTCACTTGGGTCTTATATTCTTTTTTTTTTTGACTTCTTGATCACAGATGGTGCTAAATATCTGATGAATTTCATCACACTACTTAACTAAAAATTCAAAGACAGTTATACATTCAGTCGAAACCTCAAAACATTATTTTCAACTAAAGAAGTTTTCAGCAACAATCAAACTGGTGCTCCTTTTTCCAGATACTTAAGGAGTATTTCAAAGTTTTAGAATTGCCTTAGATTCATGTCGTATGTTCTAAGTCATAGGAAAATGAAAAACTTCAAAGCCCTAAAGAGATCCTTCCAAAATTTAAAATATGATTTACAACCTTAACGTGACATTGTGTATTGCCACCTATGGGAACAGAATCATACATAAGTACAAACTCAGACCAAATTTTCTATTTTGCATATAATTGTTTGATCCCAAGAATATATGATCCTTAGACATTGGCACAAGTTAGAATGTCTGGGAAGCAGACTCTGATTTGAAGTTTAATGTGCAGGGTGTTTAATCAGGAGTACCTTGGGATCAGTGCCATGGAAGGGAGGGAGAGGAAGCAGGAAAGGGTGGAGGGAGAATTGGAGTTGCAATGCAAATCCCACAAAGCTTCTTTCAATCCCCCAAGGAACTATGGAGTTAAAATGGCCTATCTAACTTGTCTCATGTTAGGCTGAAATGAAAGGGCATTTGTACTGCTGTCTCCATCTGTCACTGGTTGTGGCCTATGCTGGGACAGAAGTGATCTCCAGTGAGGCAGCTCTCTGCACTGGGGAGGATCAGAAGTTGAAGGCCGATGACAATACTCCAAGCCGCTGGGACTAAAAGTCATTTCTTGAAGGGGGATCTGGACAGCATAAAAATGCCTACCACAGACGTTTTGCAGAGAAAGGAAAAAATATTGTATGTGGCCTAAGTCAGGATGCAGGGAAAAAGACTGAGGAGGGAAGCCAGAGAATCTAGAAACTACGTCAACCAACTTCCTTTGGTCACTAATCATAGCACCCACATGGTACCCTCTTATTACTTGGGAAAACAGGATCAGGTCCCAAGGAACCCAGAATGCTATTCTCCAAGATTTAGCTTAAGCAACTGATCAAATAACACATATCAAGTTCTGGCTTACAGAAAGCACTCAGTACTTAGGTATTGTAATAGGTTGAATGGTGGCTCAAAAGATACATCCGTATCCCAGAATCTGCAAATGTGACCTCATTTGGAAAAAGGGACTTTGCTAATTTAATTAAGTTAGGGATCTTGGGATGAGATCATCCTGTATTACCAGGTGGGCCCTAAATCAATGGCAAGTATCCTTATAAGAGTCAGAAGAAAAGGCACAGACACATGTAGGAAATGGTCACGTAAAGATGGAGATGGCATGTAAAGAGATTGGAGTGATGCAGCCCCAAGCCAAGGAATAACAAATTCTCCCCTAGAGCCCCAGAAGACTGTATTCTGCAGACACCTTGATTTGGGGCTTCTGGCCTCTGAAACTGTGAGTGAATAGCTTTCTGTTCTTTTAAGCCACCCGGTTTGTAGTAATTTGTTCTGGCAACCATAGAAAACTAATATAGAGTGCATTAAGTAAACACATGCCAGGCACTTAACATGCATTATCTCATTTAATCCATGCAATATCCCTATGAGGTGAATATCATTATTGTCCCCATTTTATAGACTAGGAGACAGGACCAGAGGGGGTCAATTAACCTGCTCAAAGTCACACGTCCAGCCAGCATGCAGCAAGGATTTGATCCCAGATGCCCACTTCTCCTGGCTATCCACTATGCTGCCCCTAAATGCTTCCTCCTTACACAGGCCTGTCTCTCCTAATGAGGGCTGCCTACACCACACACAGACACTATGCCCTGCTCTCTCTGTGGGTTCCTGTATGATGCTCACCTCTCACAGAGCCTGCCCATCCTCTCTGCTCTTTGCCAATCTGTTCCTTGCGCCCTCCAGGTACCTTTCACCAGGGGCTCTGCTCCTTGTTGTACCACTTCTAGCCTGGAGATCACCAAGTTCTTGCTTCTAATTTTCTGGGTCAAGGTGAGGAAGATGAAGCATTGCTGCTCCTCTCTATCCAGTGTCTTCCCACATAGCCAGGTGAGGCATTGGGGGGTGTGAGCAAATCTGTGGGAAGAAAGCAAGAAAGCCAGCATTTATGATTGCACCTTTGACTGCACTACAGAGGTTAGCCAATCTCAGAGTCTGTCTTTACTGCCCACTTTCCCTTCTGTTTTCTTTCTCTCCTTGTTAGTCTCACGCAGTGTCATGCCATGATAAGCTCAGCAAACATTTCCTGAGCACCTACTGTGAGCCAGACACTATGCTAGGGGCTGGAAATCCAGGGGTCAAGAAGACACATCCTCTGCTGCTGAGACAGGAGACTGACCCATGAGACAATAATTTCAATAAAATATGTGGATGAGATAGAATTAAGGCTGCAAATATAAAAAGTCTAGAGGCCAAGGAAGTCACGTAAATGAATGGAGTGATCTGGTAACACGGAAGAAATAGGGAGGGATGGAGACTGTGGTTAACTGGAGTAAGTAAGTCCAACTAAAGGGCATTACAGAAACCATCTCTACCCCAACTGCTCATGTTTCAAAAGAAGCCCAATATTCAGATATGTATATAACAACTCCTGATTTTCAGATGCCATTCCATTCCATTCCATTCCATTCCATTCCGTTGCATTCCATTCCATTCCTTTCCATTCCAATCCACTCATGTTGATTCCATTCCATTCTATTGCATTCAAGGCCACTTCATTCCATTCCATTCCAATCCATTCTTTTCGGATCCATTCAGTTTAAATGCATTCCATTCCTTTCCACTCCATTCCATTCCATTCCATTCCATTCCATTCCATTCCATTCCATTCCATTCCATTCCATTCCTCTCGAGTTGATTCCATTCCATTCTATTGCATTCCATTCCATTCCATTCCATTCCATTCCATTCCATTCCATTCCATTCCATTCCATTCCATGCCACTAGAGTTGATTCCATTCCATTCTCTTGCATTCCATTCCATTCCATTCCATTCCATTCCATTCCAT
This sequence comes from Homo sapiens, assembly GCF_000001405.40. Classification (NCBI taxonomy): domain Eukaryota; kingdom Metazoa; phylum Chordata; class Mammalia; order Primates; family Hominidae; genus Homo; species Homo sapiens. The sequence continues at coordinate 70,038,234 of NC_000009.12, read as the reverse complement.
TCCATTCCATTCCACTCGAGTTGATTCCATTCCATTCTATTGCATTCCATTCAATTCCATTCCATTCCAAGAAATTAAAACAATATACTCAAATCCCCATGGGGTAGAACAAAATCTATTGGGAGGTTAAATTCAATTCTTGAGCTGAAGTTTGCAGCATTATGATAGAACCACGGAGACAGAGAGTAGGGTGACTCCCTCCTCACTCCTCCAGAGGAGGTAGCCAGGCACACGGGAGCAATGCCATTCTACAGTAGAGCAAATGGAGGCAGAAAAAGTCTAGGTGACTTTTAACCAAGGCTGTATGTCTCTAGGGCAGTGGTGGGATGAGAAGCCATTAATTATCTCACCTCCTAGTTGGCCAGTATTTGGAAACATGGAAAGGACTTTGTATATTCTAGGTCTTGCACAGATGTAAGGTAATTAATAATAAAATTAGTAACATCTTTTGTAGTTATTATACCTTGTTGCATTCTCATTTATCTCATATATATAATCTGTTTTTCTTAATACCTGGGTCTCCTTTAATCTATGCCAAGTCATTGTCTCTGGATTTTTGTCTTTGTTTCTGCCTTTCTCTCTCACTGTCTGATGTACTTTGTATGGGCTCACCTCTATCTCTGTCACTCTACACTGAGTGGTTTTTTTTTTGTTTTGTTTTTGTTTTTGAGACGGAGTCTCGCTCTGTCGCCCAGACTGGAGTGCGGTGGCACAATCTCCGCTCACTGTAAGCTCCGCCTCCCAGGTTGACGCCGCCGTTCTCCTGCCTGAGCCTCCCGCGGAGCTGGGACTACAGGCGCCCGCCACCGCGCCCGGCTAATTTTTTTTTTTTTTTTTTTTTTTTGTAGTTTTAGTAGAGACGGGGTTTCACTGTGGTCTTGATCTCCTGACATCGTGATGCGCCCGCCTCGGCCTCCCAAAGTGCTGGGATTACAGGCGTGAGCCACCGCGCCTGGCCTACACTCAGTGTTTTTAAAAAAATCTTTGACATGTTTATTGGAATTACATTAAATGTGTACATTGATTTATAAAGATTGATATATTTACCTTGGTCCATTGATATAAATTTTTGTGTTTTCCAGTAAACTTTTAAAAATATCTTCATGTGAATTTTACCAACTTTATTCTAATTTTATTCAGAAGAAAAGACCAAATATGCACTCCTGCAGTCAGTGGTCTGTGTTGCTTCCATGTCGTCTCTCTCTCTCTGCATACACCCAACAGGCCCCCACTCATTACACACAATCAGGCTAAAACGAGATGGCAAAATCATTCCAGGCTCTGGGCTTGTCCTGCCAGTGACCTCCGTAGTTGCATTCCAGCAGGAGGTAACTGAAGGCTCTGCCCCGAGGCCAGCGATGGTCCTTGGTTACTGTCCAGCACTGTTGGCCTCTTACTCCCAAAGAGCAGTCATGTGCCTGCTACGGATTTGAATCATCTCCCATGATGCACCAAGACCCAAGGGACAATCAGTCCTTACAAATCTCCTTTTATTACAAAATATATAGCCCACTGTTCAAACTGCCACAGTCAAATGACTGAACCCATAAAGTAGGTACATCTTCTAGAGTGAGCATTTTAAAGGAAATAGATACTTCAATAGATGCTTTCTATCATTAATCTTTTCTTCATCAGCTTACTCCGGATCCTAGCTGGGAGTCAGACATCCTTCATTACAGCTTGAATGCAACCTTCTAATTTTTTTTAAATTGAGGTTTTCTGGGCTGACCAGTCACAGTGATAATACTACCATGTTTTGTTAAGTGTCTGTGATGTGCCAGGTGGTTTCATGGTAAATTCATGGAGGAAGAAACTAGGCTCAGAGATTTGATGTGACTTGCTCAAAAGTACAGGGCTGGGGCGGGAGCCAGCTCAAGCTCCTACCAAAGCCCTTATAACCTCAATGCCATCCACCCAACACAGGGAAGGTGTGAGCAGAACTTTGAAATGTCTGGTTCCCAGGTCCCCGGCCTCCTACCTCTACCCACAGGCAGTGCTGAGGCCAGGAAGACCAGGGGCTTGGAGAGGGGCGTCAAACAGATTCACCCACAGCCCTCAAAAGGAACAATCCCCGACACCAGTGCCACTGATCTTGGTCTTCTGGCCTCCAAAACAGTGAGATAATAAAAATTTCTGTTGTTTAAGCCATCTGGTTTGTGGTACTTAGTTACTACAAACTAATATATTTCTATTCATTTCTCAAGACCCAGTTCAAATGGCCCCTCTCCTATGTTGTTGGTGTGCCTGTGCTGCAGCATGTATGATGCTGTGTCCTAGGCTGTGCAGGCTGCTATAACAACGTATCATACACTGGGTGGCTTATCAACAGCCAAAATGTATTTCTCAATTCTGGTGGCTGGGTGTTGGGTAAGGGCCTGATTCTTCACAGATAACTATTTCCTCACTGTATCCTCACATGGCAGAAGAGGCAAGGGTCTCTCTTGGGCCTCTTTTATAAGGGTGCTAAATCCTATTTATGATGGCTCTGCCCGCATGACCTAATCACCTCCCAAAGGTCCCCACTTCTAATGCCATCGTTTCATGGGTGAGGATTCCAGCATATGAATTTGGGGCAGACATAAACATTCATGCCACAGAACGCTGTATGACAATGACTTTGTCTATGTCTCTGTGTTCTGCGATAGAGACTGAGTTTCAAGGGTAGAAAGCAGAGCAAGTGTGTTTTATCTTTGTATCTGCTCCTGTGCTATCTCTATACATGGCTAATTGTAGTCGCTCAAAAGATGTTTGTTGAAGGAAAGTCTAAGGAATAGCATATCCTCATTGGTCCACATGGCCCAAGAACCAGCCTAAGCTGCAGTCCTATGAGTAGAAGAAAAAGAACTACATTTAAATTACCCAGGGGAATATGTATAAAAATGAAATCACAGGTGTGTTCTGGGAGCACAGAGCCAATCTGAAGAGGAGCAACAGACTGAACAGGGAGTAAAAGCAGGCTTGCGGGGGTCAGGGCAGCACATTTGGCAAACCGGAGAAAGGCAGACTCTCAAAAATCCACTTTCCTGAGAGGCAGATGAGGCCACAGAGAGAGAACTTAACCTCTGGAAGGAAGTGCCAGGCCTTGGATGTTGGAGGGAAATAGAGACTATGAAACAGCTTGGATCCTGCCACCTGAGTCTGTCCCAGCCCAGCTCCATGGTCTCCTATCTGAGTCCAAGAGTAACGCCAGGCTGTTGGGAAAGCCAGAAAAATCTGTTTCCCTAAATCTCTAAAAAAACACTGGGCCACAAATGGCTCTACAACCTGCATTAATAAGGATTGTGACAGTATTAAAATGAAAGCAGGTGAGCAGCAGTGCCATGCCCCGCTTTGCTACCAACAACCATGACTTTGGCATTTCAGAGGTCATTGCAGTGAGAATGGGCAGCATCGTGGCTGTGTCAGAGGTACAGGCTGGTTTGTGTGCACACATGTTCACCCCTAGGACACCCCCCAGATCCCAGGCGCTAACACTCTGTGTTGCCTATTAGGGTTAAGAGTGAGGAAGAGCACACCAGAATTTGACATATTCTAGCTAATGGTGGCTCCAGAGACTAGGGAGGCCCATGAGCAATTTAGGCTAAACCCAGGTGGTATGCTTTCTCCTTTACAAGTTTTGTTTGAGTGCTTTGGCATGGAAACAGGAAAAATAAAGCATTCTGTAGCCAAAAACATTTCCAAGAACAGCAATGAAACCCCAGCTTAGCTTCTGATTCATAATCTCTGACATATTCATCCGTTAGAGTGGGGATCCACACACAGTGATTTGATTGACATGAACACGGATGGGGTGATATTCATAATAAAGGCCTTGGCACTGAGAGACAGAATGGACACCAACTGGGAGGATGACAGATAGTGAATGTCAGCTCTGAACAGGTGTGTGGGGTGTGTGCATGGTGTGCAAAGACACAATAGCATTGAGAAGCTGAGTCACAGGCTTACTGCTAAATCTGGAGGCCTGAAATGCAAACAGGTAGAACACTGGAGACTTAAAAGATGTCAAATGACACTAATTCTTTCCAATTTTCCCAGTACGCAAGGCCCAAACAATTGGTGATAATGAAGAAACTCTACTACCAGACGTTGCGGGATGCCTCAATGACCTAATCCAGTAAATCACAGCTCCAGCTGTCCATGAGCTCTGTCTACCATCTGAGGAATTGTTTCTTTTTAATACAAAGACTGGCACTCATCAGATAATAATTTCTGGGATAGAAGCAAAGTATTGGTATTTCTTTAAGTCTCTTGAAGGTGATTCTACTGAGCTGGGATTAAGAACACACTGCCTTAATCCTTTCATCATCAACAAAATTAAATACTGTTACTATTAACAGAAGGAAAAAAAAGCTGTTTAAAGAGAGTGAGAAAGTGTTATACCAGGAATGGGAGCATGATTTTGTCATTGAGACCATGGCCACTGGAGCAAGACCACCTGGGTTCAACTTGTAGCTCTGCCACTTGCTATCTATGAACCTAGGGCACGTTATTTGGTCTCTCTGTGCCTCAGTTTCCTCATCTGTAAGATGGAAATCATAATAGTCACTACCTCACATGGAGATCATGAGTACTAATTGAGTTTATATTGTTAGAGTGCTCAAAAGAGTGTCTGGCATGCCAAGTACTATATAAATATTTATTATTAATTTTCTAACAACTCAAGTTTTTCACAGGTCCAGGCTTGTAGTTGAAATTGATACACAGTCTATCCACCAAAATAGCCTTTTCTATAGTGTCCTGCCTCAGGGTGGGAGGCACAGAAACTAGAAATGAAAATTGGACAATTAGTAGCATTGGTGTTCTATCAGATTAGAAGAAACATTCATTCATTCATTCATTTATTTACTTGGAGACAGTCTCGCTCTGTGATCCAGGCTGGAGTGCAGTGGTGCAATCCCAGCTCACTGCAACCTCCACTTCCCTGGTTCAAGCGATTCTCGTGCCTCAGCCCCCCGAGTAGCTGGAATTACAGGCACACACCACCTTGCCTGGCTAATTTTTGTATTTTTAGTACAGACAGGGTTTCACCAGGTTGGCAAGGCTGGTCTCAAACTCCTGACCTCAAGTGGTCTGCCTACCTCGGCCTCCCAATGTGCTGGGATTACAGGCATGAGCCACCACACCCATCCAGAAGAAACATTTAACCTATTGAATGCATACTATTATAAATACCAACAACTAGGACATTAAAATAGTAATGGGAAAATAATTTTAGGATTAAAATAGAATTCTTCATTTGATAATACTCGAGGTGGAGCAAACAAAATGGAACGGTGTCTAAGAAGAGGCATCTTACAAGATTACTTTTCTAGAGGCTAAAGGAAATTATCTTGGGCACCGGTTATAGCCTGAGGGGCAAGTCTGTCTGTATCTAATAAAAGTGTCTTCTGAAAAAAGAAACAGAGAGGGAACTTTAAAGTGGAGCATCTTGTTTTATGAACAGCTGGAAGTGCCTACAACTCCTCCCCAAACTGAAAAGATTACTTTTACACTATGCATTTTACAATTTTACGTACACATTTTTAAAACTCTTTTGGGATGTGGAAGGTTTATTTATTCAGCCACCCATAGCAAATTCAAATAGACTCCTGGCTATCTAAAAAGCCACAGCACTCGGAATTTCTCCCATGGTGGTGGGGGATGGGGATGCTCCATGGGGAAATTTGTTCCCTCACCTGTAGGCTTCACTCCAAAACAAGGCAATAGGACTGCAATGACTTCTGTGACTCTAGCCATGGTAATGCCTTGCAGTGGGGGGGTTACATTTTGCATCTCTCTAAGCTTCCATACTGGGCCAGCAATATCACTGAATTCTTCCAAGAGAAAATAGCTCCCCCAAAGGTGGCACCCACAGGAATCTCTGCCAGGTTCCCAAGTCTACTGATTCTTGCATTCCACCCCTTCCCTCAAGGTTCAATTCCTTTATTTTAAAATTATATCCTTTAGAAACTTTTTTTTTAGCAAAGACTTGTGAGAGGTCAATTCTCCTTCTTTTTAAAAACATCAGTCATAAAGGATACTTCTGTTTGATGTAGACTTTTAGATTAAAGTTCTGAGTAAAGATGGTGGATTGAACCACAAATCCAAATTTTGCTTTTCCAGAAATCATATAAAACTACAATGAATATATATTATTTAGAAATGCATGAACCTTTAAGAATATGGGAAATGGGAGAAGAGACAACAACTGACTTCTGGAAGCCGGAAAGAAGATGGGTAAATAAACTAACCCAACATGTCAAAGAAACATTCTAGGCTGACTCAGTTTTATTTTTTTTTCCTAACATAATCTAAACTCCAGGAAATGGTGACACCAGGTAACACTGGAAATGGAATAAAGAGGGTGGCCTAAAATAAGGAGGATTAGAAAAGTTGTTTGAGAATCACCAGCTTTCTAGATTCCCTCAACACCCCACACTCTTGCATGAGTTCTCTTCCCCATCCTAGCAAAAGGATGTTTACTGTCTGGAGAGGGTAAAACAGAGGTACCCTGTACTTTGAGGGCAAAGACTGAGTTAAGAGCAGGAATCCCACACTGAAGCCAGAAGGAATAGAAGGAGTAAATGAATATGTAGACGCTGAAGGCCAAGACCCCTGCGCTAAGTCCTGTTCATCTACTGAGCTTCCACGGTGATTTGGAAAAATGGAAGAGTCATCTCTGGGGGATTTGACCAGCCCAAAAGGAAAAACTTACACATACCAATATTAAGGTTAACCCCAACAAATGACCCAGCCAGATCACCCTCCAATAAAACTCACTCAGATCTTCCAATCAGCTTTTTACTCACCCACAAGTAAACAAGAGCAGACACCTATTATGAGACGGATGAAGAATGCCTCTAACTTATAAAGATCAAGCAAACAAACCACAAACAGATAAAAATGACTCAGAGGGAAATTATGAAGGGAAGAGAAAACTTCAAAATAAAACTATTATTAATATCTTCAAAGAGAGAAGCTATGACACTGAATCCCAGGGATGAGGTCAGAATGCTATTTAAAAAAGAACATTCAGAGAACATAAAAGAGCTCTTAGAAATTAAAAACCTGAGGCCTGGCACAGTGGCTCACACCTGTAATCCCAGCATTTGGGAGGCCAAGGCAGGCGGATTGCTTAAGGCCAGGAGTTTGAGACCAGCCTGGCCAACACAGTGAAACTCATCTCTACCAAAAATACAAAAATTAGCTGGGCATAGTGGTGTGTGCCTGTAGTCCCAGCTACTCAGGAGGCTGAGGCAGGAGGATCGCTTGAGCCTGGGAGGCGGAGGTTGCAGTGAGCCGAGATCATGCCTCTGGACTCTAGCCTGGGTGACAGAGTAAGACCTGTCTAAAAAAAAAGAAAGAAGGAAATAAAGAAAAGGAAGGGAGGAAGGGAGGGAGAGAGGGAGGAAGGGAGGGAAGGGAGGAAGGAGAGACAGAGAGAGAGAGAGAAAGGAAGGAAGGAAAAGAAAAGAAGAAAGGAAAGGAAAGGAAGGAAGGAAAAGAAAAGAAAAACCTGATAGTAGAACACAAACATTCAATAGAAAAGTTGGAAGTTGAGGTTGAACCAACCTCTCAGAAAGTAGAGCAAAAAGCAAAGAGAAGAAAAATAAAAGGAAAAGTTATATAAATGTATGTTTATTTGTGTTTTTATATAGAAAATATAAAACATTATTTTATAAAACATTATATAAATAGTCTAGGAAGATCAATGTCTGGATTATGAGGATTTAAGAAGAGAATAAGGTGAATAAGAAAAAAATAGAAATAATTTAAGGAAATTTTCTGAATTCAGATACATGAATTTCCAGACTGAAAGTCTCACTAAGTTCTCAGAACAATGAATGAAAATAGATTCATAGCAAGGCATATCATTGTGAAATATCAGAACAATGGGAACGAGATGTTAAAAGCTTTATAAGAGCAAAAGTGAGTCACACTCAAAAGCCAGTTACACTTAGAATAATATAAACACTGATCATTGATCTAAGCAAAATTACACTATTACTATATTAAAAGCATGAGGGCCCAAAGCAATCTACAGATTCAATGAAATCTCTATCAAAATACCAATAAGATTCTTTACAGAAATATTAAAAAGTCCAAAAATTCATATGGAACCACAAAAGACCCAGAATACCCAAAGCTATCCTAAGCAAAAAGAACAAAACTAGAGGAATCATATTACCTGACTTCAAATTATGCTACAGACCTGTAGTAACCAAAACAGTATGGTAAGACATAAAAACAGACACATAGACCAATACAGAACCCAGAAACAAATCCACACACTTACAGTGAACTTATTTTCAATATATGTGCCAAACACCTACAATGAATTCGTTTTTGACAAATGTGCCAAGAACATACACTGGGGAAAAGACAGTCTCTTCAACAAATGGTGCTGGGGAAACTGTATATCCATATGCAGAAGAATGAAACCAGACCCCTATCTCTCGCCATATACAAAAATCAAATCAAAATGGATTAAAGACTTAAATCTATGACCTCAAACTATGAAACTACTACAAGAAAACATTGAGGAAAATCTCCATGACATTGTTCTGGGAAAAAATTTATTGAGCCATACCCCACAAGCACAGACAACCAAAGCAAAGTAAATGGGATCACACTGAGTTAAAAAGCTTCTGCACAGCAAGGAAACAATCAACAAAGTGAAGAGACAACCCACAGAATGGGAGAAAATATTTATGAACTACCCATCTGACAAGGGATTAATAACCAGAATATATAAGGAGCTTGAACAACTCTATAGGAAAAAGCCTAATAATCCCAGTTCTAGTGACAGTGAGGGAGTTCTCATGAAAGCCGATGGTTTTAAGTGTGCCACGTCCTCGTTCTTTTGCTCTCTCTCCTGGTGCCTTGTGAAGAAGGTGCTTGCTTCTCCTTCATCTTCTGCCATGATTGTAAGTTTCCTGAGGCCTCCACAGCCATGCAGAACTGTGAGTCAATTAAACTTCTTTTCTTTATAAATTACCCAGTCTCAAGCAGTGCCTTGATAGCAGTGTGAAAACAGACTAATACCCCCCTGGACACAAAAATTATAGCCACAAAGATAAAACACTGGAGACACAAGAATAATCTTGTTCAAAGATATGGAATTTTGGAAGGAGACTATAAATAAATGGGCTTTTACTCAGAAAAAAAGATCTAGGGAGTGGATGTAATAGAATGCTGAGTGTAATATGACTTATTGCCCGTGGATAAGAGAGGTGTGCAATGCCCCAGATTTTAAAGATAAGTGAAACTAATTAAGGCCAGCCAATTCTTCCAGGGATTTTAAAGAAGTGGCCAAATGGGCTCCCCCAATTATTCCTACAGCTCCTGCACCACTCTTTCTTCCACCATCTCCAGTCTGTATAGGAGAGATTAGAGAGAGAAGAAAGTATCCTGCAAGTTGGGTGTTGCTGGTGAAGGATGAGAATAGTGGCTTTTCCCACCTCTTCCCTTGGGAGAGAAAAAGAAAACTGCCTTTTTCCAAATTCCCCCGATGTAAAAAGGGCTCCATCTATCACTCTTAGAGATCTAGCATCTTATGACATCTTATTCTTTAGTTTGGGTTCTGTTTAGACAGTGCCCTTGCTGATCTGTGCCCTGTATCTTTATGTACAGAAGAAAAAGAAAGGGGAAAAAAGTGACAGAACAGAGAGAATGCAAATGTGCAGTAGTCAATACTTACCCTATTTGGTGGAACAAAGATGCATAAGTTTCATGTGGATCCACAAATAGCTAGGCTTAAACTGCTTGCTAGTGCCCCACCTAAAAGTATGACCCATCAAGTAAGAGACTCCAGTAGTTGAAGGCTATGGGATATTCCACTACTGGACAAAACTGGGGGAGGGAGGTGACAAAGGTCATGTCTGAGTGTATGTCCCAAGCCAGGAGATGGGTCCAGTGACTGTGAACAGCTGGAACCAAGACCGACACGCCCGCCCCCCGCGCATGTAAGAACAGGGCCCTCAAATGGCTGCACCTTCAGTAATTAGCATGTTAAGTAGTCTGAATGCAGCCAGGCGCAGTGGCTCAAGCCTGTAATCCCAGCACTTTGGGAGGCTGAGGCGGGTGGATTACCTGAGGTCAGGAGTTCGAGACCAGCCTGACCAACATGGTGAAACTCCATCTCTACTAAAAATACAAAAATTAGCCAGGTGTGGTGGCACACTCCTGTAATCTCAGCTACTCGGGAGGCTGAGGCAAAAGAATTACTTGAGCCTGGGAGATGGAGGTTGCAGTGAGCCGAGATTGTGCCACTGCACTCCAGCCTGACCGACAGAACGAGAATCTGTCTCAAAAAAAAAAAAAAAAAAAAAAAAAAGACTGAACTCAGAGAGGTGTGAATGCAAGCTGGCTTGATTTTTGTTCACCTACAGCTTTCAATCATGCTTTCATGAATCTCCCTTGGCTGTTCTTTAATGATATCTTGTGCAGATTCTACAGTTTTCTGGCCACTTCCATACATTAAAAAAAAGTCCACCACCAGCGAGCTGGTATTTACACATGTGCCTAAATACAGAAGGGAAATGATATCTGAGAGCGGACTACAATAACACCCAGTTAGGTGAATATTCTTTATTTTTTTCATCCATCCTCCCTGCCCCTACACTGCAGAAACTAAGAGGACAGGAAAAAGAGAGAAGAATGAATGTGAAGACAATGCCCTTTCCCCACTCGAAGGCTCTAGAGTAGAAGCCTAGCTGCTGGCATGGGGCAGGGTGAAGACAAATATTCAATTAGTTATTCAATTGAAGTTTTAAACTAGACTGGATTGATGCTAAGCTTCCAGGAACAGTCCAAAATCATGCCACAGAAATGGCTTGATAAACAAATGCTACTGTCACCCTAGAGACCTGGAACCTGACTGCACTGGACCTATTGCAACTGTTAATGTCCCCAAAACTAAGACTCCATTGCCATCACACAATCCTACAAAATGAAAACAGTGAAAAGAGCTTATATCTTTTGCTCGTTACTTGGGAATTTAAATCTCACAGGGGTGCATCTGATTAGTAGAGTCCAGGCCACGTGATTTTATTCTAGCTGAAAGGGAAGCTGGGGATTTGAAATCTGAGTTCTGTATTGCAAGGGCAGAAAGTATAACATGGAAGTTTCCCATACTTAGAAAAGCTCTTCAGAAGACGATGGACCACTGCAAATGTGACACAAGCCTATTATGGATATCACTTAAAATAGAACTGATTAACCATTTCATACCCATTAGGATCACTATTATCAAAAAAACAAAAAGAAGTGTTGATGAGAATGTGGAGAAACTGGAGCCTTTGTGTATTGCTAGTGAGAATGTAAAACAGTGCAGATGCTGTGGAAAACAGTATGGCTGTTCCTCAAAATTTAAAGAGAATTACCATATGATCCAGCAGTTTCACTTCTAGATACATTGAAAACAAGGACTGATATGGTTTGGCTGTGTCCTCACCAAAATCTCATCTTGAATTGTAGCTCCCGTAATCCCCACATGTCATGCGAGAGACCTGGTGGGAGGTAATTTAATCATGAGGATGGTTACCTTCATGCTATTCTCATGATTGTGAGTTTTCATGAGATCTGATGGTTTTATATGGGGCATTTCCCCCTTTTGCTCGACACTTCTCTGTGCTGCCACCATGTGAAGAAGGACATGTTTGTTTCCCCTTCTGCCATGATTGCAAGTTTCCTGAGGCTTCCCTAGCCATGCTGAACTGTGAGTAAATTAAACCCCTTTCCTTTATAAATTACCCAGTCTCAGGTATGTCTTTATTAGCAGCATGAGAATGGACTAATACAGTAAATTGGTACTGCAGATAGTGGGGCGCTGCTGTAAAGATACCCAAAAATGTAGAAGCGACTTTGGAATGGGGTAACAGGCAGAGGTTGGAACTGTTTGGAGGGCTCAGAAGAAGACAGGAAAATGTGGGAAGGTTTGGAACTTCCTAGAGACTTGGAGGGCCCAGAAGATAGGAAGATGTGGGAAAGTTTGGAACTTCCCAGAGCAGAGACTTGTTGAATGGCTTTGACCAAAATGCTGATAGTGACATGAACAATGAAGTCCAGGCTGAAGTGGTCTCAGATGGAGATGAGGAACCTGTTGGAAACTAGAGTAAAGGTCGCTCTTGCTATTCAAAGAGACTGGCATCATTTTGCCCCTGCCCTAGAGATCTGTGGAACTTTGAACTTGAGAGGGATGGTTTAGGGTACCTGGGGAGAGAAATTTCTAAGCGGCAAAGCATTCAAGAGGAAGCAGAGCATAAAAGTCTGGGAAATTTGCAGCCTGACGATGCAATAGGGAAAAAAAAAGAAACCATTTTCTGGGGAGAAATTCAAGCTGGCTGCAGAAATTTGCATAACTAATAAGGAGCCAAATATTAATCACCAAGTCAATAGGGAAAAAGTCTCCAGGGCATTTCAGAGAACTTCACAGCAGCACCTCTTGTCACAGGCTGGGAGGCCTAGGAGGGAAACATGGTTTCATGGGCTGGGCCCAGGGCCCCCCTGCTGCTCTGTGCAACCTCGGGACTTGGTGCTCTGCATCTCAGGTGTAGCTAAAAGGGGCCAACAGACAGCTCAGGCTGTTGCTTCAGAGGATGCAAGCCCCAAGCCTTGGCAACTTCCATGTAGTGTTGGTCCTGAAAGTGTGCAGAAGACAAGAATTGAGGTTTGGGAACCTCCACCTAGATTTCAGAGGATGTATGAAAATTCTGGGACGTCCAGGCAGAAGTTTGCTGTAGGGTCAGAGCCCTCATGGAGAATCTCTGCTAGGACAGTGTGGAAGGGAAATGTGAGGTTAGAGCCCCCACACAGAATCCCCAGTGGGGCACTGCCTAGGGGAGTTGTGAGAAGAGAGCCACTGTTCTCCAGACCCCAGAATGGTAGATCTACCGACAGCTTGTACCATGTACCTGGAAAAGCCACAGACACTTAATGCCAGCCATGAAAGCAGCAGGGAAGTGGGCATTACCCTGCAAAGCCACAGGGGCGGAGCTGCCCAAGGCCATGGGAGCCCACCTCTTGCATCAGTGTGTCTTGCACGTAAGACTTGGAGTTAAAGAGATCATTTTGGAACTTTAAAATTTAATGACTGCTCTATTGGATTTCAGACTTTCATGGGGCCTGTAACCCTGTTGTTTTGGCCAATTTCTCCAATTTGGAATGGGTGTATTTACCCGATGCCTGTACCCCCATTGTATCAAGGAAGTAACTAACTTGCTTTTGATTTTACAGGCTCATAGGTGGAAGGGACTTACCTTGTCTCAGATGAGACTTTGGACTCGGACTTTTGAGTTAATGCTGGAATGGGTTAAGACTTTGGGGGACTGTTGGAAGGGTATGATTACGTTTTGATAAGTGAGGACATGAGATTTGGGAAGGGCCGGGGCAGAATGATATGGTTTGGCTGTCTCCCCACCAAAATCTCATCTTAAATTGTACTTCCCATCATCCTCACATGTCATAGGAGTGACCTAGTGGGAGGCAGTTATCCTCATGCTGTTCTCATGGTCGTGAATGAGTTCTCATGAGATCTGATGGTTTTATATGGGGCTTTTCTCCCTTTTGCCAGGCATTTCTCCTTGCTGCCAACATGTGAAGAAGGACACGTTTGCTTCCCTTTCTGCAATGATTGTGAGTTTCCTGAGGCTTCCCCAGCCATGCTGAACTGTGAGTCAATTAAACCTCTTTCATTTTTAAATTACCCAGTCTCGGGTATGTCTTTATTAGCCATGTAAGGGCAGACTAACACAAGGACTCAAACAGGTATTTGTCCATCAATTTTCATAGCAGCCTTATTCACAATAGTCAAAAGGTGGAATCAATAGATGTTTATCAATAGATGAATAAATAATTAAAATGTGTTGTGATGGTTAATTTTATGTGTCAACTTGACTGATCACAGGATGCCCAGATATTTAACTAAACGCTATTCCCTGGTGTGTCTGTGTAGTTGTTTGCAGATGAAACTAGCATTGAATCAGGGAATTTAGGACAGCAGTTTGCCCTCCCCAATGTGGGTGGGCATCATCCAATTTATTGAGGGCCTGAATAGAACAGAAATGTAGAGAAAGGAAGAATTTGGCCCTTCTTACCTGATTGCTAGAGCACAGACATCCATCTTTTCCTGCCCTCAGTGTTTCTGATTCTCAGGCCTTCAGACCCAGACTGAAATTTATGCCATCGGCTGCTCTGGTTCCCAGGCCTTCAGACTTGGACTGAAGCTCACCATTGGCTTTCCTGGGCTCCAGCTTGCAAACAGCAGATTGTGAGATTTCTCAGCCTCCATAATCGTGTGAACCAATTCCTTATAATAAATCTCCTCCTATATATATCCTATTGGTTCTGTTTTTCTGGAGAACCCTGACTAATACATATGGTATATACATAAAATGAAGTATTTTTCAGCCTCAAAAAGCAGTGAAATTCTGATACATGCTACAAACGGATGAACTTTGAAAACATCATGCTAAGTGAAATAAGTTAGATGCAAAAGGGCAAATATTGCATGCTTCCACATATATAAAGTACCCACCATCACATTTATAAAGACAAAAGTAGAATAGGCGAGGGTTAAAGGGGATGGAGAATTATTGTTTAATGGGTACAAAAATTTCGTCTGGGAAGATAAAAAATTTGCAGAGATACATAGTGGTGATGATTGTACAACAATATGAATGAGCTTAATGTCACTGAATTGTACACTTAAAAATAGCTAAAGTGATAAATTTTACATTATGTACATTTTACCACAATAAAAAATATAATTAATTAATAATTTTGGAAATCAAAATGAAATGGAAATTGACCAGATAATTTATTTCATTACCCCTGTACTTTGGTGTTTTTCTAGATGGGAGATAGAAGAAAAAAGAAAATAAAAAATGATTTTTATTAGATCTTTTGTGTAAGATCTACTGCACAGCAAGGGGCAGGTTATACCAGAGTTATGAGAATTGAATGTTGAGAGTAGAACCCCAAAGAATTCAGATAACATAGAGACAGTCTTGCAACCAAAGGTCAGCACAGCATATTGAAAGTCTGGGCATTAGAATAACAGTCATCTATGTTCAAGCCTCCCCATTTCAGTGCAATAAAAAAAGATTTAGGAAACCTGGAATCGGCCAGAGTCTCACACCTGTAATCCCAGCACTTTGGGAGGCCGAGGAGGGCGGATCACCTGAGGTCAGGAGTTCCAGACCAGCCTGGCCAACATGATGAAAACCCATCTCTACTAAAAATCAATATTAGCCGGGTGTGGTGGCATGTGCCTGTAATCCCAGCTACCCAGGAGGCTGAGGCAGGAGACTCACTTGAACCCAGGAGGCAGAGGTTGCAGTGAGCTGAGATCATGCCATTGCACTCCAGCCTGGGCAATAGAGCAAGACCCTGTCAAAAAAAAAAAAAAAAGAAAAGAAAAGAAAAAAAAAAGAAACCTGGAATCAAGAATAGCCGAATGGGCTTATCGACTACAAAAATATCAAAAATTAGTTTTCTTTTAGAAAGGTTTTTAGATTTATTTTCTTCAATTCTAAAAAAAGAAAAACCAGTTATTAATAAGGGCAAAAATCAGAGAGAGAGCAACTGAATAATAATTAGCACAGGAAGTTTGGAGCCAAATATTCCCTGATCTCCAACTGACCTTGAGCAAATCGCTTAAGCTCTCTGCTCTTTAGCTTCCCTGGTTCTACAACGAAAATGATAGCTTCCTCACCAAGGTATTGGGAAATTCATCAAATTCACCACTGTCAAGCAAATTATGGTATGCAGAAAGCCAGGGCAGACATTTTGTTCCTTTCAAATACATAGACTATCTATAAAACAATATGTTGAGCAAGAATCACCAAATGTCCAATTGATGCACACAAAATATCCAAATAATAAAATTAGAACTTTATTTACAACTGTTAGAGTGTTCTATGTTACGGCTTTCAAAAGTCCAAACACATTGATTCCCAGCTGCACTGCAACTCCACCCTACGTATCTTGCCTCTTGTCCTGGTGACTTATTGGTATCTGATGTTCAGGAGAGGAAATAACTCAGCAAATGGGCAAGAGGGCCAGTCTTCCAGACCTCTAGACTCCCGTTTTTGTTTCCCAATCTTCTTCATCTTAGCGCAACTAAATTGCAACCCTGAATTCAAAGGTATCTTCCTAAGAACCTCTCAAATGCATGATTTACAGATTGCTTTGCAGGTAAAGCAAGCTAACTTGATCCTTTAAATAAAAGTGACCTTGTTACTTTAACAGGAAAATAATAAATCTATCTGAAAGACTTTTAGGCTTCAATTATTTTTCAAGCATCCTTAGTTAATTAAAAGAGGGCAATATACAAAAGAAGATAACCTTTTCGAGATAAACTATAAATACACCATCATTAATGAATTTCATTACAGGAAAGACAAGGCAACAAGCAATTCTAGTTTAATTCAGCATTTAACTTAAGATGATAGAATGGCAGCTTTGCAGCTAATGTTTTAAGTAGTTAAAATATTTTTACAGGGTCATCCTTTAAAATCTGACATGTGCTTCAAAAATAAATGAATATACTCCAAGGCAATAAGCTTTTGTTTAGACTTTGGGGTCATATTAGTGATTTATCTTTCTTGTTTCAGCTACAGATACTTCAGAAATATTAATTAGAAAGAAAGAATTATAGTGCTGACTAGGTCTAACTTACTATATCTTCTTTTGTAGTTATGTGGCTTTTTATTATATTACCCTGTTGAAGGGAAATTTGTTTTACACTGATGACAAACCAAAACAAATCCAGCCTTTGTGGTGGGGGAAAACTGCCGTATTTCTTGAGCATAACTGCATTGTAATGTGCTGACAAATTCAAAGTAACTGCTCTGAGTAATGAATGCATAGGGAAACTCCAGACCAAAGGAACTGGAATGGTAGTGATGGAAAGGAAATACCCTGATTTTATTTTTTCCTAAAAAGTAAGCTTAAGTTCCAAGTGTTTTTCATTCAAGAGTTCCAAATATCTTTCAACGGTGTCACTCCAAAAATGAAAAGAGAGAAAACAAAGAGACATCTGAATGCCCAGTCTGTTCCTCTGAGAAATACATGATTAATTCTCATGATTAACAAGTCTTTGTCCATTCAGCTTGACTGGCTCTGGGCCAGCCTGCTGGGAGGGGTGCTGACTGGGTGTAAAGTTATTATAGCTTCAAGAGTGCAAGGTTTGGCGTCAGACTGCCTGGGTTCGAATCTCAGCTGCGCCACTTAGCAGTTCTTTAACCTCACTGAACCTCAGTTTCTTCTGTCAATGAGAGATGGTGACAATCACAGTCTCCTAGAATGAAGTGAGATAATGTATATAAAGCACTTAGTGAAGGCCTAACACATAATAAACATTCAATACATGTTAGCCAACTTCTTATTTTTGCTATAAGCTTGGATGATTTAACAACTCCCAAGAGCATAGCCCAATTAGCATTAAAAAATTATTTGGGCAAAGGATGCCCTTATAAGCAAATGAAAAATTTAGTAGAATTCAGTGATTTCTTCCAGGTGCCCAAGGCACTTCCTGGTATAAATCAGAAGCACAAAAACCATATAATCCCAGAAAAATAATGAGAAACTATGATGTGGTCCTTAACACTGGAAAAGCCCTCGGAGGAGGGTGCGAATCAAGTGTGCAGACTTCACAGGCCGGGGAAGAACCAAGTCCTTTTCTTTTGCAGCTGGGAGGTGGATAGCCTCGGGCAAATTTTCAAGCCCATTGCCCTCTACCTGGACTCTGGGCTGTTGCAGGGAGCATGGTGAAAGTGAGGTTTGTGTGGGAGCTGGATGAGGCCTGTGACTGCCAGCTTTTCCCCATTTCCCTGATAACCTGCATGACTCAGCAGAGGCAGCCATAATCCTCCTAGGTACACAAGTCCAGGGACCTGGAAATCTCACCCCCATCTGCCACAGCAGGCTCAGCAAGAACCGCCCAGGGAGAGTCTGAGCTCAGATATGCCCACCGCGGGTCCCTATCCACACTACTACAGCTGATGATTTTGGAAAGCACCACCTCCTGGCAGGAGGCCAACCAGCACAAAAATAGAGCATTAAACCAGCAAAGGTAAGGACCCTCATGGAGTCCATTGCACCCTCTGCCACCTCCACCAGAACAGAGGCTGGTATTCATGGCTGAGAGACCCACAGACGGTTCACATCATAGGACTCTGTGCCGACAACCCCCAGTACCAGCCTGGAGCCAGGTAGACTCACTGGGTGGCTAGACCCAGAAGAGAGACAGCAATCACTGCAGTTCAGCTCACAGGAAGTCACATCCATAGGAAAAGGGGAAGAGTACTACATCAAGGGAACATCCTGTAGACAAAAGAACCTGAACAATAGCCTTCAGCCTTAGACCTTCCCTCTGACAGAGCCTACCCAAATGAGAAGGAACCAGAAAACCAACCCAGGTAATGTGACAAAACAAGGCTCTTCAATACCCCCCCAAAATCACACTAGTTCACCAGCAATGGATCCAAGCCAAGAATAATCCCTGATTTACCTGAAAAAGAATTCAGGAAGTTAGTAAGCTAATCAGGGAGGGACCAGAGAAAGATGAAGCCCAATGCAAGGAAATCCAAAAAATGATACAAGAAGTGAAGGGAGAAATATTCATGGAAATAGATAGCTTAAAGAAAAAACAATAAAAAATTCAGGAAACTTTGGACACACTTTTAGAAATGCGAAATGCTTTGGGAAGTCTCAGCAATAGAATTGAACAAGCAGATGAAAGAAATTCAGAGCTCAAAGACAAAGTCTTCAAATTAACCCAATCCAACAAAAACAAGGAAAAAAGAATAAGAAAATATGAACAAAGCCTCCAAGAAGTCTGGGATTACGTTAAATAACCAAACCTAAGAATAATCAGTGTACCTGAGGAAGAAGAGAATTCTTAACACTTCAAAAAACCCCTCTTTCTACCTCAGTGCCAATACACATTTACACATAAAACTTTGAGTTCATCAGGATTTACACCTAAATGAACAATCATCCAAGAACTGACAAAGTACAATCTATCATTTAGGACAGAACATGAAGGATTTGATTCAGTTAGATTTATTGTGAATATGCTGCGTGATAGCACTTTAGGTGACAGGTGTTAGAGCTGAGATGATAACTAAATTACAGTGAATATTAGTGAAGTAAAGGAAGAATTTAATTGATACCTTCATGTCTCTCTCAAACTGGAGAGTTTTTTTTTTAAGGTAGTAACCCTTTGGGCTCATGAAGAATCCCTGTAACAGTTCTAAATTGTTTTATGTACTTAAAGTAGCTTGAGACTGAGTTAGAACTGCAATGTTAAGATAGCTAGTAGGTATGTTAGAACAAATTAATTATATCCAAAAAGCTCTTCATCTATTTACCATGCACAGTTATTCTGAGATTTACTATGCCATCCAAGTGGGACTCAAGAAACCTAATGAAACTCACTATTTATGCCTATAACACAGCAGTAATATTTCAAGACCATCTCATTAGTAGAAATATTTGCAGTCAACCCATTTGGGATGCCCTTGGAAAAAAATACGTGAAGCGTATCAAAAGAACATAGTTCTCTTTCAGCACAGGGGTTATTTGTCAAAATGTTAGAGCAAATGACAACATTAGATTAGTTCAACTGGTTCATTCTTTCCCCCAGAAAACTATTTAAAGATGTCAGACCACTTAAGAATCTGCTGAGTTTAGAGTGAATTAACACAAAATTGTAAATGGTACTTTGCTTTCAGAGAGAGTAAACATTTAGGAGAAATTAGATGCAAAGATTATTGCCTCTATTTTTCTATCTGGTAGCTTCCAATAAGTTAATGCAGTGCCATCCACACACCTATTTAGCTTTATTACTAAATTTTAAAATGATATCGCTTTAAGAAATAAAGAATCTTTAAGAAATAAAGATCTATAAAGCTGCTCAGTTTGCTCAGCCATGCTTGCCCCTACAAATACCCCACGGCTTCTGAAGATAATGCTTGTTGGCCATAAGAGAGGGACCTCATTCCTGGGACTGTGAGAATAAGAGAGAATTCAAACAGAAGCATCTCAATACACACAAGATTTTACTCTTTTCCTGTGACACAACCCACTGGCACGTTTAGAGCCTCCCAAGCCCGAGACTGGCTTGCCTCCTTAAAAATTCAGACTCGGTCTTCATTCTAGTGTATTGGTTGAGAGAATGGCCTTAAATTCTCTCTTCTAACATTTACTTCCGGTAAAGAGGGAAATTACTCTTTGGGCCATGGCTTCTTCATCTGTAAAATAGGGATAATAAGAGTAACTACCTCATACAGCTATTAGAAGGACTAAATAAGAAAAACCATGTAAAGCACTTAGAACTGACTAGCACATCATCTTCATTCTTCTGCTTCATGTTCATGGTAGAAGGCACCAAGCTGGGTGCCAGCATTCAATGATGGAAGAGAAGAGGCAGCCTCCCCTCAGGACTCTCACAGGCTAGCTGAGGAGCAGACATGAAAGTGAATCACTGCACTGCTTTCATTGAGACATATCAATGCAGAGGCCATAGGAGATCTCTGCTACTCTGTTAGGGGTTACGCCAGGGATTTCTGAAATGCCCCAGAACTTCACAGGACAGAGATACTTTGGCACACCCTTGAAGGATAAATATTATGTGGATGCCAAAGTAATTGCGGTTTTTGCAATTAAAAGCAATGGCAAAACCCACAATTACTTTTGCACCAACCTATTACAACTTTCCCTTCAGTTAAATGATCTAAAATCTGCCAGGCATGGTAGCTCACACCTGTAATCCCAACACCTTGGGAGGCCAAGATTGGGGGATCACCTGAGGTCAGGAGTTTGAGACCAGCCTGGCCAACATGGTGAAACCCCATCTCTGCTAAAAATACGAAAATTAGCTGGGCTTGGTGGCAAGGTGCCTGTAATCCCAGCTACTCAGGAAGCTGAGGCACAAGAATCTCTTGAACCCGGGAGGTGGAGGTTGCAGTGAGCCGAGATCACACCATTGCACTCCAGCCTGGGCGAGACGAGTGAAACTACGTCTCAAAAAAAATAAAATGACCTAAAATCACATTTGTACTGTTTGCAATTATACCACATTACATAATGCTGCCACATGGAAAAGCCAGGGCAGGCTCACATCACTCAGACGCCCAAGCATAGGGGATTAGAGATTATAGTCTCATTCGGTCTGTGTGTACATAAACGCTGCTACACTTTTTCCCTAGGCCCAAGCTAAGTGACAAAATGTCTCTAGGGTTTTGAGTTGTCCAGAAATTTGGGTCAAACTAGGACTTTAAGAGTTATTGTAATGGCTTTCCTTAGGAGAAAGGTCACATAGAATTCCCTCTTGGCTTGAGAAAAAGTTCGTTTGCATTTATGACACTATAACTCTTAAAACAGAGAGTTTCTCTCTCTATTTTGACCACTGAGAAGCTTGGGAACAAACTGGCCACATGACAATAGCAACGATATAAGGCTGCTTTTTCCTCTTGTTCTGAATTCTTACCCACATCTGATACCTTTGTCGTTTAATTTTTATGGCATGCATTTTTGAAACAAGTTCAAATGCTCTCAGGATGCGAAGAAAAAAATGCTTTTAGGACTCTCAAATTTATGAGAAAGTAATTCAGTGGTGCCCTTGAAGAGTGAATATCCCTTCTCCCCCTAAGGCTTCATTCACTTACAGAGAATTTACTCATTGATAGATCTAGGATAACATTTTTAACCATCAGACACCAGGGGGCTGTTTTCCTGTGGGGAAAAAAAGTATCTTATATAATTTTCTTGCAAAAGAAATCATTCAGACGTATTTGCTAGAGCAAGCAGTCCATGTAGTACTAAACTAGCTAAGGACATATTTGAAGGAGCATGGTGGAGAGGCCAGTGGAAACTCTGAAATCAGGGAGTTGGAGCAGCTCCATCAACTGCCCAACTGGACAGCCACCAGGACCACTTCTCGTAGAGGCTTGCAGGAGACAAACTGTGGCAATGGAAAGAACTAAAAGATTAGGAGATACACACACACACACATACATACATACACACACACACAATCAAAACAAAACCAGTAACACTACAACGTCTGAACAAAAGGCCACTTTTAGGAATTATTTTTTTAACTGGACAACTCCATTTGTACCATGAGGATCAGTATAAAAGTCCAAGTTGTCCCTGCAATTAGAAAAAGATGCTTATATCAAATATCCTCATCAAAATGAGAAGAACTGAAGTGACAGCATTATGTAAAGCCATATAGACACAAGGTTACTGTTGGGGAGGAAAGATGTCTTTCCTCACTAATTTCTGGGTTTATGGCTGAGGCCCCTATAACAAAAGGTAGAAACAAGAGAAAACCATACAAGTGTATTTAAGTTTTACATGATATAGGAGGCTTAAGACCCAAAGAAACAGGGAAACCTATGTATTTTTATGCTAAGTTTAATGAAGAAGTGGATAGCTGTGGCAAAGTATGTTTGGACAAAGAGTGTATGATCTAATGGTAATAAACTGGGAGGATCTTAGCAAGGCCTGTTTGTTCAGATTCTTCTCTGTGCCTCTGTGTCTCTAGAGGCAAGGACATTCCTTTCCTGTGGGTATAGGGGAGCACCTCTGGAATGAAGGTTTTATGACCTGCTTTAGGGGAGTAGAATAAGGGAAAGTGAGAGTGATCTTCCTGCTTCTGCTGTTTTTCCAAATGCCAAGCTGCCATATTTTTGAGTAACATGTCCTGAACCCCATCAATGCATTTCATTCATGTAGCTACACAAACACACACACACCAGCTACATATGGTTCTACTTGGTGTTAGCACATTACATATATTAACTCTTTACCTTTCCCAAGAGGTAGGTTTTAGGTTTTATCACCTCCATTGTCAGGAGATATAGAAGTTAACTAACTTGCTTGGCACACACGTGTGTCAGTTGTTGAGCTGAGTTTCCAACCCAGGTTTGGGTAACTCTTTTGTAAAGTATGCAATTTCCACTTGGCCATATGAGTCAGAGAGGTGTATGTAGAAGAAAGACTTGCAGATACCTTGGAAGCCATGAAGAAACAGGGATTTGAAAAAAGCATGCTTTGCTGGCATGGAAGAAATTAATCCCACATCTTCTTTTCCCTATTACTAAAACCTCCTTACAATATTGAAGAAAATCTTGCATGGTTCAGTTTTGACACTGGCCTGAAAAGACTCTATTGGCTGCTTATTTAAGAAATTTATGTTAGGCTGGGTGCAGTGGCTCACGTTTGTAATCCCAGCAGTTTGGGAGGCCAAGGTCGGTGGATCACCTGAGGTCAGGAGTTCAAGACCAGCCTGGCCAACATATAGTGAAACCCATCTCAACTAAAAAATATATAAAAATTAGCTGGGCATGGTGGCTCATGCCTGTAGTGCCAGCTACTTGGGAAGCTGAGGCAGAAGAATCACTTGAACCTGGAAGGCAGAGGTTGCAGTGAGCCGAGATCACGCCACTGCACTCCAGCGTAGGCGACAGAGTGAGACTCTGTCTCAAAAGCATAGGCCAGAAGCTAAAGAAATAGCAGCTATAATTGAGAAGCAGTGCAGGGGTAAGAATCTATTTATAGACAAGGAGGCTAAAGCTGGGGAGGTTGAGGGACTTACTCAAGACCACCCGTGGGCTGTGCACGGTGGCTCATGCCTGTAATCCCAGCACTTTGGGAGGCCAACGTGGGCGGATCACAAGGTCAGGAGATTGAGACCATCCTGGCTACATGGTGAAACCCCGTCTCTACTAAAAATACAAAATAATAATAATAATAATAATTAGCCAGGTGTGGTGGTGGGCGCCTGTAGTCCCAGCTACTCAGGAGGCTGAGGCAGGAGAATGGTGTGAACCTGGGAGGCGGAGCTTGCAGTGAGCCAAGATCGCGCCACTGCACTCCAGCTTGGGCAACAGAGCAAGACTTTGTCTCAAAAAAAAACAAAAACAAAAACAAAAAAAAACCCAACAACAACAAAAACACCTGTGAAGAAAGGGCAGGCCTAGAAACTAAACCCAGGTCATCTGGTGTGAAGTCCAGCATCCTTTTCTCTGAATCTTCTTGGCTTCCAATTGACCATGACACCACTGCATGAGGCTAAGTGTGGCTTGCTTCCCCAACACATCCTGGCAGCTGCTATAACAAGCAGCCTCTGGTGCAGGTGCACTTTAGCTCAGTGAAAACAGCTGGAGGCTCTTCCTGGCAGCTTTGGAAGGAAAATTTCCCCATCTGTTGGCACGAGTGCATAACAGGTTTTGAAAAGTGCAATTCAGAGCACTTCTGCTCCTGATTCCCTCTAACCAAACACATGTGTCAGGCAGGTTGCCTGAAGCCCCGATGGGGTGTGATGAACTCCAGGCTGTGTTGTGGTTGAAATGATGGTGATGTAACTGAAGATACCTGGCCTCAATGATAAATGGGGAAATATGTTTATCTGGTATAGTGGTTTGGACAGAGAGAAAGAGAAAGAGATTGATTGAGCTTGCAAGCAGAAAAAGATTCAGATAAAGAAAGAATACTGGGCCCACTTTTTTTTCCAAAGGATTTATAATGAGCTTGCTTATGAGTCATCTGCATCTGAAAGTGAACCCATTTCCTTCATATTGGAATCCTGCAATGCCAGCCTTAAACCAAATTGTGAAATAGGCACTGTTTACTACCCTCATCTTTCTTTCTGCTTTTCATTCTGCCTTCCAAAGCCCTTTCTTCCTGTCGTCCATTTTTGCAGTGAGGCCAGCCTCCCCAGTCCCCATGCCAGGCATAAGATTCTTCTTTTCCTCTACCTCATCCTCCATCCAAATGCAATTGAGGAAGAAAGCAAAGCAAATGCGATTGATTCACATTAAGTTGTTAATGACTGGCTGGGCACAGTGGCTCATGCCTGTAATCCCAGCACTTTGGGAGGCCGAGGTGGGCAGATAACTTGGGCTCAGGAGTTCAAGACTGGCCTGGACAACATGGTGAAACCCTGTCTCTACCAAAAATACAAAAATTAGCTGGGCATGGTGGCTTGTGCCTGTGGTCCCAGCCATTCAGGAGGCTGAGATGGGAGGATCACTTGAGCCTGGGAGGAGGAGGTTGCCGTGAGCCAACATAGCACCACTGCACTCCAGCCTGGGTGACAGAACAAGACCCCATCTCAAAAAGAAAAAAAAAAATGTGAATGACTGATGGCCTTCCCAAGGTACTCACAGTTTAAGAATTGGCACACTCTACATAGTAAATTTTAGAAAAATTTTCCTCAAGATCTGAACTAGTTTATCTTCACAAAAGCAGACGATTACATTGAATTTAAACTTCCAGTCTCAATACATATTTAAACACTAACCCACTGAAAAAATATTTATTGGCTACCTATGAAATTGAAGGTACTGTGCTGGGGATGAGCTGGTGAAGAAGGAATCCTTCCTTGTATATATTACAGTAAAAGAACCTGCAGTCACCATTAGGAGGAGTCCATTGGTCACCCAGGGGCAGCACTGTTCTATTGGTCCAGTGCTTTGTCTGTGTCAGAGAAGGAGAAAGGGGGAGGGCAGGGAGACTGGAAGGCTCTGCCAGAAGTGCCCATTCCTGTTGGCTTTGTTCCCCACTCCCTGCCTGACCCCTGAGGCATTTGAGTTTACTATCCTGGTCTGAGAAGATATTCTTGCAATAAATATTAGATATATTTTATAATGTTGGAGATGATTTTATAACGCTGGAGATTTTTGTTAAAATATAAAACAATAACAAAATGTTAAAATGCAAAATGTTAAAATATAAAGCGATAACAAAACATTAAAATGCAACATTGAAAAATGAGCTTCCTTAGAGCATGAGGTCACCAAAAGGATTTGTTCCATTCGCTCTACCTTCCCACCCTCCTAAACATGTGTGTGCTAAAAATTAGGAGACCAATGTTTTATTTCTCCTTTTGTGTTCCTTGCAACTTCTGTGACCCCAGACAAGTTACTTTGCCTTTCTAGGTCTGTTTCCTTATCTGTATAGAGAGAATTTGGATTCTAGAACAGTCAAACCCTTTTAGGTCAAATAGTGTTCTAACGCTGCTGTAATTCTTTGCTGTCTCACAGACTCCAGCGAGATTTTAATAAAAGACTTTGGCGTTTTTTCACTGGTTACATGACTCAGGAATCTATCCCAAAGAAATACAAAATAAAGGTTGTCAGAGAAAACAGCAGACTTTCATTTCCTGGGTAAAATGCTTCCTCTAGGACCAAAGAATCCCATTATAAAGAAAGCCCAAGGAACTATAGAAGGGTAAAGATCAGCAGAAAGCATAGCTGATCATATGTAGCGTATTTCTAAAAGTGTAAGTTCATATGTACTAGCTGCTTTTTTGGAACCAAAAATGAAATTTAAAGTGTCAAAAGTATTTTTAAAGTTATCTTTTATGTTTCAGATCTCAAAATCACTAAATAAAAATATGGCTTGTCTCATAAGGCTATATTAACAGGTTTCCAAGTAGACAATTTCCCCTACGTAGTTTGAGACTGAGGTCTAGAATTAGGTACTTAGCACAGAAAGGGGAAACTTTTGTACTAGCCTCTCCCTTACTAGAGGGTGGAGAGGTTATGATTCAGGAAAAAAAATTTGAAGTCTCTTAGAAGTGAGTGGCTTTTTCAAGAGAAAAAGGAATGATGAGCACGCTCAGTGAGGTTTATAGGTGACAAGTCCAAGACAGGAAGTAGCCTGGTGACAGAGGCCACAGCTGGTGGACTAGTCATAAATAGACCAGTGCTTAATTCCCAAGCATGGGCCAGCTTGCAAGTCCCCCTCTCCACATACTGCTATCAGGGATCTATGTATGGGAAAGAGGATAGAAGAAATAATTAGAATCACAAGATACTAGTTAGAGTGTTAGAACCAAAAGAAAATCCAGAGACTTGCTAGCTAGTGTCACTATCTGATTACACAGATGGAGAAATGAGGCCCAAAAAGGGAAAATACAACCTCAAGCAACTCCCTCCTAGCATAACTGGCTTCCAAACCCAGGTCTTCAGACTCCTAGTCAAATTCACTTTTCACTCAAAAAAAAAAAAAACAAAAAACAAACAAAAAAAAAACCTTCTTTGAGCAGCAAATCCCTAGGTTTAAAATACTTACAAATACATGACCTAACCTCCCTGAGCTTGCCTGCATGTGGACAATCCAGTAGAACCCCATTCAAGTCAATCTTAGTAACATATCAATTGGTATGAAATAATTCACTCTTTCCTTCCTCTGCACACTCTATAAAATATAATTGCTGAGGAATGCTGTTATCATTCATCACTGTGATATCAATGTTTAATTTGTCATGTTACCTTTATGAGGAGACTTCAAAAACTGAGTGGAAAAATTGAATTAAAAGATAAAAATAAAAACCATAAACTTTCTCAACATAAGCCCCATGAAGGTCAAGAAGACACTTTTGTAAGTGATGATATCAGCCATTCATTTCATCCGTAAAGAACTGAGGGTCCTGGGAATTTAACATGTCAGTGCAGTCCTTTTTACATTTTTTTTTAGATGGAGGCTTGCTGTGTTGCCCAGGCTGGAGTGCAGTGGTGCAATCTCGGCTCACTGCAACCTCCACCTCCCAGGTTCAAGCGATTCTCCTGTCTCGGCCTCCCAAGTAGTTGGGATTACAGGTGCACACCACAATGCCCAGCTAATTTTTGTATTTTTAGTAGAGACGGGGTTTCACTATGTTGATCAGGCTGGTCTCAAACTCCTGACTTCGTGATCCAACTGCCTCGGCCTCCCAAAGTGCTGGGATAACAGGTGTGAGCCACCATGCCTGGCCCCTTTTTACATTATTAACTGACCAAAAAATGGGTGCTCCTTAAAGATTTTTTTAAGATTAGGAAATAAACAAACAAAAAAATCAGAAGGAGCCAAATCAGGACTGTAAGGTGGATGCCTAATGATCTCCCATTGAAACTCTTGCAAAATTGCCCCTGTTTGGTGAGAGAAATGAACGGGAGCATTGTTGTGGTGGAAAATGACTCTCTAGTGAAGCTTTCCCAGACGTTTTTCTGTTAAAGTTTTGGCTAACCTTCTCAAAACACTCTCATAATAAGCAGATGTTATTATTCTTTGGCACTCCAGAAAGTCAACAAGCAAAATGCTTTGAGAGTCCAAAAAACTGTTGCCACGACCTTTGCTCTTGACCACTTTTGCTTTGACTGGGCCACTTCCACCTCCTGGTAGCCACTGCTTTGATTGTGCTTTGTCTTCAGGATCATAGTGGTAAGGCCATGTTTCATCTCCTGTTACAATTCTTCAAAGAAATGCATCAGGATCTTGATCCTACTTGTTTAAATTTCCCATTGAAAGCTCTGCTCTTTTCTGCCCCTGATCTAGGTGCAACGATTTTGACACCCATCAAGTGGAAAGTTTGCTTAATTTTAATTTTCCAGCCAGAATAGGGTAAGCTGAACCAGTTGAGATGTCTATGGTGTTGTGTATTGTTTCTGCTGTTAATTGTTGGTCCTCTTCAATTAGGGCATAAACAAGATGAATTTTTTCCTCGCAAATTGATGTGCATGGTCTGTTGCGGAGGGCTTCATCTTCAACATCATCTCAACGCTTCTTAAAACAAGTTATCCATTTGTAAATTGCTGATTTCTTTGAGGCATACACTTTTTGTAAATCGTTAATGCTTTCACCATTCTTTCACCAAGCTTCACCATCAATTTGATGTTTGTTTTTGCTTCAATTTCAGCAGAATTCATTTTGCTGTTATATGGGCTCTTTTCAAACTGATGTCTTATCCTTTTTAGTGCCTCAAGCAAGATCCTGTTCACACATGTTATAACAAATTAGCATGAGTTTATTTTGGTGCCAAAAAAGACATTGAAAGCCATGCATAATTTTTCCATAGTACACATTTTCCATGAACTTTTTGAACATCCCTTGTATTGTATCCCTAAAATGTCTGGGCTGGAAGTTGAGTCCCAGAGAGAGTTGCAAAACTAGATTGACTCAAATGGTACACTGTAGTGGAGACCACTTGCAACTTAGAATCATAGGATTACTATCAGTGCAAGAAGGGTCCTGTTGTCATGCTGAGGGGTCAATTGGTGAAGAGGACAGAATTGAGGCACCTTAAGTCAGTTCTGCAAATGATAAGATGGGGCTACCAATAAGTTCAGAATGCTATCAATTCCCAAGTGGCCAATTCCCAACGAAATCCTGACAGTGCCCACAGCCAGTGGAAAGACATTATCTACAGCTATGCTCACTCCTAGCGAAGATAAACATTTACCCTCCCTTTCCCCAACTTCTCATTCCTCCCCATCCCCACCTCCCCAATCTCTTTGCCTTGATAAATAGATTTTCTCTATTCATAGTAGAAAAAAGTAGGACTCTGTCAATTCTGTATGTCACGAGGGGCCCCCATGAGGCTTTGCTTCCTGACCAAGCTTTCCTGGTTATATTCCACCTGGACCCCAGCTGTGTGTGTGCTATTACATGGTCTAAGACAAATCAGTCTCTCTGGGTTTCAGTTCCCTCATCTGTAAAGTGGACTAGATAATTCCAGGTCTCTAACTCTAAAATTCTCAATATTTAGTAACATTTTTCTGATCTTACAAGTGGCAGCAAAATTCTATAACAAAACCTTGTCATTGTTTATTAAATGTATAAGGCAGTAAAGACAGTGAAAGATAAAGTTGTATGTTTTTGAAAAATAATTTCTATTCTTGTGATATACTCTAAACAGTTCATTTTATTCTATCCTCACTGTCCATTACAGACACAAAGACACAAGAAACATCTGAAATTATGGACTAATGTCCACAACAGAACATAATCTTACATTAAGTGAAGTCAATATTAGGTTCCCTATCAACAGGTAGATAACAGCTCCTTCTACACAGACAAAACCTGAATGAAATGATAACTAAGATGGGCCAGTTTTGCATCCCAGAAGATAACATGGGGCAGCCACAGGTGTCTAAGGTGTCTGCAGTTGGGTCATGCATCTATCTATCTATTTATCTATCTATCTATCTATCTATCTATCTATCTATCTATCTATCATCTATCTGTCTATCATCTATCATCTATCTATCATCTATTCATTTTTGCGTTTATTCTTTTATAATTTTTATAACTTAAGATAGCTTGTGTAAGTTATTTAGCAACCCAAAAATGTTTAAGCATGTCTTTTTTTATTAAGACAAGTTACTAGAAGGTACAAAGTAACAATGAAAAACATTGCAACACTAGGTGTACTGTTCTTCCTTTTGATAGTCATAACTCATGCACTCTTGGAACTCAGCCATACACAGCCAATAATCCAAATTAGGAAACTTCCCATAAAGAACCAGTTGTAATTTAAAATACTACCAAATGTAGCCATCTGTGCATAGGTAGACACTCATTCCCCTACCCGTGGAATAAGAGAAAGGAAAAGTAACAGCCATTAACATTTGCTGTCAATACATTCATTAACATTAGAAATGTTAGTTCAATGTGTTAATGTTTATCTTGTACACAAACTCTTACATATTTCTTTGGTCTTGAACAATTACGAAGTATATAAAGTAGAGACCCCCTTAAACCCAGACCCACATTTTGGCACAAATGCAACGCTCCCAGAACTGAGCAGTCTGGAGTTACGCATTTTTTTACACACAGAAAATGATCATTCTTGTCCCTTTTCTAGGGACCCTAGCCCACACTTTCCTCTAGGTACCAGAGGAAGCTGCATCTATCTTAGATAAATGCACAGATGGGCAAATCTGAACAGATATTTTTTATTCTACAAAACGTGACAATGCGGTACAACTTGAAAATTCTAATGCTTTCAGCACAGCCCTGGGCTATCACCTTGCTGCTACCTAAAAGAGCCTGAAATCACCTCACATTGGAAATCACCCCACACATATTTTTAATAGCCATGAGACTATACCTCTAGATAAAATGTTCTAGTTCTGTCTGCAGCAGTTTGGCCATAAAGGTTGCAGCCCTCTCCTCACCCATTTTTTTTTTCGGTAGAGATGGGATCTCACTATGTTGCCCAGGCTGGTCTCAAACTCCTGGGCTCAAGTGATCCACCCACCTCTGCCTCCTAAAGTGCTGGAATTACACACATGAGCCACATGCCCAGACATCCTTTGCTTTTTCTAAGTTAAAGTGGAATCTGCAAAAGCTACTTATGCCAGGTTCAATTTATTGAATGTTTATTGAGCAATTACTATGTAATTGATAGCTCGATAGCTGGCCTAGCAGATGCCAACCATGACTGCACTTTACAATCACCTGGGAAACTTAAAAAAAAAAAAAGGGATGTGCCAGCACCCAGTGTCTAAGAGATTCTGATTTAATTGGTCTGAAGTGGGATTTAGGCATTAGAGCTCCCCTGATGTTTGTAATGGGCTGCCAGGGTTGAGAACAACTGAACTAGGTCCTGGAGGCACAGAAATGAACATGGCAAGCCCCTTCCTTCATGGTCTTTGGCTAATTTGTGACTGGCACTAACGTTTCACCTTGGGAAAGGCAATCATCAATTTGGGCTTAGGTGACACTGTTTGCAAACGATGGCGATCACTTTGGTAAAAAACATGCACTCTATGCTAGCCAAATGAATAGCCCCACAAGGTTATTTTTAAATTTTTCTGATTTGTTTCAGTGGCTGTTTCTCAAAGGCACAATTTTCTCTCTCAGCTGAAGCAGCCCATTCAACTCTGATAGCCGTTCTCTCCTGCCCAAAGTTCTTTCAGTCCCTAGTTCAGCAACTGGCACAAAGACAACACACCATCAATCTTGGCTCAGCCGCAGTAACCCAGCAGAACTGATCACAGACAGAACATCAATTTTGTCATAGGAGACATGCCTGGCGAGGTGTTTATGACTAAACTGTTTATAAGACTTTACTGCAAATGCTATTGTTAATCACATGGGATAGATTAAAAATATCTCTCATTATTTTTTTTCCTCCTATCCCATTGAGCAGGAATCAGTGATGTGTTTCACCAACTCGGAGCCTGGGACAACCCTGACCGATGTCAGAAGCTTCCCTGGAGTCCAGTACAATTGGCCTCTGGGAACCTGTATCTACGGGTGCCGTTGTGCCACTGGAACCTCCAGAGAGGAGGTAGAGCAGGCATTTCCTGTCTGCTCTCCCCACTACCCCAAACACCACCACCACTGCCTCTGACTTTTTTGTACAAACAAATGTTTGCCTCAATGATCCTGTTTGTAGTTAAGTCCTTTGCTGGCTTCAATCCTGCCCTCAAGCTAAGCCTACTTCCTCTCAGCCCCTACCACAGAACCACTGCTGGTGATGGAAATTACACCAGGGCCGTAACCAGCAATTCTGGAGATGGACCTTCTCCAATCAGTCTTCCTGTACTCCCCACTTCACCCACCCACGTCTGAGCCCGGCATGCACACAATGGGACCCTCTCTCAACTAATGAGATTTCATTTCCATCCCTGTCTTTCAGGCTTACCCATAATATTCATGGGTTCCAGGGCAAAAGGCCAAATGATGCCTCTCACATTGTTGATGTAAACATTTAAAAGTTACAACTCAAATCAACTAACTGTTAAATAACATACATTTTATCCCCCACCTTGATAAATACACACTCTTATAATGACATTTGCTTTTCCTTTTCAGCTACTTAACTGAATTACATTTTTGTATTTTCTACATTTATCATGATTTCAACCTGTACTCATTCCCAATCATATAAAATATTAAAATATAATTTATCGTAAGTACACAAATCTTGAATATATCTTATCAAACATTTAAATTAAATGTTAAAAATTAAAATTATTTTTATGCCTTTGAAATTGCATTTCTACTGAAATATTCAAAATTTTCTATTAAAATTAAAAAGCAAGACACAAATTATACTTCATATCAAAGTGTTGTTAAGTGTTTAAATAATGCAGAAATGATAAAATTTGCTTTTTGCCAAATTTATTTGTCAATAAATATTTTAATAAAATGTAATGTATGCAAAATTCTAGGATTCATCTGGGAGGCCAAGGCGAGTGGGTCATCTGAGGTCAGGAGTTCCAGACCAGCCTGGCCAACATGGTAAAACCCTGTCTCTACTAAAAATACAGAAATTAGCTTGGCATGGTGACAGGCACCTGTAATCCCAGCTAGTGGGGAGGCTGAGGCAGAAGAATCGCTTGAACCCAGGAGGCAGAGGTTGCAGTGAGCTGAGATTGTGCCATTGCACTCCAGCCTGGGCAACAAGAGTGAAACTCCATCTCAAAAAAAAAAAAATTCTAGGATTCAATTTCTATCTGAATAGTGAGGTAAACCATCAGCATCATACTTTATACATGCTATGTCTATTTCTACATATATGCACATTTGTGAGAAATATTAATTTTTAAAATCTTTCCAAGCATTCCTTAGGTGCCACATGCAACTGCTGCAACTACTATGATAGTTTGTGAGTACCTCTGGTACCACAAATTGTAGCATAAGTAGAAGCAAGAAAATAAACATTGGGTACTATTGGCAAATAATAAATAATCAATAAGAATTTACTATATTCAGGTTGTCTGAGTGGAAGAATTTGACAAGTTAAGTTAATTTGTCTTTTCTTTCACTATGTGCTTCCACCATTCAAATGCTCCCAGCACCCTAAAGCAGTGTCTGTCTCTGAAATCACCAGTAGCACAATCCAGAAACCATGGCATTCAAATGAAGTCACATTTTGTAACAATTTTGATTCAGAAACATAAGGCAAGAGATGTAAAGATGCATTCCCTGGGGCTTGATCAGTTAAATCAAAGTATGTGTTTTGGGTTATGGGTCCTGCTGAGTCAGAGCTGAGTATCAGATCTCAACTAACAGAGATACCACTGTCTGTGTGCTCTTAATAAATTCATGTGTGTGTTGGGGTGGTCCTTTAAAGTATGGGACCAGAGAAGAGACCCCTCTTGCCTACGTCTCTCACCACTTGTCAAAGGGCCTGGCTCAGAGCTAGAATAAGTTCTCAACCACAGCTGGGGAAAGATTGCATAATTTAAAATATTTAACGTTGGAAATTCTGCTTCCAACCACAGCAAAATAATTGGAATGACACCCCCACCATAACCCATAAACTTAGCAGAATATACTAAATAACTGTTTTTAGACATTGAACATCAGGCAGCACAGGACTATGCTCTTGCAGGAAAAGGAAATAAATGAGGTGAGTTGCATGATTGCCCTGGCTTTCTGTCTGGAGTTGCTTTCTGTCTGGAGTGTCACTTTCTTGAAAGTACCATGGGGAGGAGATCCCAAGCAGAGCACAATAGAATCTCTGAGTGGAAGAAACAGACATTGAAGTTCAAGTAGGCAAAGGCAGCTGTCATCTAGGAGGCAAAAAAAACATTCCAGAAATTTGCTCAGAGTTCCTTTCAAGTCCTTTGCCAATACTAGGGCATCTGGTAGAACGACATCTTAATAATAAAATGAACTAGCTCTGGACTAAAGTTTACTCCACACCTGCCCTAATAGAGCTTTTAAATAGGCTTTGGAAGGATAAAGATGATTAGCAAGTATTGCTATCTACCAAAGCACAGTCTAACACCCTTTATAGAAAGGAAACAAAATCTATTATTCAATATCCCAAAACTCAAAATGTCCAGGATTCAATAAAAAATTATTACTAGCCATGAAAAGCACCAGCAAAATGTGATCCATAACTTAGGAAGAAATCAGTCAATAGAAACAGATCCAGAAATGGCAGAAATAATGGAATTAGCAGACAAAGATATTAAAGTAGCTATTGTAAATATGTTCAAATATATAAAGGAACATAAAACTGAGAAGAGAAATTAAAAATATAAAAAAAACAACAGAAATAAAGAAACTCTAGAAATAAAAATATTCAATGTTTGGGGAAAAAAATTCACCAGATGAACTTAACAGCAAATTGGATAGTGCAGAAGGAAAGATCTGTGAACTCGAAGATGAACCAATCAAAACTATTTAAACTGAAGCACAGAGAGAAAAAAGACTGAAAAAATGAACAGAGCTTCAATAATCTTTGGAAAATATCAAGTAGTCTAATATGGATGTAATTGGATTCTCAGAAAGATGGTGGGATATAAAAATATTTCAAGGCCAAGAGAATAAAAAGCCACAGGCTGCTCTTGCAAAAACACATATCTGTTTTTTTTTTCAGTCTGTTTTTTTTTTTTGCAAAACTCATATCTGATGTATTTGCAAACACATATTTGATAAAGGACTTGTACTGAAAATGTAAAAAGAACTCATAAAAATCAACAAGAAAGCAAACAACCCAATTAAATAATAGGGAAGTAGCTGAACAGACACCTCATCAAAGAAGATGTACAGACGGTAAGTAATCATGTGAAAATATGCTCAACATCATAAGTCATTAAGGAATTGCAAATTCAAACAATAAAGTAATACCACTATATACCTAGTAGAGTGGCAAAAATCCAGAAAACTGACAATACCAAATGCTGACAAGAATTTGGAGTTCCTGGAGCCCCAGAAATTTTTATTCACTATTGGTGGGAATACAAAATGGGACAGTCAGTTTGGAAGACAGTCTGGCAGTTTCTTAAAAATCTAAACATACTCTCACTGTATGATCCAGCAACCATGCTCCTTGATGTTTTCCCAAATGAAATGAGAATTGATGTCTACATGAAAACCTGCACACAAATGTTTATAGCAGCTTTATTCATAACTGCCCCAAATTGGAAATAACCAAGATGTCTTTCCAAAGGTGAATGGATTAAAAAAACAACTATTACAGTCTTACAATGGAATATTATTCAGCAATAAAAAGAAATCCACTTTTAGCCATAAAAAATTATGGAGGAAACTTACATGTATATTTCTCTGTTAAAGGAGCAGTCAGAAAAAGCTGTATACTGTATGATTTAACTCTATGACATTTTGGAAAAGGCAAAACCATAGAAACAGCAAAGAGATCAGCAGTCGCCAGGGGCTGGAGAAGGGAGGTAAATAGGTGGAGCTCAAGGGATTGTTAGGGCAGTGAAACTATTCTGTCTGACGCTATAATGGTGGACACATGTCAAAACTCAAACAATGTACAACACAAGAGTGAACCCTAATGTAAGCCATAGACATTAGTTAATAATACTGGATCCATATTGGTCTACAAATTATAAAAGTGTACCATATCATTGCAAGATGTTAATAATAGAGGAAGCTGAATGAGGAATGAGAGAGATATGTGGGAACCATCTGTACTATCTGCTCAATTTTGTGTAAACTTCGAACTGCTCTAAAAACCAAGGTCTGGTAATTAAAATTTTTTTAAAAACTGAGACTGAGTGAGGTTGTTCAGTACCACTGTTTGGTGTCATGGTCCAAGCTACAATCCTGGTACCTTCATTCCAATTTAAGGGCATATTCATTCCTCATTGGGGCATGGGGAGCAGGAATCTTCCACTACACCAGAGCTGTGTCCCAAGTTACAGATGAAAGCTACACCAGTCAGCTGTTATTGTCATATATGACCATATATGCCAGTTTGCCTGCAATAGTCTTGGTCTATCCCTGTGGCAGCATGAATATTAATAGTGCCCCTATTCAGTCTCAAACATGATCAGTTTGGGACAATTAATTATATGACATCCTACTGAAGCAGACATTTTTGGGGAGCATATTCTACACAGCAAATACTGTGCTAAGACAATTATATGCATTATCTTAAACAATACTTTATCAAGCAGACAGTCACTATCTCTACCTCATAGATGAAGACACTGAGGTACTAAAAAAATTTGAAGATGTAATGGCAAAAAATTTTGAAACTTGATGAAAATCATAAATCCACAGATCCAAGAAGCTCAATGAATCCCAAGCTGTATAAATACACACACACACTCATATGCACACACACACTCACATATGCTGCTGAAAACCATTGAGGGAGATCGTAAAAGAAGCCAGAGAAAAAAGACACATTACATACAGAGAAACAAATATGAGAATTATCACAGAAATCATCAGAAATTGTGCAAGTGAGATGACAATGGAACATCTTTAAAGTCCTGAAAGAAAAAACTGTAATCAAGAATTTTATATCTAGTGAATGTTTCCTTCAACTAAACAGCACAACCTGCTTCCATTTTTACAAAATTCTAGAAAAGGCCCTGCTAATCTATCATGACAGAAAGTAGTTCAATGGTTGCCTCACACCAGGAATGGTGGGCGGAGAATAGGACACTGAAGAATTTGGGGGGTGACGAAAGCTGTCTTTATCTTGATTAGTAATGAAGGTTTGGAGGTTGTCAGAACAAAAAGGGCAAAGTTGTTCTAAATGCACAGCTGTGTATTTAGTGAAAAAGTCACCGAATTGTATGTTCAAAAGAGTTATGTTTAATTAAATTTAATTAATGAAGACCTCAATGAAGTTGACTTTTTAACAAGTTATTTTCAACAACTGAAGAAGTTTCTAAGTTTTAGTGCAAATCCTTGGTTGTTCCACCCTAGTTAAAACTCTCTTGCACACGTACGTATTCCCTTCCCAGTTCCAGCTGAATAGGAACCTGAAGTTAAGCCTTTGGAAACTGCCCAACAGTCATCTATCCTTTTTTATTAGCAAGCTGCCATGTTTTGTCTGAAAAATGATTCCCCAACCCCGCCTCTAGATCCAAACAAATCCAGAACCTCCCCAGATGTGGTCAGAGTTGTCTGATTCCTGAAACCTGGTTAGATTTACACAGCTTATATTCCACCCACTGAGAGCAAGCTGAAGTCTGATTAGCATCACAATGAGAATAAATGCATGCATTCACTATTTTCATTACTAAATTATAAAGCTCTCTAAATTACATATAACTATTGATTCAGCATGCAATTCAGAAATACCACTGCTTCTCTTCATTACATTCTCCAGAAAATCTAAGGAAAAGATTCTCAAACTCCAAAACTTTTGAGGGCATAAGGATGTTCTGAGTAGCCTCTTTATAATGTAGATACCAACCACCTCCCACCCTCTGCCCACCTCCCTCCAGCCTCCCACCCTGGCTTCTCCTCCTGAATCAGTAGGACTAGAGTGGAGTCTGTTATTTACATCTTAAACAGGCACCTGATTTGGGCTTTCTGAGGACCACACTTTGAGAAATATAGATCAGAGCATTCTAAGTGAGCTAAAGGAATTATCTGAGCACCCCCGGGAACAGAACAAGTCCAGAGGCTCACAGAAAAGTCACCTGGGAGCTGAAGCCCAAGAAACTCTTAGAAGCCCCTAAAGGTAAAAATGAGTTTGGAGGTTGTTAGAAAGAAGAACAAAAAGGGCAAAGTTATTTTAAATGGACAGTGCTAGAAGGAAAGGTTCAGACAGGGTTATCAGAAACTAATGATGAATCCTGGCCTCTCATTCCATCCCACCACCCTTTGGGGAACTATAAGACTCCTGTGCTCTTGCTTGTTGAAATGCAATACTCTATGTCTTCATCTAACTTGTAATATTTAGTTATCCTATCCCTCTGTGTCTAGGAAGATGGACGTTAGCATGCAGGAAGTTTATTAAAGAGTACTCTTGGGGTCAACAGTCATAGGATAAAAAGGATGGAAGTAAGATTGGGTAGAAGGAGAATTAATCAGGTTGCAATGCAAACAGCCTCAGCTGATCCCTCAAGGAGCTCTGAAATAGGAATGAGCCCTTCAGCAGCATTGTCTTGAGACAGTTCTTCCTTGACCAGTCATTGGATGTGCCCCAGAAAAGGGTGAAACCTTTGGCAGGGGGTCTCTTGTCAGATGAGGCAATTCCTGAAGAAGGCTGATAGCCAAGGACTGTGTCAACATAACCCTTAGCAGCAGGAGGAATAAGTCCTTAAGGCCCAACATGGGATCTGAGTGCTGTATCATTTATCATTACAACCACTACTCTTCCGCTTGCCTTTTTTTTTTGATGATGCTTTTTAAGAATCATATCAATGTTTCTGCAGAACATTTTCAACAGAAAAGTTTCCCAATCTACTAGGCTATTGTTGCATATGCTGATGTTCCAAGATGACCTCTTGCTTCCCCTTTCCTTCCTATTCCATCCTGAAAACACTTATTTGTCCTTCAATTGGCAGCTCAAATGTCACCTTCTTGGTGAGGCCTTTTGGTTTCCATCACCCAACACAAGTTTTCCATCTTCTATGTCCCCAGGGAGCTCCGGCTATCTCAGGAAACAGCTAGTCTGTGCTATTGTTAATGTCCTTTTCACAATTAGAATGTAAAATCCTGGGGGAAAGGACTGGGCCACTATTTTATTTGTGTAGCCCCAGCATTCTAGCACAGGCACACCATCAATATTTGTTGAATTAGATCCATCAATATGAACACAGCAATGGCTCCATGATCTTGGTAACGTCAACCCCTCCTTGTGGTCTTAGGGCCTGGCTAAGATGTGTGGGTATCTGAGGTAAGCCAATGCTTTGACATTCTGTCAATCATTATTTTTTCACTTTGGTCATTTAGTAGGAATAGAGAGAATGAATTTTAAAATGTTTGCTTTCAGAAAGAAATTTAACAGTGCATTTTCCATTGGCCAAAGTAAGACCAGTGTTTTTTTAAAAACCTAAGAAAATGTCACCTATTCTGTATTTCTTGTCCTCTTTTCTTTTGTAAATTTAAAAATTAGTGTGCTTGGATATACACTAAGATAATTAAAATTTGTATAATAAAAGAAATCACATACTCTTGGTTAAGAAACCACATCATTCATTCTTTAGTTCCAAGTATTTTAGCAGACTGTCAATGTTCAGGTGACTGTACACAAAGTAGTAAAGAGCTATGTATGGGAGCCTGAGACATCTGGCTTTGATTTGCCATTTATCCTAGTGCTGTTTTTGTGCTCTTTATAGACTGGCAGTTGAGGTAGTGCCTGGATAGCCATCCCCATAATCCGACCATAATACGCTTCAGTTTTCTTACCTACAAAATAAGAAAACTTTCAGAAATTCTAAGATCTCTTCCAGCTGTAGCATTATTTGATTCTATGGCTTTATCTATACTGAAGCACATGATGGATATTTTAATGTTTATTTGATATTTTACATGTAATTTAAAATTTAGAAAGTGTTGTCATGGAGCATGATTTTTATTTAACAGTAGTTTCATTTAGGATCTCTCTTTTAGAACAGTCATTCCTATTCTTCTTTGGGCAACCCAACTAAGATTTTGCTACATTAAAGACTTCACATGAATTTATATGATCTAAAGTATTTTTAGCAAGAAATCTGTATGCTAGATAAAGAAAAAAAAGGGATCAAAAGAGGAAATAGGTAACGCAAGGCTGCTACTTAGAAATAAAATAATTTTTAAACCCTGAGATTTAAATCAAGTCCTTACCTGTGGGTCCTGCGTTATGGTACTTTGCAGAGAACAAAAAAGTGGTGCTTGAGAATTGAATTTAATCTCTTCTCTCTCTCACCGAATTCTCACATAATGCATTTTCTGCAGTTACAAATAAAGGGTTTTTTTTTTCTGGGGAACTAGAGATACATGTGGTATCTCTAAGAGGAAATGACAAGAAGCTAAGTTAAATGGCGTGCAAAGAAGGGTGAGCTGGAACAAAATGATGTGTTTTGGGAGATGTATGGCATCTTCAAAAACATCACACTTATGGTTTTCTGGTGTCTGTGAAACTTGGACCAATTCAAAGTGCCATATTTGATAGATTCTGAAAGAACTGAAGAGAAACTGGTTTTTTTTTTTTCTTTTTCTACATTCAGTTTTAAAGCTTTATTGCTTTCTGGGAGATAAATTTCTTCTTTTAGCATTATCTATCTCCTTTTACAAGATATATTACTATACTCCTTGGCCATTTTGGAGCCAATAACTGTTATTTACTTATTTATTTACTTATTTGGCTGCCTCCTGATCTTACAATGAATCCTTTTAGGCAACATTCTTGAAAAAGAGGAGATTCAGCGATGATGTAGAATCACAGAATTCTGAAACTGGAAAGGGCCCTAGAGAATAAAAGTGGGCAGCTGCATTGCAGCTTTGTTTCACTCTGTATACAAAGTAAACCATCCAGGCTAAGTGACATGCAGAGAATGAGCCTTGAGTGGGCAGGAGGACTATTTGGGTCTAGCTCTAATTTTTCAGCCAGGCAGCTGAGGACTATGAACAAATCTCTTAACCTTTGGTTAACTCTCAGTGACCCGCTGCTTAGCCTTGAGCAAAGCATTTAATCTTCAGCTTTCTCATCTGGAAAATGAAGGGTTGCATTAGATAATCTCAAGGGCCTCTTTCAACTGGGAACATTCTGTCCTTTCTTGATGCCACGCCCAAAACTAAAACAGTGTGTATTTCTCTCAACTGCCTGCTTCAATTGCCCATTAACTTAAGAAAATTCAACATAGACAAAAATCTGGAATTTTAAAAGAAATAATTTAGGGGATTTGTATTTGTGATATAAAAGTACCCTTTCCCTTACAGACATAAATTTCCTTTAAATAATTAACTATTAAATATGTTTTTACTTTATGACAATTAGATTTTCACACAACTTTTCAGGAATGCATGTTTGATAGCAAGTCAAGTGTACCCTCTAATAATTACCACCCTTGATTTTACTATGTTTCTCCCACTCCGAACTCATGTTTCTAGTCTTAGCAATTGTATTAATCCATTTTGCATTGCCATGACAGAATATCTGAGGCTGGGTAATTTACAAAGTAAAGAGAATTATTGGTCTCACGGTTCTGCAAACCATGCAAGAAGTATGGTGTCAGCATCTGATTCTGGTGAGGCCTCAGGAAGTTTACAATCATGGTAGAAGATGAAGCAGTAGTAGGCATGTCATGTGGCAAGAGAGGGAGAAAAATTGAGAGGAGGAGGTGCCAGACTCATTTTTTAACAATCAGATCTCATGGTAATTAATGGAGTGAGAACTCACTCATTACCGCAGGAAGGCACGGAGCCATTCATGAGGGATCTACTCCCATGACCCAAATACCTCCCACCAAGCCCCACCCCCAATACTGAGGATCACATTTCAACATGAGATTTGG
The DNA here is from genome assembly GCF_000001405.40 of Homo sapiens. Lineage (NCBI taxonomy): Eukaryota > Metazoa > Chordata > Mammalia > Primates > Hominidae > Homo > Homo sapiens. The sequence continues at coordinate 69,996,298 of NC_000009.12, read as the reverse complement.
AGGGTACAGATATCCAAATGATATCAACAAGCTCTCACCATAACTTTTTATCATTTACAATTTCTTATATACTTTCCATCTCACTTTCTCCTGAGTCACGTAGCTCAGCATCATTTTCTTCTGCATTGACTGCATCCTTTTTTTTCTTGCTTATTATCTTTTTCTCCTACCTTATTATGTTTCCACTGGCTCTTGTAGCTCATCCTGGAATTCCATGGAGTTCACTATGGGACATCTGTTCACTCTGAATGTCTAATTTAAGCTTGTCTTGTCTGTTCAGGCAGCTACAACAAAATACTGCATACTGGGTGGCTTACAAACAGTAGAAATTTATTTCTGACAGTTCTGGAGGGGCTGGGAAGTCCAAAATCAAGATGCTGGCAGATTCAGGGTCTGGTGAGGGCCTGCTTCCTAGTTCATAGATGCTTCCTTCTCACTGTGTCCTCTCCTGGTGAAAGGGACAAGGCTGCTCTCTGGAACCTCTTTCAGAAGGGCACTAATCCCATTCATGAAGATTCCACCCCCATGACTAATTACCTCCCAAAGGTCCCATCTCCTCATACCATCACCTTGGGGGTTAGGACTTTAACGTATGAGTTTTGGGGTAGCATAGACATTCAGACCACAGCAAAACTCAACATCAAAATGAGCTCTGCTCCTTTAATCTATATCATTGCTGCTGTTGTGAAACTCAAGTGAAGCTCCTCTCCACAATTTAACACTGAAGTTCAACCCATTCCTTGTTTTCTTCTGAGTTTCAATAGATGAAATAAACACTTTCTATATCCATAGGTAATACATGTCTTTACATCGTCACTGAGACAAATTAGCAATTTTATGAACAAGAAAAATAGGATTTCTCACTTGGATATATTGAATATATTAAGTACTTTGGAGAAAAGTGCTATAAAACTCTAGAATGTTATCATTGATTTGTTGTCAAGGAGAAAACAATGCTGTTCTTAATTAACTTCTCAAAAAATGTGCAGCATTCCTAAAAGAGAAAAGAGATCCATTTTCCATGAGAGGTCTCAATACTTCAAAAGCCCTACTAGAAATGTATCTCTTGATTCTGAATCTATTAAAGGGGTATATTCTACATTTTGTCACACAGGTGAAGGTCCTCAGAAATTTTTACATCTAAGTTCTGCGGGGTTTGGTTTTTATGTACCCACACCACAGTGTCACTTGTCAGGCCATTTTCATAGCAGAAATCCCATTTTAAGGTAGGAAGTTGATTCAGTATGGAAATAAAATGTATCATTTTTTTTCCATTAAAAGTGGACATCTACTTCTAGGATTTACTTAACTTGAAATAAGGCTGCAGTCTGTGGTGTCATTCCTAATACGACATTTCCAGCATTTTCTCAAAGTGTTAAGGTTTAACTCTCATACCAGCTTGCAAGGATCATTAAATTTAAAGTGGGAAGGCCCCTACAAAATTATCCAATAATTCCCACTCATTGTATAGATGAGAAAGCTAAGGCCCACAGAGACTAAACAACTTTCCCAGAGTCACACAGGAAAGACAAAAACTCAAATGTCTGGAATCTTAGACCAGCGCTTCCTTCCCCAATTCCTTTCCAGGATTCCATTTTGATTTTGGTCTCAGTTGTAACTTTTATGTCAGCAATTCAAGAGCTCTTATGTTCTAATAAGATAGCCTAGTGGATGGCTGTGGCAACAGAGAATAACAGGCACATACATGTTTAAAGAGACAGCACCCTGATATAGGTCCAAGAGCAATGAGGTAGGTCTCTGAAACTCAAGGTTCTTTCTATTCATGGGTTGCCATGATCAAGTTGTTTAGCCTCGCTGGGTCCGACTGTCCTCAGCTGGAAAATAGAAAGCTAAGGAAGAGATCAAATGAAATAGGGTAGGTGGAAGCAGCTGGCACATATCTGTGTTCAATAATATTTGTTCAGTCTGAATTGACCTGATAATTCAGGCACCCAAGGGCAGCATGGGACCTAGAAAATCACTTTAATCCTGATTCCTTTTCTCAACAAATTATTCCAATGCACCCATTCAGTTAAGAAATATTTATTAAGCACCTACTATGTGCCAGCCAGGCACTGTGCTTGGTTCAAGGATAAAATGGTAACAGAAAGACATGGCTATTTTACAGATTGGTAGAAGAGACAGAGAACTAAGCCGCAACGACCTGCTGTGATGACACAGCACAGAGGAGGGGACCTTAACCCAAACCAAGCAGATGTGGGGATGCTCCTCAGAGGAAACCACCTGTGAGCTGAGACTCACAAATAAGGAAGAGTTACCCAGATGGAGGACTAGGAAGAGCATTCCAGGAAGATAAAATACAACATGAAGATCCAGAGGCAAGAGAGTTTAATACTCTAGAGGAAATGAAAGAAATTGATTATGTTGTGATTAGAATGTGAGGGTGGGAGCTGGAGAAGAGACTGGGGCCAGGTCTTACAAGCCACTTTAATGCACTTGAAGCTTATCCTAAGAGCAATAGAAAATTTCAAAGACTTGTAAGTAACAAAGTGAAACAATTATATAAATGGTTTTCTTGATGAGGAATCAGATTTTTTTTAATTTTGAGGGTTTCTTATTGACATAATTATATCTATGCATATTCATTTCCATATTTAAATAACTCCTTCTCATTTGCCCCAAATTCATGTAAAGCATTTCTCAAATTATATCCACCACCATTGGACCTTCACCTTTTAAACAAAAATTACTAGACAAATTGCTTACTTTGTATTCAAAATGACAGCAGGGTCCATAATTACAAGTGACCAGTCAATCAGGATGAAAAAATCCTTAGGAAATAAATGCATGCACTGCAAAACTACAGTTAAAACTTTCAGCATTCAAATGAAGAAGAAAAGGCAGGAATGATTGGGATAGGAAACCAAAGAATAAACAGATGAAAGAAAATGTGAAAATATATTCTAAACAGTGAGCCTATTAAAATCACCACACCCAGCCAATTTGCAAGAGGCAGGCAGTTCTGAAAAGCTGGAGCACCATGAATTAGCTTTGCCAGATAAACTAGGTCTTGCCAAGCAAACTGGGACCTCAGCGGAAAAAAGATAAATTTGTGTTTGCCAGGAGTGATGCCATGACCAACAAACTTTTCCGAAACCTCAGCCTAGAATTTGGCTCTGCCAGTGCACCCAGTGGTGAATCAAGACCTATCCCCTCTGCATTTGGGGGCCAGGAGGGAGCATTACACTTATGTATCAGAAACCTCTGTGAATGGGAGAGCCTGGCCTAATTTCAGTTGGGGTTTGTTTTCCATTATAAAAATCCATGAGCTATTATACTTTCTAGCCAGCTTTATTTGAACATCTTCTACACACTTAACAACCTATAAAGCAAATAGAAATAGTAATCATTTGCAGCAATAGAGTATTTTTCCCTCTAAAAGCCCAAAGCTTCCGATTTTGAGCACAGCATTCTTTGGGGAAAGCACTTCTCTCAAGCTGAAGATTTTATTTTGTCAAATTAAAGGATTTATGGTCCACAAACAATGGGGTTGGTAGCAGATGTAGGAGAAAGAGTTGAACATCAAGAGGCCTTCGGGGTTAGAAATATGATGGCTGTTTTAGGAGATGGGAATAAGGAAAGTAGAAAAGCTCTTTGCAATTTCTGTTAAATTCTAACTTTTAGCACTTAGTTGCTTAATTGCATACATTATACACAACTTTTTAACATTATGCATAAAGCACAAGTTTATTGCCCCCAAATTTGGAACATATAGATAAAAAAGAGAAAATATAATTCCACCACTAAAATAGAATCTCTGCTAATACTTTTGTATCTATCTCTCCAAATTTATTGCTTTAGCTCTCACTTTCTCTTTACACATAACTATGCATTCACAGCCTCATTTTTATGATATGTACATTTATATATCCATACATATGTTAAAATAGGATCATACTTCACATACTATTTCTGAATCTTTTTATTCTTAACAATTGTGAACATTGCCCCTTGGGCTAGAAGCTTGATGAAGGTTGGGATTTTGCTTGTTCTTATGCATTGCTGTTTTCTTTTTCTTTTTTTTCCTGGTCTTTTTTTATTTTTTAATTTCAGTAGCTTTTGGGGTACAAGTGGGTTTTGATTACGTGGATGAATTGTATAGTGGTGAAGTCTGAGATTTTAGTGCACCCATCACCCGAGTAGTGTACATTGTACCAAATACGTAGTTTTTTATCCTTCATCCCCCTCACTCTCCCCCTTTCTGAGTCTCCATAGTCCATTATACCACTTTGTATGCCTTTGTGTACCCATAGCTTAGCTTCTACTTATCAGTGAGTTTTGGTTTTCCATTCCTGATTTACTTCACTTAGAATAAAGGCTTCCAGCTCCATCCAATTTGCTGTAAAATACATTAATTCATTCCTTTTTTAAGGCTGAGTATTATTCTGTGATGTACATAGACCACATTTTTAAAATCCAATCATTGGTGGATGAACACTTAGGCTGGTTCCGTATCTTTGCCACTGTGAACAGTGCTTCAATAAACATATGCTTGCAGGTGTCTGTGCTGTTTTCTTAGCATTTAGGCTAGTAACCTTCCTATGGTGGATACTCAATATCTATTGACTGAATGGATAACTATTCAGTCATATAACCTTCCTATGGTAGATACTCAGTAAATGTCTATTGATTGGATGAATATAGTTTCATACGAGTCAAGTATAAATATTTATGCATGTGGTATATCAATATATAATACAGTATAAATAAACACACAAATACAATTAGTGTCCTAGTTCTGGCATCTGTATGCGCTAATCCTAACCACCCCAGGTCAAACGCTGCCCTTCTATCAAACCCTCCTCAGGCTTCCCTCTGGCTCTCTCCTTCCTCCTCTCAGTGCTTCCTCAGACTTCCATAGAATATTCTTTACTTCTTTTTGGCACTTAGCACTTTCCATCTTGCTTTATACATATTTAGTCCATGTTCCTCTGTCTTGATACAGTGCAGCTTCAGGGTGGCATCTTTGTTCAGTTTATATTTGTAATAATAACAAAACATAATTCTATGTATGTATTATTTAATGTGTGTCAGGGACTATACTAAGTGTTATATGTCCATTATAACCTTTAATATTCTAAATAATCCCATAAAATTGGTATGATTATCTTCATCTTATAGATGAGTTATCCGAGCCTTAGAAAGCCAAAGTGACTTGCCCAAGGCAGAGATGAGCCTCATGCTCAAGGCTGTCTGATTCCAGAATCTGTGCTTTGGATCCACTATCTCCACAGCCTCCTTGCCTATCATCTCCCACTCCCAAGTCATTTGCAACAGTGCCTTGTGTAGATGGTAGTAGATGTCCAATGAATTCTTGTTGAATGAATAAATGAAACATAGATAACAATTGAGCATGTGTTGGTTACTAATGGAAGTGTAAATCCTGAGACTGAGATGTTTATGTAGCTTGGTGTGGGGTCTCAGAGGGAAGTAAAAGCACAGATTTGGGGAAATAGTCCAAAGTGGTTCATGGAATTTTCTCCTATTTGATAGCCAGGAGACATGAGCACAGTGAGTCTTTGTCTAGACAAAATTCAAGACAATTTGGAAGGAGATGCCAGTCCAAACACAAGTAAGAACTTGATGGGAAAAATGGTGCTTCTTCAGAAGGGCTGATGTGGTTGGGAGTAATAATTGAATAAATAAAAAATTGGGGACTTAGAATAGGAAAAGTGAAAGTGAGAGTTAAATTAACAAATAATTAGAAATGAGAACATTGGGATAGTGTCAAAAGGAAGGGAAATACAGGGAAAATTCTAGAATCTTGAAGTAGTCAAAAGAAACTTGCCACACTATCAGAATGAGTCTTCATTCACTATAAAAAAATGGAGGGATTGACATTGTAACAATTTTCTTTCCAGCCCCGCTAGCTTTGAAACTATAGCAGACACTTCCAGAGCTCCACCTGTATCCCCTTGGCCCTTACTAGTCGGTCTGACTTCAGGAGACCAGCACCTGCCTGCCTCTGCCTGGAGCCCACGTGGGTCACAAACCCAAAGGGTGAGAGCATTAAGCCAAGCAGCCCTCAACCACTCACTGGCAGGAGCTGGTGGGTAAATACCCCAGACCCCTTGCCACTCTGATAGAATAACTTGGAGGTACACATTGCACACTACCTCCCAGAGCTCCCCAGAGAGAATAGACTTCATTGCCCCGTGGGAAATTGCTTGATACATATATTTTCTATTGGCTCCTTTATCTTCCCTGTTTCACTTTCTCAATACTCCATCAGTATGTCCTGGGATCACTTCCCAAATAAATTACTTGCCCTGAAATCCTTGTCCGAGAGCCCTGATTCTGTAGGAGGAAGCAGGACACTCTTTAGGAGCAGAACATATACATAGATGCCCCTTACATCTCTGCCTTCTCCCATATGGCAGCTCCCCATTTAGGAATGTTAGCGGAGAAAGGCAGTTAAGAGACCAAAGTCTTGACAATACAGAATGTGAAATCATTTCAGAGTTTGATTCCCTCCTTTTAAAAAGACAAGCCAAAATTAAGTAAGCCCTATGTTTCAGAGCCCCAGCCCCAACACATTTTCCCAAAGCTTTTTTAAAAATGTAGGTCTGCAACTAAATGATATACAGAAAAACCCAATGGTCATATAAGTTTAGGAACTGTTGGGTTAAACAAAGTCAAGATTTTTACAGCAGGAATTTTTCTGACCTTTTGTATGCTAATGAGGTACTCAACATAGCCAAAAGGGGGTTACAGTATGGACCATCAACCAGATTATTTGTTCATGAACCTCTGAAGGGGCCAGCGGGCCACAGAACACACAGAAGGAAACCCTGCCTACCTCCAAAATAATCCATAGATAGCCCATTTACAGTTCAGTCTTGTCTCTCAATTCAGCCCCAACTGCAACCACCCTTTCCTCTTTCTGCCTCCATCTGTGGCCCAGGCTTCAAAACAAAAAGTTCTCAGAATTCTTGAAACTTCTTTGCATGCTGCCTGGAATACCATCTTCCACTTTCACACCTGGTGAAATCCTCTTGGTTGATCTTTCCAAATCCACACAGAGATTACTTGCTTTGAGCAAGTTTCCTCAACAACCCTCTTATTCACCTTTGTGTTCCCATGATTTTGCACAGGACCTAGAACCTACATAGCAGATACTTGTGTGAATGAATTAAAGGAGCATGTGAGTGAAATGAGGTATAAAGAAGTGACGTTGGACAAATCATTTATTTGAGTTCAAAGCAAGGAATAGAATGTGGTCCTCTCATTCATAGCCCACGTTCATCCTCTCTCCACATCCCAGAAATCAAAGATGTTATTTGGAGAATTTGATGATTCTTTTTAAAAGTTGTGGTAAAATGTACATAACATAAATTTTACCTTCTTAATCATTTTAAGGGGACAATTCAGTAATATTAAGTACACTCACATTGCTATGCAAACAATCTCCAGAACTCTTCATGTTTCAAAGCTGAAACTGTGTATACACTGAACGACAACTTTCCGTTTTCTTCTCCCCCAACCCCTGACAACCACCATTGTACTTTCTGTCTCTAATCTGACTACTCTCGGTACCTCACATCAGTGGAATTATACAGTGTTTGTCTTTTTATGACTGGCTTATTTCATTTAGCATAATGCCCTCAAGATTCATCCATGGTGTTGCACATACCAGAACTTCCTTTCTTTTTTAAGACTGAATAATATTCCATTATATGTGTATCCCACATTCTGTTTATCCATTCATCCATTGATGGGCACTTGGGTTGCTTCCACCTTTTGGCTATTGTCAATAGTGCTGCTAGGAAGATGGCTGTACAAATATCTCTTCAAGACCCTGATTTCAACTTTTTGTGTGTGTTTGGTGACTCTTTTTGGAGCACACTGAAGTTTTAACATTTTCCTTTACAATCAGAAGGGTGCTAAATAATAACCTAAACTCATGCTTGGTTAGCTATTGCCAGAAGCATAAAACCAGCAATTACAAAACACTGTGTCAGTTAGGACTTTTTGATTACCTGTGACAGAAAACAACTTGCAACAGCCAATGAGGAGATTTATTGGAAAGGTTTGATGATATCTTGTGGTACCCAATGAAGTGTCAACCCCACAAGAAGAAAGGCACTCCTGGGCCTTAGGAACAGCTGGAACCATGTGCCCTCTGGATCCTCCATCTCAACATCTCCTCTGTGCTTGCCTGCTCCATTTTTCTCACTGCACACTGGCTCTACCTAGAAGAAAAATGGCATCCAACTCCCCTTACTTTTGCATCTGTGGCTACAGCCTCATAAAGAGACTGGACCAATTCTTTCTCAGTCCCAAATCCAATATCTCATGGAAAAGACTCATTGTCCCTATTTTTGTTAAGCTCCCATTCTACCAATGTTGTCTCTAGGAAGGCATAGTCAAATTGTACAAAACGGCTGCTCCCAGTTCCAGGGGATTGATATGCATATTGGGGAGGGCAGGCAGGTACCAAAATGTCACAAGTACTGAATGACCATAAGTCTACCAGTGCCTCAGTAGAAGGACCACAGGATGGAAGGCAGTGGGGTGAGAAAGTCTCCAAACACCCACATCCCTGATGAACACTCCCATGAGGTAAAAGGGAAGGGATTTTGCAGGCAGCAGTGAGTTCTGGAGTAGAAAAACACATTAATCAAAATCCTGTCTCATCAACTAAATGAATCCACAGATAATGAGGCAGGGAAAAGGCCTGCTAGCCCTGAGATCTCTTTAGACAAGGTTTTTGTGTCATGTGGCAAGTCCAGCAAGAGACCTGAGAAAAGGAAAAGGAAAATTAGGGTTCCCACATTATCAAGCAAGGCCAGAGGCCAAAATTAAAAGGAAATAATAATGACATCCAGAAAGATCCTGGACTGTAACATTTCCAGGAGAGAACACCCAGGCTCAGGTACCTCTGAGACATCTTATGCGATAATGAGTTGGAGAAATGCAGCTGGTCACAGGAAGTGGAAAGAATAGACTAAAACTATTGCTAGGAATCAAAGCTAAACCCCACATCACTAAAGCCCTGTCTCTAGTAAAACGTTTCTCCTGTTTGTTCATTGATTCTGAATGTTAAGTAAGTCTTTCCGGCAGTGGTTCCAGGGTGCTGAAGCAATGACTCTCAGACAGCAAATGAAAAATGAGGGCTGCAAAGTTCAGGCAATAATAGAAAATTAAATCTTAACTGAGCTGCTGTAAATATCACAACCAGAAAACAGAGTGCATCAGCAAACTGCGCTGGCAGGGAGGGTAATGAATTTCTCCTCTCCGGGCAAAATTTATCAGTGGTGCATAATAGAGTATTCTCGGGTTTGGAGGTGAGGAAGGGGTTGATGAGGAAAGAGGGAGAAAGAAAAACAAGCGATATTTGTAAATTAAAGTATCTCAGCCAAAGCCAACAGCCCAGCTCAAATGACCCTTCTATAGTAACTCACCTAATGCAAACTTCCACAGCCCATAAGCTGTATCTCTTGCACTGCACTCAGCATTTTAGGTTATCTGTAGTTATTTGTAGATATGTTTTATCTCCACAATGAGATTATGAACCCCTGGAAGGCAAGGGAGAGGAATTGTTTCCTTTATCCATCTTCATGTACCCCACCACATCCAGAAGAACTAGTATTTATTGACTCTTTCAACGTGCGATGCACCGTGTGAGATATTGTAGTGTCATATTCCCATGAGGTCCTTCCAAATACCCTGCAAGGTGAGGAGGACTATCACATGATACCAAAGAGGAGACTGGGGCTCAGAGAGGTAAGTAATTTGCTCCAATTCACACCATGACAGAGCTGAGATTTGAACTTAAGTCTACTGAATTCCAAAACCTATATTCTTTCCTACTCGATATACTACCCAGTTGGCAAATAGCGATCCTATTTTCCAATATGCATGCTGATTTCTCCAAACCACATCCTGTGGCAGATGTTGTACATATATTATCTCAATTACTCTTCACCACAGCCCAGGAGTTTGGTAGCATTATTAGCCCTATCTCGCCAATGAGAAAACTGAGGCACAGAAAGGTTGACAAAATCATCTAAAAATCGAATGGCTTATAGTAAGTGGTTGCATGAAGATGCTGACCCACCCTGCCAGACTCCAGAGTGTGTGCTCTTAGTCATCATCCTATGTTGATTTCAAAATAAAAAATAAACACACACACACACACACACACACACACACATCCCACATCACATGTTTTGAGCAACTCCTTTGTGCTAGGCTAGGCAAATTTTGTAATTTAACCCTTATTACCATCCTCATAGCAGAAGCAAGTATTCAATAAAATATAAAATTAATGAATAATGGAAGATAAAAATAGAGGTGCAACTGTTATCAATTGCTAAATTAAAAAAAAAAATCCAGAGACTCCTCTGTGTTTGCATTGGTAACACTATTGGCCACAAGCTATGGAGGACCAGGGGAAATAAATGAGTATTAGAAACGAAGACAAATAAGGGCAATCCAGACAATAGAAAGGAAAGGTTTTCACTTGAAAAATGAGTGTTCTATAAAATCAATAATGGCCCATCCTAAATGAGACAGGTCTCCTTTGTTGCAATAGCATCTTAAATGAACTGTTAGAAAATCAGCATTTACAAATAAAACAACAGAAATCTCCAAGTTAGACTCAATTTTATATCAAAAACATAACCCTGTTAAGTGGATGACAAATCTTCTACAGGCTACATCCAGATGAATTAGATAATGATAATGGTAGCCTTAGAAGAGTAGAGGGACTCAGACAAAAAATAACAATGCCCTGTAATCCCAGCACTTTGGGAGGCCGAGGCAGGTGGATCACTTGAGGTCAGGAGTTCGAGATCAGCCTGGCCAACATGATGAAACCCTGTCTCTACTAAAAATACAAAAATTAGCCAGGTGTGGTGGCACATGCCTGTAGTTCCAGCTACTTGGGAGGCTGAGGCAGGGGAATGGCTTGAACCCAGGAAGTGGAGGTTGCACTGAGCTGAGATCACACCATTGCACTCAAGCCTGGGCAACAGAGCGATACTCCATCTCAAAAATAAATAAATAAATAAAACAATGCCTTGGTTCTACTCTGGCTTTTCCAGCTTTCTCAGTCATTTGTGTTCTCCACCAGTTGTTTCTCTGCCACCCTAGAGGTAAGCATGGCCATAGAACTCAGTTGGGCCAATGAAGTACGACCAGCAGTGATGTGTCACTTTCAGGCAGAAGCTTAAAGAATCAGTGCATGTGCATGGTTTGCAATGCTTTCTCTTCTTTTGTCATGATGACGGATGATATTCTAGAAGGCATTTGTCTGTCACCCTGCATCACCGAGTATAGATGACAAAGAGCAGAGCCCCATGCTAAGCCACAGAGGAAACTACATGAATGAGGGGGAAAAATGTTGTTTTAAGCTACTGAGATTATTGTTGTTTATTATTGCAGCATAACAGCCCAATCTGATCAAAATATGAACCTCTAACCCTGGGTAAGTCATTTTATCTGAGTAGGTATCAGCGTCCTCATCTGCAAACCAAAGGAATTTGCCTAAAAGAGGGGTCATTAATCTGGGAACCCATGAGTGGGCTTCACAATGACAATGAATCAAAAAAAGGTAAGAGTGTGTATACATGTGGATGCGTGAATGAGAAAGAGAAAGGGTGCCATGGCATGTGCCTGTAGTCCCAGATACTTGAGAGACTGGGGCAGGAGAATTGCTGAAGCCCAGGAGTTCAAGAACAGCCCAGGAAACTATAGTGAGACCCTGTCTCTATTTTTTAAAAAGAGAGAGAAAGATAACAAGCAAGACAAAATACACATTTTTCTTGAGAGAGGGTTTATAGCTTCTTCAAATTTTAAGAGGGTCTGTGTTATTAAAATTAGGTTGAGAGCCTGAATAATCTTTAAGGCCATTTCCAGCTCTAATGTGCTTTGTGGCTTCTATAGCAGGAAAAAAAGTAGTTAATTAGGTTCCTCTATGATCTGGTATTTCAGGACTTGCCTTGGGTCAGATTTTATTAAGGTTGTTTTCCAATAATTGCGTTTAAGAGTTACGCTTAACAGAATTACAAATATCAAAATCTCAGGAGGTATTCCTGAGTAAAAACAGGGGATTCAGAGTAATTCTTTTAACCGAAGAAGGAGAGGTTCTTCAACAATTGAAAACAAAGACCCAGATTCCATTTGGCAGGTAGGATAGAGCTGGATCGACTCTTCATAGAAAGAAGGGGGCACTCCTCCAAAAGCATGTCCCCACACATGCGCGAGTGTGTGAAAGGCCAGAGTGTAATACTTCAGCTGAAGGCCATGGGCTCTTTTTAACATGAAGGCAGTGGGGTAGACACAGTTCATAGAGAGAGCCTGAGTTTTATGATGGGCATCTGCAATCTGAGTTCAAGCCCAGAGTTACGAGAGTATTTCAACATGCTGTTGGGCTGGTTTTCTCATCTATAAAATAGGGACAATAATATTCAGCTCTAAACGGAAGAGTCTCTGCAGCAAATAGATACTACATGCAAGGTTATTGAGGAGAGTTTCATGAGGGACTATTTACAAAGGTGTGCACAGAGTTAAGAGAAACCAGTGAGGCGTGCTGAAGCCTCTGGGACTGGTTAAAGCAGAGAGCCTTTTATCATTCCCACAGCTGAAGGAGCAAGAGAAAGAAGGGTTACTTTAAAAAGGAGAGAGCCATAGCTGGAGCTATAGGAAAGGGCTACACAAAAGAGCCCTGGCCTTCCAAGAGAAACAGATACAGCTCCTCTTGGCCCAGCAGGGAGACAGCCAGAGGGGAAAACACTTTGATCATTTTCTCTTCTCATCCTCCCGCTGGTGCCTCACCTTGGCCAAACCCAAGCAAAAAGCAATGGGCAAGGGAGCCTGTTGACATGGTCATAAAAGTCAGTCTCCTGTGGCAGAGAAGGATGGAGAAGGGTGGGGAGAGGATGTGGAGAAGAAATGAGCATTTGAGCCTATAGAATGCTGAAGTAGGCTTGGCCATGCCATATCACTATTGGTCAAAGCCCATCTCTGCTCTTTGTAACCAAGCATCTTGCCAGGCACAGCTGATGAATTCTAGTTCCTTCATAATCTGAATCTGACTTCCTTTCCATCGTAGTGCCCACTGTTCACTTTCATCTACTCTGCAGAATTACTATGGGAAAAACACATTTATGTACATTATCACTAATCCTCTTAACAACTCATCAGGTAAGCATTATTTTCCCATTTTCATGAAAGAATAAAAGCTCAAATAAGTGGATTTCCCTTACCCACCATCACAGACCTGCTATGCTGAAGAACAATAATTCAAATCCAGATCTATTGGACTTCAAGGTCCACATTCTTGTCCTATCCCACCCTGCAAGGCTTTTAGTCCTAGCTTTGATTCTAATTATTTTGTACCCTTCATAAGTCTCTCACCTTTCTGGGCCTTTTGCTGTTTTATGAGAATGATTTAATTGTACCTTTCCATGATATTGTTGGGACAAGATGAATGTAGTTTCCAATGACTGTGAAACTATCTACCTGTTTCTATTCTTTGTGAATCTTGCAATGATTACTTTTTTTTTAAATGAGACCCAAGCATTTTCTTTGATTTGGAATTGGAAATGTGTCTGCCTACTCTTAAGTCAACAGAAAGCCCCAGAGAGAGGAGTTTCTAGCTATCTATCTATCCTATCTGTCTACGCATTTGCAGATTTCTTTCTACATCTGCTCTCCGAGACCTCAGAAGCATCTTCTCCTTACAAATTGCTGCCAAAATGTCCTCTACATTAATAGTAAGTTTCTGGAGTCACCATCATCATTAGCCTATGATATTTAAGGCTAGTTTAGTTGCACATTCTAAGCTCTAAAGTAGTCAGAAACCTAGAAAAAGGAGTCTATTTTTTCCTATTTCCTGGATCCCAAGTGTGTTCAGGTGGCTAACATCAAGCAGGAGAAAGGCAAGCTTCTGTGACCCAGGAGCTGAGCTGCATCAGAGAACCATCCTTCTTTCTAGAACAAAATCTTAAATCAAGCAACCCTACAGCACAGGCCCTTCCCCCACCCCTGAAGTATAGGTTTTCATCTTAGACAAAGGAAATAATTGGATTCCTGTACTGAGCTCTGTGATCTACTGCTGCCAGCTGCATCACTGTAAAACCATTAACTCCTTGCTGAGCATTTTATCTCTGCAACAGGAAGAGGTAAAAAGGAGATACACATTGTTTAGGCCAAGTGAAAGGAGAATATTTTTTAAGTGGTGCAGTGTAGATCCCAGTAACATGGCATCCATTTCAACCAGCCTGAAATTATGGACAAGCTTTAAGGATGAAAGCCAGAGAAATTGGAAGAGAGCAGATTTCTGCCTTCAAGAGCAACCCGTACATCACCCAGGGGTTGTAGGGCGTCTAGAATTCCAGCATGAGCTGCGTTTTTCCCTCCCTTTGACTCTTGGCTTCCACATTCTTCTCTAATAGGTCATAGCCCTTCAAGTGAGAAATGAAGCCAGTCACTCCACTTCCTCTGACTGCGTTTGTGCCTCTATGCACTGGGGCTTTAAATGTTCATGAGATCCTCTCTCAGTGCAATGTCAATTAAACACCTATAGCTGGAACAGTAGGGGCTGGAAAAATGCCAAGGCAGATACAACTGAGACTCCGTCCGGAGAAGCCTTCAACAGAGCACTTGGAATTAATTCATAAGAAAAGGTTATAGGTAAATGAAAAATACTGACTGACAAATAGGAGTAACTTGAATCTACCCCTCCCTGGGAACCATGCAACAGGAACCCTCACCAGGCATCTCACTGCAGTTATTTGTAATTATCTTTCATATGAAAACAAGGCCCAATGAAAATTAACTCTTCCTTTCAGCTTAATGATTTAAGGCTCAGTCAGATTTGGGGCTGATGAGAAAGCCTTGAGGATGTGGCTAAATATGAATCTCTCTCCAAACTCTCTTAGACTCTCCCCCAATGTTACCTATGCAACACACACTTGAGTCATGGAAGTCAGGACAACTTCTCTCTCAAATAGTATGTTGGATCCACACAGACAATAGATCCAACAAAAGCCCAAGATTGAGCAAAATAGCTAAAGTTTGAGGAATATCTTTGAGAGCCTCCTATTTTTCTATTCCAACCTTTGCTGCATAATCCTTCAAACTTAGAGATAGCACCTTGTCACTTCTTTTAAACGTTATTTTTCAACCACTTTTGGTTAAGACAATTGAGGTTAGCACCTCTGTTTGAACAGCTGCTAACTATTAGTAGAGGAGAGATTCCTCTCTGCTCCTGGGGGGGACCCTGGAAAACAGCCTTAAGTCCCCTTTTCCCTTTAATGAGAGATAGTTGACCTTGGCCTTGCGTCCTTTTGCTCAACTCTTCCTTTCTAACCTTCTAAAAAATGTTCAAAACATATTTCATTTGGGAGGTTTTCACAAAGAACGTGGGTTTGCCTGGCCACCCTCTTGGAGTTGCAATATTTGAATTTAAGGAATTTTGGGGGAAGAGGACTTACAGATGAAGAACTTGGAAACCAGCCTCAAAATGACCGTCCCATATTACATTAGCGAGCACTAGTCACCATTAGGGATTTTCACAATCACCATGAAAAGAAAGAGCCACAAAAACCGAATGTCAGCCAGGAAATAAGCAGGTTACATTTGGGCAGATGGTTAATATTAGGAGGAAGGATATCCAGATTCATGATTTTCTTTTTCCTTAACAGCAATATCAACAAAACAAGGCAACCTTTCTCGGGCATTTGAGGTGAAAACTCCATGGCGTTCATATTTAGGATTTGCTCATGGCTAATTTCTATCAGCCAACTATTGTCTATTGACCATCAACACATGGCTAGATTGTTCCTTTGATGAGACATATTTTCTGCCTAACGGGTTGTTACTCAGTTGCTGGATTCTAGGTTCATTGGGGTTATTAAAATTGTTTCTTGAGTTTAGCAAAATAAAACATTGCACTTTGGTTTTCACTTTTCCTTCTGAAGTTAATTAATGGTTTTTAAATGTCCACTCTGATTTATAACTATGAATAGTTATACACAAACAATGTTAGGCTGATAGTAGTCTTTTTATCCCAGTCTATGAAACCATTGGTTGACGCAATAGTTCACATCTGCTGAAGGAATGAAAAGCATTTCCAGAATATTCTTTGCTTCCTCTCCCTGTGTGGGTACTTGGGATAGTGTAGAAAGTGGAGGTATCACGATGGGGAAGAAAGAAAAACTGAAGAGTGGAGGGAACTCATCCTTCCCTACACCTCTGTGCCAACTTTCAAGCCCAACTCTGCAGTGAATGTCATCTTCAAGGCCATTTGTTTATTTAGATTTGCCAAATGATGGGTGATTTCCCCCAATGGTTATAACTATGAAAAGAAAGAAAAATCTCAGAGAGCCAGGAAGCATTAAATCTTTCACATACTTTCATTAGACATCTCTACCTGGATGCCACATAATTATACTAGAGTCCAGTCATTTATAATGTGAATATGTGTAATTTCATAGTGCCTACTTTGAGAAAATACAGAGGGCACCATCACCACCACCTTATACACCCAGAAAAGCATAATCTTTGGTGCAGCATGTTTCCCAAAACATAAACCACCAGTTTCATCCATGGTCAACTTATGACAGGCTGACTAGACCCAATACAACTAAAATCACTTATTGAGAAACATTGAGATTTAAGGAACTTAAAGGCAATTTTGTCTAGATTATACTGCTGCCTTAGTGCCTTTTGAACCTAATCCCACATAATTGGTAACCTCATTATATCCCAAAACTGAACCCATAACTTCTGAAGCTAATGGACTTCTCCCTTGTGCTTCACTCTTTCATCACAAGTGCCACCATTTCCCCAACACGAGCTTGGGAACTTAGAATCCTCATTAACTTAAGCCATTCCTGCATGAACAAAATTCAGTTTGGAACAGGCATACATGCAAGAGACTGTGCTAGATGTTGCGGGCGATAAAAGGAAACATGTACAACAGTACCTGACCTCAACAAGCCTGAAATTGGGTAGAGTGAGACACATGTACACATGAAAAGTCAGGTAAGGGCTGAATGGCTATGGAATTCACTCTGGGCATGGGTGAAGGGGAAGACCTTGGGCAGCAAGGTAGCCATGTAGAATACCATGCAGACACCACCTTGCAAGCACGATAAGAGCAAAGGTTGAGACGTATGCAAGAGACCAAGAGAGCTATCTCCAGGTAAGCAGCAAGGCCTCCGAATTTTGCCTTCATTACACTCTGTGCAGCTGTTCCTTCCTTTCTCTAGTTTTTACTGCCTGCTCATTCCAGGTTTGAATTGTAATCATAGCCACTGTTAGCGTTCATTGAGCACTACAATGTGCCAGGAACTGTTCTAAGCACTTCATATATATATTTTATTTATTTATTTATTTATTTATTTTGAGATGGAGTTTCGCTCTTGTTGCCCAGGCTGGAGTACAATGGTGCAATCTCAGCTCACCACAACCTCTGCCTCCTGGGTTCAAGCAATTCTTCTGCCTCAGCCTCCCAAGTAGCTAGGATTACAGGCCTGCGCCACCACTCCTGGCTAATTTTGTATTTTTAGTAGAGACAGGTTTTCTCCATGTTGGTCAGGCTGGTCTTGAACTCCTGACCTCGGGTGATCCACCTGCCTTGGCCTCCCAAAGTGCTAGGATTACAGGCATGAGTCACTGTACCTGGCCCCACTTCATATATATTTAATGTATTTAATCCTCCTCACAACTTAATAAGGTAGATAATATTATTATCCACATTTTACAGATGAGAAAACAGAGGCACAGAGAGGTAAAGAATCATGCCCAAAGTTAAATGCCCAGGAAATTGAAGACCAGCATTCTGTCCCAGTCCTGGTTTCAGATCCTAAACACTTATCCACCCAGTCCACGACTTTCCATTGCATTGCCTCCATAACATTTAAAATCTCAGATCTATCCTCCAAAGTACAACTCTCATCCACTCTCTCATCCCACTTATGAGTGCTTGGAACCTCTGTGTTGTCTAAGAGGTAAGGCTCACAATCTTTAGACTGGGAATTCAAGAGCCTAGCCTTACCATCTGCCTCTGCCCATCCTGCCAATATGGTTTTCTCACATATTCTCCAATAAGAGCCCTCTCTTCTCACCAGTAGGTCTGTTCATTGGCCCTGGAAGACATCCTGCGTGTTTATATCTCCTGGACCCATAATCGCAGATATGGCTTCCAGCACCCGTCAGATTACACCATGTTGTGTACTGAACAAAACTGGGCATCAACTCCAGCAGCAGGCGGACCAGGGCAGATCTGAAGGCCTGGCTTCCAAAAATGCAACCCAAGGTTAAATTGTAGTTAGACTACACTCTTCCTAATTCAAATGCCATTCATCATCAACTAAAATTGCCAAGTATAGTTTTGTTCCGAAATCAGAATTCCTGTCATTCTATGCTGCTATACAGTACTGTTGCAATTTTATTTTAACCTAATGCCAAACTTTGCATAAGTCCCTTTTCAACTTTACCTTACTAGCTTCTGTCCATTTTTCTCCAACCTGGGAAGATCTTTAAAATACTAATTCATTTTACTCACATAATAACATGGTCTTATCCACAAATCTAATAAAGATATTATTTACCTAGCCATCTATGTTGTTTAATTAAAAGTATCTTAATAGTATTTTGCCAAAGATAGCAGGGAAGACTACTTTTTTCTCAAAATGGCTGTGATGCATTAAATCAACAGCCATATAAATTGTTGATGATCCAGCCTATGTTTGTTTATCTTGCCTGCATAATTATCATAGGATGTTTTATTTAAAGATTTGTTAAATTTTTTATTTGCAGGATACAGATATATTCCTGATAATAAGCCTAATGACTTTAAACCCAAGTCACCTTATTTGGAGATAATTCTTGGTTTATCTACACGTGTTTCTGGTGATTATCTACTTTTCTAAGTGCTTGAAAACCACCCACTTGTTTAGTAATCTAATCAAAAATTTTACTGGCAATTTAATACTAAGTTTGTGCTTACTATAACACCCCTTCTAAAATTAGAAGGTGCCCAGCTCCATCTTGGGTGCCTTCCCTCTTTGCAATCATTTTCCACTTGAGCCCAGGAATTTGAGACCAGCCTGGGCAACATGGCGAAACCTCATCTCTACAAAAGATACAAGTGTCAACTTATCTACAATTAGCCTTTGGGATGCTGCGTCTGCACAGATTTGTGTCACTCAGCCATGAATGACACATGTTACACTCAGCCTTCACTACGTGTGGCTTTCCTCCCAGATTCTGTTTCTGTTCTTTCTTTAATTTTTTCTTTTTTCTTTTTTCTTTTTTCTTTTTTTTTTTTTTTTTGAGACGGAGTTTTGCTCTTGTTGCCCAGGCTGGAGTGCGGTGGCATGATCTCGGCTCACCGCAACCTCTGCCTCCTGGATTCAAGCGATTCTCCTGCCTCAGCCTCCCGAGTAGCTGGGATTACAGGCATGCACCACCACGCCTGGCTAATTTTGTATTTTTAGTAGAGACAGGGTTTCTCCATGTTGGTCAGGCTGGTCTCTAACTCCTGACCTCAGGTGGTCCTCCCGCCTCATTCTCCCAAAGTGCTGGGATTACAGGCATGAGCCATCAAGCCGGCTGTTTCTGTTCCTTCTAAATCTGGGTTTGGTTGTACCCTAAACACACTCAGTTTCTTTAATGTTTCCTCAGTGAACTTCTCATTAGAATAACCCAAGATTACAGAGTAGGCATTTCTTTTCTAAAGCTACTTATCCTTCTTAAGTGATAGTCCCTTTTAGAAACTGACTATGGGCTCACTTCGCCTTTCTTAGACTAAAAAAAAAAAAAAAAAAATCCAATGGATGTGTCTGAACATGCCCATTTGTCCGTTTCTCTGCTATTACAAATTCCAAGGTGAATCAGTCATTTCCTCCCATGCTTCCCATACCTTCTGTTTCACCAACTGGCCTTTCCTTTTGGTCAGAATTAAGTGGAAGCTCGATTCCCTTTGTCCTCTAATCAGCTGTTCCACTTTTAGCAGTAGGAGCCTCCCAGCAGATGTTTGGAGAGTTTAAAGTCATGATATCACCGCATCACTATTATAGGACCAAACAGTCCTCACCCCTCCTCACTTCTCTGTGTCTTTTCATCTCTGCACACATGCTGCCATGCACAATTCTGGAGTTTTCCACCTGGCACTTTGTTAATATCTAGTGTTCAAGTTGAGTGGGAGGGCTGGGGCTGAGAAAGCTTAGAGCACCAGCTAGACATGGATCTAGAGATGTGTCAGTAAGTGGGGTCCAAACCAACCTTCAGGTCCTGGAAGTACATGAGTAAAGGACAAACCCTCTGACTTAGTTTAGGGGAACCATGTAGTTTCAGGGACCTAAACTGCACTCCAGCTCTGGCAGTAGAGCATGTGGCCGAGATTATGGCAACCATGACATTTGCTCCATAACCACAGTGATTAGTTCAGCAGTGAGCGCATAACTTCAGTCAGACTACTTAGAGAAAACCTCAGGACTCCTGCTGGGGATGTTGGGAGGGAGCTTCTCTTGCCTCTGAGGAGAACAGGAAGCCCATAGAGCTGCTTGTAGCCATCTTAGGACCACAAGAAAATTTCGTTTTAGATGAAGTCGACACCATGGAAGGGGAAACAAAAAAATGAAAGCAATCAGGTTCTTGATAACATCATTGAGCTATAAAACCAAGGGTTCCCTTTGGCCGGCCTTCCTTTGGATTTTCAGTTCCTCTTAATATGAAGCCCATATGAGTTGGGGTTCCTATTCAAAATATGTCCTTCCATTCCATAACCAGATCCAAAGTTCTGTTTCACCAAGTTGCAACAACAACCATGAGACTGGGTTAAAATACTAAATTTATTCATTTTTTAAAATTACCATTACTCTGTTTATTAAACCCAAGCCAAAAAAAGTCATTTTTGTTTGTTTTATTTTTAATAAAAAGAGACTTGGGAAAATGTATCATTTGGAAAATGTCAATAAAGAGAGACAAAGTTGCAAGATATACAGGATTGTTAAAGGAGCAGGTGTCAGGAACTAGCCATGACTACAGGGATTTGGGCTGAGATAAAAAGAAGACACAGAATTTTCCAAGAAATAGGGTTCAAAAAAGAAGGATGAGGTAACCTACGTCAGGGATGGAGGAATCCGATGAGTTCTCACTGATGTGAAAGACAGGGTGGGAAGGCCAAGAGGCCACCCATTTGCGGGCTGGTGGGAGCAGGGCCATGACTGGCTTGGTGTTCAGAATTGATAGGATGTTAGGTGAGTCAGAAAAGGACTGAAAGACTAAGAGAATAAAGAATGACTGGACGCTGAGAGGTGATGCAGGGAGAGAAGGTGAGTCTGGCAAAACTGAAGGAGTGGAAAGGTGGAGGCAACACCCTGTGATCAGAGTCGGCTCTGAGCTCCAGCCACTTAAGGACATGTTCATCTTCTGCTCCCTGCTTTGCCTCTATGAACACTACAATAAGTATGATGAATTATTCTCTCCAAATGCTGTATTTCCCTAATATGATCCCCCTACGCCCTTGTTTCCATGGCCTCTGTCTCAGTCTTAGGCACAAACATGTCATACCTGGGCAGTGGGTGGCAGAAACTGGATCATTTAGTCAAATGTTGATGGTATATGTGAAGTTTCATCCCCCTTCCCCTGCCCCAGCCACGTACATGAACATCCCTTCAGTCCTACAACCTCCACAAGAAAAAGCCTATAAAACATCTGAAGAAGCTTTATGGTTCTCTTCCCTCCCAATTCCATGTTACTCCATGGTAGGAAAAGCAACTTGTACAAACCTCAAAGGGCCACAGAGATTATCTACACCACTTCTCTACCTTTGAAATCGGTGAAACTGAGGCCCAGAGAAATACAGATACTCACACAGTCAGCTAGTGGTCAAGCTGGCATGAACACTGCAGTGCCCTGAGCTGTAGCCCAGCATCTGTCTCTCCACACAATGAGGGCCTCTTCATCTTTGGAATTCTCACCTCTTTTTACATCAAACAAAACTTGGCTTAAGACCCATGATTTGCCGGGTGTGGTGGCTCACGCCTGTAATCCCAGCACTTTGGGAGGCCGAGGTGGGTGGCTCGCCTAAGGTCAGGAGTTCGAGACAAGCCTGACCTCGGGGTCTCAAATAGAGACCCCGTCTCTACTAAAAATACAAAAACTAGCTAGGTGTGGTGGTGGGCACCTGTAATCCCAGCTACTCAGGAGGCTGAGGCAGGAGAATCGCTTGAACCCGGGAGGCAGAGGTTGGAGTGAGCTGAGATCACGCCATTGCACTCCAGCCTGGGCAACAAGAGTGAAACTCTGCCTCAAAAGACAACAACAACGACAACAAAAAACCCTCATTTATATCAAAATCCATCCTTGTTTCAACATGATTCCTGTGTTTGGGGTGTGTCGGAGGTCGGCGGTGGGGGGTGTATTTCAGTCTCTCTCCCCACTAGAGTAGAAGTCTCTCCAGGCATAAACCACCTCCCTGCCTCTCGCACTTCTCTGTCCATTTAAATCAGTCCAGTTCCATACCCCACCCTGGGACTATAAGTCCTGAAGAGACAGGGACTGTCTTACTAATCTTTTTGTCCTTGGGTCCTAGGAGAGTACCTGGCACACAGTAAGCGCTCAGTAAAAGCTTATCTGATAAAAACAGCTCTGTGTCCCAGCACAGGGGCTCGTGCCTATAATCCCAGCACTTTGGGAGGCCGAGGTGGGTGGATCACCTGAGGTCAGGAGTTCGAGACTAGCCTGGCCAACATGGTGAAACCCCAACTCTACTAAAAATACAAAAAATTAGCCAGGCGTGGTGGCAGATGCCTGTAATCCCAGCTACTAGGGAGGCTGAGGCAGGAGAATCACTTGAACCTGGGAGGTGGAGGTTACAGTGAGCCGAGATTGCACCATTGCACTCCAGCCTGGGAAACAAGAGCGAAACTCTGTACCAAAAAAAAAAAAAAAGAAAAGAAAAAGGAAAAAAGAAAGAAAACAGCTCTGTGAAACTGTAGAGTACATGGCCACAAATATTGACTGCTGATTTCATATTCTTTATCATCCATCCAGTACCTCAAGCAGTAGAAGAAGCAGGTAAAAGTTAGTTTCCAGAAATAGTTTAGCAGTTCTTCAAAAAGTCAAACATAGAATATCATATGACCCAGCAATCCCACTCCTAGGTTTATGCCCAAAACCCTTGTATAGATTCACTTCACTCTGCTTATCCAGTCATCAGTCAGTGGGCATCTGAGTTGTTAACCCTGTCTTTTGGCTGCTGTGAACAATGCTGCTGGGAACTTTTATATATGAACGTATGTGTGAGCAGATATTTTCAACTCTCTTGAGTATATTTCTAGGAGTAGAATTGCTGGGTCATATTTGGTAATTTTTTTTTTCATATTTTTTAACTTTTTGAGGAACTGCCAAACTGTTTTCTACAGTGGCTGTACCATTTTACATTCCAGAAATATATGAAAATTTCATTTCTCCCCATCCTCACTAACACTCACTTAAAAAATATATATATATAGCCTTCTTATTGGGAATAAAGTAGTGATTTTGATTTCCCTAGTGGCTAGTGATGTTGAGCATCTTTCCATGGGCTTCTTGGTTATTTGCCTATCTTCTCTGGATAAATGTCGATTCAGATCCTTTGTCCAAGATTAAAACTGGATTGTTTGTCTTTTTGTTATTGAGTTGTAAAATTCTTTATACATTCTGGATACTAGGCCCTTATCGGATATATTATTTACAAATATTTTCTCCCATTCTGTGGGTTCTTTTTAATTTCTTGATTGTGTCTTTTGACACACAAAAGTTTTTGATTTTGATGAAGTCTTTATTCTTTCTTTCTTTCTTTCTTTCTTTCTTTCTTTCTTTCTTTCTTTCTTTCTTTCTTTCGTTGCTTCTGCTTTTTGGTCCATGAGATCTTTGAACTCCAGCTTTCACTACCAACTAGGTCACCCCTTTCTCACTTTACTTTCTGGAGAACGAATCTGGTGGGACCCTGACTAGTCAATGATTGGCTGCTCCAGGGGCTGATCAAGGGATTTGAGGACCAGGAGTAACAGAGGGGGAAGGGATTCTGTGGTCAAACAAGACCACCAAGTGTATGCTTTCAGCAAGGGGTATGAGTGAGGGATCACTCCCAAATAGGGCACGTGGGATGACCGCACTCTCCCCCTACCAAGAAAATTGTCTCCTCACTGATCTGACACCTGGCAGCTGGCTGCCACCCAGTGGCGGAAACGAGAAAGGCTTAGGGGGTGCTAGTTTACAGTTGCTAGTTAGGTGGCTACAAAAACATTTTGCTAGAAATTTCAGTTAGGTCACACGTTGGGGCAGGATGGGTCTGGCGTTTGGATTGTTTGTGACTCGGTTGGGTTTAAGTGAAAAAGGGGCTTGTCTTTCTACTTTTGAAACTGCTGTCACTGTCACCAGCGCACTGCCTCCACGTGATAGAGAGCTGCATTCTTGTAGGTAGGCATCACCGTTTTAGCTGGAGAAGTTTGCTTCATGACCCATATGTGTTTCATTTATATGCTACTTCTACTTCTTAAAAATAGATTTCTACCCTGCCAACAGCAGGCCCCTTAATTTGAGGTGATTTTCCGGCAGTGTGTTAGGACGAAGCTGTGGCTGCGAATCACAGCACACCTAACCTTTCGTCTTAAGTTTGACCTTCTTACTTCAAACTCTACACAATCAAAATAAGTAACCATAAATTGGAGAGGAAAGAGACGAATACACACAATTAATAAACTAATGATTTAGAAGTAATAACCCAGTAATAATATCAGGGTACTCTTCACCACAATTCAATTCAACTGTTGATTTGCTAATGACAGAAATCCATCTTGAATGAACTTAAATAAAAGAATGAATTTGGCAGGGCACAGTGGCTCATGCCTGTAATCCCAGCACTTTGGGAGGCAGAGGTGGGTGAATCATTTGAGGTCAGGAGTTCGAAACCAGCTTGGCCAATATGGTGAGACCCCGTTTCTACTAAAAATACATAAATTAGCTGGGCATGGTGGTGGGCGCCTGTAATCCCAGCTACTCGGGAGGCTGAGATAAGAGAATCATTTGAACCTGGGAGGTAGAGGGTTGCAGTGAGCCGAGATCGCACCATTGCACTCCAGCTTGGGCAACAGAGTGAGACCCTGTCTAAAAAAAAAAAAAAGAATTCATAGTAAAGATGTTGGAGTATCTCAAAATCAAAGGTAGGTTGGATAACAAAATGATGAGAGAGGAATGTGTGTTATGGGGCCTCATGGGTAGTGATAGCCTAAACTTGGTCTTCAACTCTTCCTCTTTCTTTCCTTATGCTTCAGTCTGTGTTGATTTCAGTCAGTCTCTCTGCAAATGAGCATTTCCACATAGTAGGAAACATAAACACTGAAAGCTCCCATATTTCATGTTGCAGTAAGGGGCTAAATCATTGCAGAAAACAGCCACCTCTCCTGCAAGTTCACGCAGAAAGCATACACCCAGGGGTCATGCTTTACCAAGTGATTCCTGCTCCCTCCACCACTCTACAATTAGGTGTTTGCAAAATCACTGGGAGAGCTGGAGATGCAGGAATTAGGCTGAGATTCCTGGACTGACTTCCAGAACAATAGTGCAGTTTCCTGCCACAGTCAGAAAGCCTCTGCTGCTCTCTGTGCAAGTGAAATGGATGGCCTATGTTCTGCTTCTTGATACCCACAAAGCTAAGAACCAACCACTGGGACTTCAGCTGCACCTGTCACAGAAAAAAAAAAAAGTCTGTGTATCATACTTGCCCCAAAACAGCCCACAATGTGAAATTCTGCCTTCCCGATCTCTCAAGGGCATTGACTGGGGTCAATTAAGTTATCAGAAAAACCAAGCTATTAAAGAATCTGGGTGATGTGTTTCATTATAGGCTGAATGTTTGTGTCCTCACCAAATTCATATGTTGAAATCTAATCCTCAGTGTGATGGTATTAGGAGGTGGAGTCTTTGGGAGGGAATTAGGTCATGAGGGTGGAACCCTCATGAATGGGATTAGTGCTCTTATAAGAAGAGGCCAGAGAGCTAGCTGGCCCTCTTTCCACCAAGTGAGGAAACAAAGAGAAGTTAGCAGTCTGCAACCCAGAAAAGACCCTCATCAGAACCCAACCATGCTGGCACCCTGATCTCAGAATTCTGGCCTCCAGAATGATGAGAAAGAGATGTTTGTCATCTAAGTCACCCAGTTGTCACAGCAGCCTGAACTGACTAAGCCTTGTTCTTTAACTTTCCTTCCTGTAATTTGCAGTCATGTTACAAGAGATTGTAATGGAGCTGAGAGAGCCCATCTGCAGTATCTGGAACAGATCCTGACTCTTTCCTTCCATTTTCAGATTTACACTTTTATGGAAGAACTCTGCTTGGAATAGACAGAGTCCTCTATCCACCCCTGGACTAAATAATGGTGACTGATGGGGAGCCACACAATTGGATAAAAGCGAGGAAGGACCACTTCAGACAGGGAGACTCCTCTGAAACCACCTGGTTGGACAGGAGTTAGGGGAAGGCCTTATGAGGCCTTCAAAGCTCTTGGTGATCTTGGCCACCTAATGACTTGTTGACTTCATCTCCTACTTCTCACCCACTTGCTCACCTTGCTCCACTTTAAGGATACCAAAGCCCATTCTTACTCCAGCTATTGGGCAGGCTGTTCTCTGTGCCTGGAACATCCTTCCCTGAGATAGCCACAGGATTCTCTTCCTTACCTCACTCAAGTCCTTGCCCAGATTTCACTTTCTCAGCAAGGCCTACCCTGACCATCCCATTTAAAATCGCAGCCTGTTTCCCTCCCCTGGCACTCACAGTTCTTCTTATCCTGCTTCATGCTAGTTTTTTCTCTATTCACACATTGCTTTCTATCATATCCTTTTTTTAATTTTTTTTTTTTTTTTTTTTTGAGATGGAGTCTCGCTCTGTCACCTAGACTGGAGTGCAATGGCACAATTTTGGCTCACTGCAACCTCCGCCTCCTGTTTTCAAGCGATTCTCCCACCTCAGCCTCCTGAGTAGCTGGGATTACAGGCGCCTGCCACCACCCACGGCTAATTTTTGCATTTTTAGCAGAGACGGGGTTTCACCATGTTGGTGAGGCTGATCTCGAACTCCTGACCGCAGGCAATCTGCCTGCCTCGGCCTCCCAAAGTGTTGGGCTTACAGGCGTGAGCCACCGCACCTGGCCTATAATATTATTTACATACTTATGCTTATTGTCTTTCTCCCCTCTCCATGATGGCAGGAACGCTATTTTTAGACAAAGGAAAATGTTCTGTGCAAAGAAAATAAGAGTTGTCTACTACAGCCAACAATTATTATGTACTGTGTGCCAGGCACCATGAAAATTTAAATGCATAAGGCATGGTTCAGGCACTCAGAAACCCCCCCAAAATATCTCCTTAAAAAGAAAAAAAAGATGGGGGGGATCTTTTTTTCTTTTTCTTTCCTTGCTTTTTTTTTTTTTTTTTTTTTTCCTGAGACAGGGACTCACTGTCACCCAGGCTAGAATGGAGTGTTGCAATCATAGCTCACTGTAGCCTCGAACTCCTGGGCTCAAGCAATCCTCCCACTTCAGCCTACCAAGTAGCTGAGACTGCAGGTGCCAGCCACCACATCTGGCTAATTTTTTTTGTTAGTTTTTTGGAGAAATGAGGTCTTGCTATGTTGCCTAGGCAGGTCTCAAACTCCTGGCCTCAGGTTATCCTCCTACCTTGGCTTCCCAAAATGCTGAGAGAAAAATCTTTGATGACGAAGTGAGAAGTGGTATGCTAAGAGGAATCATGGTTCGAAGAAGGGAGTGTATCACTTGTTCTTGTACAAACAGAGGATGCTATAGAGGGAGAAGCCCAGGCCTGAACCAGACCTTCAAAAGATGAATGAATTCAGGTAGATGGTAGAAGTAAGGAGGATATTCCAAGGAGGGATAACTGCATGAATAAAGATGTAGGATCACAGGAGTTGGGGAGAGAAAAATGTTCCCCGATTCATAAAACAAAAATTATGAGCTACAAAGAAGTAACTAATACACTAACATGTTCCCCTTCCCCATGTCCCCAGTAGTCTGTGTGTTTGTGTTTAATATTTGACCAAAACCTGCAAGGCAGTGGGTGGGAGATTTCCCCTTGGAACAGGGCATAGGAAGAATCTCTGTAAACCCTAAGCTAAGGCAAAGGCCTCACTTTATGCCTTCCTTGATGTAAAATTGCATGTGGGCAACCTAAAGTAAGAAGGTCAAGAGAAGTGCTCCTATAAAAGATCATGAAAAAAGAGGGATTGTAGAATTCCAGTCTCACTGGAGTCTAAATTAGCAGTTCTTTAATTTCAGCATGTAGACGAGTGGCCGGGGATCATGATGCATATTGGATGTGTGTGTTTCTGTGAAGCTTCCCAAAGTCCCTGATACTTTATTATCTGGAACAATTTGCTTCTCCTTCTAAACAAGTCCCATCTTATCCAAGCCCAGGAAGGCTTTGCCTTTCACCACTAAAAAGACCTCGAGAGCATCATAGTGTTTTCCTAAGAAAAGTAAAATTAAGAAAAAAAAATCTACCCTGAAGAATTACATCCCCTTCCTAGAAAGCAGAAGATGTTGCAGTCATTTTTTGTTTCAGATAGAATTCTTTTCTTCCACTCAAAAGTGGTTTGCACAACCATGGTGGGCAGAATAATGGCCCTCCACAGATGTCCTCATCCTAATCCCCAGCACCTATGAATATGTTACCTTATATGGTAAAAGGGACCTTGCAGATGTGACTAAAGACCCTGAGATGAGGTATTTTTTCTGAGTTATCCAGATGGGCCCAATCACACGAGTTAGCAAAATCTGGGAGCCTTTCCCACTGGTCAGAGGGAATGTGACCACAGAAGAAGGGCCCAGAGATACAGCATTGCTAGCTTTGAAGACAGAAGAGACCATCAGTCAAAGAATGGAGATGTCCTTTAGGAGCTAAAAAGGCAAAGAAACATATTCTCTCCTAGGGCTTCCAGAAAGGAAAACAGCCCTCACCTTGATTTTAGCCCAGTGAGACCCGTGGCAGATTTCTAACCTCCAGAACTCCAAGATAATACATTTGAGATGGCCAGGTGCACTGGCACACATCTGTAATTCTAGCTACTCGAGAAGCTGAGGAGGTGGGAGGATTGTTTGAGCTCAGGAGTTCATGTCCAGCCTGGGCAACACAGTGAGACCCTAGCTCTAAAAAAAATAAATAAATAAGGCCGGGCACGGTGGCTCACGCCTTCAGCACTTTGGGAGGCCAAAGCAGGCAGATCATGAGGTCAGGAGTTCAAGACCAGCCTGGCCAACACAGTGAAACCCCATCTTTACTAAAAATACAAACATTAGCCGGGCGTGGTGGTGTGTGCCTGTAGTCCCAGCTACTTGGGAGGCTGAGGCAGGAGAATCAATTGAACCCGGGAGGCAGAGGTTGTGGTGAGCCGAGATTGTGCCACTGCACTCCAGCCTGGGCAACAGAGCAAGACTCTGTCTCAAAAAATAAATAAATAAATAAATATATACATACATACATACATTTGTGTTAAGCCACTTTTTAAATTTTTACAGCAGCATTAACAATGAGTGCGATGATATAAGTGAACTTCACAGAGATTTTAAAACACACACACATAATGGCAGAAACCACATGGGACAGGGAGGGCTACTCTTCCTGGCCATTCTCTGATGACAGGTTTTCTCCCCCATCGCCTAGTAACTTGAGTGTGGAGGGAGCCCACAGTGCTCTTCTGCATGTGCTCCTTACACTCTTCAATACTGTGAAAGCAAGGACAGAAATACAAAAATAGAAATAAATGGAAAGCACACTGTTTCAAATGTTCATAAGAGGTGACTGTGTTTTGTAAACTATATTATCTCATTTCTCTTGATGTTTAGTACAGTCTTGTTGAATGTCCCAGCTTTACCACCACTGAATTTTGGAATGTTCTGGGAAATCATGTGTTCATCATTGAGCTGAAGCATTAAAAATTGAGCAGATCTCACCCATCCCAAACAGAATGGTGGTAACAATAGAAAATCATAGGGGATCCTTAAAGGAGAGATCATAGAAGACAAGATTCAGATCCACAAAGTCCAGCCATTTGACCTTTGTAGGATAATCTTCCTCCAAGGTTGGCCATGGAGGACACAAATTTTATTCAATTTGAACCTTAATATTGGGCTTTTGTGGCATTAAATTAAACAGGGAAATCCCACACCTTTTTTCCCAGAATTTTTTTCTTTCTCAAGCTCACCATCAAAAGCTATTGCTGCTTCAGTTGGCCTCTTTAAAACTTCAGTGAATAACTTTCTGATGAGGTGACTACTACTAATGTTACTCAAAACAAGCAGAACATATCACACTCATAAGAAATGTGACTGGAGTTACAACGGTCAGCCTGTCTGAGCAGAGCAACCACTGTACAGTTATCTACTTCCATGGTGCCGTGGAAAGTCCTAAGGTGTCATTCATAGTTAAATACACCATCCCAAACCAACTCATGAAATGAATGCCTATTGAGTTTTTGCTCCAGTTTACAGTGATTCCCTCTTCTCCAATGACTTCTCCCCTCACACCTCCATCCTCATGGTCATAGCTATGGAGCTCTACATAGCCTTTCGTGCAATATGAACTTTTCTAATGCCGTGGCCATCGCTGATGGGTCTGGGTTGGGCAATTGACCCAGACTGGGAAATCAGTCTCTTCTTTAGGAATTTGGAATTGGTGTGGGTGTGTGACGGAGATCTCCCTGGAGAGTCACAACAATAATATTTAGACTCAAAAGCTGTTGGAAGACTAGTTTTCCATAAAGTGAACCAGAAAAGCAGAGGAAGTTAGTTCTCTGTCTTCTACAGGAAGACAGAGAAGAGTGAAGCAGATGCAAAGTGAAGCAGACGTCTGTGTTTCAGGCCTTGGTTCCAATCTGCTCCTGGCTTAGCTCCATCTCCGACCTGCAGTATTCTAAACTACTTCTTTGGCCTTTTAATAAAGTCCTTTATGCCTGTGGGAGACCAGAATATGCCCCCACCCCAAAATGTGAACAATGGTTGAACTGAGGGCAATTAAGAAGGAGCAGATTCAGGAAAGCTCTCTGCACTCCCTTTATTTGCCTAAAAGCAGGGCATAGATTTACAAAGACAAAGGTATTCTCTCTCCCCAGGAAAAACAAGGTTAACCACTGCAGAGAACTCTGCACGTACTGACCTGCAGATGATACCAGGAGAATCTACATGAAGGAGCTTTACTGACCCACCTTTAACTGCCAGTTATTTGCCTTCCCACAATTTACTGCCCCTAGAAACTCATTTTCCTTTATCTTATCACTTTTCTAGCAATCTGTATTCTTTGTTGAAGATGCTATATAAGCTTGAATTCAAAGCCACCTCTGAGAACTATTCATTCCTGGGTGTCTCCCATGTATATGTAAAATATACATGTTAATAGACTTCTATTTGTTTTTCTCTTTTCAATCTGTATTTTGTCACCTGGGTCTGTTCAAACCAAGAACTCATGAGGGTTGAAGAAAAAATTATTTTTCTTCCTCTACAAGCCCTTTTGCTTAAGCTGGTTTGAGAGGAGTCAGTTTGGCCTGTTATTAAAAAATGCCATAGCCTTAAACAACAGAAATTTATTTCTGGAGGCTAGGAGGTCTGAGATGAGGGTGCCAGCATGGGCAGGCTCTGGTGAGGGCCCTCTTCCTGGCTGACAGACAGCTGTGTCCTCCCATGGCAGAGAGGGTGCTCTGGTCCCTTCATCTCACAAGGGCGCTTATCTCATCATGGGGTCTCCACCTTCATGATCTGAACTAACCCTCCAAATATATTGGGGATTAGGGTTTCCACATATAGATTTTGGAGAGACACAAACATTCAGCTTGTAGCAAGTAGGTTTCATTTACATTACAATAATATGTCCCGGAGAATAAAAATGAGTGCTGAGGAGCAAGTCTGAGATGCAATGACATACCTTTTGTGGACAAACAGCCTTGGCAGCCACTGTCTCACCCACCATCATTAGTGCCTCATTTCTGTTGGCAAATATGCAAGAACTAACCAGAAAAAAAGAGGCTGCTTTTACATCCCTCTTTTAAAATGCAAAGATGGAGGTTAGATATCCCCTCGGCTAGTCTCAAAAACAGCTCTCTGTTTCATTCTACTTTCTCCTGCGTACGCCTTGGGAACAGCAGTAAACCAAGGAGTTGATTGCTTTAGTCATTTACACAAACGGCTAGAACGGGAATAAATGAAAGCAAAAGCTCTTACTAGTAGGCTAAATGCCACAAAGGGCTGCCACAGACCAGCATTTACATGATAACGAATTAGCTCGTTGTGTCTCTCAAAATTAAAATATGCATTTTCTCCCCACTCCCAAAACACAGTCTCTCTCTCCTTTCCCTCACTCTCTCTCTCGCATACACAAATTCCTTATTCAGTCCTAATGCCCTGGGTCCGACACTGTCAATTCAAGGGTAGGAAGACAAACTTTCCTGAGATCACAGAAACAGTCACATGGCAGAGAAATGTCTGTCAGACCCAATAAGATGCAAAATCTGACCTGAGCTACTACAAGGCAAAAAGCCAAGGTAGGCCTTATTAATTGTTGATTTCTGGCACTGTTCTGAATAGAAAACACACTTTGGGCATGTGAAGCTTCTCTGCCATCTGACTTTGGCTGGTTCTCTTAATCAACAAAAATGAATCTGAAATACGTTTGCCTGAGCCAGTCTCATAAGTTAATTCCACACAAAGAAAACCTATTCTCTTGCACAATTTCAACAACATGTTGTATTGTTAATAAGAAATTAAATGAACCTGATTTTTTTAATGTGTCAGGAATATTTATTTCTAGAAGAACAGAAGATTACAGATCTCAAATCTAAAAATATCTATTATAAAATCTACATGTGTTTTTCCCTACCCAAGCAGGGAATGAATTTACAGGGGATAGAAAATACAGGCTAGGCGTGGTGTCTCACGCCTGTAATCCCAGCACTTTGGAGGCTGAGGCGGGCAGATTGCCTGAGGTCAGAAGTTTGAGACCAGTCTGGCCAACATGGTGAAACCCTGTCTCTACTAAAAATACAAAAATATTAGCTGGACATGGTAGTGCACACCAATAGTCCCAGCTACTCGGGAGGCTGAGGCAGGGCAATTACTTGAACCAGGGGGGTGGAGCTTGCAGTGAGCCGAGATTGCACCACTGCACTCCAGCCTGGGCGACAGAGTGAGACTCCATCTCAAAAAAAAAAAAAGAAGAAGAAAAGAAAAAAATAAAATGTAACAGAAGAGTTTATTTTTTATTCAAAAATATTCAAATATTTTGAGTTCAGAAATTGTTACTTGGTATAGGTCAAACCATATGAAAATGCTGATATATACCTACTGTGTGCCTTACAAGTATGGGATTTGGAGTCAAATAGAACTTGCTTTCAGTACTAGATGCATTACTCCCAGCTGTGTGCAAGTTACTTAGCTCTCTGGGCCTCAGTTTCAACATCTGTACAATGAGGGAGATAATATCAACTTCATAGGGTTGTTGCTACGTCAGGTGCTGTACTAGGTATAGGATATCTCATCTGACACCCTACCAAGTAGGGGGCGAGGGGAACCTTCAGACATTCTGAAAAACTGAAGCTTCTTATCACTTTCTAGAGTTTTTCTAGGCCAGGTTTCCCTTACCTAAACCTAAACTGGAAGAACTTCCCTAAGCAAGAGGGATAAAAAGCTATTACTCCTTCAAAAGAAGATCAAAAAATTTATCTGTGAGGTTATTTCTTCAGCCCAAACTTATCTGCAATGTAGGTCTGTCTTTCTCTCTTTCTCTCTCTTTCTTTCTTTTCTCTTTCTTTCTTCTTTCTTCCTTTCTCTTCCTTTCTTTTTCTTTTTCTTCTTTCATTCTGGCTTTCACAAGAATAATAGGATTATTTTGCATCTACCTGCTACTAAAAAAAAAAAAGACAAAACAAAACAAAAACCCTGTTTAGCTGTTCCTTACTCAATATAGACTTGCAGACTTGTCAGGGTTTATAAAGCATGCATTTAAATTCTTATTCTAATCTCCACCCCTGTTCCCTACCTAGCTGAATTCTACATCCCTGTCCCCTCTCCCCACTCAGAGACAAAGCAAGGATCATTCAGAAGATGTCATCTGGATGCTGCAAGTGGCTAAGTGAGCCTAGCCTGGCTTAGTGCAGACACACTCATCTAAGTGAGCCATGATTACATCAGTAAAGAGAGGTGTGCAGGATTCCAGTCTCACTTTATCTTCACAACAATCTTACACTGCAATTATCATTTTACTGATTTTACAGATAAGGAATCTGTGACTAAGAGAGATGGAATAGCTTTCCCAAAGCCCTATATCTGTCTGACTTCTGAATGCCCTGCAGCCTAAACAGTCCCTATAAAAGATAACTCACAATCATGCCACTCCCCTGCTTGAAACTCGCCAGTAGTTTCACATCATGCTTTCAGTAAAGTCCAGTCTTCCCACAGCCTGCAAGATCCATCATGATCTGGCCTCTGACTTCTTCTCAAACCAGCCAGATACGTTCTCATCTTGAGACCTTTGATTTTATGGACCCCTCTGCCTAGAATGCTTTTCCCCAGATCTCCACGGATGGCTCTTTCTTGACTCCCTGACACTTCTTTCACAGGGCTTCCCCGACCACCTAATCTGTAATAGCTCCTCTTTCCAACCCTGTTTTGTCTTCTTCATTGCACTTATCACTTTTTGAAATACTACTTATTCTATTAGTTTACTGACTTGTCTAAACTGCCCAAGGGTAGGGCCTTTAGTCTTTTCATTACTGTATCTATAGTATCTAGCATTGTGTCTTACAATAGTAAGCGCTTAATGATTATTTATTAAATGAATAAATAAATAGAAGCTGTCATAGTCCATTTTGTGCTGCTATAAATACCACAGACTGGGTAATTTTTAATAAACGGAAATTTATTGGCTCACAGTACTGAAGGCTGGAAAGTCCGATATTGAAGTCCCAGCATCTTGCAAGGACCTTCTTGCTGCATCATCTCATGACAGAAGGACAAAGAGAGAGAGCGAGGGGGGCAAAACTCACCATTTTATAACATTAATCTATTCATGAGGGTAGAGCTCTCAGGACCTAAACACCTCCCATTAGGCCCCATCTCCCAACACTGTTGCACTGATGATTAAGTTTCCAACACATTAGTTTTGGAGGGGACAAAACATTCAAACCATAGCAGCAGTGTTGGTAGGAGAAGTCAGTTTAAATCCTCTTGCTAAAGTTGTGCTAGATAATAGAAGTGCTCTAGATTATTATAGAGATTCAGTTGTAGAAAATTAACAAAACAGCCTCCTTAGTTAAAAAGAGCAGATTGTAACTAGCTCATTCTTTGTTCTACTTAATTTTAGTTGGTTTTATTCATGGGGACCCTAGCTAAGGAACATACTCCAAACTCTTGGTATTATCTTCCTGGTACACTGTATTATCGCAAAAGTTTTAAATGTTTTCATGCAGCCATCCACAGAATGTCAAGTGGTCTCTCTTTGATTGGAACAACAAAAACTCAAAGAAATGTGTGACCCTGAGGACATGATAACCTATGAATGATGTCCTGAGACCTGAAACCCAAAATGATGGTAACTGAGAGCAGCACTAAAGCCCTAAGTTTTGGTCACACTCTCACCTAAGAACCTGACCAAAAGGGAAGAATTTTTAAAGAAAATTATGGGAGTCCATTGTTTTGGACTGAGCTTATGCACTAGGCTCCAACAGACCATACCAGACTATCAAACTGAAACTTTAAGGAAGCAAATAGATCCTAAAACAGACCAGGTTTTGTTTTTCTTCTGAAAACAAGAGATTCCAGCACAAGGAGATCCCTCTACTCCAACACTTACAAAGATGTAACCCGAAGCCCTTGTTCCCACCTTACAAAATCACTCTTCTGCTATTTACCAGTGGGATTTGAGACCCAATAAGTACATTTATGATGGTGACAGAGTGACATCAATGCCTAAAGTTGTGGTCAACCTCTCAATTTAGAGAGATTGACCAAAAATGGGAGAATTGTTAAATAAAGTTTAACCTAAAACTACCTCCTTTGTACATATTCTAAGTTTGACCTAAAGGTTTCTCTCTACATCATGAACTATAACCCAACTTAATGTGTAAACAGGCTGTAACCCTCTCTTGTACCAATCACTGGAGTTTCAGCAAGTTACAGGCAGCCAACTGTTCAAACCGCATTCAAGTTAGGCAAACACCAAGCTGTAACCAATCCGGCTGTTTCTGTACCTCACTTCTATTTTCTGCACACCCTTCCTTCCCCCAAACTATCTTTCAAAAACCCTAGCCCCCAAATTCTCAAGGAGGCTGAACTGAGTAATAATAAAACTCCAGTCTCCCATTAGCTGGCTTTATGTATATAAAACTCTGTGTCTATTTCCAATTCCCCTCCCTTGATAAATTGTCTCTATCTGGGGAGCAGGCAAGTAGCACGCATTGGGTGGTTACAGTAATGTTAAATAAAATTTACAGGAGGACTTTTGTTTGAACTGAGTTTCTGCACTATGCCCAGCAGCCCAAACCAAAATGGAGTCACTCATGCTAAAGTTCCACAGCACCAAGCCTAAATTAACTATTTATCTGACCTTCCAAGAAATCAAAAGAGTGAGAGAGAACAGTCAAATCCCCAACTAAGCCAGAGTTAGCCGGCATCATAAGGAAGTTTCCTCTGCTTTATCCTTTATAAGGAAAGTAACTTTTGAAACAAGCATCCACTTTTTGTTTTCTATTTCTGCTTTCCTCAGCCCTTTTCTGTCTACAAAACCAACTTCTGCTCAGCTTATCTGAATGCTCATTCTATTTTACAGAATGCGGTGCTACCCAATTTTAAAGTTGCAAATAAAAGCCAGTTAAGATGTTTAAACTAAATGTGTTATAATTTTGTCTTTTGACAGTAGTTAAAACAATTCTCCCATTTTTGGTCAATCTCTCAAAATGGCCTTAGGTATCCTTAGGTTCAGGATTGAGTTTTACCACTTCTTAGCCAGTTAAGTTATCTTCTCTGAATCTTTGTTTTCATCTGTAAAATAAGAGTAAATAATACCGGCTGGGCACAGTGGCTCATGCCTGTAATCCCAGCACTTTGGGAGGTGGAGGCGGGCAGATCATTTGAGGACAAGAGTTCAAGACCAGCCTGGGCAACATGACGAAACCCTGTCTCTACTGAAAATACAAAAATTAGCTGGGTGTGGTGGTGCATGCCTGTAATCCCAGCTGCTTGGGAGGCTGAGGCACAAGAATCACTTGAACCTGGGAGACGGAGGTTGCAGTGAGCTGAGATCTTACCACTGCACTACAGCCTGGGCGACAGAGCAAGACTCTGTCTCAAAAAATAAAAAAGTTAAAAAAAAAAGAAGAGTGAATAGTACCTACCACGGAAATATTTCATGAAGATAAGAAAACAGAGGTACTTGGTACATGTCTACTGCATAGAGTGAGCTTAGTAATTCTTACCTATTCATAATAATAACTTCTAGAAGTAATTATAAAATCTAAATTATGTTTAAATTATCTTCAACTATCTTTAGAAATCAATGGCTGTTGAACTGTAACCCAATACTTTATACGTCATTCTTCCAAGGTTCAGGACAACCCCAAAATATGATGGTAGGAGACCAGAATATGCCAGTCCAAAATGTAATCACCTGACAGGTTGTTCTTACCTGCTGCCCAGAAAAGCCAAATGCACTGAGAACAGCAGGAGTGTTTGCAGCAAAGAAAATGTTTAATTGTGGCCAGGCGTGGTGGCTCATGCCTGTAATCCCAGCACTTTGGGAGGCTGAGGCAGATGGATCACTTAAGGTCAGGAGTTTGAGACCAGCCTGGCCAACATGGTGAAACCCCGTATCTACTAAAAATATAAAAATTAGCCTAGTGTGGTGGTGAGTGCCTGTAATCCCAGCTACTCAGGAGGCTGAGGTAGGAAAATAGCTTGAACCCTGGAGGAGGAGGTTGCAGTGAGCCAAGATCGCACCACTACACTCCAGCCTGGGTGACAGAGCGGGACTCCGTCTCAAAATAAATAAATAAAAATAAAAGAAAGTGTTTAATTGTTACAGAGCTAGCCAAGTGAGGAAGATGGGAGATAATTCTCAAATTTGCCTCCCTGACAACTTGGAGGCTAGGGTTTTCAAGGATAGTTTAGTGAACAGAGGGCTAGGGAATGGTGAATTATGATTGGTTGGGTTGGAGATGCAATCATAGGGGGTTGAAACTCTCTTCTTGTGCTGAGTTGGTTCCTGAGCAGAGGTTAGCAGACTGGTTGAGTCTGTTTCTTGGTATGGGTTACTGGTCTAGGTGGCTGGTGCCAGCTAGTCCGTCAAGAAGCAAGGTTGCAAGGTGTAAAAGATACTTCAAACACCAGCTTCAGGTTTTACAATAGTGATGTTATATATAGGAGCAATTGGGGAGGTTAAAAATCTTGTGACCTCTGGATACATGACTCCTGAACCATAATTCTAACATTGCGGAATTTTACAAAGGCACTTTTGGTTTCTGCACAGGGAGGGGGTTTATTTTAGGAAACGGCTATTATCATTTTTGTTTTAAAGTTAACCTATGAACAAAATCTCTCCCATAGTTAGCTTTGCCTATGCCTAGGAATGAGCAAAGACAGCTTGTGAAGTTAGAAACAAGATGGAATCAGCTATGTCAGCTCTCTCTCACTGTCATAATTTTTGCAAAGGCGGTTTCAAAATATGTCTCTTTGGCATATTGATTATTGTAAGCTGGTTATCTTGAGAAACTTCAGACATAGGAGTAATTCTGCAAAGTTGCCCTTCCATAAGGAAACTTACATCTATAAAGGAAACATTTATTTGAAAGGATATCTCCCTCTCTTCACCAGCAAGAGAAGGACTAAATCGCTAGAGATTCTTATCCATGAAGAAGGCATCAATTTAAATCTGCACAACAAACCTTACCTCTTTTACAGCACGGGCGTTCAAACTTTTGGCTTCCCTGGGCCAAACTGGAAGAAAAATTGTCTTGGGCCACACGTAAACTACACTAACGACAGCTGATGAGAAAAAAAAAAAAATCACAAAAAAAATCTCATAATGTTTGAAAAAAGTTTATGAATTTGTGTTGGGCTTCATTCGAAGCTATCCTGGGCCACATGAGGCCCGCGGGTCATGGGTTGGACAAGCTTGGTTTACAGTGTTTTTCCTGGCCATCTTAAGCAGGACTTTCCTCATACCCTTCTTTCTTTGTTTCAGCAAATGATGGTATTTAAGCCAGAGGTTTAACTCTTTTTTGAGAACTACTCTAGAGATTTATTAATTTTCTCCCATGTATATAAGAGGTATTATATATTAATAAACTCTTGTTTGTTTTCCTCTTGTTAATCTGTCTTTTGATATAGGGAATTCTGGTTAAGAATCATGAAAGGTAGAGAGATTCTTTTTCCTCCCCTTTAGTTCTAAGATTACCTGACCCTGCAGTACGCACATTGAGCCATCGCAGACACAGTACAAGGTTTAGGAGAGTTGCAGAAGATTGTGACTTAGGATTTGGGCAGAAACACTTTTGAAGATTTTTAAAAACATAATTGATCCACCCAATGGAGCAATAGAGTGATATTCATGCATTGCAAAATCTGCATACAAAAAAAGGGCTAGTTTTTAGGTGACACTGGGCTCAGGCTTGCCACATCCCTCCCTTTCCATGGTCCTCTGACAGATCAGGAGCACTTTGATCGAACTGTGGTGTGGTGAGCATCACCCTCCCTCAGACCGACAGCATCAGTAGTGGAACTCTTGACCATATAGGAGCATACAGAAGCATGTGTCCGTCCGTAGCATAAGACATTTCAGTGAGTTCCCAAATATAACTGATATTCCCAGCCATTTTTGAAATGACAATTTTTTCATATAAAACAGACATTATTTCTTGACGCACTTTCCCAAAGGTTCCAAAGTCAGTATTGGAAAATGTTGACTAGGGAGCCATAGAAACCTCACAGGGAAATCAGAACGCCTGGTGAAAATGCTCAGAGCATTTGTCAGAGCTCCCAAGAGGTGATTAAAGAAACTTCTTGCTCTGTTGGGTTTCTCCACAGTCAAGGACCATGTTACAAAGCTGGTTTTGTGAGGAGGCCATAGCTCTGGGGCGGGGCCCGCCAGGCTGACTTCCAGGCCCAGAAGGGAATGAGTCCCAAACTTGACCCCAGCTGGAAAAGTGAAATGTGCTAGAGAAAGCAAGAGAAAATCAACTCATTAAATTGTCCGCTACATAAAACACAGATTGTTTTAGAGATAGGAGGAAACATATTTTCTCAGATCCAGAAACAGTGGTTTCCAGTATGTTCATCATAAGGGGTCCGATGCAAAGGTGCAGGACTGATCCTCCACTCCCAAGAATTCTGCAGGGAACATATGTGCACAGATGTCACACACATCTGTTCTGACTAAATTAACTTGTAAAGGGGGAAAATGAAAGTTTAAGGCCTCTAAAATAGCACCAGTGAGGAGGAGAACTATTCAAAGGGAAGTTTTGTAATGCCTGGGATTGGAATTCGGATTTTGAACTAAAAGAAGACCCAGTGTTTGCTACACAGCTCAATCTGTGTTGAATCAGGAATTTTAATGGAATTCAGTTTTAATGACTAATACAAACAATTAATTCTATGTCACTTTAACTACAGAATCAAAAATAATAACCATTGTTCTAGTCATTAATGATGCAACTGATAAAAAGCAATTCATTTGGCTGGGCACAGTGGCTCATGCCTGTAATCCTAGCACTTTGGTGGCTGAGGTGGGTGGATTGCCTGAGCTCAGGAGTTCCAGACCAGCCTGGGCAACATGGCAAAACCCATCTGTACAAAAAATACAAAAGTTACCTGGGCATGGTGGCATGTGCCTGTAGTCCCAGCTACTTAGGGGGCTGAGGTAGGAGGACTACTTGAGCCTAGAAGGTTGAGGCTCCAGTGAGCTGAGATTGCGCCACTGCACTCCAGCCTGGGTGACAGAGCGAGACCCCGTTTTTTAAAAAAAGAAAAGAGAAAAAAAGAAATGAAAAATATTTTGTAATTGTTAGCAAAATTTACTAACTATAGCCTAGAGTTATTATACTTGTGATGTTTCTTTTTTTCAACAGAATATAAATACACAAATTTTCATGATTGTGAATTTGCTTTTTCTGTATTCTGGATGGTACCTTAACACCATGTGCATTACAAAACACAAGTCCAAGTGCTAATTATTCTTGTTCATCATTAGATGTGTTTTCCAATCAATAGAATGACATGCTACAGAGCACATGACTCTTTTAAAGGTACCAGGGCATTGCAAACTCTTTTCTAGGGCAACACAAGGCCTCTCACTAAAGTAGGAATAGTAGCAAACAAACAATGGTGAGAATGTTGGTTCTCTTAAAATGCTAGCATTTAAGTTACAATTGAAGGGCATTCTTGTTATAAAAATCATACTTTCACCCTGCTTTCTTTTATTCACATTGATGCCCTTTTTTTACTTTACGAAAAGAGGTTTCCAATGAATTTTTCCATAAATCATCCCCTAGGCTTTTAATGTTTC
The DNA here is from genome assembly GCF_000001405.40 of Homo sapiens. Taxonomy (NCBI): domain Eukaryota; kingdom Metazoa; phylum Chordata; class Mammalia; order Primates; family Hominidae; genus Homo; species Homo sapiens. Next base: position 69,954,719 of record NC_000009.12, on the reverse strand, counting down.
AAATAAGTGTGCCACCTATTCTATTCATTTGGAGCCATAAGATCCCTTAACTTAAGTATTCTATTTTGGTCACAGTACTAGGTATCACTGTTAATTAAGAAACATTTGAAACTATTACTTTATAGTAATGCATTTGAATGCGAGGAAGATGGAAGGCACACTTGAGGAGTCAGCAAAACAATAATTGTCACTGTTACACCAATATTCATAGTAGTCTAGTGATTAGGATTCTGTGCTTTCACAGCCATGGTACTGGTTTGGTTCCCAGTCAAGGAACCAGTCTCTGAAAAAAAGTCCTTTAACTCAGAAGAAGAAACATTTATAAAATTTTGGTTTGATATTTGTATAACTCTTGACTTTTGAGGGTATCCATTTGTTATTGATCCTTTTCCCTTTAATGTGCAACTTTTGATCTCCTGTTTTACTGTCTATTTTAATCTTCCATCTGTAGGCACATGGGATGGTTGGCCTTTGTGTGTAGATGGTCAGCTGAGAAGCTGAGACCCTAGAGAATATGGCAGGACAGAAATGTGGGTTGTACTCCATTTGTGGCTAGCAAAGCTTTCTTTTCTTTGAGCTGTCTTTGCAGTGGATCTGGATCTTGTGAGAACTGCTTTGCACCTCTTTGGAGATATGGAGATATTTAGTGCATCATTAGTTAAGTCACAACACTGGTTAAGGCTTACTGGTTTTGGTGAGTTACTTGGAAAGGTACCTTGGTTTAAAAGAAAAGAAAAAAGACGTTCAAAAGCCAGGTATATTGGCTGCTTGTCCCAGATAAAATCTGATAATAAGAAATTTTAAAAGATTTGTTTTAAACTCTCTATGGTCAGAAGTCAACTTAATTAAAAATTAATATTCAGGCTCTCTGTTGGATTGTGTTTCTGGGAATATTTTTTAGTTGACTAAAACTTTTCATAAATTATATGTTTGGTCCCTCTGTCTGCTTCCTTTCTTATTGATATGATTTTTGCCAGAAAAAAATGTAAAATGTCATTGGCTTTTCCAGAAAGCTTAAAATCTCCTCATATTGGCTCCTCTAAGAATTGTTCTCCCATTTACTTCTGCCCCTTATTCCTCTTTGCTATCTTTGATACCACATGAAGGGACCTAGGAAGGAGCTTCTGATGATTCTGAGATCCCCATGAGTAACACAGAAAAAGGCATCACACACCTTCTTTTTTTGGAGTGGTGGGGAGGTCTTCTGACTTCCTTGTGTAATTCCAAAAGTCATGGGCAGGTTTCTCACAGGTCTAAACCTCTGTTCTCTTTTGCACTGAGTTCCCTGATGTCTTTATGTTTTAGGGTATCAGGGATTACTTTGTACCATGAGAGAGCACTTGACATTTGTGTGTGTGATGGCTGACAAGTCACTGGCGAGGCCTGCAGTTTTGGGGGTGGCTGACAGTGCTACAGTGAATGATTGTCAATATGGGGAGCTATTCATTACTTTGTGTGTTTAAGTAAGAAAGACATGGAGCTAGGATACTTGGAGCTAATGAGGAACTAATGTTCACTAATGAGGGATAATACTCCCAAGTGGGATGGGCTGATCCCAGAGTAGACTAATTTGCATTGGGTCACCCACCAGCCTCAGGGAAATGTCTTTGTAGTAAGGGGCACTGTGGAACATTGCATGGCCTGGTCCCATGGTCCTTTGTATTTGGAGAGTACCTGGGATTCAGTGTAAAAATGGGACCCTTAATTTCTGAGGTTTTAAATTCTCTGTTTTCTAGCTATACCTGCTTTTCACATATATAACTCTCAGGTTCTGAAAACACAAATGCTTTGTTGGTTCTATTTATTAATGGGCTCCACTCTGAGCTCAGTGGTCCAGTTGGAAAATGGAGACTAAATTAGAAACTATCTAAGTAAAATTGGTCTCCTAATAAAATCCTATGGTGAATTCTTAAGTTTTTGTGTTACCTTTGCATCAATCTTAAATCATCCTCTAACAAACCCAAATCGCTTCTTATAAAAGCTTAAAGTCTCTCTCTGTGCTTTAAAATGTAAATTTGCTAAACATGTTTTCTCTAAAACTCAGTAAGGATTTCAGCCATGTGGGACAGGTAAATTTTAACTTGTTCTATTTACAAAGGCATAGTTTGAATCCAACTGTCCTTTTAAACTAGTACATTTTATAGATCTCATGACTAAAATTTTTAAATTAAAGTTATAAGGGCTTTATTTGTGTTCGTCAATATTTTTACATATACATGCATACATGGCTGTCTATTATATACATGGTGTTAAATTAAGTTATAAAAACATGAGTACTCATAAATTAAATAACTAGCCCAAATGCTTTTCAAGTTCACGAGACATTGGTAATCTTTGGAAAGCAGAGCTAGTTTTAAAATTGTTGGGAAAATAAAATAGAAATGTTTTCAAAATTTTAGACATTTTTTGCCTGGGTCTACTGGTCAACTTTATTCTGTTTCTCCTAGATTAGTTTTATGATCATAAAACTATTGTTTCTGTGGCTTTTTGATACTTGTTATGATTTGTCTGTGAGTTTGTCTTTGGTTTTGAGCCTTTACATTCTGAGGTCTAGAGAAGTGGCCATGGTGAGGCCAGGGAACATACATAGTGTCCACAGCAGCCTGGACCACCAGCTGCAGAGCACAGCCACACTCAATATGATTCTGTCCTTGATGGCCCAGTTCTGTTTCTTGTCCATGCTGAAAGACGTCAGATCTTCCAAGCATTGTTTCCATAGCTCTATCCTCTGTCCTGGGCTCTGCATCTGGTACATTACAAGTAAGATTGCTTACTTCCTAAGTTTTTCACTGGAAATTAGGATTATTAAGATTTCTTTTATTTTGCATGACTCCTGTACACATTACTGCACTTACATGCATTTTCTTTATTAATCTGCCTTTTGTCCATTGACTTTTCAACAAACCATAAGAAGTCAAAGGGAAAGTTTTCTCCTGGTCCCTGCACTGATTACCAGTAGTATAACTCTGACAATGAAAGCCAATAGAGTATCAGCAGATCTCATTCTTTCATTGAGAATTTTTGCAAGGCAGGGTCCATATCTTACTCATTAAACCTACCCATATGTAGCTTTTCAACAATACATGTAAAGATTTTTGTGGTTTGTGGTTGCAGCCGCTATTGCAGAAATTGACTAAAATAAAGAAGGTCATCTTGTGGGAAGCTCCCGAATAGGATACTCTTCTAGCCATCTCCTCTCTTTGATTTTCTGGAGTTACATTTGGTTGACACAAACTGGAACCTCAAAAGTGATGTGGAAAGGGACAGGAGGGATAAGATTTTATCTCCAAAGTCCTGCCCCAAGGCTCCATGGACTTCTTCCATTCCCATTTCCAACACTGTTCCATTTTCCATGTAAATTTCTTATGAGTGAACATGACCAGGTCATGTGGTACCCAGATATTTGGTTAAACATTATTTCTGGGTATGTCTGTGAGAGAGATTTTCTGGATGAGATTAGCATTTTAATTGGTAGACTGAGTAAAGAAGATGGCCCTCCTCAATGTGCATGGGTCTCTTCCAATCCATTGAGGGGCCGAATAAGAAAGCAGAGAAATGGAGAATTTCTCTCTCTTCCCAACTACATGAGGTGAGACATCAGTCTTCTCCTGTACTCAAACTGGGTCCTACACTATTGGTTCTTCTCATTCTCAGGTCTTTGAACTTAGACTGGAACTTACACCATCAGCTCTCTTGGTTCTCAGGCCTTCAGACTCAGACTGGAGCTACAACATTGGCTCTCCTGCGTCGCTAGCTTGCCATCTGCAGATCATGGGACTTCTTAGCCTCCATAATCACATGAGCCAATTCTTTTTAATAAATCACTTCCTGTATACATCTAGATAGATAGATAGATAGATAGATAGATAGATAGATAGATAGACAGATAGATAGATAGATAGACAGACAGACAGACAGACAGATACATACATAGATAGATCCTATTGGTTCTGTTTCTCTGGAGAACTCTAACTAATACAGATTTTGATACCAGAAGTGGGACATTTCTGTCTTAGCTCAAGTTGTTATAACAAAATACTATAGATTTTCAAAACCATAAAGACAAAAAGTAGAATGATGGTTGCCAGGAAGTGGGTGAGAGAGGAATAGGAGTTATTGTTTAATGGTTATAGAGTTCAGTTTTACAAGATGAAAAGAATAATGGAGATGGATGGTAGTGATGGCTACACGACATTATGAATGTACTTAATACCACTGAACTGTACACTTAAAAATGGTTAATACAGTAAATTTCATGTTATATGTTTTTTACCACAATAAAAATAATTTTTAAAAATGCCATAGGCTGGGTGGTTTAAACAACAGACATTTATTTATCACAGTTCTGGAGGCTAGGAAGTCAAAGGTCAAAGTCATTGGCTAATTCAGCTCCCGGTGAGGCCCATCTTCCTGGCTTGCAAACAGCTGCATTCTCACAAGGCTTTTCCACGATGCATGTGGGTAGAAATAGGAAAAGGGCACAAGCTCTCAGTGTCTCTTTGTTTAAGGGCACTCATTTTATCGTAAGGGTCATACTCTTATGATTTCATCTAAACTTAGTTACCTCCCAAAGTGCCTTATCTCCAAATACCATCACATTGTGGGTTAAGGCTTCAACATATAAATTTGAAGGGAGGAGAGGGACAATTCAGCATATGGCATCTCCTTATTAAAATTTGTAATAACTGGAATTTTTAAAGAGACTTCTGTTTTCCTGACCTAAACTACGGATCCAGCAGGAAAAAAACAAGAGCAATGACAGCAAACCAGGCCTTTATGGGAGGAACAATCTGTGTAACTGTCAATTACAGGAAGAAGCCATATAACCCTCACCTCACAATACCCTCCTACCAGACACCACCCAAAGAGGCAATTGCCATTTCCGAAGATGTCAAGATGAAGCACCATCAAAAATCAGGGATATTCATACTGTAGTTTCCCACTCAAATGAACCAGACAGAGCTCCCTGGAGAAATGGCTTTTCTCTGGTCTAAGCTCCTTGGAGAAATGGCTCTTCTCAGGTCTGGGACAAGAAATGATCAAGCTGAGCCCAGGCATCTTGCCATACTGGAGAGCGAGGAAGCTGTCAGAGATCACTGGGGCTATATAAAAATGTCAAAACAGCCAGCCCGAAGTGGCTGTTTTTGGCCAAAAACTAGTTCAGTGTGAGCAAGAAAATGATAATGCTTGCAATAGATTGCAATAGGTTGGTATGTTAAAAATCTATGAGTTCATGATGCAGAAAAAAACCAGTCATCTTTGGAAATGTCTAGGAAAACAAGCCATTATTCTGAAAACTAGTAAACAAAGGAAAAGAATCAAGCATTTATTGCACCTTTCCTGTATAAACACAATTATTTCAAAGTAAGAAAATAGTTGGTGATTTCTAGCCAATAAATGCTGAAAAATGCATTTCCCTTTGGCCACAGTCCCTGAGAAGCAGTCCCTCTTCTACCATCATGGCTCTCACCTGCTTCCTGGAATACTGTCCTCTTCCCATGCACCTTCAGGCCAAAGGATGCTGTATTAGTTTGCTAGAGCTGCCATAACAAAGTACCACAAACTAGCATTATAGAATTAAGAAGACTGAGATCAAGATGTCATCCGGGCTGGGTGCAGGGGCTCATGCCTGCAGTTCCAGCTACTTGGGAGGTTGAGGCAGGAGAATGGCTTGAGTGCAGGAGCTCAAGGCTGCAGTGAGCTATGATTGTACCATTGCACTCCAGTCTGGCCATGAGTGAGACCCTGTCTAAAAAAAAAAAAAAAAAAAAAAATTGTGGGAGGGAGCTGGCAGGTTGGTTCCTTCTGACAGCTGTGAGGGTGAATGTGTCCCATGCCACTCTCCTAGTGGCTTCCTGACAATCTTTTGTGTTCCTTGGCATACCAGACGCACCACCCTGATCTCTGCCTTTGTGTTCGCATGGCAGTATCCCTGTGTATGTGTATCTCTATGTATCCAAATTTTCCTTTTTTATAAGGACATCAGTCATATTGGATTAGTATCCACCCTATGATCTCATTTTAAAGTGATTACCTCTGTAAAAAGGATCTATCTCCAAATAAAGTCACATTCCAAGATATTGGGGCTTAGGACTCCAATATGTCTTTTTTGGGAGGACACAATTCAACCCATAAAGATGCTAACAGCATCCACTATTGCTAGTCCACTGGTGCTCCACCATTTCTTGCAGATTCTTAGGTTTTCCCACATATCTATACATAGTCCCTTCATTAAAATCCCTTAGGTAAAATTCTTTTAGTATTCCAGGTTTTCTCTGGGACTTTGATACATGCATTTTGAGAGCTATTTAATAAATGTCGTTGATAGGACTTAGTGATGGGTTGCATGGATGGTAAGTGAAGTGAGGGGAAGGGAGGTATCAAGTGTAATTTCCAGGTGTCTGTCTTGTGTCATTAGTGCAAGTAGTGCCTTTCACTGAGATCAGGCATGCAGAGAAGAACTGGATTGGGGAATGCAAAGGAGATAATGAGTTTTTGTCAGAACATATAAAGAATATATAGGTCAGGCATGATGGCTCACACCTATAATCCCAACACTTTGGGAGGCCAAGACAGGAGAATTGCTTGAGGCCAGGAGTCAGAGACCAGCCTGGGCAACATAGGGAGACTTTGTCTCTACAAAAAATTTTGAAAGGAAGACATTAGCTGGGCATGGTGGCATGAGCATCTAGTCCCAGCTACTCAGAAAGCTCAGGTGGGAGAACTGCTTGAACCCAGGAGGTCAAAGTAACAGTGAGCTACAATCATGACACTGCACTCTGGCCTGGGAAACAGAGTGAGACTGTGTCTCAAAGCAAATCAAAACAACAACAAAAAAGAATATACAATCATCCTTCGATATACATGAGGGATTCTTTTCAGGACCATTGCTACATTCTCAAGTCCCACAGTTGACCCCGCAGAACCCACATATAGGAAAAGTCAGCCCACTGTATACACAGGTTGCACATCCCTTGAATACTGTATTTTCAATCTGCAGTTGATGGAAAAAAATATAAGTGGACCTGCACAATTCAAACCCGTGTTGTTCAAGGAACAACTGTATAAGCCACACATGCACCAAAAAAAAAAAAATCTGTGCATTATAGTATTTATATACTCTAGACAGAGTCAGACAGCATGAATTTAAATCCTGGGGCTGCCAATTACTAGTTGAGCCACTTAGGACAAACGACTTAGATTTTCATTCCTTATTGTGTTCATTTTCATGTATAAAATGAACATTATAATACCTGCCTCATAGTGTTGCTGCGAGGCTTGATGGGCTGAACCACACAAAGCACTCAGCAAAGTGTCTGGAATTTACTACAGGAACAATAAATATTAGCTGTAGCCAAGATTACTTTTACATACCTACTTTCCATCTGGAGAAAATATCACCAACAATAAAGGTTTTGAAACTAGCTACCTAAATATGGTCTAATTCCTGTTTTCCACTGTAAATTTAAAATTCTTGTCAGTACAGTGCAGGATGGAAATAAGGTTGCTGGCAGGCTTGTACTTCTAAGACTTTCTCTTTTCTATTTGGTTTTGAACTCAGTAAGCCTATTTAAAACAGTTTCTAACCTTGATGCTGGAAATCAGTTGGAGATGTGGATAGATTTCAAAGCAATGTAGACATTTTGGGATGTCAAGGGGCTCTGGAAAATAATGTAGTCTGACCTCGAATTTTTGATGATGAAATTAAGACCCAAGAGGTTAAATGACTCATTTGAGGCCACACAAGCACAGGAAGAGCTGGGACTAAAATCCAGCCTCATGACACATACACTGGCCATTTCTTCTTCAGCATGACAGATTCTAGCATGACAGTGCAAAAAAATATTTATTGCACAGAATTTCAAATGTATATAATGAACTGAATCCCTCTGTAAAGATAAATACAAGATAGAATTAGGAATGAGAGACCGAAGCAAGAGTTCAAAAAATTAGTGTTGTTATAAATTTACTAAAATGATTTCTCAAAAAAAAGATGAATTATGATTTAACTAACATTTTAGACTTTTTAAAATGTATGTTTTTAGCAAGGAGTCTGACTACTTCACACATGGGAGTAGAATTTTCTTATATCCATGAACTATGAGCTGCCACTTTTTGAGTTTTCTTTTGAACACTTGACTTTTTTTTTCCTCTGCAACAGTCATTTACTTAATGCTGTACTCAAAATTATACATCCCAAAGAGATTCTATTTTGAAGACATCTGACTCAATGAACCAATGGAATGTTGAGGAGATGTTTATATGCCTTTTATAATTAACCCCATTTTTGTGGTTTGAGTTAAAAAGATTTAAACATCACACCTGGACAAATTATGTTGCAGTACTTGCATATAATTGTGTGAAACTAAATCAGTTTTCCGCTTAGCTAGAGGGAAAGACAGATATATGGTTTACTTTTCCATGTCATCTTTTCTGATGTAGGAAAGAGGAGACATAGGAAAAAGATAAACTGCAGGGCAAAATTGGAGGAAAAATTAAAATAACACTTCCCGATATTGAGAGAAAGGGATATAAATTTTTGTACTGAGAAAAGAAAGTATGCTTGGTAGATGTAACATTCAAGAGAAAAGCCAATCTAATAGAACTGGATTATGTTAAAAGGATTCTATTATCTCAAAGACTTGGTATCCATAGCAACTGAAACATTGCTATACTTACTCTTTCCATCCACCACGAGGGAAATAAACAGCCAAAGAGCTAGCTATTTCCTGATACCATTATATCACAGCTAATAAATTACCATCTGCAATGTCTTCACAAACCCTACTGTTGTTTTACTTTTAAAGCAGAACCAAAAAAAAAAAAAAAAGATGAAGAAATAAGAGAATGTAACCAAAACACAAAAATGAACAACCAGCCCACAAGGGAGGGTTGCAACAGTGCATCCAAGGAAGGAAGGAGAGAGTTACTCTCTGAACTTCCCTCAAGGCTGGCTGATGTCTAAGATAGAGAAGCAGTTTCCTGGGCTGCTGCCAAGCTACAAGTCACATACAAAGTCCATGTAGACTTTGTTGCTCTGAAAGGGAGTCCAGATCTAAGTGGGCCAACCTCAGACCCAGGCCCAGATATATACTAAACAGGATGCCCAATCAGTTGCAAATGTGTGCTGTGTGTGTATGTATGTGAGTGGTATTACTAAATCATAACTTTTTCTTTATTCATAAAAAAATGTGCCATATATGTACCAATCACTGTGTAAGGTTCTGAGGATGTTAGATGTGAATGAGACACTCTTAGCTGACAAAAGAGTTCATATCTTGCATAGAATCTAGATGCATCAAGTTTCCAATTGACAGACCTAAAGGTCCATCAACATCACCTATGACAGGCGCATCATTATATGATACCTTTAGGACCCAGTACAGACCCAGTACAGTTTCTTGTAAACAACTGACACATAATAAATGTTGATTACATGTAAGATTTCAAGGGAATTATAAAGATGAAGTTAACACACAACATCGAAAGTGTCTGTAGCAAGGAGGTCTTCAAAACACAGAGCCTTAAATTGTAGTTGAATGAAATGAATGTAATTTTAAAATTGATATAAACATAATTAAAGTTGTCAGAAATAATAAGTAGTAAATCTGGCATTTGAATCCATACAGTCTGGCTCTGGAGATTTTCGTGCTTAACCACTACATTTCTCCTCCTCTTAGAGAGCAAAGCCGAATGGGAAGGGGGACAGATGTTAAATTCTTTCTATAGCTACAGTGATTTTTTTTTAAGGAAAACCAATCCAAAAGTACAAACTGTAAATCTTTAGAAGCCAAACATACAGTTTGAACTGCATCTATTCATTCATTCATTTATTCAACAAATATTCATTGTGCTTCTCTGGACCAGTGCTCCTCTGGGTACCAGGGTTGGCACAGATAAAAACACAGTAAGCCAATATTCTCATGGTCTATTTTCTCCATAAAACTAGCCACTTTCAAACACACATTACAATCTATTTATTTATTATGTTTATTGATTGTTGTCTGTTTTCCCTTAACAGAATGCATCTTCCATGAGGATATACAATTTTGTGTTTTGGTCTCTAAGGTACCCCAAGCACATAGAACAGTGCTTGGAGCACTTCAGGGTTTTGATAAACATTTGTTGAATAAATGAATCATGGAGCTTACTTTTTATTGGAGGACAACATAAGTTTTTAAAATGAAATAATATCCAGGAATATATGCAGGGTAAAATCATAAATTTTCTATGCCTTCTTTCTCTAAATACAACAGTGATAATTCTTAATTACCACTGGACCTTACAAGGACACTATAAGTTTTAAGCAGGATGTGCAAATGCTTTGGAACCCTGGGAAGACTGTGGACACTTAAATAAATATAAGAAAGCTTTATAATCTCTGTTTCTGAATTTCTTCTATTTCAATATATTAAGGAGGTAAATCTGCATGTATATTTATCATTTTCAGTGTGACTTCAGCATTTCAATAAAGGTCACAGGTAACCCAGTGATGAAGCATCCTTCCCTCACTGCCTCTGAAAAGCCCACACTGGCCAATATTTTCCTAGGTTTTAGTACCGCATTATTTTACATATTTTATTCATCTGTTTCTCTTCCCTTTCTCATCAACCCTTTCATTTATGTTTAAACAACTCTATTTAGATATAACTCACAAACCATACAATTCACTCATTTAAAGTCTACACTTCAATGGTTTTTAGTATATTCACAGATATGTGCGACCTTCACCACAGTCAATTTTATGACATTTTTATCACATCAACAAGAAACTCCAAATGGTTACAGTCTCTAGATACCACCCTCATATCCACCCATTCCCTCTTCAGCCTTAAGCAAACACTAATCCAATTTCTGTTTCCATAGATTTCTGTATTCTGGGCTTTCATATGAATGGAATCAACTGACGTGGTCTTTTGTAAGTGGCTTCTTTCACTTGGCATGTTTTCAAGGTTTATCCAAATTATAGCAGGTGTTAGTACTCCATTGTATTGGCTGAAATAATATTCCATTGTATGAATATACCACATTTTGTTTATTCATTTACTGATAGACATTTGAGTTATTTCCACCTCTGGGCTATTATGAATAATGCTGCTATGCACATTTGTGTTTAAGTTTTTGCATGGACATATGTTTTCTTTTCTCTTATATACCTAGGATTAGAATTGCTGGGGCATATGGTAACTCTATGTTTAATTATGTCAGGAACTGCCAGACTGTTTTCCACAGCAGTGGAACCATGTTACATTCCCACTGGTGGTATATGAGGGTTCCAATTTCTCTACATCTTCAGCAACATTTGTTGTCATTATTTAACTTTTTTATTCTAGCCATCCCAGTCAGTGTGAAGTAATATCTCGTTCTGGTTTTAATTTGCATTTCCCTGATGACTAACGATGTAAATCATCTTTTCATGTGCTTACTGGCCATCTGAATATGGTTCTAGAGAAAAGTCTATTAAGACCCTTTGCCCATTTTCTAATCGGGTTATTTTACTTTTACATTGAGTCATAAAGGTTCTTTACATTCTAGATACAGATTCCTTATCAGATGTATGATTTGCAAATATTTTCTCCCATTCTGTGAGTTGTCTTTCACTTTCCTGACAGTGTCCTGCAATGCATAAAATTTTTTAATTTTGATAAAGTCCAATTAATTTATTTTTTCTTTTGTTGTCCTTGGTTTTGGTGCCATATATAAGAATGCTATGTCAAATTCAAGGTCATGAAGATATACTATGTTTTCTTCTAACGATTTTATCATTTTAGCTCTTATATCTAGGTCTTTGATCTATTTTGAGCTGTTTTTTTTTTTATGGCGTTAGGTGAGAGTCCGACTCTATTCCTTCATCTGCAGTTATCCAGTTGTACCAGCACTATTTGTTGAGAAGATTCTTATCTTCCCATTGAAAGGTCATGGCACCCTTGTCATAAATCAGTTGACCATAAGTGTATGCATCTATTTCTGGACTCTCCATTCTATTCTATTGGTCCATATATCTATTGTTTTGCCAGTCTTCATTACCATTGCTTTGTGGTATGTTTTGAGGTTGGGAAGTGTGAGTCCTCCTATTTTATTCTTTTTCAGGATTTTTCTGGCTATGTTTGTTTCCTTGCAATTATACATGAATTTTACAATCAGCTTGTCAATTTCTACAAAAAAAAAAATCCACAGGGCTTCTGATAGGAGTAGTGTTGAATCTGTAGACCAGTTTGTGGAATATTGCCATCTTAACAATATTAAGTTTTCTGATGCATGAATATGGGTTGATTCCCATCTATCTATCTATATAGTTTCCAGGGTATAAATACCACACTTCTTTTGTTAAATTTGTTCCTAAGTATTTTAATATTTTATTCTTTTTAATGCATGGGATTGTTTTCTTTTCCTTTTTTTTTTTCTTTAGAGACAGGGTCTCACTTTGTTGCCCAGGCTGGTCTCGAACTCCTGGGCTCAAGCAATCCTCCTGCCTCAGCCTCCCAAAGTGCTGAGATTACAGGCATGAGCCACCAGACCCAGCCAGTATTGTTTTCTTAGTTTCCATTTGGATCATTCATTGCATGTGTATAAAAATACAACTAATTTGTATCCTGCAAATTTGGTGAACTTGTTCATTAGTTCTAATCATTTTGGGTGGATTTCTTAAGATTTTCTACATACAAGACTATGTTATCTACTAATAGAAATAGTTTTACTTCTTCCTTTCCAATCTGAATGTCCTTTATTTCATTTTCTTGCCTAATTGCCCTGGCTAGAACCTCCAATACAATATTAAATAGAAGTGGTAAGAGTTGACGTTCTCTTGTTCCTGATCTTGGGGAGAAAGTTGCCACTCTTTTATCATTAAGTATAATGTTAGCTATATAATAATGTCAGGTTTTGTAGATGCCCTTCATCAGGTTGAAAAAAATTTCTTCTATTTCTCATTGTTGATAGTTTTTAAATCATGGAATGCTGTTAAATTTTGTCAAATATTCTTTCTGTATTAATTGAGATGATTGTGTGTTTTTTTGTTTTTATTCTATTAATACGTTGTATTACACTACTGTACCAATCTTGCATTCTTGGAATAAATCTCACTTGGTCACGTGTATAATTTATTTTATAAGTTTCTGAATTCTTTTAGTTAATATTTTGTTGAGAACTTTTGCGTCTATATTCATAAGAAATTGGTCTATAGTTTTCTTGGGATGTCTTTTTCTGGTTTGGATATCAGAGCAATACAGGGAACATAAAACAAGGTGGGAAATGTTTCCTCATCTATTTTCTTGAAGAGTTTTGGAGAATTGACATTAATTCTTCTTTAAATCTTAAATGTCTGGTAGAATTGAGCAGTGATGCCATCTGGGTCTGGGCTTTTCTTTGTGGTTTTTTGTTTTTGTTTTTGTTTTTGTTTTCCAAAACTCAATCTCTTCATTCATTATATGTCTATTCAAGCATCTATTTATTTTTGAGTTATTTTCAATAGTTTGAGTCTCTTTAGGAACTTGTCCATTTCATCTCACCTATTTAATTTTTAGGCTTACAATTATTTATGATATTTATTTACAAACCTTTTCATCTCTGTAAAGTCAATACAGTAGGAATGATCCTACTTTTATTACTGATTTTAATTTCAGGCATCTCCCTTTTATCTTAGTCAATATAGCTAAAGATTTGTACACTTTACTGATTGTTTCAAATAATGAATTTTAGTTCTATTGATTTTTCTTTGTTTTTCTATTATCTATTTCATTAATTTTCACTCTGATTTTTATTATTTTCTCTCTTCTGCTTGTTTAGATTTAGTTTGCACTTCTCTTTCTATTTTGTTAAAATGGAAGGTTAAGTTATTAGTTTCAGTTCCTTCTTCTTTCTTAATCTAGTCACTTACAGCTATAAACTTCCCTCTAAACACTGCTTTTCTGCATCTTGGCATGTTGTATCTTTATTTTTATTAATCTCAAAGTATTTTCAGATCTCCTCTTTGATTTCTTCTATGACCCATTGGTCATTTAGGTGTGTGTTAAGTTCCACATATTTGTAGGTTTTCGATTTTTTCACTATTTTAAAATTTTTTCATTCGTTATTTACTTATTTATTTTTAGAGACACAGTCTTGCTCCACTGTCCAGTCTGGGGTGCAATGGTGGTTCCATCATAGGTCACTGCATCCCTTGAACTCCTGGGCCCTAGCAATCCTCCCACCTCAGCCTCCTAAGTAGCTGCTACTACAGATACTCACCACCATGCCTGGCTAATTTTTTAAAAAAATGTTTAGAGATAAACTTTTGCTATGTTGCCCAGACTGCTCTCAAACTCCTGGCTTCAGGCAATCCTCCCACCTCAGCCTCGCAAATAGTGGGATTACAGGCATGAGGCACCGTGACAGGCTGAGGCTTTTCCCACTATTGATTTCTAATCTTATTCCCTTGGTGGGAGAATGTACTTTGTGAGATTTCTGTCCTTTTTAATCTATTGAGATTTGCCTTATGATCTAGCTTATGTTCTATCTTGAAAATGTTCCCTGTGCATGTTAGAAGAATGTATATTCTGTTGTTGTTAGGTAGAGTGTTCTATGGATGGCTACATCAGGTTGACTTATAGTATTGTTCAAGTCATCTATTTTCTTTTTGATCTTCTGCATAGTTGTTCTACACATTATTGAAAGAGGAGTATTAAAGTCTTCAACTCGTATTGTTGGTCTATTTCTCCAACCTCTGATTGTTTTTGCTTCATGTATTTTCGTACTCTGTTATTAGACACATATATGTTTATAGTAGTTAAATCCTCCTAGTGGATTGATCCTTTTGTCATTGTAAAATAGCCCTCTTTATCTCTAGTAACACTTTTTGTTTTAATGTCTATTTTGTCTGGTATTAATATAGTCACTCCAAACTTTTTGTGGTTGCTGTTGCATGATATTTTTTCATTCTTTTACTTTCAATGTATTTGTATCTTTGAGTCTAATGTGTCTCTTGTAGGCAGCTTATAGTTGGATCATATTTTTTATAGTCCACCAATCTCTGCCTTTTGATTCAATTGTTTCATTCATCCATATTTAATGCTATTATTGATATGCAATCATGTGCTGCTGCACAATGACATTTTGGTCATTGACAGACAACATATATGACAGTTGTTTCACAAGATTATAATGGAGCTAAAAAATATTCCTAACTCCTACTGACATCATAGCGACTGTAATGTTGTGTGTGTTATACTTTTATATGACTGGTAACACAGTAGTTTACTCTAGCATCACCACAAACATGCACATGTTTCCAGGTCAATCATTCGATGCACATGTTTGTGGTGATGCTGGAGTAAACTACTGTGATACCAGTCATATAAAAGTATAACACACACACCATTATGTACAGTACATAATACTTGATAATAATAAATGACTATGTTACTGGTTACTATACTATACTTTTTTTTTTTTTTTTTTTTTGCTCTGTTGCCCAGGCTGGAGTGCAATGCTATGATCTTGGCTCACTGCAACCTCTGCCTCCAGGGCTTAAGCGATTCTCATGCCTCAGCCTCTTGAGAAACTGGGATTACAGGTGCCCGCCACCACACTCAGCTAATTTTTTGTATTTCTAGTAGAGATGGGGTTTCACCATGTTGGCCAGGCTGGTCTTGAACTCCTGGCCTCAGGTGATCCGCCCACCTCGGCCTCCCAAAGTGCTGGGATTACAGGCGTGAGCCACCATGCCAGCTACACTATACTTTTTAATGTTTAGAGTGTATTTCTACATATAAAAAAGTTTACTGTAAAACAGTATGTCATGTCATGCCAGCAGCAGTCTTATCCATCTCGTACTTACCTCATCTTTTGCTTGTACCATTTTCTGTTGTGCTTGATTTAATCTTGTGTTGTTTTGTTCATTATGACTCCTAAGTATACAAAAATCATGAATAATGTTGCCATTAAGAGGCCACATCAAATGATTAACCTGGAAACAAAATTAAAAGTGATTAAGCACTATGAAGGTGGAAAATCAGTGATGATTATTGCTCACCAATCAGGCATGTCCTATTCCACCGTAGCTAACATTTTGAAGAACAAGGACAAAGAGCGTTAAAGACTGTTAAAGGATCTGCTTCATCAAAGCCAGTGAGACTAACAAAATTTGAGATGACCCTATATCAGATATGGAGAAACTTCTAATGTCTTAGATTGAAGATCAGATACAGAAGCATACTCCTCTCAGCACCATGATAATCATAACCAAAGCAAAAAGTTTATTCGTGATATTGAAGAAAAAGACTGGACCCGACTATGACATTGAATTTGCTGCTAGCTCAGGAGTTTAAATGACTCAAGAATTATTATTCATTACACAATGTGAAAGTGAGTGGTGAGTCTATGAGTGCTGATATGAAGGGAGCTGAAGAATTTTTGGAACTCTGGATAAGCTGATTGCAGAAGAAAATTACTTGCCAGAGCAAATCTTTGATATGGATGAAATCTCCCTATTCTGCACACAAATGCCTGAAAAGACTTTCATTCATAAGGAAGCCAAGTCAATGCCAGGTTCAAGTCTTTTAAGGACAGGATCATAATCTTGTTTGGGGGCAGTGTTGCAGGCTACAAATTGAAACCCTTTGTGATCTGTCACACTGAGAGCTCCAGGGCCTTCAACCATATTAAAAAGCACACACTGCCGGTGCACTACAGGGGGAGTAAGAAGTCACAGCTGACCCAGTTCCTCTTCTAAGATGCCATCTTGAATTGCTATGCCAGCAAAATGGAGAAGTACTGTCTGAAAAATAACATAACTTTCAAAATTTTACTTACTGCTGATAATGCTCTTGCACATGCTCCTCTTATTGGTGATCTTTATTCCAATATCAAAGTAGTGTTTCTCCCTACAAACACCACCTCTTTGATACAGTCAAAGGATTGAGAAAGTATAGCAGCTTTTAAGGCTTTCTACCTGAGGAGGACCTTTGCCCACGCTATTGCTGTAACTGAAGACGCGGATGCAATTCTGGAAGAATTACAACATCTATGACTGCATCAAGAACCTTGCTTTGATTTAGGGTGATGTCACCAAGGAGTATATAAATGGTACCTGGAAGAAGACATTCAAAAGTTTCAACCATGATGTCAAAGGATTTGTAAAGGATGAGGAGGTTACAAAAATCAACAAGGCTGTGGTTGAGATGACAAACAACTTAAACCTGGGTGTGTGTGAGGATGATATTGAAGAGCTCCTAGAGATGATTCATGAGGAACTGACTAACAAGAAGTTGTTGGAACTGCAAGAGGAACAGATAGCTGAAGAAGAGGCAAGAGGAAAGATAATTACAGGAGAAGTAAAAGAAGAACTCTCAAAAAATTTATAGTGAAAGCTTTAGCAGGAGCTTTTGCAGACCCCAACAAGCTCCTTAAAAAACTGAAAACATGAACCCCAACAATGAAAGGTTTTCATTAATGAAGAGCAATGTTCATGGTGTGTTATCTGCTTACAAGCAAATCTATGATGAAAAAAAGAAACAAACCAAGCAAATCACCATGGCCATATTTCTGAAAAGAGTGACACCTTCTCAAGAAGAGCCTCAGAAAGTCCTTCAGGATTGGAAGGCATTATCATCATAGGAGATGATAGTTCCATGCCTGTTATTGCCCCTAAAGACCTCCCAGTGGCACAAAATGTGGAGGTGGAAGACAGTGACATTGATAATCTTGACTCTGTATAGGCCTAGGCTAATATGTATGTTTGTGTCTTAGTTTTTAACAAAAAAAGTTTTTAAAGTTAAGAAAAAGTTTAGTGAAAAAATTCTTCTAGAGTAAAATATGAAGAAAGAAAATATTTTTGTACAGCTATACAACATGTGTTTTAAGCTAAGTGTTATTATAAAAAAGTCAAAAAGTTAAAAAAGTGTACAAGTTTGTAAACTAAAAAGTTACAGTAAACTAAGTTTTATTATTAAAGAAAATTTAAAAATAAATGTAGTGTAGCCTAAGCATACAGAGTTCATAAAGTCTACAGTAGTATATAGTAATGTCCTAGGCCTTCACATTCACTACCATTCACACCATGACTCATCCAGAGCAACTTGAAGTCCTGCAAGCTGTTGTGTGTAGATACACAAATGCTCATATCATGTTACAACAGCCTACGGTATTCAGTATAGTAACATGTTGTACAGGTTTGTAGCCTAATAGCAATAGGCTATGTCATATAGCCTAGTGTGTAGTAGCCATCTAAGTTTGTGTAAATATACTCTATGACATTTGCACAATGCATCACCTAATAATAAATTTCTTAGAATGTTGCTAAGCAATGCATGACCATAGTTGGATTTATGTCTGCTATTTTACATTTTGCTTTCTGTGATGGTTAATTTTAGGTTTCAATTTTACTGGATTAAGGAATACTTAGAGAGATTTTAAAGTATTCTTTTGGGGTGTGTCTGTGAGACTGGCATGTGAATCTGAGTGGACAGGTGGAAAAGATCCACCCTCAATGTGGCAGACACCATCCAATCAGCTGGCAGCCCCCATAGAACAAACATATGAAAGGTGAATTTGTCTCTCCTGGAGCTGGGACAGACTTTCTCCTCCTGTCTTTGGACATCAGAACCCCAGGCTCTTCAGTCTTGGAACTTCAGGACTTAAACCAGCACCCCACCCTCTGCAACCCCAAGTTCTCAGGCCTTCGACTCAGATTGAGAATTGAGCCATCAGCTTCCCTAATTCCGAGGCTTTTGGAACTGGACTGAGCCACACCACCAGCATCCCAGGGTCTCCAGCCTGCACATAGCCTGTCATGGGACTTCTCAGCCTCCATAATTGTTTGAGTCAGTTCCCCTAATAAAACCTCTCTCATATGTCTCTATCTATATCTATAAGTATATACTATTGGTCCTGTCTCTCTGGAGAACCCTGACTAATACACTTCTATATGTCTTACGCCTTTTTGTTCTTCTCTTCATTGTTCACTAAATTCTACTGTATGAAGTGGATATTTTCTAATGTAACATTCTAATTTCTTTAATAATTTTTTACTATTTAGTATGTTTTATTTTAATAGTTGCTCTAGGGTTTACCATATACATCTTAACTTATCAAAATCACCTTTAATATTAAGCCAGCTTAATTATAGTGATTACATAAAAACTTTACTGATACATAGCTCTATTTACTTTTTCCCTTTTTGTAGTATTATGATTATACATATTACATCTATTATTATACATACTGCAGACCAAAAGATACAATGTTATAATTATTACTTTATCATCTGTACTCATTTCCTTGGCCAATACAGCTTCGATTCCATTCATCTCTTTGTGCTGTTATTAGTAAAAACGTTATGCTTATGTTACATTTCTATATGTTATACATCCAACAATACATTATTTACATATTATTTATGCAATTGCTTTTTACATTCATTAAGATAAGAAAGGGTCAAAAATGTGCATTTATACTGTTTTTTGTACTTACATAATTACCTTTACTGGTACTCTCAGTTTTTCTATTCAAATTACCATCTGGGGTCACTTGCTTTCTGCCTGAAGAACTTCCTTTAGCATGCTTTGCAAGATAGGTATGTTGTCAACAAATTCAGTTTTCTTATCTTTGAAAGTCTGTATTTCTCCTTCACTTTAAAAAAATAGTTTAGAGGTATATGTTTATTGGTTAACAAGGGTTTTTGTTTTCCCTTGAGCACTTTGAATATACCATTCCACTGTCTTCTGATCGCCATTGTTTTGACTGACAAATTGAATGTTAATCTTATTGAGCTTCCTTTATAAGGAATGAGATGTTCTTTTGCTGCTTTCAAGATTTTCTCCTTGTCTTTGACTTTTATCGTCTTTAGTAATGATATATCTGTTTATGTATTTCTTTGTGTTTATCCTATTTGAAGTTCATTGAGCTTCCTGGTTATATAGGTTATTGTTTTTCATTAAAATTGGGAGGTTGCCTGCCATTATTTATTTGAATATTTTTTCGTCTCTTCTCCCTCTCCTCTCCAATATTCCCTTTATGCATATATTGGTGCATTTAATGGTGTCTCATATTTATCTAAGGCTCTGTTAATTTCTATCCATTTTTTTCTCTCTGTTCTCCAGCTTACTTAATCTTTGTTGATCTATGTTTAAATTTGAAAATTCTTCTGCCATTTCAAATCTACTGCTGAGCCCCTTGATGTTGAATTTTTTTATTTCAATCACTGAACTACTCAGTTCTAGAATTTTCATTTGGTTCATTTTATTTTTAAGAGACGTAGTCTCATTTTGTTGCCTAGGCTGGAGTGTAGTGGTGTGATCATAGCTCACTGCAGCCTCACAATCCTGGGCTCAAGCAATCCTCCCACCTCAGCCTCCTAAGTAGCTGGGACTACAGCTGCATGCCACCATGTTGGGCTAATTTATTTTTGTAGAAATGGGGTTTACTGTGTTGTCTAGGCTGATACTGCACTCCTGATTTCAGGCAATCCTTCTGCTTTTTCTTCCCAAAGTGCTGGGATTATAGGCATGAGCCACCACACTCAGTCTTTGGATCTTTTTTACAATTTCTATCTCTTTTTTTATATTCTCTATCTGATGCAACAGTGTCATCATACCTTCCTTTACCTCTGTAATCATGCTTTTGTTAAGTTCTATGAAGACGTTTTTTGTAGGACATAATAAATGTATTCCTCTTCAAAAGTTTAACCTGTTAACTACCTTGTTCTCTGTTCTCAAACCCAACTTTCTTGTTCTCCATGCATCCTTGCCACTAGTTACTGTAAACAACTTTCCCGTCAGTTCTAATCAATAACTCACATCTGTTCCCTTGGATACCCACTGTGCACCCATTCCTCCCACCAAAACCGCATGTCCCACCACTGTAACTCACATTCCCCTTCCCTTCCTTATTTGGGAAAATATTCACAAATAGCCAACCAGGTCAGTTTAGATTATGCAGTCTGACCCCAGCCCATGGGGGAGTGACACAGAGGTAGTGATTGCATTAGGAGTAAAAATCCCTGCTTTCCTCTGTTCAGTGTGCTCTTGCAATCGTGATTGACGTGAGCAGCACCCTTCTGTTGAAATAAGTTGCCTTGCTGAGAAAACTTTTGCCTGAGTGCTGGTTTCACTTTGCAGCACTGATCATTTATCTCCAACAAATATTGGGGCTCGTCCAGGATTCCCATTCTCCTCTGGGAACGGGGTCTCCTGTCACCTTTCATGAGGAGCATCCCACTGTCTCATTGCAGTGGCCTCAGGGTGAGGGATCAGGACCCACCCAGCGCAATGAATAAACCCAGACTCTCAGCAATGCAGGGAGAAAAAGGCTTGCAACAGCACAGAGACCAGGTAACTCTGTGCACAGGCCAAGGTAAGAAATGTCACTGGAGTGACAAAGTATTTCCTTGGTGGTCGGGATATTCTGGAGGTTGAAAGTGTGTGTGGATGATCACAAGCACTACTGCTGGCAGTGTGCTTGTGTGGATGGTACTAAGCACTACTGCTGTGCAGAGTGAGTGGTTCCTATCTGCGGTTCCGTGGTCACCTCATATGGCTTAGGGAGCATCCTGCTGTGGGGTTTATACTGGCACACCAATGTTAAGAGGGACCTAAATTCCCCTCAGGGAAGCGGCCAGAGTGGACACAGTGAAAGAAGGGTACAAGGAGCCTCCAGCAGGTGGGGCTAAAGGATAGGCAAGAAATCTCTAATATGAGGGATTGAGTCTCAATAAGCCTCCAGAGAAGGATAGGCAAGAAATCTCTAATACGAGGGATTGAGCCTAACTAGGACTCAACATGGGAAATACCCCAAGCAAGACAGGGAGTAAAAGGGATAAAGATAGCAATAAAGATATTCCCTCTGATAGTCCCCTGGGTCTCATGTTAAAATATTGGAAAGATAATGAGAGGACTAAACAAAAAGAAAAAGCAACAAATGATAAAATATTGCGGTTTTATTTGGACTCAGGGACCCATCCTCAAACCCTCAATCTTCTGGCCGATGTTTGGGTCAAATGAGGATGTGGTGTGTCAACTTCTGATTTAATATGTAAATGATAAAAGCCTGGTTTCTCAAGAAGAACTGGATTGTGCTCTTTGTTTGGAGTCAGGGACCCATTCTCCTTTTTCCTTAAAGACAACTAGGGAAAAACTCAATCTAGAATCTCAAAATGAAGAGTCAGAAAAGCCAGTTCCTGTGCCTAAAGACTCCAGCATATAGGATCCCCTAGACCATCTTCCCCCACTCAGTGCCCCTAACCCTTCCCCTCAGGCAGCTGCTGCCATCCTAGATCCTGATCCAGATCCTTCCCCTGCTCACATTATGCCTCCTCCTTACAATCCTGATTCTTGGGAACCATCCCATGAGCCTGTTACTTCTCAGCCCCAGTACCCTTCCCTAAAAGGACTCCAACATGATATAGAACAATGGAGAAATGCTATCCAAAATTTCCCATTTCCCTCTACATCTAAGGAGTCAGCCCCAACTCTCTTCCCCTTAAAGGAGGTGCCACAAGAATGGGGAGCTATTGGCTTTGTGAATGCTCCCTTAACCAGTTTGGAGATCCAAACTTTGACGAAGGAACTTAAGCCATTGTTTGATGACCCTTATGGGTGGCAGATCAAGTTGATCAATTCTTGGGACCTCAATTATACACTTGCGTTGAGTTAATGTCCATCCTAGGCATCCTCTTTTCGGGGGAAGAAAGAAGCATGATCCATAAGCCTGCTATGGTAATTTGGGAACATGAACACCCTCCCGGTAAAAACCTTCCTACTGCAGATCAGAAGTTTCCCACCCAAGACCCCTGGTGGGACAATAATAATGTGGCTCACCAGGAAAATATGCAAGACCTAAGGGACACGATAATAAAAGGAATTAGGGAATCAGTACCCCGAACCCAAAAGCTCTCTAGAGCACTTGATTGTTGTTTCATAACAGGAAAAAGATGAGGGGCCTATGAAATTTCTAGACAGACTAAAGGACCAAATGAGACAATATGCAGGCCTAAATTTAGAAGATCCCCTTGGACAGGGAATGTTAAAGCTCCATTTTGTCACTAAAAGTTAGCCAGATATTTCGTTACAAAAATTAGAAAATTGGGAAAACCAACCTCTGAGTGAACTCCTTAGGGAAGCTCCAAAAGTGTACGTAAAGAGAGACAAAGAAAAGCAAAAACAAAAGGCAAAACTCATGTTATACACTTTCCAGCAGGTGGCTCCAAACCCACACATTTCTAAATATAGCTTCCAGGGGGCCAGAAACTATAAAGGGTCCAGATCTCTGTTTAAAGGACACAAGCCTCCATCTAGAGGACCCCGCCCCTCATCTACCAGACCATCTAAAAAATATGGGGGAGCAAAGCTAAAGAATCCCAGGATTGAGACAGTGGAGAGACAGGATAGGTACTACAAATGTGGAACAGCAGGCCACTTCAAGAGAGAATGTCCTGAATTGCAAAGGCAGAAAGAAGCCCTACCACTCATGACTTTTGAGGAAGAATAGGGGAGTCAGGGGCTCTGTCTCTTTTGCTTCGAATCCCACCAGGAGCCCTTGATAAATTTAGAGGTGGGACCCAAACAGGAGCCTATCACCTTTTTAGTCAATTTAGGAGTGGCTCACTTCTCCATTTGTTTCCCTCCACCTAACATTGCCTGCTCTTCAGAAGAACTTTTAGTCTCTGGGATAAAAGGAGAAGGATTTAAGGCAAAAATCTTAGAAAGTACAGAAGTTAAATACCAAGATTGATTGACTCATATCCAATTTTTATTGATCCCTGAGGCAGGAACTAATCTATTGGGAAGAGACTTAATGCTAAAATTAGGCATAGGCCTACAAGTTCACCCTAAAGGATTTCTTGCCTCATTAAACCTACTCACCACTGCAGATGAAAAATACAGTAATCCCAATGTCTGGTCAAGGGAGGGAAACCTAGGGAAACTCCAAATCCCTCCAAGCCACATCAAGCTAAAAACCCACTGGGGAAGTAGTGAGGAGGAAAAAAATACCCCATTCCCCTAGAGGGCAGAATAGGGTTAAAGCCTATAATTGAAAGTCTTATTAAAGATGGACTCCCTTGTACCCTGTATGTCCCCTTATAACACTCCAGTATTGCCAGTCAAGAAAGCAGATGGGACATACTGACTGGTGCAAGATCTTAAAGCCATCAGTCAAATAGTCCAGACTACCCATCCTGTTGTCCCCAACCCATACACCATTCTCAGCAAAATTCCATATAATCATCAGTGGTTTACAGTAATAGACTTAAAGGATGCCTTCTGGGCATGCCCCTTGGCTAAAGACAGCTGAGACACATTTGCTTTTGAGTGGGAGGACCCCCATTCAGGGCAAAAACAACAGTATCAATGGAGTTCAAGGGTTCACAGACTCCCTAAACCTTTTTGGCCAAATCTAGAACAAGTGTCAGAAAAAGTTGTCATCCCAAAGTAGATATGCCTGGTCCAGTATGTGGGTGATATTCTTATATCTGGTGAAGATGTAAAAAAAGTAGCTGACTTCTCTACACATATTCTTAACCATCTGGAATTTGAGGGGCTATGGGTCTCAAAGGGAAAGCTTCAGTATGTGGAGACTGAAGTTAAATATTTAGGCCACTTTTATCAGTGGAGGTAAGTGAAGAATAGGGCCTGAGTGAGTTGAAGGCATCGTGTCCTTATCCCTGCCTCAAACTAAGCAAGGACTCAGAACATTTTTAGGATTAGTTGGATACTGCTGCTTATGGATTGACTCATATGCCCTAAAAAGTAAACTTTTATATGAAAAGCTTACCTAGTGGAAGCTGGACCATCTCCTGTGGACTTCTGAGGAAGCCGATCAGGTTTTTTAGCCTTACCTTCCCTAGAAAAGCCATTTCATCTTTTTGTTAACATAAATAACAGGGTAGCTTTAGGGGTGCTCACTCAAGAACCCAGTGGCCGCTGGCAGCCCATAGCCTTCCTATCAAAAGTTTTACACCCAATACCTGTAGATGGCCTCAATGTTTTCAATCTGTTGCAGCTACAGAAGTATTAGTTGAAGAAACCAGAAAATTAACCTTTGGGGGAAAATTAACTGTAAGCACACCCCACCAAGTTAGAGCTACTTTAAATAAAAAAGCAGGAAGGTGCTCACTGACTCCAGAATCTTGAAATACTGAAATTGAATCTTGAAAAATTAAAATATGAGGCTATTCTACTAGAAAAAAGATGAATTTAACCTTAACTACTGATAATTCACTCAACCCAGCAGGTTTCTTGACAGGAGACCCAAATCTAAAAAGAGAACACCTATGTTTAGATTTAATTGACTACCAAATGAAGGTCAGGCCAGATCTAGGAGAGACCCCTTTCAAAATGGGGCGATGCTTATTTATAGATGGTTCCTCCCAAGTAATTAAAGGAGAAAGGCATAATGGGTATTCAGTAATTGATAGAGAAACTCTTGAAGAAATAGAGTCAGGAAGGTTGCCCAATAGTTGATCTGCCCAAGTTTGTGAACCATTTGCCCTCAGCCAGGCTTTAAAACACTTACAGAACAAGGAAGAAACTATTTATACTGATTCTAAGTATGCCTTTGGAGTAGCACATACATTTGGAAAAATTTGGCCTGAGAAACCTCTTATTAATTTTAAAGGCCAAAATCTTGCCCATGAAGAGCTAATCATCCATGTTTTAAACAATCTCCAGTTGCCAGAAGAAATAGCCATTGTACATGTCCCCAGACACTAAAAAGACTTTTCCTTTACAAGTTGGGGAAATAACCTTGCAAATCAAGCAGCTAAGCAGGCTGCTGTTTCATCTGAAACACCTATCTTTCACTTAACTCCTTGTCTTCCTCCCCCTGCTGCAACCTCTATCTTCTCTGCTGCAGAAAAGGAAAAATTAATAAGAATAGGAGCCAAAGAAAACTCAGAAGGAAAATGGGTGTTACCAGATCAATGAGAAATACTATCCAAACTCGTCATGAAGGAAATCCTGTCCCATCTGCATCAAGGGACCCACTGGGGACCCCAAGCTATGTGTGATGCAGTTCTCAGGGTTTATGGGTGTTCAGGAACTTATACTGTAGCCAAACAGATTAAAGATAGTTGCTTCATATGTAAAAAAAAAAAACCCAACAAACAAGTTACAAAGAAATCGCCCCTTGCGGGGAGGGATCCAGGGCTAAGACCATTCCAAAGTGTTCAAATTGACTACACTGAAATGCCCCCAATCGGTCGCCTAAAGTACTTATTAGTAACAGCAGATCACCTTACTCATTGAGTTGAAGCTATTCCCTTTTCAAATGCAATGGCCAATAATGTAGTTAAAGCATTAACTGAAAAGATAGTGCCCAGGTTTGGACCAATAGAAAATATTGATTCAGACAATGGAACCCATTTCATAGCACATATCATTAAAAAGCTATCCCAAGCCCTAGACATTAGATGGGAATATCATACTCCTTGGCACCCACCTTCCTCAAGAAGAATAGAAAGGATGAATTAGACCTTAAAGAACCACATAACCAAATTAGTTCTAGAGACTCAGTTGCCATGGACCAAATGTCTTCTTATTGCCTTTTAAGAATCTGAGCTGCTCCTTGGAAAGATATTGGCCTTTCTCCTTATGAGATGCTCTAATTGCCTTATTTACACTCCACTGCTGGCATTCCTACATTTGAAACAAAAGATCAATTCCTCAGGAATTATATACTTGGTCTCTCCTCTACTTTCTCTTTTTTTAAAAACCAAAGGTCTCCTAGCACAGGCGCCGCCCCTGGAGTTCCCAGTACATCAACATCAGCCTGGGGATCATGTCCTCATCAAAAGCTAGAAAGAAGAAAAACTTGAGCTGTCCTGGGAAGGACTTCACCTAAGTGCTTCTAACCACTGGAACCACAGTCCTGATAGCAGAAAAAGGATGGACCCATCACACCTGAGTCAAGAAAGCACCACCACCTCCGCAGTCATGGGCCATTGTCCCAGGGGAAAACCCCCTCAAACTAAAGCTAAGTTTAACTCTCTTTCATCTATTCTATTACTCTTTCTTCTTTTCTCATTCTATTGCTGACCACCTTGTTATCAATGTAACTAAATCAAACTCCCCCAAAGTTATTACGTTTGATGCTTGTTTAGTCATACCCTGTAGAGATCTTCAAAGTCAAAGGAAACTCTTAGCCTTAGAAAAGTATCTCTGCCCCTTTAAAATAGAGGTTCCCCCTACCAAGACTCTTGCTCTTTAACAAATATAGAGAAACAGGTCTGCCATAGCAGGAATGATGTTCTGTGGACAACCAAATATCAAGGCTAGACCTCATTGACAGGTGGTTGTGTATCCTTAAAACCATACATTCACTTTACTAAAGAAAGCACCTCCAACCCCAATTGCCAGTATAACCAATGTAATCCAGTGCAAATTTCAATTCTCACTTCCACCTCTACCGACCCTAGACCTACTTTGAGCCGCTTCTACAGCATGGGAGCCAACTTGGCTGGCACAGACCTCATAGGGACTTTTGAAATGCATTTTATTAATCCCTCATCCTCTTCACCCCCTTTCCTCTCTTCTCCTTCTAAGCCTTCTTCTAATCAAACTGCTATCCCCTCTATACCCAATGATAAGACTAAGGTAGATATTGTAGAAGTAAATGATTTAAGGCAAACTTTAGCAATTGAAACAGGATATCAAGATGCAAATTCCTGGTTGGAATGGATCAAATATTCTGTCCACATGTTAAACAAAAGCAATTGTTATGCTTGTGTGCACGGCCAGCCAGAGGCCCAGATTGTCCTCTTTCCACTTGGATGGTCCGCTAGTCAACCAGGCATGGGCTGCATGATAGCTCTCTTCCAGGATTCTACAGCTTGGGACAATAAATAATGCCAAGCTCTCTTTCTGCTCTATCCTGAAATCCAACACCCTGCGGGTCAGCCCCCGAAGGCCATCCAGCTTCCATCTCCCAACGTCAATTTCACCTTGTGTCTCTCACAACAAGGGGAAAACTTGGCATTCCTTGGAAGCTTAACAGGATGCAGTGAGCTTAAGCCCTTCTAGAAGCTTACCCATCAGTCTGCCCTTAGCCATCCTCGAGCAGATGTGTGGTGGTATTGTGGCAGACCCTTACTGGACACTCTGTCAAGTAACTGGAGTGGTACTTATGCTCTTGTCTAATTGGCTATCCCTTTCACCCTGGCATTTCATCAACCAGAAAAAGAAAAAATGCAACACCATAAAATAAGAGAAGCCCCTTATGGGTCTTTTGACTCTCAAGTTTATTTAGATGCAATTAGAGTCCCACGGGGAGTACCTGATAAATTCAAAGCCCAGACCAAATAGCTGCAGGATTTGAATCAGTATTTCCATGAGTAACTATTAATAAAAATGTAAATTGGATAAATTACATCTATTATAAACAGCAATGATTTATTAATTACACTAGAGATGCCATCAAAGTAATAGCTGACCAGTTAGGGCCTACTAGCCAGATGGTTTGGGAAAACAGAATGGCCCTAGACATGATGTTAGCTGAAAAAGGTGGAGTTTGCATTATAATTAAAACTCAATGTTGTACCTTCATCCCAAACAATACTGCCCCCAATGGGAACATAACAAGGCCTTACAGAGACTTACCTCTTTATCCAATGAATTAGCTAAAAATTCTAGAGTTGATAACCCTTTCTAAGCATGGCTAGCTAGAAAGGTGATTTGGTAAATGGAAAGGAATCACAGCCTCAGTGCTTACTTCTCTTGCAGCCATAATAGGTGTACTCATTCTTGTTGGGTGTTGTGTCATACCATGCATCCATGGGCTAGTACAAAGGCTTATAGAAACAGTACTTACTAAAGCCTCCCTTAGCTCTCCTCCACCTTATTCAGATAAGTTGTTCCTTTTAGAGGATGAAGTCGAACAGCAAAGCCAAGACATCTTAAAAAGGTCTGAAGAGGAAGGACTATAAAAATTAAGAGGGGGGAAATTGTAGGATACAATAAATTTATTCCTCTTCACATGTTTAGCTTGTTAACTTCCTTGTTCTTTGTTCTCAAACTCAACTTTCTTGTTCTCCATGCCTCCTTGTCCCTAGTTACTGTAAACAACCTTCCCGTCAGTTCTAATCAATAACTTCACATCTGTTCCCTTGGCTACCTGCTCTACACCAATTCCTCCCACTGAAACTGCATGTCCTACCACTGTACCTCACATTCCCCTTCCCTTCCTTATTTGGGAAAATATTCACAAATAGCCCATCAGGTCAGTTTAGATTGTGCAGTCTGACCCCAGCCCATGGGGGAGTGACACAGATGTAGGGATTGCATTACGAATAAAAACCCCTGCTTTCCTTTATTCAGTGTGCTCTTGCAATTGTGATTGATGCGAGTAGCACCCTTCTGCAGAAGTAAGTTGCCTTGCTGCAAAAACTTTTGCCTGAGTGCTGGTTTCACTTTGCGGCACCGAGCATTTATCTCCAACATTTTTGGTGGCTATTTTGAAATACTTTCCTGTTAAATATGACATCTGGTTGCTCTCATAGGCAGTTTGTGTTGCCTGCTTTTTTCCTGCGTATGGATCATGCTTTCCTGTTTCTTTGCATAATTTTTTGTTGGAAATGGGACATTTTAGATAATATATTGTATTAGTTCATTTGCATTACTCTAAAGGAATACCTGAGGGTGGGTAATTTATAAAGAAAAGAGGTTTATTTGGCTCACCATTCTGCAGGCTGTATAAGAAGCATGGCATGAGCATCTACTTCTGGTTAGGGCCTCAGGAAGGGGAAGAAGGCATGTCACACATGAGAAAGGAAGAGGTGAGAGAAGGGTATGGTTCTTTTCAACTATCAGTTCTTAAATGAACTAACAGAGCGATAACCCACTCATTACAAAGAGAAAGTGACCATGCCATTCACGAGGGATCTACCCCCATCACCCAAGAACCTCCCACTAGGCCAAAACTCCAACAACATTGGGGATCAAGTGTTAACATAAGATTTGGAGGGGACAAACATCCAAACTATGTCATATACTGTAGCAATTCTGAACACTAGACTTCCCTCTCCTGGGCTATTATTATTATTTGCTTGCTTTTTTTTTTTCTTAACCAGCTGGGTTATTTTAGTGAAGTTTTATGTGAACACACATGCGCGCGCGCACACACACACACACACACACACACACACACACACACACATTGTTAAGCCTCCAATGTTGCTCCTCAGGGAGGCATGGCTTTGGGGATGGCTACAGTAACCCTGGGATGATAATAGGATTGGTAGGACTCTTTTTCTTTCCTTCCCTGACCACACCCAGCTATTGAACTCCACTAATTGCTGGCTGATTGCATTATTGTTTTAAAAAGTACCCTGGGGGCATAAATAGCTTTACAAACGAATTCACCCCAAATTGTGGTCCCTTTGAAGGAATGATTTCTGTGGTCAGTGCTTGATAATTGTTTTCACCCTATGAGGGCTCCTTCCAGCTGTCATATTCTGGTTCTCTCTGGTTCTCTCCTAGGCAACCCACAGTCTAGGCTCTATCTTCATTAACTTCACAAATGTGCCTCCCAAGTGCCTTTCACCACAGTCTCTCCACTGCTCTTGAGAGTGCCCTTTGGCTTGGGCTTCTCCACAGTGTGTTGCAAATGAAGTCAGTTTCCTTTCGAAGACATTGAGAGTTGTTTTATAGCTTGCTTCTTTCCCCAGGCAAAATCTCTAAGCCAGGGTTCTAGAGCTGGGGGTGAAGACAAAGACAAGTTGCTTTCTGAGTGACAGCTGTGCTCCAGGATCTGAGTGCTTGGTGGAGAGCAAATGCCACAGCCTGAGATTGTTTTTGGTGGCAAGGAACCACCAACTCATGAACTGCAGCAAGGGTGACTGGGGCCCCAATTCTTTTAATGTGCCTGTCCAAGGTACAGTCTCTACTCCATAAGTGGGGGATAGGAGGAAGGGAGCCCCCATTCTGACTGAACACACCCACTACTTAACCTCAGCAACAGATAGCTGTGGACAAGACGAGAAATGCTGAAGTCCTGCTCCTCCTGGGAAGAAAGCGCTCTCCACTGGGAGCTAGAGGGAGAGGGATCCCCATCTTCTTGGCTATGACAACATGATGCAAAGTCTATGCCTCATTAAGCTGGGAAAGGGGAAGGGGAGAGTAGTCTTGGTTCAAATACCAGAGACTCTCACATTTCTTACCAAATTGTTGTAGGTTTTATTTGTTTTGAGACGGAGCCCAGGCTGGAGTGCAGTGACGTGATCTCGGCTCACTGCAAGCTCCGCCTCCTGGGTTCACGCCATTCTCCTGCCTCAGCCTCCCGAGTAGCTGGGACTACAGGTGCCTGCCACCATGCCCGGCTAATTTTTTGTATTTTTAGTAGAGATGGGGTTTCACCATGTTAGCCAGGATGGTCTCGATCTCCTGACCTCGTGATCTGCCTGCCTTGGCCTCCCAAAGTGTTGGGATTACAGGCATGAGCCACCGCACCCAGCCTCTTTATTTATTTATTTATTTATTTATTTATTTATTTTTAGACAGAGTCTCGCTCTGTCGCCCAGGCTGGAGCGCAGGGGCACAATCTCGGCTCACTGCAACCTCTGCCTCCCGGATTCCTGCCATTTTCCTGCCTCAGCCTCCTGAGTAGCTGGCACTACAGGCGCCCTCCACCACGCCTGGCTAATTTTTTTGTATTTTTAGTAGTGATGGGGTTTCACCAAGTTAGCCAGGATGCTCTCGATCTCCTGACCTCATGATCCACCCGCCTCGGCTTCCCAAAGTGCTGGGATTATTTCTTCATTTGCTGTATGCCTTTAGGATCATTTCCAGAGGCTTTGAGTTAGTTTGCTTTTAATAATTTTCACCAGTTTCTCTGTGGAGCAAGCTGGCAGAGCTCCTCACACAGTAATGCAGGAAGTTCAGCAACCCTTCATTTTAATGGATTTATTCATTGCTAACTCACAGCAGAATGGCTATGGAGTATATGTCATTAATGCCTAACGGATTTGCAGCAACTAGTGGCATAGTATGGGATCTCCAACTAATAATAAAAAGATGCTTATGGTGAAATGGTGATTTGCTGTGGTGAGATCACAGGCACTAAGAGAAAACAACCCATAGAAGGTTTGGGTTTGTCAGTAATAGGATAGACACTATACAGTAACATAAATGATTAAACATCAGAAACTCAACCTATGGTATACAGGCTTTGAAGAAGCTGTAAACCAATTAGTCTTTTTATCTTTCAGTAACAGCCTGGAAAACTGGATTTTAATTCAAGCTCAGCTTGACTTCTGAGCTATGCAGAATAAGAGACGTTGGTGATATAAAATGGGAAAACAGTTGATTAAGTCTCATCTGAGTTTTAAAAGCTAAATGCTTGGAAATGCTCTAGTCATTTAAAATAATCACGTTTACATCTATCTTGATGAAAATGAGGTAATGCTGAAGCTCAGAATGATGCTCAGCTCTGGAAGGTATTTCATATTGTACAAAATCTTCCGAGAGGTGCTGAGCAGAGCAGCTGCTTAATCAGGAATATTAAGAACACAGAATTCTTTTGTTGCAATTGTACCTTTTCTTTTATTGATAGAGTAAACTCTGTAAAATATTTGAAGAGATTTATTCTGAGCCAAATATGAGTGACCATGTCCTGTGACACAGCCCTCAGGAGGTCCTGAGAACATGTGCCCAAGGTGGTTAGGATACAGCTTGGTTTTATATATTTTAGAGAGGCATGAGACATCAATCAAATACATTTAAGCACGACATTGGTTTGGTTCAGAAAGGTGGGACAACTCAAAGCGGGGGATTCCAGGCTATAGGTAAATTTGAACATTTTGTGGTTGACAATTGGTGGAGTTTATCTGAAGACCTGGGATTAATGGAAAGGAATGTTCAGGTTAAGATAAAGGATTGTGGGGACCAAGTTTTAGTGTGCAGAGGAATTTCTCAGCAGACTTTAGAGAGACAGTAGGTTGTAAAATGTTTCTTATGGGACTTAAAAGGGTGCCAGCCTCTTAGTTAATTATCTCCTGGATCTGGAAAGAAGGGAGGAAAACAAAGGGGGAAGGGGATTCTCCAGAGAATGTGGATTTTTCCCCACAAGAGACTTTGCAGGGCAACTTCAAGATATGGCAAGGAAATGTATTTTGGGGTTAAATATTTTTCCTCGTCTCATAACGTTATGCCAAAGTCAGACTGAAAAGTCAGTCACAATATATAGGGTCAAATAAAACCCATCTGACAAGAATTTATGGTTCATAGGGCATGACTCCCTAGACCCCTTAGGTAGGAATTTGAGCAAGAGAAAAATCAGAGCTTAGTCCTCACTTTGATGCTAAAATCTAAGAATCACCAATGAATTTTAAATTTAAAAAGGCTATGATTTCTAAAGATGTTTCAGGAGGAAGAGAAATGTAGTGTGCTCAAATACATATTCTTAGACTTTCAACACTAGGATTCTTTTCTCTCTCTTCATGTACTTAAAATCATTTCCATAATACTTTCATATCTTCTATGCAGAATATATGAGAACAGTAGGGGATCCCAGCATTTACTTCATTGGTTTAGAACTAAGATTTCTCACCCTGCTGCCTGTGGTTACTGAAAAGGCTCACTTTCCCCAGAGAATAACTCCCCCTGCATCTGTGTCCAGAGCCAGCATGAAATAGTATTAATCTAGATGGCTCCCATTTTGTAAATCACCTTTTGAAACTTTTTTGAATTTATAAACACCATATTAGTTTTCCTTGCACGTACAAATCAAGTAATAATGTCAATGAAGTCATATACATGCTTATTATGTACTAGAATCTGTTCTAAATGCTTCATGTATATTAATACATTAATCATCACAACTACCTATGAGGTATGTGAGGCACAAAGAGGTTAAGTAACTTTCTCAAGGTGACACAGCTGGCAAACGGCAGAGCTGAATAAGCATAGAGTGGTTCAAACAATAAAGTCACAATGGCTTTAGGGTCTCCCCCTCTCTCTCTCTTTCTCTCTCTATCCTTACTAGTTGTCCGTATTCACATACAGGCATATAAGGATCGTGTTACTACCGTGGGCAGATAAAAGTAATGCACCGAGTTGATCGCAAAAGATTTGCGTGGGCATCTTAGCACTGCGAGATGGGTTTAAGGCTGGGACAGCTGGACCAACAAAAATAGAACCAGATACTCAGATGTGTTTGGACATTTCTATTCAAAAGCAACTTTAAGTCATTTACCAGGAATGATCCAAAGTCATTTATACAGGAGCAATAAAAACAAAAATTTGAAACTCTACCCCAACACACATATCACTCCCCAACTCCATTCAAAGTCACCAATTTCCAGTTCAGAAAAACAATCAAACCCCAAAGCAGCTCTATTGGCACCAAGACCTAATCAAGAAGATTGGCTGTGCAAAGAAATGATCAATCATCTGTCAAGAATCAGTACTTATTAATGTGGGAAATATCATTTAATTGGCCATTTGGAGTTGCAGACCTGGCAGCACCTGGAATTATCCTTCATATAATTTAATTAACAATAAGCTCTTGAAGGAGCAAAAATCACATCTCACACATCTTTGTATATCTCTTCGTGTCTGACACACAGTAGGCAATCTAGAAATATTTATTAACTTGAGTTGATGCCCTAAATGCTATAAAACGTTAGAGAAGTACATCGTGTGCAATTTGTGATTATATTCACATTGAAGATCTCGACATTGCATAATTTGAGGAAATCACTTCCTCTCTCTGCACATATATTTTCTCATCAGGAAAATGAAGAATTGGATTGTAGGATCTCTCGGGATTTATTCTAGCTCTAAAAGCCTAAATTCAGATCAGCAGTCTATGTCCCAACATGGGGAAGATTGAATGTCAAGTTCATGTTCTTATTTGTCTTAAGATCTGAGTTAAATTTTATCTCTGAAGTAGAAGGTAGCAGGGATGTGGTGGCTGACTTATCAACAGTGAGATTTACACATTTTTTCTTATTACAAACCACAAGCCAGTCAATGAGGCAATGTCTATATATGTAGTGAAGAATGGAAACCCCTGAGCTGTGAACCCCTATCCTGTACAGTGTATGCTTTTTGGACCTCCAGTTAAAAAGAAAGGAGAAAACTCACATCCTCCAGTAGAGGGAGCCAGATTTAAACATTAACCAGACCACAGTTTATTCCGTGGCACTGTTTGCTGCATCTAGAAAGAGAAAACTTGTATTTTGATACAGAATCCTCATTTCTGGGTCTTACATAAGTAAAAACTGTTTATGAGACCAACACTAATTCTCCAAAAGCTTTTTCTCAGTAAGAGATATTTTTCTTTACCCTTCTCTATTTATTTCATCAGAAGTGGTAGCAGTTTTATTAAATGTTTTAGCCTGTGGTTATCTGAGTTCAAATTCAAATAAAACATACAGATCTCTGAAGGTGTTACTACAGCTTAGTTATTTCTTAAAGTGAGGATATTTTTATTAGTTCTTCATTGTGCACTGCTTACAGGTCAAGAGAAAAGTCCAT
Organism: Homo sapiens; assembly: GCF_000001405.40. Lineage (NCBI taxonomy): Eukaryota > Metazoa > Chordata > Mammalia > Primates > Hominidae > Homo > Homo sapiens. The sequence continues at coordinate 69,919,278 of NC_000009.12, read as the reverse complement.
TAAGAATAGCATTTTGGTTGAGACCAGCCTAGGCAAGATGGCGGAACCCCATCTCTACAAAAAGTAAAAAATTATGCCTGGGCGAGGTGGCTGACGCCTGTAATCCCAGCACTTTGAGAGGCCAAGGCAAGCAGATCACCTGAGGCCAGGAGTTCAAGACCAACCTGGCCAACACTGTGAAACCCCGTCTCCACTAAAATACAAAAATTAGCCGGGCGTGGTGGTGCACGCCTGTGGTCCCAGCTACTAGGGAGGTTTAAGTGGAGGGATCACTTGAGCCCAGGAGGCAGAGGTTACAGTGAGCCAATATCACACCCCTGCAATCCAGCCTGGGCAATCAGCAAGATCCCTGTCTTCAAAAAAAAAAAAGCATTTCGTGTTGATTATGAGAGAGAGAAAGCAGCTTATGGACTGTAGGCTTCATTCCCTTGTGTAGGGAAGTTTATACACTTTTAAATCATGAGGACTCATCTCTTGGGAACTCTTATGAGTTGAATTGTGTCCCCTATGTCCCCTCTAAAAGTCATATGTTGAAGTCCTAACCCCCAATGCCTCGAAATGTGGCCTTATTTGGAAATAGGGACTTGGAGATGTAACTGGTTAAGACGAGGTCATACAGAAGTGGGGAGGATCCCTAATCCAATGTGACTGGTGTCCTTATAACAAGGGGGAATTTGGGCACGGACACGCGCACAGGGAGAACGCCATGTGATGAGGAAGGCAGAGATCCGGGTGATGCCACACACCACCAAAGCTCAAGAGAGGCATGGAACAGAGTCTTCCTCACACCCTCAGCAGAAAAACCTGCTGACAGCTAGATCTCAAACTTCTGGCCTCCAGAACTGTGAGACAAATTTCTGTTGTTTAAGCTGCTTGGTTTGTGGCACTTTGTTACAGTAGCTGTAGCAAACTAAAACAGGAAGTTATTTCATTCTCTTGTAGTGTTTAGAATAAATGTATTCTTTCTAAACGTCATTTCCAGTTTCTTTTCGTTTTAATTTTTTAAACAAAAAAAACCTTTTAATATTTCAAAGAAATACAAAGGCATTGTAGAAGCTAGAAAATACAGATAAACAAGAATAAGAAAATGAAAATATCATGTTCCCACAAACCAGACAGTAGCCCTTTAAAAGCTTATTACACATCCTTTCAGGTCTTTTTTATATGTTTATAAACATAAATGATATTTTTGTCAAAATTCTATTGCACATAATGTTTTATATTCTGCTTTACTCACTGATGATCTACATCTTTCCACATCAGTAAATTTTCATTTTTCTCATACCTAGTCCATAGTCTAATAACTTCAATAGTCACAGAATTCTTTTACAATTGCTTTCTCCAAACAACAATGTGATCCAGGCTTCCTCTTCTAATCTAGCAGAATTCCTTTTTGTCCTTCTAAACCTCACTGACTTGTTAAATAAACTGGCCAATTGTCCTACATAATGTCCCATCTTCTCAATCTGTCTGGCTGTTTCCTTGTGGTACCATTTAGTTTACTGTTATATCCTTTGTGTTTCCTATAAACTACAAGAACTAACAGCTCAAGGTATTCAAGTTAAACGTTTAGCTAGACTACATCATAGGTGATATTACATAATCTCACATGAAACATTTTCAAGTGGTAGTCTGGTAAAATCCTCAAAATAGAATATTGTTAATTAGAATGTAATATAGACATTTACATATTATGTAAATTCATTTTCTCTAAGGCGGGAAGTAGTGAAAGATGTTTCCTGAATATGATCATATCCCATGCAATAGTAATCTCCTGAGTATACCTATTAATTTGCTTTCCACAAGGGAAGATGTGAAATATGTATTCCTAAACACAAATCAAAGTCACCTATTGAAGTTTTCTAAGAATTTCCAAAGATTTCCTTGACCTCATCCATTTTATTAACTTTCAATTCAGTCTACTTCAGCAATACGTCATTCATTTATTCATTCACTGATCAAATATTTATTGAGCATCTACCATATGTCATACTCTATCCTACCTACTGGGGATATGAAAGCAGAATGCTCATGTCCTCATGGAATTTATATGCCCCATTCTATTTATAAGTCAGAACTGGCTCAGCCTGAAATCTTAAACTTGGTTTACATGCTGTCTCATCACAGGCTCACATCCTCTTGGTTTTCTCACTTCCTCACTACTCTGAATCTCATAATTCCACCACACTAGGACCTACAGTCCCTTGGCCACTCTACATACCCGAGTTGACCCGGTTGTCCTTCTTATGGAGTTGGACCCATGGATGGTGAAGCACTTGAGCTACCCTCTGACAGCTCCAACTCTTCAGCACTTTATTCTACACAGCCTTGTCTGCAATGATCTTCTCACTACACTTACTCTTCGTTAGTAAACTCAGACCTCCCTTTGTATCTACCAAGAGAACTCTCATAGCTCCAGATCATCCTACTGGGCTTCATTCCCATTATGTCCAACTACCTGCTAGATGTCCCCACCTGGATGTTCCGAAGTTAACATATTCCAAATGGAACTCTTCTTCCTTCCCATTCCCAGTTTTCCTTCAGTGTTCTCTGTCATTATTCATGGTACCATTGATGTAATCATAGGCACCCACCGGGCCCCTCCCCATCTAATTAGTCACTGAGACCTGACCAGTCTCAGGCTCAAACATCTGTCTGCTGCTTTGTCTATGCTGCCGCCATCTCTCTTGTACTCTTATGGTAGCATCCTTGCTGTTCTTCCTACTTCCAGCCCTGTTCCCTTCAAGTATTCCTCTACACCACCTTTGAGTTATCTTTCTAATCATAGTTCTGTCGGGTTACTCAACTTCCTAAAGCTCATCACCTCCTGGATAAAGTCTTTTTTTCTTCACGGCCTTTCACAATGTGGCTCTTACCTTCATCTATGACCTCAGCTCCCCCTACTCCCTGCCACTCTCCCAAACTTCAGGAACTTTCCAAAAGGTACCCTGCCTCTGCCACCTTTCTCTAGCCATGACCTCTGTCTGCAATTCCCTCCTCATCCCTTCTTGTCCCCCTGTACCCACACCCACTTCCTTTTGGCCAAATATGTACTCTTTGTTTTTCATGTATTAACTCTAGTGCCCCTCTTTACTGAGAAGCCTTCTCTGATATTCCCCAAGAAACTGAAGCACATTTCTAGAATCCCCCTGCATCTTCACACATATGTATTATAACACTATCTAACATATTACAGTTTTCAGTTAGTAGGTCTATTTCCCATATAATCTATTGTTTTAGAGACAGGCCAATCCTTTCCTGGTGCCAGTCCTGGGTGTTTAATAAATACTTGTGGAACGAGGGAATAAACGGACAACATACTTTTCTAATAGCAACACAGCACTGCGAGGTCCTCAACTGTGAAAAGTGTTTACTATCCAAAACCCATTTGCGGACCATATTTAAATAAATGTCAAAAAGCACATTTGTTTTCTTTTGTTGTTTTTGTTGAGACAGAATCTCACTCTGTCGCCCAGGCTGGAGTGCAGTGTTGCCATCTCGGGTCACTGCAAGCTCCGCCTCCTGGGTTCACACCATTCTCCTGCCTCAGCCTCCCGAGTAGCTGGGACTACAGGTGCCTGCCACCATGCCTGGCTAATTCTTTTTTTTTTTTTTTTTTTTTTTTTGTATTTTTAGTAGAGACAGGGTTTCACCGTGTTAGCCAGGATGGTCTCAATCTCCTGATCTCATGATCCGCCTGCCTCGGCCTCCCAAAGTGCTGGGATTACAGGTGTGAGCTACCGCGTCCGGCCAAAAAGCACATTTGTTTTCTTTAATAAACTTTCTTTTCGAAGTATAATACACATATGGAAAAGTGAACAAATCGTAAGCTTACAGCCCAATAAATTTTTACAAAATGAACTACCACTTAGTCCAAGAAAAAGAGCAGTATCTCCCTGAAGCAGCCTTAGTGGCTCTCCCAGTCATACCTTCCAAAGATAATCACCGTTTCAACCTCTAACATTCTAGATTAGTTTCACCTTAAGTATATGCTTTGAATTTTTTTTTTTTTTTTTTTTTTTTTTTTTTTTTTTTTTTGGTGATGGGGTCTCACTCTGTCTTCCAGGCTGGAGTGCAGTGGCAAGATCTCAGCTCACTGCAACCTCCGGGCCCCCCCCCTCCCCCACCGGCTCAAGCGATTCTCCTGCCTCAGCTTCTTGAACAGCTGGGGTTACAGGCGCCTGCCACCACGCCCGGCTAATTTTTTCGTATTTTTAGTAGAGATGGGGTTTCACCATGTTGGCCAAGATGGTCTTGAACTCCTGACCTCGTGATCTGCCTGCCTCGGCCTCCCAAAGTGCTGGGATTACAGGCATGAGCCACTGTGCCCTGCTTTGAACTTTTAATAAATGAAATCGCATAGTATTTTTTGCACCTGTGGACTCCAACTACCTCTTGACTTTTTTTCTACCAGATTTTTTTTAGAACTGCTGTTGCTGAATTTATATAGAAGTATATTCACCATGTAAAAAACAAGATATTTCATGCAAGTAGATTAATTTATGGAAAAACAAGTTTCACATCACAAGGCTAGGCTATCAATATCAGATATCACATCTCTGTAACAATTTCTCAGCCAGAATCTTCAGGTGCTAGCATTTATCACAAACATTTTTTAATGTTTAAATAAACTTTCAGTTTTAGAATGGTTTGAGATTTCCTGAACAGTTGTGAAGATAGTACAGAATTTCCATATACCTCTCACCCAGTTTTCCCTGGGTATTAGTCCGTTCTTGAATTGCTCTTAAGAGATGCCTAAGACTGGGTAATTTACAAAGAAAAGAAGTTTAATTGGCTCACGGTTCTGCAGGCTGCACAGGAAGCATGGTGGCATCTGCCTGGCTTCTGGGGAGGCCTCAGGAAACTTAAAATCATAGCAGAAGGCGAAAGGGGAGCCGGTACCTCACATGGCTGGAGCAGGAGGCAGAAGGGGTGGGGGGGACGCTACACACTCTTAAACAACCAGATCTCGTGAGAACTCACTCACTCAGTATCACGGCAATAGCACTAAGGGGATGGTGCCAAACCATTCATGAGAAACAGCCCCCACCATCCAATCACCTCCCACCAGGCCCTACCTCCAACACTGGGGATTAAAATTCGATGTGAGATTTGGTGGGGAAACAGATTCAAACCATATCACCCTATTATTAGCATTAGTTTGGCACATTTGTCACAATTAAAGAACTAATGTTGACGCATTACTATTAACTAAAGTCCATGCTTTTTTCAAATGTCCTTAGTTTTTACGTAATGTCCTTTTTCTGTCCCAGCACCCCATGCAAGATATCACCTTACATTTAGTTATCACATGTCCTCAGGCTCCTCTAGGCTGTGACAATTTCTCATACTGTCCTTGTTTTTAATGACTTTGAAAGTTTTAAGGAAGACTAGTTGGATATTTTGTAGAATGTCCTTCACCTGGAATTTATCTGATGTTTTTCTCATGACTAGATAGGAGCTTTACCACAGAGGTAAAGTGCCATTCTCATCACACCATGTCAAGGGTACATACTAGCAATATGGCTGATCACTGTTGATGTTGACCTTGGTCACCTGGCTAAGGTAGTGTTAGGAACCTCCACTGTCATTACTCTTATTCTTCCATCTTTATATGGTACTTTTTGGAAGAAAGTCGCTATGTACAGCCTACACTTAACAAATTGAGAGTTAAGGGGAGCTCCACTCTTCCAAGGGTAGAGTAGTTACATAAATTGTTCAGGATTCTTCTGCATGGAAGATGTGTCCATTCTCCTCATTTATCTATTTATTCAATTATTTATTTATATCAGTATGGGCCATTTGAAGCTCTTTCTTTTGACTCATGTCCCTTTGACATATCTTCATCATATTCCGTGTGTGTGTGTCTGTCTGTCTGTTGTGCGTGTTTACTTTCTGGAACTACAAGGTGCTCCAGGCTCATTGTGTATATTCCTGGCCGCACCATAGAATCAACTATTTCTCCAAGGAGCCCTGGTGCCACAGACACTTTTATTGAGTCAGGCATCACCTCAAGCTGAGTAGCCAATGCACATTTTCTACTGTTAAGTTCTAAAAGTCTAGAAATGTAAAAAAAAATGCATCATTGATATTTTTCCATGAGTAATCACCTCCTCTACCTTTCCTTGGCAGCATTAGAGAAGGGAGACAATCTGCTTATTCTCTACTGAGAAAAACTCCTGCCCCTACCCCAGGACTTCAATTAAGGTAATCCCATCTTCAGAGAAACCCAGGATTCTCTAATATGCCATCTGTTTGGCTAGCTCATGAGATAAGTTTCTCCACCTGATTTCTCTGAAGTGCGAGGCATTAAATCTGCCCCCACACTCATTTCATTTTCTTTATTTGATTGTCTTATTGTGTTTTTCACCTACCCATTTCCTTGAGTTTTTTTCTCTTCCTTCACAGCCACTTTCTTGCAATTATTCAATAAAAACCAGAAATGCCAACAGCTTCTTTTTCTACCTTCCTGCTTTATAAAAGAGCTTTATATACACTCTGCTGGATTTTAAACGATGTATAGAAAGAGGCATCTTGAAAAGAAATGCTTTTTAGTTTTTGGTTTCCCCATGTTATTTTCTTCAGTTGGCTTCAATAGAAAAATGTTTCAGATTTCAACATTTGCTTGGGTGTTTAGAAATATTTCTTTGTTTGGGTACTTTAACTTTTAAAAAGCCACTATATATGCTGTGCAGTTTGTTTTTTTTAAGTCATGACTAAGGGCTTTTCTGTGACCAATTATTGGTTTCATAAAAACAACCTAGTCACCTTGTTAATGATCAGTGTCATATCAACTATCTTGTCAATATACTGCCTAAATTAAATCTATTGGGATTTTGAATAAATTTTTAATAAAAATGTTAATCAAATGCATGCAAAGAATACAATATTGAAAAATACTTTCACTTTAATTCATTCTTTATCTCTCCTCATTTTTCAATTACAATGTAAATTTCTCCTCTTCCAAATCTCTCTAACTTTGCTTCAGGTTATCCCATTCTATTTGTTTTCCTACTTAGTGATTCTACCTATTTCTATAGACTTAAATTAAGTTTAATTACATTTATGTTACATTACATAAAAACGCAAATTTTTCCTGATAGTTCTTGAGATTAAGAACCTATTGCATAGAATCTTATATTCTCATAAATGAACACTTATTAGGCACCTATGTGAATCCAACACATTAATTGTTATGGTAAAAGGTCTCTTATTAAGCCTTTAGCCTGCTCTTACCCTATAGAATAAAATAATTATAACCTACAAATACTCAATTCGGCCTACATTAAAATGATAAGTGAAACTATAGACCATAAGTTCTATTGGTACTTAATGAAAACCTTACAGGAAAATGTAACATAAGTAGCTCTGAGAATTTAAAGTAGAGGGAGTTAGCCATTCCTCTTTGTTTAGAAAGATAAGGAAGAGAATAGAGAATATGTACATGCCAATCACAATAACTGTTAAGATAAATTTGTACTGTATTTCATCATCATGAAGTTGGGGTTCTGTCTAAATCTGTTGACTGAAAGAGGTATTTAGAATTTTTTTTCTTAGCAGTAGAACTGGGATTTTATAAAATCTACTTCACCTGTGTATGTGGTACTTAGTAGCCACTCAACAAATATTTATTTTGTCCTTCATCCTTATTTAGAAATTGCTTAGATTAATGTTTTCCCTAATGTTTTCCCTGAAATACTAATATCTTGGGATATATTTATAGATATCTCCTGCAAGAAGAAATGATTCTTTGATGAAATAAGCCTGGGAAATGCTGGATTAAATAGAATTTAACTGCTTTCTGTTCTACAGAATTTCTCAGGGTCTTTAGTATTTGAATATGCAAGGTTTATTCTGATTGGTGCTCTGGTTGGCCAGCAATCATTACTTTACTTTAAGGAGGATTTTAGTCAGTTCCATGGATGCTCTGGCAAACTCACGTTTTCCATACAGGACATAACATTTTCTTAGGCCAATTTTGCCAACTCCTCCAATTTCACAAGATTACCATTGAAGCCCTTAGTAGGACAAATGTGCTAAATATCAGAATATTTTTAAACAAGGCCATTCCAATCATACAGATTGCATTTTTATCAATTACCCAAGCATTCACTCATATTAAGATATGATTATGACAAACATATTTATACCAACCCTTCAGCATTTCTGAGTGCTCACTGTGTATTAGACATTGGTAACCCCCAGATGAGCAGATATAGTCTCCACTCTTCAAGAACTCATGTTTTGTGAAACGGCCATTTCACAAACTGGTTTCAATCAAAACAATGAAAAATAACAAACATTGGCAAGGATATGGAAAAATTGTAACCTTCATACATTGCTGGTAGAAATGTAAAATGGTGCACTACTTTAGAAAATAGTTTGGTAGTTCCTCAAAAGGTTAAACATACAGTTACCATATGACACAGCAATTCTACTCCTAGGTACATGTCTGTATTAGTCAGGGTTCCCTGGAGTGATACAACTAATAGGATAGATGTATGATAGATATATATATAAAAGGGAGTTTATTAAGGAGAATTGACTCACACAATCACAAGGTTAAGTCCCATAATAGGCCGTCTGCAAGCTGAGGAGCAAGGAAGTCAATCTAAATCCCAAAACCTCAAAAGTAAGGAAGCCAACAGTGCAGCCTTCAGTCTGTGGTCAAAGGTCCAAGAATCCCAAAGCTGAAGGACTTGGAGTCCGATGTTTGAGGACAGGAAACATCCAGCATGGGAGAAAGATGTAGACCAGAAGACAAAGTCAGTCTAGTCTTTCCACGTTCTTCTGCCTTTTATCCTGGCTGTGCTGATAGCTGATTAGATGGTGCCCACCCAGATTGAGGGTGAGTATGGCTCTCCCAGCCCACCGACTCAAATGTTAATCTCCTTTGGCAACACCCTCACAGACACACCCAGGAACAATAATTTGCATCCTTCAATTCAATCAAGTTGACACTCAATATTAACCATCACAATGTCCAAGAGAGATGCATGCAAAAACTCATACATGAATGTTCATAGGTGGAACCAACCCAAATGTCCATCAACTAATGAATGGATAAATCGTGGTATATCTATACAATGGAATATTATTCATCCAAAAAGGAATGAAGTGCTGATAGATGTTACAACATGGATGAACCTTGAAAACACTATGGAAAGTGAAAGAAACCAGTCACAAAAGACCACATATTGTAAGATTCTACTTACAGAAAAGATCCAAAATAGGTAAATCTGCAGAGGCAGAAAGTAGATTCTTGGTTGCTTAGGACTGTGGGAATTGGGAGGGAATGGAAAATGACCACCAATGGATATGGATTTCTTTCAGGAGTGATAAAAATGTTCTAAAATTGATTGTGGTGATAATAGCAGAATTCTGTGAATATACTAACAACCATTGAATTATATGCTTTAATGGGTTGAATTGTATAATATGTGAATCATATCCCAATAAAGCTGTTAAACATTTTTTTAAAGTTATGATATTAATATTTGGAACGATAATTTACTGTGTTAGATTTTGCTTAGATTTTCTACTTTGGTTTACAATGGCTGCCTCATACTTGTTCTCTGCTATTTGGAGTGAGCTTCCAGCTATCTGCAAACTTCCCTGCTGCTCTGTCTGAAATAAAGTTAGCTTCTGATCTGTACATCTTTATGAAAGAATTTTCCTGCTGCTCTATTCTTGACAGTGGCTGTGCCAGGCACTTCCATGGCCTCTCCCAGCCCGCCACCTACATTCTATGTCCCACAAAAAGACTTCACCATTTTTTCTTAGCGTTTTCACAAATCTGGAATTTTTCTGCACCTCTGGAGCACTGGTGTCCATGGAGTGACTTTCCTTTATAAACAAACCACTGAGCTGGCTTGGCCCTGCCTCTTGTCTTGATCTGCCAGTGTCATATCCTAGGGTTTGGGCCTGGTACCCTCACTTCTTACCTCATCTCAAATGTGTTCCTAATATACGCTGAGGATTGAGGTTGAGCTGAGGATTCTCTATTCTATATTTATAAAGCAAAGTCCTTGACCCACTCCCCATCTCTACATTCTATCTAGGCTGGGATCTTGATTTTGACTTGAACTGAACCAGATGTGCTATATCCCCACTATCAGGATGCAGCCTCTGCCTTCTTCATCCTAACGCCAGTCACCAGAGCTGCCAGTTTGCTGCTTTTCTACCATTCCTTCCCCCTACTATTTCACATTGTCTCATCTCTCCCTAGGGAGGGGGTCATAATGCCTCCACAGTGGAGTGAAGTGTGCCAGGTGGAAATTGCAGCAAAACAGTGAACTTAGCGTCCATCTAAAGAGACCCCGCCCTCCCTCATACCCCTGCTGATTGTTACTGCGTGAAAATGTGGCCAAGTGGTGCCAGATCTGCCAGACTTTCAAGGGAGTAGAAATCCTGATTTTTAAGTAAAATGTCTTAATTAATAAAGTTTGGTTCTATTTTTTAAAATTAATTTTTAAACACACTGTGCAGACCACATAAAACTTACATGTAGGTCAAACTTAACTCAGAGACCCCCTCTTTGATATATCTGCTTAGGATCTGCTCAACATTCTCTCATTCTCCCAGCAGTCTGCCCCCTGCCGTGGTGGGCTCACACCAATGTCTCTGACACAGCAATGCATAAAGGCCAAAAGAGAGATGCTGTGTACATTTGAAAGAGATATTGCTGTAGAAATGGATCTCACTAACTTTATAAACATGAAAGATATAGTGTGATTTTGGGTTCTCGGGTGTGATTTTGAGGTTTCATTTGAATGAGATATTGATGTAGATACAGATCTTATTAACTTTGTAAACACAAAAGATATAGTGTGATTTTGGGGTCTTAAGTGGGGTTCTATGACACATACACATGGACCAGTCAGGAGACAGTGTAGTCACTTCCCACAGAGGACATTATCCAACAATGAAATCTGAATTCCAGCTTGTCTTATTTGAAGTGGTCTTTGATGCTGGTGAGATGAACCATTGAAGTGCTTACCTCAATATAAAATATTTTTACCTAAAAGATCAAGTTGTTAGAATAACGTAGAGTTCATTGAGTCCAACATTCACTCATTCACTCACTGAAGGCAACGTAATGCTTGTCATGGGGAAAACCCCTGCAGTAACCTTTATTTCAGTGCACCATTTTCCTAGGCTAGTTTAAATACAATCTCTCTTATTTCATTCTCCTTCTAACCCAAACCCAAACTGATTTATAAGGTGATCCCTAATAGCAGACCTAGTCGTTTATACAAAATGTCATGTTAGTCATCGTGACAGTATAACATTTCTGCTAAAGTAAGTGAATCTTATTTTATGTTCTAGGCACCAGGCAGTGTTCAAAGGTAATGATGTGGCCATTAAAACTTTTTCTCCACAAAAAGAAATTATTAAATGATGAGTGGCTTGACATCCAGATTTGCATACTTCAAATAGCTCTTCACCCCAGATATATTAGTGTTAGGAATGGTTAAACTTGGATGTATAGTAAGTGGAAGGAAAGGTAATCCTAGGTAGATATCTACTAGAATAAGTACTACATAATGAATTAACATTTATATAGACTATATTATACTTAATGTATATGTAATATACATAATTAGCATATATAATATACGTATTTGTGTGCATATGGACACACATTTTAAAGCAGCAGGAAATTATAGTAAGATTCTTCTGGCACATGCTTACCTGGTATATCACATTTTCTATATTAATTATCATTTCTGTCATCAAAAAGCTTATAGTCTTTTTTATATCTTGTGAATCCAGCACTAGAGGCAGTGTTCAATTAGCATTTATCATGAAATGCTAGTTCGTGAATGTTATTTTTTAAAGAAAAATAAGTAAATGAAGCCCAAGTTGGCCAAATAATTAAATACATCCTCAGAAGAAATAAAAGTTTTCAAATGCACCTCAAAGATCCATCAGAATCTGCTACTCCTATAACCCTGGGCAACAGCTATGAACTGAATTCTGTTCTCCCCAGATTTATATGTCAAAGCCCTTACACCCAATGTGGCTATCTGAAGATAGGGTCTTTAGGAGGTAATTCAGGTTAAATGAGGACATAAGAGTGGGGGTCTAATCAAATAAAACTGTAGCCTTACATGAAGAGGAAGCGAAAGAGGTCCGCCACCCCCATCCCCCTCCTGCCATGCAAGAACAGGGCAAGAAGGTAACAATCTTAGCAATTGTTTTGACTCACCTTCTTATTTTACAGAAATTTATTTTTGCATGGTTTTGGAGGCTGAAAAGTCCAAGATCAAGGTTCTGGCAGGGTTTATTTCTGGTGATGGCTGTCTTCCTGGCTTGCAGACTTCTTTGTTGTCTAAGCCACCCAGTCTATGGTATTTTGTTACGGTAGACCCAGCTGACCAATACAGCAGACTACTTAAATCTCCATGGACCTCTGTTTGCTCATCTGTAAAATGTGAGGGTAAGTCAAAACAATGGCTAAGATTTCTTCCAAATCTAACACTAGATGACTAGATTTCCCATCAAACCCCTAGAGTTTCACAAAGATTCTATCTGCACCTCTGCTATCCATATACTCAAAAGGTCTTAACTTGAATAAGGAAAAATGTCATGCAAAATAAATAATCCACAATGAAACTAGCTACCACAGATAAATAGAAATTTATAGATACCAATTTCCCCCTCAAAAAAAAATCACATACATACTCAGCATTATTATAGGGCCAGTGTTGCCTAAACTTTGGCCATTTGAGTTTTATGTCAACCTATATATTTATTCACTTAAAATTTGTCTTCTGTGGAATTTAAGTTGGCCTACTTTTTTATAATTAGCCACACCCTAAGCAATCATAACCTTGACTGTGCTAGTTTTATGTGTTTTTCTAATAATTATTAAAACAAATACATAATCCATAAAATAATGTTTCACTAAATACCATCTAGAATTGTGTAGCATGCTCTCAGCAAGACACACAATAAACTTCGGAAAATACCAGAGTAGCTTATGAAAATAAGGATATAAACACTGGTCCAGAAAATAAGACTTTCTGCTTAAAGGAATCTACTATAGTAACACTTCCATTGCATTTATTAAGATAGAAAATCATCAACTGCTACATCCATTTTTCATTAGTCAGAGATGCTGATTCTATACATTATTTTTAAATTGGCACAATAGGCCCACTAGTCAAGGGATAGAGTTTCTGTTTTACATCTGAATTAGCATAAATCCCACTCTCATCATGCCAAGTGTTGATGCCAAATCTTTTAGAACCATTTAGATCCGTGAACTGAGAACGGCATTTTCTGTGGACTATGGAATAATCATCTTGACAGGGATAAGCCTATGGGGGAAAAAAGAGAAATAATATTTAATAACTGAAGTATGTAAAAAGAAGTAATCTTCAAAAGTTTATTTTTCATATATTATTCTTATGATTGAAGGTTAATTTTTAACAATTGATTAATTTGTTCTCTCAAATAGCAAATGTTTCAGTTAAAAAAATGGCTATTGCATTCATAATTACTTCAAAGCCCAAAAAAAGAATATAATTCATGGTTGTTTATAAAACTAAAAAGTTACCACACATGTAAAATTTTTCTAAACCACAAATACACAGCATAAAGAACAATTTAAATTTTATGATCATATATATAGACCAAAACAATTATAATTTAATTACAATTCAACACCTTTTAAAAATATGTTATAACCATTGCAAAGAATAATATCTTGGGTTATATCTTTAATAATTGTTACCAAGTCATACTTCCCATGACACTGGTAAATGCCAAGCTCTGACACATTGCTGTAAGAATTTACCTCAACATAACCCAGTGTAGTGTTTAAGATGTTTATCCTTAGGCCACTTCAGAAAAGCTTCATTGTAATAAAACAAGATATTATCATTGACTATTTCCCAAAAGATATATTGATTCTTTCCGATTACACCAAGGGTAATGGCAGACATGGAACATAAAGACTTTTAACTGATTATCTAATTTCTGCTTTAAATTGGCTCTAATTTTAAAGCACTAGGACAATGTTGAAATTAAATCACCAAAGCTATAAAACAATGAAAGAACACCAAAATAGTTACAATCTTAGATGGGTTTTGTCAAAAATAATTGAAAATTATCATCATATATTCAACCTTAATAGTGTCCATGTATTTATTGAGTGCCTATTATGGGTTAGGCACAAGTATTGAGTGTTTATATTTTTTAATCCATAACTGGGCTCTGAGGTATGAATTATTACACCCACTTTACAGGTAGAAATGATGATTTGCTTAAAATCTCAGGAGAGAATTTAAAGAAAGTCAGTAATAAGCGACTAAGCCAGGACTACAGATTAGATCTATCTGACTATAAAACTCATTATCCCTCCAGAACCCTAACAAAACCTTTATCAATTAAGAGATGAAAATAAATATCAACTATAAAATTGCAGAGCTACATAATATCTGTGTCACTGTTCTGTGTAGTTTGGGCTTTTGCTTTTGTCATTCGGGCTATTTCTTCAGGTGTTATGGTTGGTTGCTTGGTGGGTAGGTCAAATAGAGGTCCTTTAAATGAGATTTGAGCATCACTGGCCAAAATGTTCCCTCAAAGGGAGGTGAGATCTTCTCATTCCCATCCCTGCTGCAGTCAAACTGAAGAGAGCCTCAAATACAGCGTCTATGGGCTCCTTCAGCATTTCATAGGCAGAGAGAAGGATTTTTATGAGGTGAGTGACAAGATGAAATGTGCTGTTCTAGGAAAGTGATTCTGGTAGCAGAAGCATTAAAGACTAGAGGAGGAAAAAACTGGATACTGAAACAGTGATTAGAATTGGATCTCAATCATTCACATGTCATCAATTACATGAATAAACAAACACGGTCTAGACATACAATAAAATATTATTTGTCAACAAAAGGAATAAAATACCGATACATGCTACAGAATTGAAAGACCCTGAAAACATTATGCTAAGAAGCGAAACCACATATTGTACAACTTCTTGTATTAAGTGTGCAGAATAGGCAGATTCACAGACACAGAAAAGTATACTGGTGATTGACAGGAATGGGATGATGGGAAGGAATGGGGAGTGACTGTTAATAGATACTGAGTTTCCTGGGGTGACAAAAATGTCCTGAAATTGATTGTGGTGGTGATTGTACAATCCCATAAATATACTAAAAAAACACTGAATTGTACACTTTAAAAGGGTGAGTGTTATAGTATGTGAAATTATATCTCAGTGAAGCTGTTATTAAAAAAAGAATGGGCCGGGCACAGAGGCTCACTCCTGTAATCCCAACACTTTGGAAGGCCAAGGTGTGAGGATCACTTGAGGCCAGGAGTTTGAGACCAGCCTGGGCAACACAGTGAGACCACGTCTCTATAAAATAAAAAATTAGCTGGGCATGATGACACGTTCTTGTAGTCCCAGCTACTCGTGATGCTGAGGTGTGAGGATCACTTAAGCCTAGGAAGCTGAGATTGCAGTGAGCCATGATCATGACACTGCCCTCCAGCCTGGGCAACAGAGCAAGACCCTGTCTCAAAAAAAATGCATTGGAAAAAGCAATTCTGACATTAGAAAAACTAGTTAAGAGACTGTTGCCTGTTAATCCATGTTGGTTACATTGGGTTCCTCTCATTCTCAGTGCTGTGTTGGTAAACCAGCTCTAAAAAATTAAAATTGTAATATTTGCCAATTTCTGTGGCATAAATACTCCCACTAAGGCTAACTTCAAGTTACCAGAGTGAGGTCAGTGAACACTGAAGAAGAGGTGAGCATAGTAAGCTCATGGCAACTGTTAAGAGCTGGCTCCAGCTCACCCATGAGTCCGCTTCTCCCATTTTCCAGGGTGTAGCAGGGATGTGGTTTGGGTAGGACTGATCTCAGTCCCAGGTCTAGGAGCAGAATCTAACTGGCTGAAGATAATCAGAATAGTGGCATCTCATTCTCAATGACAGTAATAGGTTCAGTGTTAGGCATTTGACTTAAATTGGTCCAAACAGATTAAAGCCCAGGACTTCTGTTCAATGGTTTATGTGAAAGAAGTTCTTTTTCCACGATTGGACATAAATGAAGAAGCATCTATCCCAGGGTGCAGTTTGCAGCTCTCCTATAACCAATCTAGCATGACACCAACACCATAAAAGTCACATCTGACAGTCAGTAAGAAACACAATAGCATTACTATATCAATCCTTTCCTGAAGTCTGACTTTTTAGAACATGGAAGCCAGTAAATTGCTTTTATAGTCTGACCCAGTTTGAGCTGGATTTTGTACATCTTATTAAAAGCATCCTAACATACACCTGAATAATCTACAATATTGGAACACTGAGGTACTTGGAATCAGAGGAAATAAATGGGTCAAAACCAAGGGAGCAGGGCGTATATGAAAAGTAGGAGTGAAGGAAAACAGGAAATTTGTGACAAAGCATACAACTAGGAATCAGAAACATGCAAACATGAAATAGGAGAACAAGGCAGGTATTCAAAAATTAGAACAACTTACTAGAAACCTAGAGGGTATAATTATTATAAGAAAGCAGAGAGAGTATGCTTTTCAAAGTTTAACACAAAAAGCATGAAATAGAATAGAAAAAAAAAAACAGGTATACCAAGAACAACCTTAAAAAACCTTACTATTGACTGCAGCTCAGAACCAAGGCAAAATTGGTATTGTGGGAATCCTGGACAAGAAAGTCGTTTGGTATACCACTCAAGTCAATAAAGCGGGTAATAACTGGAAAATTATTCATGTGTTTTCCTCTTTCCATGTATATAACCACCGATTTGTACTTTGTTTCAGAAAAACACCAACCAAAGAGAAAAGTCATACCAGCTTCTAACATACAAAATAGGATTTTTGAGCAAGACAATATCCTTGTAATCCCACTCACAGTTTTGAGGACTTTAGAATGTCAATGATCAAACCTGGGAGATTATAGAGTTCTCCAAATGGGTAGAGAAAATATCCTTTGCTATGAAGGCTTAGAGAAGAGTTGAAATGAAGAGGAGGAAGATAGGGAAGAACCTGTCAAGAGAATTGTGAGAATTAAAAAAACAAAGGGGAAGGGAAAGCAGAAAGGGCCAACATTATGTGCCAATTTTCCCATCCCTGGGCTTTAATCAGGCAAAGTCCCTTTGACCTGAATAGTGAATGTTACACTAGACGAATGAGAATGATGGCAAAAAATACATAGGATCTCTTTGTAGATTCTGGATATTAGCCCTTTGTCAGATGAGTAGATTGCAAAAATTTTTTCCCATTCTGTAGGATATGAACAGACACTTCTCAAAAGAAGACATTTATGCAGCCATAAAACACATGAAAAAATGCTCGTCATCATTGGCCATCAGAGAAATGTGAATCAAAACCACAGTGAGATACCATCTCACACCAGTTAGAATGGCGATCATTAAAAAGTCAGGAAACAACAGGTGCTGGAGAGGATGTGGAGAAATAGGAACACTTTTACACTGTTGGTGGGAGTGTAAACTAGTTCAACCATTGTGGAAGTCAGTGTGGCGATTCCTCAGGGATCTAGAACTAGAAATACCATTTGACCCAGCCACCTCATTACTGGGCATATACCCAAAGGATTATAAATCATGCTGCTATAAAGACACATGCACACGTATGTTACTGCAGCACTATTCACAATAGCAAAGACTTGGAACCAACCCAAACGTCCATCAATGATAGACTGGATTAAGAAAATGTGGCGCATATACACCGTGGAACACTATGCAGCCATAAAAAGGATGAGTTCATGTCCTTTGTAGGGATATAGATGAAGCTGGAAACCATCATTCCGAGCAAATTATCGCAAGGACAAAAAACCAAACACCGGCCGGGCGCGGTGGCTCACGCCTGTAATCCCAGCACTTTGGGAGGCCGAGGCAGGTGGATCACGAGGTCAGGAGATCGAGACCATCCTAGCTAACACGGTGAAACCCCGTCTCTACTAAATATACAAAAATTTAGCTGGGCGTAGTGGCGGGCACCTGTATTCCCAGCTACTCGGGAGGCTGAGGCAGGAGAATGGCGTGATCCCAGGGGGCGGAGCTTGCAGTGAGCCAAGATCGCGCCACTGCACTCCAGCCTGGGCGACAGAGCAAGACTCCATCTCAAAAAAAAAAAAACCAAAACCAAACAAAACAAAACCAAACACCACATGTTCTCACTCATAGGTGGGAATTGAACAATAAGAACACTTGGACACAAGAAGGGGAACATCACACACCAGGGGCCTGTTGTGGAGTGGAGGGAGGCGGGAGGGATAGCATTAGGAGATATACCTAATGTAAATGATGAGTTAATAGGTGCAGCACACCAACATGGCACATGTATACATATGTAACAAACTTGCACGTTGTGCACATGTACCCTTATACTTAAAGCATAAAAAAAAAATACATAGCAGCTTCCTGGCCCCCATTTCTGTTGGAAACTCTTGAAACAGATCAACTCTCAGATGGCCCTTTCCTTTCACTAGCATGGTCAGACAGAGGGAACCACTAAGACTCATCAATCTTGAGCCACTTTTGTTTTCCTGTGGCATGGATGAGATCCTAAGGTAGCTGCAAGTCTGCAGAGGAAGATACTAACAGGGGCTGCAGAGCCGACCATTGGAGCTGGGGCTGCATAAGAGTCACAGAAGTTGTCTGTGGGGTGTACAGTGTCTATGGGAATGGAAATGAGGCTGAGTCATCCCAGACAGGCCTTCTGGGCTCCAACCAAGCCCAAGGATAAAGAGAAAAAGATTGCCAGTTACAATGTCTATAAAGTTTGGCCACTAATGCCAGCAAAGAAAAGAGCAATGAGGTAGACTAGGGATATCACCTCAGAGAACAGAACAGGCAGAAAATACCACACGTAAAACCCTCCTCCTCCCTTCTGGCATCAGGATGCTAAGTCACATCCTTCTCTTCATGTATCTGGATGCCATTGTAGGGAAAGCTGCATTCTTGTTGCTGCAAACAACCCACTCTGCTCATACTAGTGTAAAACAATAGTCATGAGGAGAGAAAAATATACTTTTTTCAGGGGAGAAAAGAGTATGGTGTATTGGGGTCCCCAATACCACCTCAGGTTTGATGATCTAGGAGGACTCACAGCTGTGGGTGTATATGCACACACACCTATATACAGACGCTCCTCAATTTGCAATGCAGTTACATCTCAATAAACCCATCTAAGTAAAAAATAAACTCATAAGGTGAAATGCATTTAATACCAATAAATGCATCATAAAGTCAAAAAATTGTAAGTTGAACCATCGTAAGTCAGGGACCACCTGTATAGTTGTACTCATGGTTTTGATTTATTACATAAAAATGATACAAAGCAAAATCAGCAAAGGCTATGGGCTGACATCCACAGGAAACCAGGTGCAAATTTCCAAGAGTCCTCTCCCAGTGGAGTCACACAGGATGAGTGTAAATCCCCCAACAGTGAGTTGTGCCATGCTGTCTGCTGGGAAAGCTAATTGCAGACTCAGTGCCCAGAGTTTTTACTGGGAGCTGGGTCATGTAGGCAGCCTCTGCCTAGCATGTCCCAAAATTTCAGACTCCCAGAAGGAAACAGGTGTTCAGCATAAAACATATTGTTTGCACAAACATTTTAGCCACAGTGGGTCATTCTAATCAGGGAATTCTTATCCTGAAAGCCAAGTTTCTAGATGCCAATCAAGGACCAACATTGTGAGCAGGCTTTGAAAGGATAGTAGTCTCAGTTCTGCTATGTTAGCTCTTCTCTGCACACACAGGATGGGAGAGGATCTCTGAGAAAGTGAGCGTTTTCTTCAGGAGGGATTAAACACTTTCTATAGAAAGCAGAACTATTTAAATTATGGCATCAGACTAAGCTTTAAATGGATTGAAGAACTTATGTTTTCCCACTGGTGGTGGGCTCCAGAAGAAGGTCAAATATCAGTTAGATAAATTTCCTCTGCATACGTGAGTTGCAGACAGTTATGTTTTCCACACCCTAACATAATAGGTAAATCTCTCTTCAACATGTATTTAGTGGGAATGGGAAGAAAGTGTGTATTGAAACAGATTTGTGAATTACTATATGTTACTGTTGGCTAGGTCACTATTCGGTGCTACACACACAGAGTTGTGACAGAGTTTACTTAAGGAAGGACAAGCATTGCAAGCTTTTTCTGAGCCCTTCAGGTAGATGAGTGTAACCAGAAGAATTTGTCTGATGTGTGGAATGAGTGGGCATTAGTGCACAAAGGCTTATGCAGAATGAAAGAGTCATTTCACAGGAAGAACATAAAGGACTTACACAGCTAACTGAGGACAAAGAACCAAAGATGATTCATAGCTTCAAGCCTGGAAGGCCAGGAGAGTTATAATAACACTGAAAAGAATTAGAAAGACATGGGGGTGGGGATGATTTGTTTTAGGGGGGAAATGATGAGTCACATTTTAGACATTTTTAATTTAAGATGACATCAGTAAAAAATGTTTATTTGGAAGGTAGTGCTGTGGGACAGATGGCCTAGAGAGAAGTCAGTGCCCTATGCACAGCAGTGATCACTGGCAGGGAAAAAATAGCTATAAAGAACATTATTGGGACCATGGATGATATTTAACATGGACTGTGGATTGTATAATTGCACTGTATCAATTTTCCTGAAATTGAAAACTGTACCACAGACACTCATCCTTATTTTTAGGAGATACACATTGAACTATTTAGGAGCAAAAGGGCATGATGTCTTCAGCCTACCTTCATATGGTAAACAGCTATCAACTCTGCAAAGAATATATGGAAGCTCCTTGTGCCATTTTTGAAACTTTCCTGTAAGTTCGAAATTATACAACAATTAAAATTACCCCCTGCCCAATGTTGATTGGTATACAGCCATGGCAATTGATGAATTCTCTGAGATTGTGTAAAATGAGAGGTGCAGGGATCTGGGGCACAAATGTTGGGGAAGCCCATGATTGGGTCCATAAAGAAGCCATGAAGGACAGACAAGGAGAGGTTAGGAGAGAGTGTTGCAATGTCATAGGCTCTGAAGAGGGAGGGAGGCTGAAGAATGTGGTGGTAATCAACAATTGCTAAGCTCCAAAGAAGCCTAACCCAGAGTAGCATCTGACAAAACACAACAATGTCAATTAACCTCTAGCCACCCTTGAGGGTGCATTTTCAGTGAAGGGTTGGGGGAGTCCCATAAAACATGCTGGTAGAAGGAGGAAAAGAAAGAGCACCAGAGAAAGGAATACTGAGGGCAAAATAGGCCCTGCCAAAACAGGAAGCACTGGAGTTGCAACAAAAGAATCACCATAGGGGAAAACTGGCTTTCAGAAGATTGGTTAAGAAAGCATTCTTCTTTCTTTTCTTCTTGTTCTCTTCCTTCTCTTTCTTCTTCCTCAGATCATGGCAAGGCAGGTTAGGATGTTAAAGGAGGGTCCTCCTAGTGAGTGGTTCCCCCAACCCACCTTCCCTCATGGTTTTACCACTTACATCAGTAAAATGCATTAATGTATCTTTAAACAATGGGGTCTCCTGGTATCCACTCCACCTCCACCCCCATTGCCCCTTGTATGCTCTATCCTTACTCTAAGCACCATTATCTCCTGCACCTTTTTTCGGTAAAATGATAATGCTACTTCTTAGTCAACTGTATAGCCAGTCCTTAGCTGATTTTTTTCAATCTTCTGGTAGGCTATTCCTTGGTTCTACTCATTCATATAGGATTTCATCCTTTTTCTTTAGGACCTTTCATTTCTGATAGTTTTATTTTTCAAGGTCATTTTCAGTTTTAGGACTGCCTTCTGGAACGTAGTAACTCTGCCTAATTTAATATTACAGGATAATTTGGAAGCATAGTCTCAATTCCTTCATCCAGATCATCCATAAAAATGCATAATGGTTTATGTTTCCTGGCCAAATTAGTCAGTGCAAACTAACCTTGCGTCCACCATTAAAGATAGCTATTAGCCACCTGGCATTAGCACAGCAAAAACCATTCTTCCCCAGTATGCCTATAAGGATGCTCATTTTGAGTGTTCCATTTACTTTTAAAATGATATTTGAGTTAGTAAGCTTATTTATGTGAATGTCACATTGGATGGAATGAAAATAGATATAAAAGTAAATTGTTGTGATATTTTGTTTCATTATTTCCAGCATACATCATGTATAAAAGTCTTTACCAATTACATGCACTTGACTGAAGACTTGCCTTCCTCTAATAAGGTAGTTAAGCACACATGCAGAATGGTGGGAGGAAAAGAAGAATTACCCCACAGTCAAACCTACCTTATCTGCCCTGGGGACCAATGGGGGATGGGTATCTCAGGTGGATTCCCTCGTTCATTTACTTCACTAAATTTAAAATATTTTATTTCTTTTATTTTTTCAAAATTTTTTTTTCAGAGACAGAGTCTTGATGTGTCACCCAACCTGGAGTGCAGTGGTGCAATCATAGCTCACTGCAGGTTTGAACTCTTGGCCTCAAGCCATTTTCCCATCTCAAGCCTCCCAAAGCATTGGGATGACAGGTGTGAGCCACCGCACCTGGCCAAGTTTTATTTCTATTGGATATTTTTTCCTCCAATGATTGTGTCACAAACATAAGAATAATTGGCAAATGTAGCTAAACAAATATGTAACTAGTGGGATATATTCTTATGTATTTAAGAAGTATTTACTACTCCTATTTATTTGATAAAGTTTTAGGAGGGAGAAGCATTTGTAACAAATACAGATATTAACAGAGCATGAGACTCTTAGCTACAGGGAAATAGCCATGGGAAGTACAAAGAAATTTAGGCTGTGGATAGAAATATAAATATCTCTACCACTAATGAATCCAGTCAACATAGTAAGGTTTCACTACAAAAAATATGAAGATCTATGTAAATGAACACTTCACAAATAAATTGACTTTTAAAGATTAATATCACACAAATTTTTGTTATGGCCAGCATCAAAAACTAAGCAATACACAATTAAACATTAGCTGTTGATATATTTGTTTGTTTCTAATGCACAAAATTGATTGGTTCTATCACTTCAATCATATAAAACACAAATACGATTTTTCTTATTCTTCAGTCTATATTATGTGAGGACATTTACCTTTGCCACTGTTTTATAATGGAATGACTTAATGGACTGTATATCAATTTGAGGCCTAGGCTTCTCAATCTTTAAAACTTTATTTCTCCTTACAAAAGTTTTATATGTTCACTGTAGAAACTGAAGATAATCAAAAAGAAGAAAATAAAATATCTCATAATTCCAAGTTCTCTGAAGCAGAACTTAGCTTCATGGCCTAACTTAGAAACAAATGTTAGACCAGGCCAGGCGCAGCAGCTCACGCCTGTAATCCCAGCACTTTCAGAGGCTGAGGCAGGAGGATCACTTGAGCCTGGGAGGTAGAGATTGCAGTGAGCCGAGATCATTCCACTGCACTCCAGTCTGAGTGACAGAGCAAGACTCTGTCTCAAAAAAGTTAATAAATAACTTCAGAGGCAACATAAGGCAAAAGTTAAGTTTCTGGAGAAATAGGGTATCTCTCTACTAAAAGAATACAACTCTAAAAAACAATCCGTTTCCTGAGAATTAAGACCCCACAATTTCTCTACTGTTGGTGATACACAAGATGAGCAGGAAGTTAAAATAATTAATTTATAATTAAGTATAATTAACATTTAATTTTCAACTAAGTTTGAATTAAATGTCTACCAAGGTCTTTAATCCGAAAGGATACTTGGTCATAAATAAATTACTATTTCAATGGGAAAAGATCATTGAGACAGAATCAAATCAAATCAAATAGTAGAATCTGAGAGCCAGAGAGCTTGGAAAGATCACTGTGTCTGTATCAGTCAAAGATCTCCAGAGAAACAGAACCAATAGAATACACACACACACACACACACACACACAGAGAGAGAGAGAGAGAGAGAGAGAGAGAGAGAGACTGATTTTAAGGAATTGGCTCACATGATTGTGGAGGCCAGCAAGTAACTCAGGAAGGATTTCTATGTTACAATCTTGAGACTGAATTCCTTTTTTTCCAGAAAACCTTAGTTTTTTGCACTTAAGGCTATAAACTGATTCAATGAGCCCCACTTACATTATTTGGAATAATCTTTACTAAAAGTTAACTGATTGTAAATGTTAATCACATTTACAAAAGACCTCCACAACAACATCTAGAGAAGTATTTGACTAAACTACAGGGCAAATAACCTAGTTAAGTTAACACAGAAAATTAACCATCACACTGTCTAACCCTAGTCTTTTTTTTTTTTTCTTTTTTTTTGAGATAGAGTCTCACTCTGTCACCCAGGTTGGAATGCAGTGGTGCAATCTAGGCTCACTGCCACCAGGCCCAACTAATCTTTTGTATGTTTAGTAGAGATGGTGTTTCACCATGTTGACCAGGCTGGCCTGGAACTCCTAAGCTCAAATGAACTGCCCACCTCAGCCTTCCAAAGTACTGGGAATACAGGTGTGATCCACTGTGTCTGTCCATCTAACTCTAGTCTTAAAGTGAGATCAAGGCCTACAAAGGTTGGAGTATATAAGTTTTGAGTCGTGTTTTGCAAAGTAGCTACAAATATGGCACTTGGAATCAGACCCAAGTTCACTTTGAACACTTACATGGTGTGTTATTACTCATACTTAAACTCTCTGGGACACAGATTCCTCAGTATGTAATTCCAATAGGTTGATATTCTGGGGCAGTTGTGAGGATTAAGTGAGCTAATACATGTAAGATAACTAAGCCAGTGCCTGGAACATGGTAGACAATAAGTGTTACTTCATTCCTCTCTTCCTCCCTTTATTTCTTCTGTCCTCCCTCCTTTCCTTGTTTCCTTGCTTCCTTGCTTCATTCCTTCCTTCCTTCTACTCATCTACCAGCAACTGTATATTTTATTCAATAAGGCAAATTCTATTGTCTCCCAATCAACTCGGTAGTCCATGGAAGTTCTATGGAGTTATATGAGCAAAAACCAGCAGATCCTAAGGTTGAAGCTGGGGCCTAGGAAATGTGGTTCTTAGAGCTGGCAGAATGACATGAGACTCAGAACCAGAACTGTTTGTTTATAAAACTATATAAAACCAAGCCTTCAAGTATAAATATAAGGTCAGCACACATATGTATGACATGTGTTGAGATCTTTCAGACAAGATATTTAGGTTAGAAAGGCCACCATATCCTTTTGAACCCAAGTCAAAGAAGCCTGTTTCCATGGTTAACTAGCAGCAGCATTATGGGACACTCTGGCAGGGATTATAAGACCCTTCCCTCCTCTCCAATTCTACCCCCTACCACTACCTTATTTGCAGAGGATTCTAAAACTCTCACTCATTTCATTTCAGTCAATAATACACGATAAGATAAATAAGCAAATGGCAATTATTCATTTGTTAGTGAATATTGAGTCAGGCAATTAACAAGACAAAGAAAATTAAATCGTGGATATAGTCAGATGAAGTACAAATAAAATAGCACTAAAATGAAAGTAATAAAAATACATTATAAGCCTGGAACTTAGTTAAATTTCAGCCTTAATTTTCCAGGTACAAGTTTGGAAAAACCACACTTTAGAATACAAGGCTTTTATACTTCATTTTTCTATGTGGCCAGATTAACTTGAACAATTTTCCATGCTATTATTTTTTAAAATAACAGAAGAAAAAGAGGAGGAGGGAAAGGAGGAGGAGAAAGAAAAAGAAAGAGACTGTCTATGCTGAAATGAAAATGGGGAAGACAATAGGGACATGGAATGAAGCAAAGATACAAAGAGAGGACCTTAAAATAACTGGGATTTGAAAGCTAATATAATTCAGACAAGTGAGGCTTTCTATAGAATCTTCACCCTGTTCTGGATTCTCTTTCTGTCCCAGCTCTTTCTGTTTTTCAGCAAGCCATTCTTTCTCTTGTCTTCTTTTCAAGGCACCTGGTAGGCAACCCTTCCTAGTATAATGGGATAGCTCCCTTGACCCTTTCGTGGGACTCATGAAGGGGTGGCTTGCTTACTCAGCCCACAGCTCTCAACTCCTTGCAGGTAGGTAAGTGAGTGCAGAGTCTGGGATGAGTGCTTCTGGGTGACCAGCAGGAGCAGAACTCTGTGCGAGCCCATGGAAGCGCCTAGGGGTTGCCCATGACCCCCAGAGCCCCTGAGGGCATGTGTTAAAGTGTACTGTCTTAGCTTTGCCATCCACAGATGGCTAAGTGTTTAACAGCTCTGTGTGACAGCCCTCTGTATCCTGAGCTCTTGTTCAGTGTCCAGGAAGAATCAGATCACACAAACAAATTGAAGATGGTGTCCAGGAAGAATCAGATCATACAAACAAATCAAAGATGGTGAATGTGGAGCATTTTATCGAGCAGTGGAAGTGGCTCTCAGTGGGATGGAGAGCTGGAAAGGGATGGATTGGGAAAATAATCTTCCCCTGGAGTTCGGCTGTCCCTGGCTGAAGTCTTCTTTGAGGTCCTCTCAACGAACTGTCCCTCTGAAATCAAGCTGCTTCTCTCCAATGTCTGACTGCTTTTTCTCTTCTCTCCTTCTCTGCTGCTCTGCTGGTGAGGCCTAGGATTTTTATAGGTACAGGATGGGGTTGTGGCGGGCCAGGGTGGCTTTGGAAAAGGCAACGTTCAGGCAGGTAAAAAGGAATGTATATTCTCATTTTGGGCCATAGGTCCAGGCTTGAGGATGTGACCCTCACTGGAGATCGCCCTCTTCTACCCAGTATTTCCCTACCTGCTGTCCGTATCATTAGGAAATAGAAAACCAAAGGCAATTCCTCTTTGGAGAGTATCTTTGAGGTGAAAGAGCCTCATTAAACAATAAAGGGCTCCTAATGGTAATTCCTGCATGCCCAACTCTTGACTTTTAGCGAAGATGCATCTGCATCTGGGATGGTTAAGTATTTCTCAGCCAAGCCAACTGAGTAAGTTCTAGAAGCCTCCAGTCAGCCAGGTACTGATCTGGCTTCTAGGAAGTCCAGGCTGAAACAACTTAGCCATCAGACACAGAACGCAGAGTGCCTAGGGCTCACAATACTTTTAGGGGCCCGTGAACATATTTTAATTTCTTTTAAAATCAGAATCTTTAAAAATGAATATAACAACAGGAATGTACTTAATGCCATTGAATTACATGCTAAAAAAGATTAAAATAGTAAATTTTATATCATGTATATTTTATGTTATGCATATTTTACCACAATAAAAAAATGCGGATGTCATTTTGAAAAACAAACTCTGTAGAAACTCAAAGCTAAGCCCAGAAATGATGCTGATAATATAATATCCATAAACACCTCAGAGCAAAGAAACTGATGACAGCTGTTATACAGAAAATTGGTCTTAAAATAGGGCATAGAAGTCCAAGAGTGCTTCCCAGTGGGGGATTAAAAAAAGAACACTGTGTGATAACAACACTCATTGGTATGTTAGTAATAATTTCAGGAGGGTTAAGAATAACGTGGTCATATCACATGGCCATAAAATACAGTAACGCAGTCAAAAATAGGTAAGGATTCAAACTGCGTAAAAGAGGGGAGAAAAGATGGGTATTTTTTACAAAATGAAAATGAGAAATATAGCCTAAAAAGATATTTCTTTTTAAAAAGCTTTTATTTTAAGTTCAGAGGTATATGTGCAGGTTTGTTTATGTAGGTAAATTTCATATCATGGGGGTTTGGTGTACAGATTATTTTGTTACCCAGGTAATAAGCATAGTACCCAATAGGTAGTTTAGATATTTCTTTAATAAGCTTTAAATCCAAAAAAAAAAAAAGAAGAATATAGTCTAACTCGGATTACTTTTGTCTTTATATCAACTCAGTTGTAAAATATATTTCTTTGTTTGCTTTAGTGGAGGAAGGGGCCCATGAAGGCAAAAGTGCTTAGGGCCCAGGAAAGTCATAGTGCATCCAGGAAGTCCAGGGTCCCGGGGGACTTGAGGCCACAGCTCATTTCCAACCAGCACAGAAATCTCAATATTTTAGCAATGCCACATCCATACCAGTGCATAGAGTCCCAGTAGTAGGACAGGCAATCCTGCCATTTCAGGGACTAACTGCTGTTAAAGGGATATAGTTTCTTCTTTACTCTGAAACAATACATGGACGCCTTGTCCATGTATTGTGAAACAATTCTCTGTTAAAAACTTTCTCAGTTTCTAACAGCCAGCTTTGGATCAGTTCTCTAATGTACCTTCTTTCCAACTTTTCCGCTGTTCTGGTTCTTTGGGAAATGATGGAGGTACTTTCAAGAGAAGGTATCTTTAATTGAAATTGAGATGAGCTATAATAAACATCCAGTTTAAGAGGAGAAGTTCAAAATAAACGGGTTGCAATTTTCTTCCATTTCCCTGCTTGGAAATGACCCCATGGCTTCCTAATCCTCTGTATTTCTTTACCAATGCTTAGAGCTATGGAATGATAAACTGCATTCCCTTTACTTTCTATAATGCTGTCCCACTTTATACAAATGTGGATTAAGGAAACGTAAGAGACCATAATATAAAAATTAATCAAGTCTCAATTTATGCACAACATTTGAGATAATATAAATCCAAATATTTTCAGATTTCTTCAAAACTTGCATAATTGCAGATGTAGTAGACCGAATGAATGGTGAACTGTGTTCATGGCAAGGCCACATGGTGAAGTCTCTAGCAAGAAAATATTCTCTCCTTTTTCAGTATGTGTGAATTATATGCTTGTTTATGTGCACGACAACATCTGTTAAGAGTTCAATCACTACTCTCTGTTATTTAACTATCCACTGTTATTATAATCAAAAGTTATTTGTATCCAATAACAATGTCATGCAAGCATTCATTAAATGTGGGTGTCAGAAGCAGCGCTAAAAACGTGCCTCAAAATCAATTGCTTTGGAAAAGACATTAGAAGTAAGTGAACAAAATTGCAAATAAAGGCAAACAACTGTCATGGTATGCTGTGCTGTTAATGTGGAAACAAATAACATGAGAAATATTAGAAATAATGCTGAAAAAATTAAAAGCATAAATATATAATGCAATGGTTAATGATTTATGTGCCCTAAAAATACATCCCACATTATTTATATTTATAATATTTAGTCCTTTGAAATTTGTGAGTTTTTAATTAGATTTCTTTTATTTAAAGATACAGTCCAATCCCATGTAAATAAGAAAATGGACCTGAAATGCATTTTAAAATGATATGTTTCTTTCCTTGTGGTTTTTCTGATGATAAACCATCACACTTGTTACATTGGATAATTCTAAAAAGTGTAAAGATGAAGAAAATCACCTAGAATCTCAACATTCATTGGCCAACTGTGCTAGCATTTTGGCAGTTTCCCTAGTTTCTAAAATTTTCTCTATATTTTTATGTAGTTTGGATAAAATATACATGCAACTTTGTAACTTAATTTTTTTACCCTTAAATGAAGATTTATCAAGACACTAAGAACTATCTATGGAGATTATAAAGGCTGCACAATATTTCATCATATGACTATAACATACTTGATTAATGCTACTTCTAATGTTACAGCCCAATGGATTCTTCTTGCCTGCCATCCCCCAAAAAACAATACATTGAGAACAGCAGGTGTTGCAGCAAAGAAAGAGTTTAGTTATCACAGGACCAGCCAAGCAGAAGGACAGGAGAAATTTCTCAAATCCACCTTCCCAACAATTCAGAGGCTAGGGGTTTTAAGAATAATTTGGTGGGCTAGGGCCTGGGGAACTGAAAAGATTGGCTGAGAATGAAATCACAGGAGTGTCTAAACTGTCTTTGCATAGCTGAGTCAGTTCCTAGGAGAGGATCTCAGGACCAGGGAACATTTCTCTGACTGCTGAAATGCTAAATGTGAAAAATATCTCAAAGACCAGTTCTTTAGGTTTCACAACAGTGAAGTTATCTGGGAGTAGTTGGGGAAGTTATAAATCTTGTGACCCTCGTTAAATGGATCTGGAGCAGTAAGCAACGTATAGAAAAGCAAGTTAAGCAATGCCAGGTCATTATTTAACTATGCCTATTCTTTAGCAAAGTTCAAGCCCTTACCATAAGTCTAACCTTATGACCTTTTGTTAGTATTTACAAATACGGTTTCCATTTTTGAACGAGGGTATCAGTTCAGAAAAAGAACTGTTATGGCCTCCACACAAGAAGGAGCAAAAGCAGCTGAGCCTGGTAGAAGCAAGATGGACTCAGTTATGTCACATTTCCCTTCTTACTATAGTTTTTGCAAAGGCAGTTTCAGTAATACTAAATATTTAGGTACTTTCCAAGTTTTGTCATCATAAATAATTCAGTGATGAATGTATTTGCATATGAATTTTATTGCTAGTTTCAATTACTTTTCTTTGGGGAAGTTTCCTAGAAAAAGAATTATTAGGTCAAATTTTTTTTTTTTCCCTTTTTGAGACCAAGTCTCACTCCATCACCCAGGCTGGAATGCAGTGGCACAATCTCTGCTCACTGCAACCTCTGCCTCCCGGGTTCAAGAGATTCTCCTGCCTCAGCCTCCCAAGTAGCTGGAATTACAGACACGCACCACCACATGTGGCCAATTTTTGTATTTTTTTAGTAGAGACAAGGTTTCGCCACATTGGCCAGGCTGGTTGCAAATGTCTGACCTCAAGTGATCCACCTGCCTCGGCCTCCCAAAGTGCTGGGATTACAGGCCTGAGCCACCCTGCCTAGCCTCAAGTAGTATGTTTTGAAAACATTGACAATTTTATTCTCAAAAGAAAAATCTTTTTGTCTTAATTCATATTGTTTAGTATTTGTAAATGGGGTGTGTTCCCTATATTTACTAGTTAGTTGATTATATTTCCTACTTTGTAAACTGCCCATATATTATTTCCTTTGCTCATTTCTCTAGGGTCATTAACATTTCTCCTGCCAATATGTATGAGTTCTATATATATTAAGTATATTAAACAATAAACTACCACATTTGCTGTTTCTATGTCTTAAATATTATTTTTTTAAATAGAAAAATATAAATCAGAATGTAGCATATAATGAAGGTGGCGTCCTAAACCCCTTACTTCCCTAAATCGGTTATGCTACCTTTTCAAAACATTTCTGATTATTCTTATCTGTTTGTCCTTTCAAATAATTCCTGGAATCTTAAAATTCTCATAGAAAACAAATTCCATTGGAATTTCATTATATTAAACTTATAAATTTGGTTTATAGTTAGTTTAGTTTTCCAGTTCCCTAAAATGGTAGCTATTCCTTTTTATTTGAGATATCTGCCTCAGTCATGTTTTGGTTCATATTTTAAAACAAACAGATAATGGCTTCAATTTCTTCTTTTGGATCCTCAAGGGTTGCAGTCAGATGGAAGCCAGAGCTGGAGTCCAGGCTCTGCTAAGCTGATTATCCACGATGGCTTCCTCACTCGTAAGTCAAGCTTGCCAGTGTTCCTCCCACGGCCTCTCCCTCCAACAGAGTAGCCTGGATTCTCTGGTGGCTCAGAGCTTAAAAGGTGGAGGCAATCTTAAAGCTAGGCTTAGAACTGGCACACAGTCACTTTTGCCATGTTCTACTGATCACCTCAACTCGAGATGGAGGAATCCTCACCTTCAATGGTGAGTGGCTTGTGCCAACAGGAAGGTCTGCCATCTTTGGAGATAAACTGCCACATTATCTTTTATTGATCCTGGTGAAACTTTCCTCACTAAAGAATTTTGAATTTGTGTTGCTAATAATAATTAGTATGCTTTTTTCTTTTATAATTTATTAACTGTTAGTGTTGATGTGAAGGAAAGCTATTGTCTTATTTATTCTAATTACTTCTCAGATTAATATCTTGGTTCTCCTGAATAGATAATTATACTATTGGAAAATAAGATGTTTTTCTCTTCTTTACCAATAGTTAAATATCTTATTTCTATCTCATGTCTACTGCCCTGGTTAAGATTTTCAGAATAAGGCTAATTGGAAGCAGCCTTGTTTTGTTTCTGTTGCATAATTTGTAAAGTAGAAATACATTCAAGTTATAAACTGGACATTCTTAAATTAACATACATATTTCCCAGAGCTATATTAAGCCACTTATTTTTATGTGTTGATGCAATACAAATGAATAGAAAGTGGGTTCTTATTCCAGATAAATTGAATTCAGGGAGGGGACAAGTAAACAAGATGAGGAAGAAAGTGTCTAATATACTTTAGATACGGCAATATTTTTCCCTGAAATCGATAAACATCCAAAAATAAATCATAACCATAAAACATTGTCATGATTCCAATAAACAGCTAATATCTCAAAATAAATGTAAAATATCATAAGCTTTAGCAATTTCTCCTTTCTTCCCAAGTTTGACTATACTAGGTGCAAATAATCATTTCAAGTACACAAATAGGTAGAAGACTACGGTTCTTGTACTCACATGTGGCTGATAATCATATGGTGGAACATAATCTTCTGAGTACGTTGTCAATGCACACCTAAGAGGGATAAGTCAATGAGGAAAGAATGACTTCAAAAACGAAAAATATTTTACATTTTTATTGGTATACACTTTACATGAAATAAAAACATTTCAGGAAGGATTGGCCCTAATCAAAATTTAAAACCCCACAACTGTCCCAGCCTCTGTATATAGTATTGCCCACCAGCAGCAGGGTACCCCTTACTTCAATTTCAGCAGTCTCCCTTATCCTTAGAGAATATGTTCCAAGACCCCTAAGTGGATGTCTGAAGCCTCCGATAGTACTGAATCCAATTGCTGTCAATTAGAACACATTTCTGTTCACGTTTTCTACCCACAAATATAGTGCCTTTTTCATCTTAGCTAAGGACTTATCAAGCACTATGGCCTTCACTATTGCAGTTTGAGATACAACAGCAAAACTAGCATGGATTTTTCTTTTCTTCTTTATAATTGCAAGGATGAAAGATTTGTTCTTACCATAGGTCTTAGCAACCTCAGCATACGATTTTTTTTTCTCTCCTTAAGTTGAGAACTTTCATCTTTAAGCACCTAAAGTGCTTAAAGGAAGCACTTGACAGCTCGTCTTTAGCATATCTGAATGCCTGCACCACCACTCTTGCACTCTAGAGCCATCATCAAGTATAATAAGGGTTACTTGAACACAAGCACTGCAATACCATGACAATCTAATAATGAAGAAGGCTACTCAGTGACTAACAGCCAGGGACAGTAGACAGTGTGGAGACACTGGACAAAGGGAGGATTCATGTCCTGAACTGGATGAAGCCAGATGACACAAGATTTTGTGGCACTACTCAGAGCCACCTGCAAGTTAAAACTTACAAATTGTTCATTTCTGAAATTTTCTGTTTAATATTTTCGGACTGCAGTTGACCTCATGTAACTGAAACTGTGGAAAACAAAACTATGAATAAGGGGAGACTACTGTACTTCCAATTTAGCACCACCTACTACTCTCCTGTACTAATGATATGTGTGAAAGCCCAGGCTCAAGTCCCTGAGCTCAGGAGCTCTGCATTCCAAGGATTCTCTTTACCACCAACTTCCTGCCTCTATGAACTTTTTGACCCACATTCTTTGCCAGGTGACCGCTGAAGAATAGTGGAGGACAGCCAGATAGACTGAGATTACATAACATTCCCAACCTCCACCCCATTAAACACACAGAAATGCTGGATGAAATACATCCACACTCATCCCCCAAAGTCTACAAGTATAGCCAAGCCCAAAAGGGAAACCCTGAGGTGCTAGAACTGAAGAGGATAGTCATTATAATGGGAAATCATAAACTGATGTGGAATTTGACCCACACATCTAGAGTAAGAGACTTGGCCTTAGATTCACAGGAGGCAGAGAGCTGAACTCCAACTGCAGCCAAGAATCTGTAAAGGTTATACCTCCATATAAAAGAAACCAGAGAAACCTCAGCTATCAATCCAGAGAAACTTGCAAGAAAGTTTCTCTCTGCTTGAGTTCACAGTAGGGGAAAAATTATTCTCTTATGATAAATTAAAACCCCACCTCCATTCCTGGCAATATTATGGGACTGGATGGCCAAAGAAACTCCTCTGAGTATTGCATACTGAAAAACCAGGGTAAAAGGAAATTTTAAGAAGTTTTAACGCATGGCTGAGCTGGTGAGAAAGTAACAGAACCCCAACAAGAATCCCAAAATAACAAGTCCAACTTAGACGGGCTGTTGGATACCTGGGTGGTAACCACCAATTCTTGCCAGGCCCTCAGGTTGTGGTGATTTCCTGAGTAGTAGCAGCAGTACCTGGGAACAGAAATGCGAATACTTGGTTCCCACCACAAAACAACTAAATTAGAAACTCTAGGGGTGGGACCCAGCAATACATATCTCAGCAAGCCCTTCAGGTGATTCTGATGTACACTAGAGTTTGAGTACTAATGATTAAAACAACAAAAATTAGAAATGTAACTTTCAAACCATCAAATGGGTTTTTTTTTAAAGACAAATCTAATAGAAGTCAGGAAAGGAGAATAAAAGGAACAGGGGGACATTATTTCTGCTCATAAAACAAATTAAAATCATAAAAATAAAATTAAATATCTTAGCAATTATAATAAAAATAAAGGGGTTAAGCCTATCCGTGAAAATATTTTCTCAGACTTAAATTGAACATCAAACTGTATTTAAAAAAAAAACCTCCTATTTGTCATGTTCGGTGGCATGTGTCTATAGTCCCAGCTACTCAGGAGGTTGAGGCAGGAGGGTCAATTGAGCCCAGGAGTTCTGAGCTATAGTGCTGTATGCCTATGGGGTGTCCACACTAAGTTCAACATCAGTATGGTGACCTCCCAGGAGCAGGACCACCAGATTGCCTAAGGAGGGGTGAACCAGCCCAGGTCAGAAAGGCAGCAGGTCAAAACTCCTACACTGGCTGGCTCAGTAGCTTGCACCTGTACTCCCAGCTACTCAGGAAGCTGAGGAAAGAGATCTCTTAAAGCCAGGAGTTCGAGGCTGCCATGAGCTATAGCAGCACCAGCACAGGTGACAGAGAGAGATCCTGTCTCTAAAATAAAAACAATTTTTAATGATCAGCTACCTGCTTTTATATCTAAAATAAAATTACTTTCAAAGAAGCTTGAAAGTAAAAATACATAAAAATATATACCAATGCATGGAAATTAAAATATGTACTTCTCAGTGACCAGTGGCTTAATGAAAACATTAAGAAGGAAATTGAAAAATTCCTTAAAACAAATGACAATGAAAACACAACATACCAAAACTTAAAGGATACAGTGAAAGCAGTACTAAGAGGGAAATTTATAGCTATAAGTGCCTACATCAAAAAAGAAGAAACACCTCAAATAAATAACCTAAATAACCTATTGATGCATCTTAAAGAACTAGAAAAGCAAGAGCAAACTGAATCCAAAATTAGTAGAAGAAATGAAATAATAATCAGAGTAGAAATAAATGAATTTGAAATGAAGAAAACAATACAAAAGAATGATTTTTTTTTAATTGTTTTTTTTTAAAAAAATAAACAAAATTGACAAACCTTTAGCCAGACTAAGACAAAAAGAGAGAAGACCCAAATAAATAAAATCAGAGATGAAAAAGGAGACATTACAACTGATAGGGCAGAAATTCAAAGGATCGTTAGTGGCTACTACAGGAAACTATATGCCAATAAATTAGAAAATCTAGAAGAAATGGGCAAAACTCCTAGACACATACAACCTACCAAGACTGAACCATGAGGAAATCCAAAACCTGAACAGGGTAGTTGACAGAGCAGGAGCGTCGCCATCTTGGACAAACACCACCATTTTAAAGTTCACTTTCATCAAAAACTGCCTGAATCCAAAGGGCATCAGCCTAATGGCTAAGGTCAGCATGTTCATAAACCACAAATGACATCTCCAACCAGAAACATTCCAACCTTAAGATAAACCCCTCCCCAACCAGAGAGATGTCAGCCCCAAGATAACCTCCCCTCCAACCAGAGTCATTCCAACCCCACATAAACTTCTCCCCAACACAGAAACATTCCAAGCCTATGATAAGTTCTCTAGCCCTGAACCTTTAAATACTCTTAGTCTGTATGAGAGAATGCTCCTGACGGAAATCGGCCAGAAGCCCCTCTCAGGTTTATTCTCCAAAATAAACCTGTCTTTGACTGTTGAGCCACTTTTTGTGTTTCTTTCCTCTTTCTTTAACTCTTACACCAATAACAAGTAATGAGATCACAGATAAAAAATCTCCCAGTAAAGAAAATCCCAGGACATGAGGGCTTCACTGCTGATTTCTACCAAACATTTAAAGAACTGATACCAATCCTACTCAACTATTCTGAAATATAGAGGCAGAAGGTATACTTCCAAATTCATTCTAAGAGGCCAGTATTACCCTGATTCCAAAACCAGACAAAGACACATCAAAAAAAGAAAACTACAGGCCAGTATCTCTAATGAATATTGATGCACAAATCCTCAATAAAATACTAGCAAACCAAATTCAACAACACGTTAAAAAAATCATTCATCATGACCAAGCAGGATTTATCCCAGAGACACAAGGATGGTTCAACCTGTGCAAATCTATCAGTGTGATACATCATATCAACAGAATGAAGGATAAAAATTATACAGTCATTTCAATTGATGCAGAGAAAGTATTTGATAAAAGTTCAACATCCCTTTATAATACACATCCTCAAAAAATTGAGTATAGAAAGAACATACTTCAACATAATGAAAGCTTTATATGACAGACCCACAGCTAGTGTCATACTGAATGCAGAAAAACTGAAAGCCTTTCCTATAAAATCTGAAATACAACAAGGATGGCCACTTTCACCACTGTTATTCAACATAGTACTGGAAATCTTAGCTAGAGCAATTAGACAAAAAAAAGAAATAAAGGGCATCCAAATTGGAAAGGAAGAAGTCAAATTATCCTTGTTTGCACATGACATGATCTTATATTTAGAAAATCCTAAAGACCACCAAAGAAACTATACTGATAAACAAATTCAGTAAAGTTGCAGGACACAAAATCAACATACAAAAATCAGTGGCAGATCAGGCATGGTGGCTCATGCCCCCAGCATTTTAGGAGGCCAGGTGGGTGGATCACTTGAGGCCAGGAGTTCAAGACCAGCCTGGGCAACATGGTGAAACCCAGCTTCTACAAAAATACAAAAATTAGCCAGGTGTGGTGGCACACACCTCTAATCCCAGCTATTCAGGTGGCTGAGGCAGGAGAATTGCTTGAACTTGGGAGGCAGCGGTTGCAGTGAGACATGATCACACTACTGCATTCCACCCTGGGTGACAGAGCAAGACGGTCTCAAAAAAAAAAAAGGCATTTCTATATGTTAACAGGGAACAATCTGAAAAAGAAATTTAAAAAAAACCTAATCCCATTTACGATAGCCACAAATAAAATTAGATACCTAGGAATTAACCAAAGAAGTGAAAGATCTCTACAATGAAAACTATAAAACATGGATGAGAGAAATTGAAGAGAACACCACAAAATGGAAAAATATTTTATGTTCATGGCTTGGAAAACTCAATATTGTTAAAATGTCCATATTACCCAGAGCAATCTACAGATTCAATGCAACCCCTATCAAAATACCAATGACATCTTTTATGGAAATAGAAGAAACAATCCTAAAATGTATATGGAATAACAAAAGACACAGAATAGCCAAAGCTATCCTGAGCCAAAAGAACAAAACTGCAAGAGTCACATTATTTGACTTCAAATTATGTTACAAAGCTATAGTAACCAAAACAGCATGGTATTAGCATAAAAACAGACACACAGACCAATGGAACAGAATACAGAACCCAGAAACAAATCCACACACCTACAGTGAATTCATTTTTGAGAAAGGTGCCAAGAACAGACACTGGAGAAAAGACAGTCTCTTCAACAAACGGTGCTGGGGAAACTGGATTTCCATATGCAGAAAATGAAACTAGACCCCTATCTCTCACCATATACAGAAATCAAATCAAAATGGATTAAAGACTTTAATCTGTGACCTCAAACTATGAAACTACTACAAGAAAACATTGGGAAAAATCTCCAGGACATTGGTCTGGGCAAAGACTTCTTGAGCAATACTCCACAAGCACAGGCAGCCAAAGCAAAAGTAGACAAATGGGATCACATCAAGTTAAAAATCTTCTGCATGGCAAAGGATACAATCAACAAAGCGAAGGGATAACCCACAGAATTGGAGAAAATATTTACAAACTACCCATCTGACAAGGGATTAGTTACCAGAATATATAAAGAGCTCAAACAACTCTACAGGAAAAAAAAAATCTAATAATCCTATCAAAAAATGGGCCAAAGATTTGAATAGACATTTCTCAAAAGAAGACATACAAGTGGCAAATAGGCATATGAAAAGGTGCTCAACATCATTGATCATTAGAGAAATGCAAACCAAAACTACAATGAGATATCATCTCATGCCGGTTAAAATGGCTTATATCCACAAGACAGGCAATAACAAATGCTGGTGAGGATGTGGAGAAAAGGAAACCCTTATATACTGTTGTAAGAATGTAAATTAGTACAACCACTATGGAGAACAGTTTGGAGGTTCCTCAAAAAGCTAACAATTGAGCTATCATATGATGCAGCAATCCCACTGCTGGGTATATATGCAAAACAAAGGAAATCAGTATATCAAAGAAATACCTGCACTCCCAAGTTTGTTGCAGCACTGTTCACAATAGCCAAGATTTGGAAGTAACCTAAGAATTCATCAACAGGTGAATGGATAGAGAAAATGTGGTACTTATAGACAATGAACCACTATTCAGCCATTAAAAAGAATGAGATTCTGTCTTTTGCAACAACATTGATAGAACAGGAGATCACTATGTTAAGTGAAATAAGCCAGGCACAAAAAAAACAAATATCACATGTTCTCACCGTGTTTGAGGGATCTACAAACCAAAACAACTGAACTCATGGACATAGGGAGTAGAAGGA
The DNA here is from genome assembly GCF_000001405.40 of Homo sapiens. Taxonomy (NCBI): domain Eukaryota; kingdom Metazoa; phylum Chordata; class Mammalia; order Primates; family Hominidae; genus Homo; species Homo sapiens. Next base: position 69,880,333 of record NC_000009.12, on the reverse strand, counting down.
TGGTTACCAGAGGATGGGAAGGATAGTCAGGGCAGGGAAGGGATGGCATAGTGGGGAGGTGGGATGGTGAATGGGTACAAAAAATAATAGAGAGAATGAGTAAGACCTAGTATTTAATAGCACAACGTGGGGACTATAGTCAATAGTAATTTAATTGTACACTTTAAAATAACTAAAAGAGTATAATTGGATTGTTTGTAACACAAAGGATAAATGCTTGAGAGGATGGATACCCAGTTTTTCATGATGTGATTATTATGCATTGCATGCCTGTACCAAAATCTCATGTATTCTATAAATACATACACCTACTATGTACCCACAAAAATTAAACATAAAATAATAAAAAATAAACCAAAACAAACAAAAATATATAAAAGTATATACAGTGTGATGTGAGAGACCAAAATAGATGCCCCTTTATCAACTAAGACAGAACCTAAGGTTAAAAAAAAAACAAAAAGTTACCTATGGGTTGGGGATTCAGGGATGGTTTGGCATGGCAAATTTCTAAATTCTCACTAAATATCCTAACAATAGGAGATATCAGGCCAATTGTCCTAATTCTGACTTACGATCCAAACCACTATGACTCTAATTGGATAAAGGACTGGCCTTACAAACTTTCTTCTCTGATAAGCAATTGCAGACCTTTAAACAGTTTCAGCCAGCTGATAGAGGCTGTGCATAAACTGTCTTTGTGTCCTAAAGTTCACCCTTTGATAAAGCCAAATTCCACCTCATTTTAATGTTAAAACCCAGTCCCAAAGTGAACGTAGGATGTATGTCATATGCATATTTATCCATTACATATGCGCACAGCTCCCTCATAAATACGTATAGCTTTTCCCCCCGAACCTCCTGAATATGCATGATTCAGGCCCTGTGAGGCATAAAACCCAAACTGTGCTTCCCCTCGTCCATGCTGGAGACTTTCTCTTCCCAGCTTCCAAACCAATATCTCCAATAAAGCTCTCCTTTCTACTATTTAGCCATCCTGGTGATCTTTTGGTCAACAATAGCAAATATTAACCAAAGGAAATTGAATTCTTATAATAACATCCTATGTAAGAGACTTTGAGCAAAAATTACTAGTTACAAAGATCATTATCTACTGATTAAAAGAGCAAGTCACCAAGAAAGTATATAACAATCTTATGTCAATAAACCTAACAACATATAGAATATTGACACTGTTTGGATATTTGTCCCTGCCCAAATCTCATGTTGAATTGTAATTCCCAATACTGGAGGTGAGGCCTGGGGGGAGGTGTTTGGGTCATGGAGGCAGATCCCTCATGGCCTGGTGCCATCGTCATAATAGTGAGTGAGTTCTCGCACTATCTGGTCATATAAAAGTGTGTAGCTCCTGCCCCCCAACTCTCTTTCTTGCTCCTGCTTCTGCCATGCGATGTGCCTGCTCCCCCTTCACCTTCTGCCATGAGTAAAAGCTGTCTGAGGACTCCCTAGAAGCTGAGCAGATGCCAGCACCATGTTTCCTATAAAGCCTGTAGAACTGTGAGCCAATTAAACCTCTTTTCTTTGTAAATTACCCAGTCTCAGGGATTTCTTTATAGCAATGCAAGAACAGCCCAATACAAATACGTAAGACAAAAATAGACCAGAATCACAGAAATAAAATGACAAATCCACATTTATGCAGGAAGATTGTAACACACATTTCTCAACCCTTTGGTTCCTTAAATCCAAATCTCTACATACATCCTCCAAAACCATACAGGTCAACAGTAAAGCAAATAAAACTTCACAATTGCCCAGAGGTAGAGCATAGTGAAGGATAGGGAATACCACAAACTTGGATTTACATGTAGGTAGAACAGTCCAGAATCCGTAGAGCCAAATCAGAGCCCATGCTGAAACAGAATCAGGCAGGGATTATATGGAAGACAGGAGAGGTGGCAAGTCTCTAGCAGGGGTGAAACACAGAGGACAGCACCCACAGAAGGAGAACGCCCTTCCCTGATGAGGAAATCGTAAGAACAAGTCTAAGACCAGAAGATCTGAAGCATGACTTTTCAAGGAAGTATCCAGGACCACAGTTATAGTCTTGGGAAGACACTGCTTCTGGGAAGGAGCAGTACAACTAGAAGGTAAAGAAAAATGAGAAATAAAACACAAGAAAATAAGGATCCTAGGGCTGTAAGGTAGTATCACGATTATCAGTAAACATCACTCCCTCCTATGTTTCACCACCCCAGAAACGTGTCATTAATTAAATAAGCCTCACTTCACTGTTAGAACTGAAGAGGGCACTCTTGAACTAGGATATTGAGCAAACTGCCCAAAGTTTTCATTCCTCCTGGATAGAATTATCTATGATTGCTGCTAGTCCAGGAAAATCCATCATACTTTAAATGAACAGAACAAGGCAACATTACTATGAGAAGAACACAATAAAGAAGAATAAAAACTAAGCTCATGAAAATTCTCCCCCTGAAATAGTCCCAGTCACAGAAGTCCTCCATTAGCATTTCTATTCAATAATGCACTAGAGAGCCTAGAAAATGCAGTAAAACAAGAAAGACAAGCAAAATCAACATTAGCAAATAGCATAATTGGAATAAAGGAAACAAAATCATCATCTTCCATGGATGACAAAGTTGTTTACATTTTTAAAAATACAAGAGAATCTACAAATTATAACAATAGGCAAGTTTCAGCAAGGTTGTTGGATAAAAGATCAATATACAAAAATAGCATAGCCATATACCTGCAACAAGAAATTAGAAAGCATAATCAAAGGAGGAAAATCCCATTTATACTTGCAACAAAATATCTGTTTCCTATAAGAATACATGTAACAGAAGATATACAAGTCATTTATGGGGAAAATACAAAATGTTGTGGAAAAACGTAAAATAATTTATGTACGTGTGGAATGGTGGATATAATGATAGCAATTATTCCATCCAAAAAATTTAAAGCACTTCCAATCTAAACACCAATAAGGTGTTTTGTAGAACTTGACAAACAAATCCTAATAGTCATATGACTCTATGAAGTGCCAAAGAGAGTCAGTATAAAAATAGACCAATTGAGAAAATGTAAAGCCTAGAAGCAGAACTGCTTAAATATAGGAATTTGGTGTATGATGGAAATGGCCTTACAAGTTAGTGAGGAAAGAGTGAGTCACGTGATGCTGGGCTAAACCTTTAGTCTTATAAAAATATTACATATAAGCATATATAATTACATGTATATTACGTATATATGTATGCATTATATATGAAATTTCTAAAATTTTAGAATTTGACATTTCATATTTAGGTCTTGACTAAATTGTAAATTAAAACTTCTGTTGATCAAAAGATACTATAAACAAAGTTTTCAGAAAAGTCATAGACTGGAAGAAGATGTTTATTATAAATCTAACCAAAAGGCTGGGTGCAGTGGCTCATGCCTGTAATCCCAACACTTTGGGAGGCCAAGGCAGGTGGATCACTTGAGGTCAGGAGTTTGAGACCAGCCTGGCCAACATGGTGAAACCCCGTCTCTACTAAAAATACAAAAATTAGCCAGGCGTGCTGGCGGGTGCCTGTAGTCCCAGCTACTTGGGAGGCTGAGGCAGGGGAATCACTTGAACCCAGGAGGCGGAGGTTGCAGTGAGCCAAAACTGCGCCATTGCACTCTAGCCTGGGAGACAGCGCAAGACTCCATCTCAAAAAAATAGTAAAATAAAATGAAATAAATCTAACCAAAAGAGGATCAATAAAATAAATCTAACCAAAAGAGGATTAATAACAGAATTAATTTTTTAAAACTCTTTTTTTTTTCTTTTTAGACAAAATCTCACTCTGTCATCCCCAGGCTGGAGTGCAGTGGCACAATCATGGCTCACTGCAACCTCTGCCTCCCAGGTTCAAGCAATTCTCCTGCCTCAACCTTCCAAGTAGCTGGAACTACAGGCATGCATCACCAGGCCCAAGTAATTTTTGTATTTTTAGTAGAGATGGGGTTTTGTCATGTTGGCCAGGCTGGTCTTGAACTCCTGGCCTCAAGAGATCCACCTGCCTTGGTCTCCCAAAATGCTGGGATTATAGGCCTGAGCCACTGTGCCCAGCCTTTAAAACTCTTGCAAATCAAATTTAGTAATTAGTGAAATGCAAAGTAAAACAACAATGAAATGCCATGTAATATCTATTAGATTGATAAAAATTAAAAATCCCTATTTATAAGGATATGAAACAATAAATATGTTCAAGCAAAACTAGTGGCAATATCTTGCAAAATTGAAGGTGCATATGTCTTATTACCCAACAATTCTGAGTATAAAGAAAACTCTTTTTTAAAAAATGTTATTGCGAATTGGTGATTTATAATTGTAATATTTATGGTGTATAAAGAAACTCTTACATATATATTCAAGGAGATGTGTATAATGACAGTTACTGTGGCCTTATTTGTAATAGTGAAAATTTGGAAGCTAATGTCCTGCAAGAAAATGGATATATTGAATGGCCATATAAATCATGATAAACCATTTCTTTAAAAACATTGAAGCATGTATAGTAAAAATATTAACTTACATTATAACTGGGTAATGAGTAGATGGATGTTTGAAGAGTATTTTAGATAATGAAAATATTCCATAATCTTAAAATATGTTTGTGTTAATAGACAACAGTGAACTTGCTTCCCTACCCTCTTCCTACTCAAAGTTATGACTCAAATGATATGCTTATCAGGAACCCCAGCAGAACACTGGAGAGTTGCTTTGGGTAGAACTGTCCTGCAGGTCAGCTTTTGGGTATCTCTCCACTCGTGTAAAGCAGATAGAAACCTATCCCTCCTAATTGAGCCCTTTTGCCTCTCCTTATTATCACCTCCCAGCACAGAGTCTGATACAAAGTAGGCAATGAGAAACATTCATTGAATATTTAAATCAATAAAAATAAAATTAGAATATAAAGAGATATAGATTAACTACACTGAGTATGCAAAGTAAATACAGGTGAAAGATTAAAACATTCAGTTATCTTTCTAAAAAGGCATTGTGGAACAAAATGGAAACTTTTATAATATTGAATGATGACTTTCAGCCAATTACTCACCAACTCTTTGTGATTGCCTTCTCCTTCCCTCACCCCCTTAAAAAAAAAATCCAAAAAACAGGGCAACAATCAATTTTTAAGTGATAGAGAGTACATTATGTGCTCCCCAAATTTGAAATAAGGTGGTCTTTTGAGAATAAAAATATGGGAAATCAACATGGATATTCCTCTAGATATTAGCTGTAGCAAAAAGAACAAGTCCATTAAGAGAAATGCCCTTCAGAGAAACTCCAGGAAGCAAGAGGTCAGAAAAACAACAGAGGCATTATTTCTAGGCATTGTCTTGGGGAAGAGGTATCCTGGTTTACAAACAGATCCCCCTGGTTCTGGAAGCAGAGCTGGACTACATCAATGTCAATCCACCAACCCGGACTTACTGACAGCCAACAGTGATTTAAGTCATTATCTGGAACCAGCAGGAACAAGCCTGTGCCAGGTGGCTCTGCTTTACAGCTCCCATCCCTACTCGTGGCTCTTAGGTCCAAATACCAGTCTGATCAGGGCCCTCTTTGGGATTTCCTTTTCTTAATAGAAACTACTGGAAAAGGGGCACTCACTCTCCCGTGACAGTAACTGAGAGATGTAATATCCTCCAGCCGGTGGAAGAAGTTGGTCCTCAGCGGGAGGGAATAAAGCCAACAGGAAGAGAATCCCAGGTTTTTTTTAGTCCTGAGTCCAGTCATCTCTGAAGTCAGGCTCTTCCAAGGACTTTCCCAAAGTTCCATGAGGCACTCCAGTACTCTTTTAATAAACTGTCCTTTTTGCCCAAGAAAATTTTAATTGTGTTTTTGTTCCTTACAACCGAAAGAATCCTATTACAATCAGGCCACCAAAGTCTAAGGCCATTAATCATTGTAATCACGTAACCAACTCCCCTTGCTCTGATTCCAAAGAGTGAACAACATTCTGATGATTGTTTGGCTTCCCGTATGGTTTTTCACAGAGAGAGAATGCCTTTTATTAGGCTGACATGACCGTCTGGTGTGCTTGAAATTTTTATTTCTCATTATAAATTAACTACTTAGAATTCTGGTGTTTATCGTGATTTAATGAGCACGAGTTGATCTCCATGTGTCAGATAAATTCTGAAGTACTGATAAAAACAGGCTTTCTGGAAATGTAAAACCAGAAACCAGTAAATTCACTAGGATATGCCACACTGTAAGGATGCCGGGAATTTAGGTGGCTGGCTTTCACCCTGCACCACCCACAATTTGCTACACGTGCCCTCTTTTGTCTTTAACAGTTGTAGTTATTATATACTTTATAAGGCAGAGTACAATGAAAGATGTTTCGTAAGATAAGAAAGGAAAAGGTGTCTGATAATGGAGTTATCATAAAATTCATGGTATGAGTTAAAACGTCTACAGCTGCCCTAACACCAGTGGTAACATATGTGACTGGATGACAAGATGATGTACCCAAGCCCACAGAATCACAGCTTCTTAGGCTCAAAGAAACCTTAAAGATCAACTGTTTCTTTTCTGTTTTGTCTAGATGGGGGGCAGATATTTTATCACCCAGCTTCCTGGCAGCCAGAACAAGGGCATGTGACATGTATTCACCAAATCAGACGGGTCATCTAGGAGTCTGAATGTGAGTACGTGACTTAAAGAAGCAGAGAACTAATTTGGAGTTAATCTTGTCACTGGCAGCAGTAGAAGCAGTATTCATTACTTAAGATAAATATAGCCACAGCGGGTCACGGAATCTACCTGACCCTGTGTTGAGGTGACGGGGTGCATTGTGCAGGTGAGGCCGCAATCTACAACCACTCTGGAAAACTCTGTCTCATTCTTAACAGCAACCATCATTCACAAAAACAAACAAACAAACAAACAAACAAAAAAACTTAGGTTGAGCTGATACAGACATGCCGGTCATTTCCTCCTACTTCTACCTGCTGAATTAGCCACAGAACAAATCCACAGCTGCTGAATGCCAGGCTTATTTTTTTATCTTATTTATTGGAGACAGGATCTCACTCCGTCACCCTAGCTAGAGTGCAGTGGCAACATGGAGAGAAGAGTGACTTTATTTTAAATGTCAATCCACCATGTAACTTCTAACTAACCCCAAGTTCAAGAATGCCTCCCAAATTTCTGACTGATATATTACTCTTTATGTAGGAAGACCTACTGATTGTAAGTTTCCTCCAAAACGACCCTTGTTGTTCTGGAAATCATAGGCTTTGACACCCATAGCCACCTACACATTCCTTCCAGAGCAGGGATACTTTCCCCAAGATTTAAGCCCTGGGTCTGGGGATTTGTGATGTGGAGATCTACCTGTATTGTAGCCTCCCAAGACCATTCTTCTGTAAGTCTCCCTGCTTTTAAGTTCCCCTTAAACTACCCGAAACCTATGACCCAGATTTGTCTGCCTCTTTCTTTGGTTTCTTATTTCTTCTGCATTTGGGGGGTCGCTTTGTATATACAGCCCTTTCACAGAACAGGTGATTCAAGCTCACTGCAGACTTGAACTTCTAGGCTCAATTGATCCTCCCACCTCAACCTCTCAACATGCTGGGACCACAGGTATGAGCCACTGTGCCCAGCCCCCAGGCCTATTTTTTAGAGATCAATTTCTAAGAAGCTAGTGGGTAAGAGGTGGAGAGGAAAGATGAAATGAAGGACAATTTGAATCAGATTTTAATCCTGATCCAAGCCCAGCACTTGTTAAGAACCCTAGCAGCTTTGCAAGATGTTCTCCCCTCCCACAAGAACACGGAACTGTGACCCAAAGCTTCCAGTTTCTGCTTTGCAACTAAGCAGTCATGGAGCCTTGAGAAAGTCTCTTAACCACTCTGCATTTAAACTCCTCCCATTAGTATCAGCCTCATAAATATTTATAGAATAAATGGATTAATTACTTAATGAGGAATTGAATTCTTTGGTTATTTTTGTGCTTTGATTTTCTCCTTTATACAATTAATACTCACCCAAATGACCTTGAGTGATTGTTAAGCAGAATGGAATAACGGATAATGTGTGTGAAAGTACTCTGAAAGATATAGAGCACTATACACATTTAAGCATCAAAGATGATGCAATGTAGTATTTAGGTTGGTGCAAAAGTAACTGCAGATTTTCCCATTAAAAGTTAATGACACAGGCTCTGCAGTCAGACAGACCAGATAGGAGTTTAAAGCCCAGCTCTAGTGCTTACTGGATGAAAAACTTTTGGAAAGTCACTTTACCCCTCTGAGTCCTTTCTAACGAGGATTGTTGCAGTATCTATCTTAAAGAATGAGCATTAAATAAAATATGGCATGTAAAGCCCTTATCTCAGTGCCAGACACATAGTAAATGCTCATTAAGGTAGAAGAGAAAACTATACTGTAATGATATTAAACAGTGGGAGGGGTTGGTTATCTTTGTGTTTTAAATAAATTATTCAAGCTGCAGGTTGGAGAATGGAGTGAAAGGGAAAGATAAGGCAGAGGAGCCAGCTAGGATACCTATGTTTGCAGTTGGGACAGATCAGTAATCTCTCTTGTGCTCCAGTCTCAAATATCCACATGCTTATCTGATGTTGGCTCTTCCTCCTGACTTCACTGCCTCAGTGAATGGCCCCATCACCCTCCAATTGCCTAAGCCAGAAGCCTAGGAATCAATCTCAAGTCTGCTTTACCCCCGTAATTAATCAATCTTCAAGTAGATGTCAATGCCTCTTTTTTTTTTTTTTACTAGATCTAAAATCTGCACCCTTCTCCCCCTCCACATCACCATCACTTAAGGTCAGGCCCTTATTACATCTTGCCTTGATACGTTCAAGATTGCAATCTCAGTTGCCTACCAATCTGTTCTCTGTTTTCTAAACACAAATCTGATTATTCCTACCGTATGCTCAAAAACCTTTCATACCATCTACATGATAAAGTCCAAACTCAGCATGGCTTTCAGGCCCTGCTTTCTTAGCCCCAATATTTCTCTCCAACTTTAGCTGTCATCACTGCAAATTCTTGCTTGATGAACCATGCATGCCTCCCATAGGTCCTGCTCCTCCCTGCCTTTGTTTATTATTATTATTTTATTTTTATTTGAGACAGAGTCTCCCTCTGTCCCCCAGGCTGGAATGCAGTGTGGCGATCTCAGCTCACTGCAACCTCCACCTCCCTGGTTCAAGCGATTCTCATGCCTCAGCCTCCCAAGTAGCTGGGATTACAGGTGTGTGCCACCATGCTGGCTAACTTTTGTATTTTTAGTAAAGACAGGGTTTCACCATGTTGGCCAGGCTGGTCTCGAACTCCTGGCCTCAGGTGATCCTCCCGCCTCAGCCTCCCAAACTGCTGGAATTACAGGTGTGAGCCACTGCGCCCAGCCTCCCTGCCTTTTTTGTACATCCTTCATCCTCTGCCTAGGGTGCCCTTCTCTCCTGTTGATCTGGCTGACTCCAACTCAGACTTCATGACTCAGCTCAGATGTCGCTTCTACCCAGAAGCCTTTCCTGACCTCCCAAATCTGAATTCAGTGCTCCCTTGCATCCTGTTTACCCCTAATGTGTTGTGGCATGTAGTTTGGCCCAATCAACACTTATTCCAAATTCCCTTCTCCCTTGTCTTTCTCTACTTAGAAGCTGAAAACAATCATGTAGCCATGGGTGGCCATGCCACAGTCCATAAAATAGATGTAGGATGAAGATCCTGGGGAGGGCTTCCCTTTACCTCTTTACTTTTTCGCTTCTTTCTTTGTGGAACAGAATGGGGATTGGAGGTATAGCAACCATCTTGAGATCGCAAGGATGAAAGCTAGTTAATAAGACTTGTAAAGAAGAAACACAAAAAGATCCAAATTCTTGACGACATTGTTTAGGTGCCATGCCAGTTTTGGACTCCTTGCCTTTATATTTCATGCCAGGTGACCAAATAAATGTCTTAGTTATTCAAGCTGCTATTAGTTAGGTTTCCTGTTACTTTCAGCCAAGCATATTCCTTGGCTGATACACAAGTATTAATTGGTTGTTTTTCTGTCTCATACATTAGACAAATGAGCTGATGTCTTTTTTTTCTATATTCCCGGTGCCTAACTCTTCTTAGTAAATAGTATGCAGTCATTAAATGGTTCTATTGAAAGAATTAACTCAGATATGTGGGACAAATGTAATTTCCTCAGACCTAATAGTTTTTAAAAGCCATTTGAAAGGACAATATAAGATTTATATGTTTGGGTAATAATTTAACTCCATAACTGTCAAATACAGAATCAAATTAAATACAGATAGCAGCAAAGACTTCTGAAATTCTGGAAATTTCTTATTCCTGTGAAGCCACCTCTGTAACTCAAAGATACATAGTACATTACTATTCACTGAGATCAACTGAAGACTTCATTTTAAGTAATTATAACTAATGATTTTCTATGACAACTACATAAACTTTAAATATTATGAAGAGTAATACTAATTATACTGGCTCTTTATTAATATACATGGGATTAAAGGAAATGTCAGGCTTAAATATAAATTCCACAGCCCTGATATTTAAAAAATCTTTGCCACTCAATTTGGGGTTTTTTTTTATTATTTTGAATCAAAACTGTACATCTTTAAAGCGCATGACATAATGTTTTGATATATATTTACATATTAAACTGATTTTACTACAGTCAAGCTAATTAACATATCCATCTCCTCACAGTTACCTTTTTTGCGATAAGAACAATTCAGACCTACTTTCTTATCAAATTTCAAGTATGTGACACATTATAGTCAACTATAATCCTCATGCTGTACATTAGATCTCTAGCGCTTATTCATCTTGCATGACTGAAACTTTGTACCCTTTGACCAGCATCTCTCTATTTCTCCCACCCCTCAGGTCCTGACAACCACCATTCTACTCTCAGCTTCTATAAATTCAATGTTTTAGATTCCACGTAGAAGTGAGATTATGCAGTACTTTTCTTTCTGTGTCTGTATTTCACTTAGCATCATATCCTCTAGGTTTATCTATGTTGTCACAAATTGCAGGATTTTCTTCTTTTTTAAGGTGAAATAATATCCATCAACGGACACTTAGGTTGAGTCTGTATCTTGGCGATTGTGAATAATGCTGCAATGAAGATGAGGGTACAGGTATCTCTACAAGATACTGGTTCCATTTCATTTGGATGTGTACCTGGAAGTGTGACTTATAAATCATATTGTAGTTCTATTTTTTATTTTTAAGGAACTTCTATACTTTTTTCCATAATGTCTGTACCATTTTACACACCCACCAACAGTGTTCAAGGGTTCTAGTTTCTCCACATGCTTGCCAACGCTTATCTTTTGTCTTTTTGATAAAGTCATCCCAACAGGCATGAGGTGATATCTCATTTGAGTTATGATTTATATTTGCCTGGTAATTAGTGATGTTGAGCACCTTTTTAAATACCTGTTGGCCATTTGTATGTCTTCTTTGGAAAAATGCCTATTTAAGTCCTTGGCTCATTTTATCAGGCTTTTTTTTTTTTTCTAATAAGTTGTATGAGTTCCTTGTAAATTTTGGATATTAAGCTCTTTTCAGATATATGCTTACAAATATTTTCTCCTCATCCATAGGCTGCCTTTTCATTTTTGTTTCTTTTTGTTTTTGTTTTTGGTTTTTTTTTTTTTTTGGAGACAGAGTCTCACTCACTCTGTCACTCAGGCTGGAGTGCAATGGCATGATCTCAGCTCACTGCAACCTCTGCCTCCCAGCTCCAAGCTATTCTCCTGCCTCAGCCTCCCGAGTAGCTGGGATTACAGGCATGTGCCACCATGCCCAGCTAATTTTTGTATTTTTAATAGAGACGGGGTTTCACCATGTTGGCCAGGCTGATCTCATACTCTTGGCCTCAAGTGATTCACTGCCCTTGGCCTCCCAAAGTGCTGGGGCCATGACACCCAGCCTCATTTTTGTTTCTTTTGCAGTGAAGAAGCTTTTTTTTGTTTGATGTAGTCTCATTTTTGTTTGTTTATTTTTTGCTTTTGCTGCCTGTACCTTTGATGTCTGTCCAAAAAAATCATTTCATTTCCAAGACCAATGTCAAGAAGGTTTTCCTCTATGTTTTATTCTAGGAGTTTTATGGTTTCAGGTCTTGCACTTAAATCTTTAATCCATTTTGAGTTGATTATTGTGCACATTGTTTTATTAGCTCATCAGTCCCCACAATTTGAACTGCTTGCATCTCTGATCGATTAGAAATGGCAAAAACTATACCTATAGGCTTAATATCAGAAGAAATGGCCATATAAGCATGGTATTAAGAGATATGAAGGTTGTTTCAATTACCTATTGTTATGGCTTGAAAGTAACTTAAAATAACAACTATTTTATTATCTCTGATTATTCTGTGGAATGATTAGCTCAGCCGGGTGGTTTATCTGTTCCATGTGATGTTAGTTAGAGCTACAGTTGTCCAAAGGTTTGACTGGGCTGGATGATCCAAGACAGCTCATTCACATGGCTCCAGTTTGTTTTGACTATTGTCTGAGAGCTTCACTGGAGCTGTCAAACACAAGCCTTGATTCTCCTCCATGTGGCTTCTCCATGTGTCTTGGGCTTCTCACAGCATATCAGCTAGGATCTGAGAATCAGAAAGTAGAAACTACTATTTTTCTTAATGTCTGTAATCAGAAGTCCCAGGATATCATTTCTGCCACATTCTATTAATCAAAACCAGTCATAAGGCCAGCCCAGCTGCAGAGGGCAGGCAAATAACCTCAGCCTCTTGCTGGGAGCAGCAGCATGCATGTTCAGGGAGGGAAAAAAGTGCTGCAGCCATCTCTGCAAACTAGTGGCCACAAGATAAACCATATAAGCCTATCTTCATAATGCTAGTTTTAGGGCCTCACTGAGCACACCCAAAACTACAGAGAAACCTGACTTTCCACTTGGCAGATATAACTTGAATGGCTACTGTAATAAAGTTAGACTCAATAAAGACTTACAGGAAACAAAGAATGGTCTGAGTCAGCCATCAGCCCATCAGGATGCCAAAACTTCAGATCTAACGGGCACTATATCATGTGCTTTCACATATATTTTCTTATCAAATTATTTGAATTACAATGCAAGGATAGCGATAGAATAGGTTATTGTTACCCGCCATTAAAATATCCTTTGCCAAGGCACACAATCCAAGTTCCAAACCAAACTCATTAGGACCTGAGTCACAACCCCAAATACTAACACCAGATATCCCACCTCCTCGGTCATTTGGCTTCAACATACATCAGCTAAGGAGAGATATCCTATATGCAAGGATAATGCAAAGAAAAATTGCATTTAGGTTGACTCCGCAATTAATTCAGCAAACTTGCCAACTAGTAAGCCGTCACCACTCAGTACCAGCCAAGCTATCCATTCCAGGAAATTCAAGTTGGTGATATGCACTCAGGTAGCACTCTTGCCTCACAGGGCAAAAATGTCAAGCCGGGACCTAGGCATGTCTAAGGAACCAGGAGCCCGGGTAGTTTAAGAAATGGAACATTTGATTTGAGAAATTTCAAAATGGATAAATAACTTTTCACCAGTATTTCCTTTATAAGCTTAGTGCTTGTCATGGCTAATTTTATGTGTCAACATAACTGGGCCAAAGAATGCCCAGATAGCCCAGATTCTGTCTGTATCTGTCCATCTCTTTTGCTAATCCAAAATAGAGTAGCTTTTGAATCAGTGGACTGAGTAAAGAAGATTTACCCTCACCAGTGTAGGTAGGCATCATCCAATTCATGAAGGGCCTGAACAGAACAAAAAGAGGAAAGGTACATTTTCTCTCTTCTTGAGCTAGGACATCCATTTTCTCTTGACCTTGGACATCTGAGCTCCTAGTTATCTGGCATTTGAACTCTGGGATTTACACCAGCAGGCCCACTAGTTCTCAGGCTTTCAGAATTGAACCAGGAGTTACACCATCATCTTCCCTGGCCCTCCAGCCTTCAGACTCTAAGTGAATTGCACCACTGGCTTTCTCAGCCCTCCAGCTTACAGAAGGCAGATGGTAGGACTTCTCAGCTTCCATAACCATGTAAGCACATGATAAATCTCCTCATACATATCATATTGGTTCTGTTTCTCGGAGAATACTGACTAATCCAATGCTTAAGGCCTGGCCTGACTAAATATAGCCATTATTCTCTCCATGTTTACAAAGACAAGTGATGTTCAGGAAACTTAAGTATGTGCCAGAGGTCTCTTAGTTGGCCTATTATTGAGAGAAGCAGCATAGAGGAGTGGCTATGAGCTTTGGTATTAAACTATCTCAGCTCAAATCCTGGCCATTATCTCTGGCCAGCTGTGAGAGTTTGGACATGTTATTTACTTCTCTGTGCTTCTGTATTTCCCATCACAGAATTCAGATAATGATGAAACCAATTCATAGAGTTTTTGTAGGGAGTACTGAGTTAACATATATAAAACACTTAGAATAGTGCCTGGTACATAATAAGCATCATGTACTTACATGATGTTTGCTTTTATTAGTATAAGTTATAGAAACCCAACTCAAACTTAATAGATAAAATTTAAAGGAAAATATCAGCTTGTATAAGAAGAATGTCATCAGAACTGTCTTTTCCCATATCTCTGCTTAACTTCATTTATACATAGATACTCCCACAGAAGGAGGATGTCCTCTATAACTTGCAAACTGGAGCAGGACAGGGCATCTTCCCTAGAACTCCAATAACTATCCTCTGAATAGCCTGGTCTGGATCTTGTGCCCAACACTTAGGCTTGTGGGGAGGTAGAAATGGGGAACAGAGTCAGCCATCCATAATATGGCCTAGTCAAATTACACTGAATAGGTGAGAGGATGTTGTCCAAAAGAAGAAAGCTGGCCAGACAAAAATGAAAGCTCCTACAATGAATAAGATGGAGAATCAAGAACTGAATTCAAGCCTGTCTCACTCTCATGGCCTTTCATCACCCCACTTTCCTCTTTGCATATTTTTGTTTTTATCCTCCTCCTCATCTGTATTAGTTCATTCTCACAGTGCTATAAAGAACTGTCCGAGAATGGGTAATTTATAAAGAAAAGAGGTTTAATTGACTCACAGTTCGGCATGGCTGGGGAGACCTCAGGAAACTTACAATGATGGTGGAAGGCACCTCTTTAGAGGGCAGCAGGAGAGAGAAGAGTGAGCAAAGGGGGAAAAGGCCCTTATAAAACCATCAGATCTGGTGAGAAGTCACTCACTATCAAGAGAACAGCATGGAGGAAATTGCCCCCATGATCCAGTTATCTCCACCCAGTCTTTGCCTTGACATGTGGGGATTATGGGGATTATGGGGATTATAATTCAAGATGAGATTTGGGTGGGGACACAAAGCCTACCATATCATCATCACCATAGGGTAACTTTTGAAGCTTTTTTTCTTCTGGAGAAATGTTCAACAACTGGGTAATATTTTACCAGGAAGCAAGCCATAGCACAAATGCATAAGTAGAAAACAAAATAAATGTCCTGTACTGTACTTTGAGAAAAGAAAAATCCTTCTTACTATTTACATGTAGTCCCTTTCCTCTGAAGAGTACCAAAGGTTTTATAGATGCTAATGTCTCAGAGAGAGGAATAAAAGGGAAGAATTTAAACTGCAGCCCAGGCTTGCTACTGCTACTATGAAGACCACTCCACACACATAAGGATAAGTGCTCCATCCCAACAATGAACACTTAACTGCCTGAACTACTTTTGGGCCTCATTTAACTTGCCCATTTATGCAACTATAGATGCCTTTCTCCTAGAGCCATAAAATTTTAGAGTGGGAAAGGACTTTACAGATCATTTGGTTCAATCCCCTCATTTTCCAAATGGAAACAACTGGAGTCCAGAGAGGGCTATTAGGCAGCACACAGTCACGTAGCAGGTTTATTGCAGGCCTAGAAGTAGAACCCAGGTTTCCTATCCTATTTTTCTATACCATGTTCTTTCTGAAAAAAGCAAACACCCACACACACACACACGTATACACACATGCACATACACACACACACACAATTTCCAAAAGCTACTTAGTGATCCCAAACACTATTAATTTTTTTCTTCTCCCATTATGTGGATTACATAAATGTTTGGATGAATTGTTGAAACGAGTCATTTATTATGAAATTTCAACAATACACGCTAATCACTACCACCAGGAGGCAATCAAATTTGGTAAAAACGACAAGGTGCAGTAGTGAGGGCTGACCTTGTGTGAGGTCTACCTCGGGTGCTTCTCCATCCTCCAGTGGGAACTCAGTACTCCTGGGGAGCCCTCAAACTCAGGGCCCCATGGACCTGCTTCTCACACAGCAAATACCCTGCCTGAACTGATTTTTCCCTATCAAAAAAACCTGACTTCTCCTGTGGACCATTATCCTGGGACCACACATGTTTATATGTGTATATATTTTTTTCCTTCCTTTTTTTAAAGAGAAAAAAAAGTGAAGTCAAGTGAAACGGTGGGAATAGAGAAGGAACTCTATGTGTATATTTAAATGAGGGCTTCTGAGAAATAAGATCTTAACATAAAATTATATCTATTACTACATCTCCCTTTCAAAATTGGATCTGCTTGATACAGTTCTGGTTGTTGTTTATTTTACTGGTTTGGTTTCTGATCGCTTGTTTAATGGTCGTAGACACAGCCCAGAGATTTGTACATGGAAAACCTTACTTCCTAGAATGAATTAGCTACAATCATCTGGTTCTATGGACAAATCATAAAATGATTTTGTATTAAATAATCAGATATACTGGGGCCTTTTGATAATTAGTGAATTTATTTTCCATGCCTCATAAAGAGTACTTTCAAATTAAGTAAAAGTTACTTGAGAATGCTTGAGAATCAGGTAGGAAGGCAAATAAAAACTCTTAAATTGACTTACTAACTATATTCATGTTCCCATCTACTTTTCCTATATGCCATAAAGGAAATGTGCCTCTCGTTACTTTTCTATTCCTCTACTGTCTCTACCCATATAACATAAGTTATCCATGTTAGAGACTCCCTACACGTGCATCTGTATTATTAACAGTTTGAGACCAAATGGGCATTTTTGATGCCTGAGAGGTCTTTGAGCCTTCTTGACTCTCACTCTGCCCATCACAGGCCACTGTCAATTCCTTGGAGACTCACTCATGGGACTGAGACCAACTCTCAAGGAAAACAATAGCTTTGGTTCTAGACAAGCTCAATCGGGACTCAAAGTCTATAAATTTCATTTTTAAAGTTTAAGTCTTTGATATCACTATAGTGTCATCTTAACTGTTCCCTATACTTCAATTTATTTTTCTCTATCTCCTCCATCTGTGATGCACATGGAAGGAATTATTCACAGAGCGCTTTTCTTTAGTTAAGGTCAGGAGTGACAAGTTCTGGTGGTGTCAAACATTCTAGCTGTTCTGATTTTCAATTAGTTTCATTGAGATGTTTGCTACCCACTTATGGAGGAAAGGTGTTATGTCTTCTTCACATTGGTCCAAAATAAAGTCAGTGGGATACAGGTTGAGTTATGAGAAAGAGAGTCAGTCAAATGCCGTTTCTGTGTAACGGACATTATCTAAAAATTAAAGTAAGTCCATCAACCTAATGTCTCCTTAATAACAAAACTATACCTTATCCTGATTTTTCTCCCTTAACAGGTAACCTAAACCTTAAATTCACCTTATGATTACAGTCTTTCTTTTATAACTTGAAGCATATTTTGGTCCACTGAGCAAATTCATTCTTATTCATTGCCTTTTAAAGTTGACATTTAACTTTCAGAGCTGTAGAGTTGGCAAGAAGCAAAATATTATTTAATATTCAGGAGAGCAGATTCTAAAACACCACAGCATTGTACTGTATGAAACATTCTATAATTAGTGTATATTAACTGAAAGAAAGAATTACATATGGAATTAGTAGGGGCCGGTTGAAGGTGTTCATGTATTTATTTCCTTGTTAATACTCATGAATCAAATAAAACAAATGAGTAATTCTAGCAATTCAAACTAATAAGGGCTGATTTTCTAAAAGAAACTATGTCTTCAAATGCATTTACCAAAAAGAATTGAGAACAACTTTTGGCTCTAAAGGCCTTGAACCCCTAAATCAAATAAGATAGAAATTAGCCAAATCCTCTTCTATTATAATTTGCTGTTCAACATCAGAAATAATTAATCTATTAACTCAGGAGATAATTGTGGTGTATTTGCTGCAGGTTAGGCTCTCTTTAGGCACTGGGGACAGAATTGTGATAGTCTTTCCCTTCAGAGCATTGAATTTAGCAAGAACGAGAAGAATGCAAACAATTGCAACAAATATTAATAGTGTTTGCATAAAAGAAGCACACAGTGCTATGGGCACCCACAGTGAGGGACCTAACCAAGTTATGGGGAGTGGAGTGGCAGTAGGTATGGGAAGGTCCTCTAGAGGAGGTTGCAGATCAGGTGAGACTTGATAACATCAAGTCTCTGATAACTCTGATAACATCAGAGTTAAGATGAACATCGAATCTTGCTTCTTCAAAAAGCTCCACTAAAACCACAGTAAAGAGACTTAAGAAAATGTTGTGTTTTTTTTTTTTTTTTTTTTTTTGACTCATAAGAATATGGAGAACAGGAGAAAGGACAAGAGAAACAAATTTTGGGAACTGAAGAGAAGACTGACATGTGGTGCCTGACGTAGCAGAAAGCTGAATGAATCCTAAGTCAGCAAAGGCCTGTGGGGAGAGCTATCTGAAAAACAGGTGTTGCTCCAAAGCTCTTCCCCAACTGCCAGGTAACTGCCCCTCCCCTCCCTTAGCAGAAAGCTAGAAATTTATTCATCTGTAGGGTAAGAGAGTCCTTAATCAAAAACACAATTCAATTCAGTGACCATACATAATGCAGTATTCATACTGATGTCCCAGTCCAATTGCTTGCTCACTCTAAGAACACAGGCATCAGCCCACTCTTCACCCTGCAGAAGGGAGATTGAAGAGGCTTATCTGGAAATATGACCAGCCCAAAAGGAGAGGCTAAAATAGAGTCATGCCAAATAATGCTCTTTCAGTCAACAACAGGCTGTACAGTATGTACTATGAAGACTCCATACGATTATAATGGAACTGAAAAATTTCTATTGACATTGTTGCCTTTGTAATATCATAGCACAATGCATTACTTACATATTTGTGGTGATGCTAGTGTCAACAAGACTACTGTGCTGGCAGCTATATAAAAGTGGAGCATATACAATTATGTACAGTATATAATGATACTTGATAACAATAATAAACAACTGTTACTGGTTTATGCACTTACTGTACTACGCTTTTTATCACAGTTTTAGAGCATATTTCTTCTACTTATTTAAAAAAATGTGAACTGTAAAACAGCCTCAGGCAGGTCCTACAGGAGGTATCCAGAAGAAGGCATTGTTATCACAGGAGATGACAACTCCATGCATGTTACTGCCCCTGAAGGCCTATCAGAAGCTCAAGATGTGGAGGTGGAAGACAGTGATATTGATGATCCGGACCCTGTGTAGGCCTAGGCTAAGGTGTGTGTTTGTGTCTTTGTTTTTAAGAAAAAAGTTTTAAAAGTAAAAAAAATTGTTTAATAATAAAAAGCTTACAGAATAGGGATATAAAGAAAGAAAATATTTTATACAGCTATACAATGTGTTTGCGTTTTAAGCTAAGTGTTGCTAAAAGGGTCCAAAAGTTAAAAAAAAAAAAAAAGAAAAGGTATAAAGTAAAAAAGGTGCCACAAGCTAAGGTAAATTTCTTTTTGAAGAAAGGCCAATATTGCTGATGTATTTTTGATGTTTGACCTACCCAAATCTCATACTGAAATGTGATCCCCAATGTTGGAGGTGGGGTCCGATGAGAGGTGTTTGGGTCATGGGGGTGGATACCTCATGAGTGGCTTGGTGCCCTCCTTGCAGTAAGGAGAGTTCACATGAGATCTGGTAGTTAAAAAGACCCTGGCACCTCCTCCCCTCTCTCTTGCTCCCACTGTTGCCATGTGACATTCCTGCCTCCCCTTCACCTTCTGCCATGAGTAAAAGCTTCCTGAGGCCTCACCAGAAGCCAAGCAGATGATGATGCCATGCTTGCACAGCCTGCAGAACTGTGAGCCAAATAAACCTCTTTTCTTTATAAATTACCCAGTCTCAGGTATTCCTTTATAGCAATGCAAAATGGACAAATGAAATTGTTTTATAAATTTAGTGTAGCCTAAGTATACAGCGTTTATAAAGTCTACAGTAGTATTTAGTAATGTCCTAGGCCTTCACATTCATAGACTCTCTGCTCACTCATGGACTCACCCAGAGCAACTTCCAGTCTTGCAGGGTACATGCATGGCATGTGCCCTATACAGGTGTACCATTTTTTATCTTTCATTCTGTATTTTTACTGTACTTTTTTATGTTTAGATATGTTTAGATACATAAATACTTAACACTGTGTTATAATTGCCTACACTGTTCAGTACAGTAACATGCTGTACAGGTTGATAGTCTAGGAGCAATGGATTTTACCATCTAGCCTCAGTGTGTAGTAGGCTAGACCATCTGGTTTGTGTAAGTACACTCTATGATGTTCACACAACCATGAAATCACCTAACAACACATTTCTCGGAACATATCCCCGACATTATGCGATGCATGACTGTACTGGTACTAGGGCTTCTTTGAAATAATGACCCACCTAGATTCCTCCAGGGAATCTCCAAGGCAGTAAGCCTCACTCACAGGCTCGGAGCCCCATCTCTTAATCATGAGCAGAGGATTGATTAGCAGGTGCTTGAGGAAAATGTCTCTAGCGTGGAAGATGGATACCATACAAACAAATAAAGAACAGAAACAAAAGGCATCTTGGAGAAAACAGAGAGTATGCATGGGGAAGAAAAAAAATTTTAAAGCTATCATTAAAACTTTCATTAACATCTTCAGATAGAAAAGAGAAGATACTGAAGTCATGAAACCAAAAAAAAAGATCCTATAAAAACAAAAGGATCCAGAAAACAAAAAGATAATTCAATGGTAGAGTTGAAGAAACAGAGAGGAAAGTAGATAGTAAAGATAAAAAAGAAAAGGTGAGAAAAGACAGGAAAGTTTTAGGATCAGGACAAGAAATCCAACATTCAAACAAAGGATTTCCAAAAGAGAAAACAGAGAAAACACAATAAGTCAAGAATAAAATAAATCAAGAAAATTTCTCTGAACTGATATGAGTTTATAAACTGAAAGGTTCACCACGTCCAGCAGAGAATTTAGTACGTATGCATCAGTTACTGCTCTAATTGTTTGACATATATTAACTTGCTTAATCTTCACAACAACCCCACAATGCACAATGCAATCCTTAGAATTTGTTCATGCTTATAAGTGTATTTCCACATCACTTACCTGTACATAATGAAAGTTTATGTTTAGAAAGATGAGTGAATAAGACCTTTTTCTTTTGTAGTAAGAATTCATGCTTCCCTGCCAAAACAAACTTATCTCTTATATCAGTAAAAATAGTCTCTTGCTGTAAAGTCAGTTCTCTTTGTTCACAGTAATGTTCTATGAAGTTGCTGCAAACTCTGAATTAGCAAATATTGAACCATTGATCTTAGTGGAAATATAGGGTTAGGTTCCTGCAAGCCTCTGGTCACATTTTCACCAATCGATCAATATAAAACTTTGTTTTATGTCTGTTTCTGCTTAAAGACATCTTATTTTTTGATTTATCACCTTTGAATTTATGACCAACAACACTGCAACTCATGCCTGAATCAAGCTTGTCTAACACATGTGTTTTCTCTGAAAGGCACATCACAACCTTCTTGCTCTAAGGAACACGGCAGCACTTCACCACCATGCTTGAGGGATGTCTTAAACAAGATCACCAACAAAAAGCATAAGAGTTAGAAAAACGTGTCACTGAATAGACTGTGAAAAGAACACGTTTATGGAATGAGAGCTGAACCAAGAAGGCAGGGCATCACCCTGTTCGACCTCAGTTGGGATTGTACACATCTGGTGCCTTCCCTTTTTTACCATTCTGCATATGTCCACAAATGACCATGACAGAACCACGAGTATTGACTTGTGGGATACAAATAGGTAAATTTTACAGAGAAGAAAAATTTACAAATACAGGATCTGCAAATAGTGAGGATTTACTGTTTTATTATTACGGTTATTAATGTTGTGCATGTGAAAGGAGAAAACATTTGGTTAAAGGCAAGTCGAAGATGTCATGTAAAGGGCATTTTGTTGACCTTGGCTCACCCTGTCATACCTTTGCCCCTGCAAACAAACCTTCTGAATCAAGAAACATTTTGTACAGTTGTAGCAGTTTAGGGACTACTAACATTTTGCTCCAATCCGGTGGATGTCTAGGAAAGACAGCTCCAAAACCTGTGGCAGGCAATCCGGTGACCCTAAAACAAGATAACATTTTTTTAGAAAACTTGTTAGAGTGTAATGTGTAAACTTTCAAAGCCATGTAAAACTAATTTAGGGGCTGGGCGCAGTGGCTCACGCCTGTAATCCCAGAACTTTGGGAGGCCGAGACGGGAGGATTGCCTGCGCTCAGGAGTTCAAGACCAGCCTGGGCAACATGGTAAAACCCAGTCTCTACTAAAAATACAAAAAAAATTAGCCGGACGTGGCAGCATGTGCCTGTAGCCCTAGCTACTCGGGAGGCTGAGGCAGGAGAATTGCTTGAACCTGAGAGGCAGAGGTTGCAGTGAGCCAAGATCACGCCACTGTCCTCCAGCCTGGGCAGCAGAGCAAGACTCCAGGTCAAAAAACAAAACAAAACAAAAACTAATTTAGGGTTAGATTTTTATGATGATTACTTTTTAAAGAGTTTTCATGTTTGCAACTTTTATGAACTTTGTAAAACAAAATGTCTCAACAAGTCAATGGAATTTTTAGCATTTTTGTCATTATTTTGACTGCATTTTTCAACAATTACAGTATAAGACAAAGGCTATGTGTCATACACTTCGATGGGGAGGCACTGTGCCAGGATGCAGGATGACAACTATGATGAATAAAGAGTTTCTATCCTCAAAGAACTCTCTATTCCTGAGGAAATGCCTTCATATAAATAACTAGAATGCAAGTCCAACTGTCATGTAGGACATAAAATACTCAGAGAACAAAAATCAAAAAGCAATTAATTCTGATTAATGACAGCTTACCTAATTCTTATTGCATGTCAGTCAATACTTCTATGCACACTTCATACTTTATTTCGTCTAAATTTCATAACAACCCTACGAAGTAGATGCTTTTGTAATTCCCATTTTACAGGTGAACAAGCTGGGTTATAAACACCAAATAACTTTTACAGTAAATTGTAGAGCTGGGGTTCAAACCTGGATAGTCAGAACCTTGGGCCAGAAAAAAAAAAAAAAAAAACACATATAAAGAGGAAATGGCATTTTAGCTGGGCCCAGAATAAGTAGAGAGTTGATTGGTAAACAATTGACGAAAAGAAACTCCCAAACAGAGAGAACAGCATGAGCAGAAAGCATGGAAGCTTGAGACAAATGTGCTTGATATGTTCCTTTAGTGTGGAACTGGGGTCACTATACCTTTTTGCTACTTATACAAGTCCTTTCTGCATGTCCACATTCTATAAAGTAAAGAAAAGTATTAAGAATACCTTTCGATAATCCCGGAGCTCACTGTTTCCTCATTCAATAAAGCCTTGCTCTTCATTTCAACCCATTCTGTGTTTAAACACATTTGTGACAACTTTTCATGTGTTTCTGATGTCCAAATCTGGAAACATAGAAGCCACATATAAGAAAAATGAATTTTCACTACAAATGGTCAGTTACTAAAACATGTTTTTATTGAAGTACATTCTGATTTTAATTGTTGACTCTAGTTGACATTAAAAATAAGTAATAGATCATAGCTGTCAATTATTTCATCATAAATATGTAAAAATAGCAATTACTGGATGCTGTTGGGAAATAAAAAGCAAATTGGTTGTTTCTATGAAACAGAAAGAACTGCATTCAATTAAATATACTAACTCTACCTACTTTCTATTTCCTTCTTTATCCTTTTCAGGGTTGGTATATTTTAAATACCCTAAGCAGGAAAATGTTTGTAGCAATCACTTTGTAAATCACAAGGACTTCAGATATCATCATCATCATCATTATTATTCACTCTCGGTCATACAGCATAATTCAATTAATTACTAAGCAATTATTGCGATGTGGAAAAATCTTCAAACTATAAGATGTACTCAAACCAATTGCAGAAACATCAAGGGTAACATCTCAGGGATCAAAGGAACAAAAATGGATGTAAGGGATTCAATATTTTCTCCATACAAAACTCTAGAAGATCATGAAGCTGGAGGTTCAGAGCCAAGAACCAGAACTCATCACCAAGAAAATCCATTACTTTATCTGAAAGACTAGATTCCCCAAGATATTCATGAAGCCTCAGAACACATTAATACCACTAGACTTTCTGTTGTTGTTGTTGTTGTTTTTTAAAGAGAGACCACTCTTTAGAAAACCAGAGCCTTCAACTGCAAGAGTATCATGGTTATAGTCAGATGCTTTGGGTCCATTTTGCTTTAGTAATAAGATTTTTCTATAACCAGGAGTCTAGCCTAGTCAAAACCATTTTGATTAAGTCTCTGGTGCTGGTTTCCTGGTCTACTCCATGGCTCTCTAGATCCTTGGCTTCTCAGAGCACTGCTCTCCAAGACCTCAACCTCCTGAATGACTATCCTCCCAGCCAAATTTCCCAGCTTTGATCCATATACCCTTAGCTCAACTACTCTTCTTCTTAGATGTTCAGGTTTCAAAGTCGATGGTAGGGGACACTACATTGGGTCTTATTTATTTTAACAGCAAAAAAAATCTTTTGAGAAAAAATTAGTAGCCACCATTTTGTTTGAAGGTATAAGATTGACCAAAAAATTAAGCTTAGATTGCTTCTCAGCCTTTTGGCTAAGAGCAAGTGTAAAAATTAAGCTTAGATATGCTCTGATGATTTTTAACAGTAAAACATTTCAGCAAATCAACCAACTCTTTGAAAATCATATGAAACAAAGATATTGCCAAACATAAAATAGAGGAGTAAAAGGAAACAGATAATCATAGCATTAGTGGAGCAGAATGAGTGCTTATTCTGTGCCAGACAATGTACTAAGCACTTTAAATGCATTATTTCAACACCTTCTCAAAGCAACCCTCTGAGTGTTATGTATTAATATTAATCATGGTCTCAGAAGGGAAAAACAATCAAATTGGGAACTGAGGAGAATTTAATGAAGGATCTCTTTATAAACGTGTGGGAACCATTAAGAAAATCAACACTATTGAAGCACACTGAGGATAGCAATAGTGGAGAACCTTGAGGGTAGAACAGTTACTGTAACTCAGAACAACCTACAGCTCTAGTGAGGGTCACCTGATAGTTGTATCAACCTACTCAGAACAACCTACAGCTGTAGTGAGGGCCACCTGATAGTTGTATCTTTCATAACAGAAACCCAGCCACTGCCAAACCATGGTCCTACAGGGAGGAAATCACAGAAATAAATGTCCAAGCTCCCTCTCCTCCCACCTCTGGTCACCTGCCAGTGCCTCCCATGGGCCCACCCAGTGGAAAGCCAGAAGGCAAGGAGCTCATTGCAGCCAACCCTAGAGGTCAGCCT
Organism: Homo sapiens; assembly: GCF_000001405.40. Classification (NCBI taxonomy): domain Eukaryota; kingdom Metazoa; phylum Chordata; class Mammalia; order Primates; family Hominidae; genus Homo; species Homo sapiens. The sequence goes on along the minus strand of NC_000009.12, from coordinate 69,854,648 downwards.
CCTTGGCACAAAGCAGGGTGAGAAGAGTGGAGAGTGGATCTGGAGGTGCAAATGAAGAACACTTGGTATAATTTATTTCTGTTTTAAAAAAGGGAAAACTAAGGCTGGAAGGGATTAAATAATGCCCAGGCAAATCAGCTAGAAAGTAGAAGCTCCACAATTTAAGACTCATGCAGTCTGCCTCATTCATTCATCCATCTGTCCACATCTATTAAGTGCCAGGCATCATACTAGGTTCTACAACTAGATTTGTAAACAAACTCCAGAGGCTATACTAGCTATAGCATAGTAGGTTATAGTAAATCATGGGGATAATGGTAATAACAGCACATGGCCAGAAACTGTTCTAAATATCTTCACATTAAATGCTTGTGACAACTCTACAATTCTCACTTTACACATAAGGAAATGAAGACATGGAAAGTTGGAGACTCGACTTAAGTTACAACCCTGTAAGTGGTAGAGCCAAGAATTAAAGAGAAGCCATCTGACTCCAAAGACAACTCTTAACTTCTGTTTCCTATACCAGCGGCAAATGTTATCTCCCAATATTAGACATTCCTTCTTCATCATCAATAGAATCCCCAAACTTTAGCTGGGTGCCTGGTGTTGCAGACCACATTTTTCAGATTATTTTACACTTAGATATGATCAGTTACTGGTTCTGGACAATTAAGCATAAGTGGAAATAGTTGTTTCCTTGGAAAGAACTTCCAGGGAAAGTCCTTCTTTTGTTTTCCTTCTTGCTGCCTGGAATGGGGACAAAATGACTGTTTTCCAGCAGCCATCTTGGGTCCTACCCAAGGATGGCAGAGCAGAAAACTGGAAGGAATTGGTCTCTGACAATACATAGAACTTTCATACCAGTCCTGCTATCCTCCAGACCCTTTACATGAAATAATACAACCCTATATGAACAGCCTCTGTTGATTTTCAGTGTCTGTTGCATGTAGGCAAACCTAATCCTACACCATCTTAATGTGAAAAAATCACTTTGGTGCAGAAATGTTCATAACCTGACATAAGGATGGTACTTCATAAAGCACTTCCATATGTTTAAAAGTCTTTTGGGCTTTGTATATATGTATATCACAGACTGGAGATTGGCAATTTGGTATGTGAGATAGCTAAATTAACACAGCACAAACTCGCAGGATAATCACTAAAATTTCCATTTAATTTACATAATAAAATCTAGCTTGAGAAAATTATAATATAGAAAATATCTAATGGATAGAGGAAGCTCATTTCATAATATCATTCATATTCCCTGTTTTCCTGAGTACGAATTATTTTTAAATCCCAATTTCTATTCTTCTAGAATGAATTCCCATTTGTGCTGCACTTATGGGAAGTAAATCCAGTAGACACATAACCTGGGTGACTGGTACAGGGAATGAAGAGAACACTTATGACTTCTCAGGTTATATATTTCAGGTTGGCCAGACTGTTCTGCTGAGGATGACTTACCCTTGGCAGAATCTCTTATGGCAAGATTCATTTTAGATAATCCCCAATTGACAATTCTTTCCTGGGTTCTTTACAGGCACCCAGAAAGTATATTCCTCTGACCCACAGTGAAGGAAGGTGTATTGGTCCGTTTTCATGCTGCTGATAAAGACATACCCAAGACTGGGTAATTTACAGAAGAAAGAGGTTTAATGGATTTACAGTTCCACTGGGCTGGGGAGGCCTCATAATCATGGCAGAAGGCAGTGAGGAGCAAGTCACATCTTACATGGATGGCAGCAGGCAAAGAGAGAGAGTGTGCTTGTGCAGGGGAACTCCAGTTTTTAAAGCCATTAGATCTCATGAGACTTATGCACTATTACAAGAACAGCATGGGAAAGACCCGCCACCATTATTCAATTATCTCCCACTGGGTCCTTCCCACGTTATAGGAGCTACAAGATGAGATTTGGGTGGGGACACAGAGCAAAACCATATTAGAAGCTCAGGTACTTCTCACGTCAAGCTTTTCCCTCTGATGCCACAGGCTGCTTCTGGAACCTTCCAGTCTGTAGCATTTTGTCAAGCATGAGTGAGACCCCAGTGCATCAAGTTCCCTGGGTGGTATCATTGAGGCCCCACTCTCAGGGTGGAAATTAAGGAGACACACTTCCCACCCCTACCCCTTAAGAGATTAAAGGGGTGGGATTCACAGCATGCACACTCTCTCCAGACAACTCCTCCAACTGCTAAATTATTTTGACCAGATCTGTTTGATTTCAACCATTTTTGTTTGTTTTTAAATCATCAAGGTGAATGAGACACCAAGCAGCTCAAAACTCAGTTACCGCCCAAATAATTTGCATGTTCTGCATGAGTGGGTTGGCATCTCACTTACTTGGAATAAAGGAGGAGCTGGCATCTATTATCTTAGATCTTCAGTCATAACTAAGGAAGAGTCTTATTTTAGCCTGTTAAGCAGCATTCCCCCTACCAACTGTAGCTTTTCTGCACCGTTGCCAAAAAAAAAAAAATATATACAAAGGCTTGATTATCTTTTAAAATCATCACAAAGACCATACTTATTTCTCAGAAGTTTTGTCCTTGGAAATCCTGGCTGTTTTCACATCTAGGTTAACTCAGCAGTGCCATGTAAAGATTCTAAAGGATCCGAGAGAGGCCTCTGCAAATATAACTGCTATTATTTTGAACAACTGAGACTCATAGGGTGCAATCAGAAAAATAATTTTATTGTTTTCCACAACTACCTCTTCAAGCAAGCTTTTATGAGCTTCTTCCTTCTTCCTCTTCTTTTTTTTTTTTCTCTATTTTTAGAAATAGGGTCTCACTGTTACCCATGCTGAAGTGTAGTGGCACAATCATAGCTCACTGCAGCCTCAAACTCATGGGCTCAAGCAATCCTCCTGCCTCAGCCTCCCACGTAGCTAGGACTACAAACGTGCACCACCACACCTGGCTTACGGGATGCTCCTTTTCCTGTCTCTAGCAGAAATAAATTTATAACAAGTCTCATTTTTTCATGATCACTCTGAGATGACAAAACCACTTCTTGTCACAAAATAGTCTCAATTAAATATTTAATATTAGTAAAATAAACACAAAAGGCTCTTCTAGTTGTCTGGGGGAAAGGAAAAGCAGAGCAGGTGGGGAAATAAAAAATTATCCAACTCGGCCTACCCTTCACACTCACTTCCCTCTGCAGACTTACCAGCCTAGAGCAGGCTGTAGCTGGAGGAAGAGAAAAGCTTTAACTCTAAATGAAATTCATCATTTTGATGAAATATTTTACTTATTGAAATGGGACCAATAGGCTTCTTATTATCTGAGATTGACCATAAAACCTAAGGAAGCTGCACAGCATTTTGTCCAAGCATAAAGGAAGAACCGATTCCAGAAAGCAGGGTAAATAGGCAGTGGAGGCAAAAAATATGGATGTGTGTGTCTCTGCATGTTTGTGCGTGCGGGTGTGTGTGTATATACATGCACATGATTGCCCAATTCAAGTCTCGTTTGTTCAACATAACAGTTACACCTGCTTAAGCAAACTAATATAAATGAAAAATTAAAGTCTAGTTTCTGTAAGAGTTAAATTAGGGCATGATTACTGATGTAGAAAAGGAGCAGCAAATGAAAGTGATGGGATCAAAATGCTGGGTGGCCTGCTTTCATTCCCATCCCAAACGTCTGGAAATGACAGAGAAGATATTTGCTAGAATAAATAGACTCAGAGATGCAGCAGAAAACAAGGGAAGTACACTCAGTGGGCCAAAATTGATACGGAATTCCTAACACAGGAAAGCCAGATGTCATTGTGGTGATATTGGAAAAGCTGATCCAAAGTTGTTCCAGGAGAGAATGCTGAAACCTGTGACATCAACCACAAGCTCCAAGATTATGGAGACAGGAAGCAAGAAGAGACCCTAGCTCAACAGCCTACTATCCCCAAACATCTTCCTTTCCCCTGCAATGGCATTTAAAATATTCCATTTATAAACATTTGATCCATATACCCCTTTCAGGTGCTTAGATATGAATGCAAGAAGCATCTATAAGATTATAAGATTATACTGGTCAAAATACTATCCTACAATGTCAAAGAAAAAAATACTTGAACCAATTAAGTAAATAATTGAATTTCCCATATCTGGTATAATTATATCGTTTGTATCCCTTTTAGGACATTAGTTTTTAAATGTCATATTTTTATTCACTAAAACAGCTCAGATTTAGGCTTATTTGGCTATTCTTAATCTATTCATAAAATGAATGCTAATATACTTTTGTACTATTCATTTATTTGCCATTTTTAAATCCAAAATATCTGTGATGCTGTTAATATTAGCCTAATTTGCTCAACAATGTTGTCCTGTTAGTTCCAAAAATGCCTTGGCATTGAGCCACTAGCTGTATAAGAAAAATCTGTTTAATAAATTGCTCATGTATTTCTTTGTTCATTTATGTCTGACAAGTTCTCAGCTTCTATGACACAGCATCATATGTGTTCTGTACTTAATCCTTCTAGGTGTATGGGATTCAACATGCACCCCTTTCTCAGAAGTGGTCTTTCTTTGGCCTCCCAGTGGCTCTCACTTTAGTATCAGCCTCACATGCTAGGAAGGTAACATAAGTGATTGTGATAGGGCCTTTGGTAGTGTTGTGAGGATCCTTGGGTGAAAGGCTTTACAAGTTGAAGCAATGATGATAGACATACTCTTGATGATTTTAGTTTTCATGGAATTCACCTGGGTAGAGATATGTAGCACCTGAATAAAGTCCAGGTAAAAGACTATAGTTTAGAACGCTATTACCCACTAAGCTTAGAATAAGACAATCAGGGCAAACCCAGTGGCTTGAATTGCTGTTCTCCTGTGAATCTATTTCCCCAATGGCCTCACTTGGCCTCCTGAAACCTGAGGGACCATTGAAATAGGAAATCAATTATCCCACCATTGAAACCTGAATGGTATGTTTCCAGATTCTGCCAAGAGATGGTTCCTTTAGGATTCAGCTCCAGAGCTTCAAAGGAAACCATACCCAAACCTCCTTCCAACCCATTTCAGTTCAGGTACACCTCACAGCATCCTGATGTTCTTCCTGTCATAGCATCCATCATACCCTTTGCCACCGTGGTTATGTGTTCCCATTTCCCCTAGGAACCTATGAGTTCCTTATATACAGGCACCAATTTTTGAATTATGTTTCTCACCCTAGCACTTAGCATTATGCCTGGCAAAGTAATGGGGCCTCAAAAAATGTTTGTTGAATGTAGAACTTCTTCCTTTTGTCCTCTTCCCTTCCTCCCTCCTCCCCTTCCTCCCTCCCTTCCTTCTTTGTTTACTTCCTTCATCCCTTCCTCCCTCCCTTACTTCATTTCTTCCTTCTTCCCTTTCTTCCACAAATACTTATTGAGCATCCACTATGTTCTAGGCACTGTTCTAGGAACTGGGGAGAAAACAGGGAACAAAATAGACCAAACTCCCCACTTTCATAGAGCTCGTATTCTAACAGAAGGTGACAAACTATTAATAACTAAGTAAGTCTAAAATATGTCCAGCAATGTAAGTGTCATGAAGAAAACTAAAGTAGGGAAAGGGGATAGAGAGATATGATAAGAATGGACTGCTCTTTTACATACAAAAGGGCAACTGGCTTATTGAACAAGTGGGACTTATAAGTAGGTACAATCAGAAAACAAATCTATTTTTCCTCCATCACTGCCCATCCACAGTCATTTAGAGGACTAGTTCTTTCTCATGCTCCTTGATGAAATATAAGACAGGTCCCGGGGCGTTTCTGGTGACTCTCAGATAATACAAAACTTCTCTGGCTACTTTTGTCCCAAGAGGATTTTCACTGAGGTAATTAAAATGCCAGTCCCATATAATAGCCAAAACTTCAAACTTCATGGGAAGATTCTCATTCCTCCACCTTGGGGCTGCTTCGGCCTGGCCCACTATACTGGGAACAGGGGGCACAGTTGGCTTCTTCTCAATTATCCCACTTGGACTTCTTCCCCATTCCCCACCTCCCTCTATCTCCTTGGGGACTGATGCCAAGGATGTGTGGAGATGAGGAAGAGAGAGAGGTAAAAGTGGGAATGGCAGAATGTAATCTTGCTTTGGTTTCCCCTGGGTATGTTTATCTTTGACCCTCTCTGGCACTGGTGAATGTTCCAAGGTGACTTTCTTGGGAGGTTCTGGTAGACTTTGGGATCACCTCTGGGAACATTGAATGGCATGTCCCATGATAGAAGATGCCTCTGGCTAGACTTAAATGTCTTGCCTCGGCTCCTGGAAACCCAGCTAGATGCCCTCCCATCTCTCCTTCTTTTCCTTCTACAAATATTTATTGGGCACCTACTATGAGATGCTGTTCGACAGGCTCTGAAATGATTCCATGTCATTTTCTTCTTCCCCATGGTCCACAATGGATCCACAAGAGGCACATCTGGGACCGAGGATTCACACATTGTTGCTCCACCTCTAGAGGAGCTGGCTCCCTCTTTCTGCTCTGCTTCCTCTGACCAGTCACCAGAGTCTTGTGTCTAACTTCGTGAGGCACACAAGGGTCCTTGCAGATAAGACTTAGAGCACACTCTCCAAAATCCTTTCTGTACTATCAAACTCCTCTTGAGGCTTCTTGCATTTCAATTCTCTTATATCCCTCATGTGAGTGGGAGCCTATTAACACCATCTTCTTTGAGGATCTTGCATAAGTGACCTAATTCTTTACTTCGGCACATGAGGCTATTGTTCTGTTCTTAGACTTTTAGAGCCTTAGCCAAAACGTAGACAAAAGTAAGTCCGATTTTAAACTCTGCTACAAATAAATGATGCTCATATTAGCTCCTGCAGCAGCATTTAAGGACAAGGACACCCTCAATCAGCTAAATGAAAGTGCGGTGGATGTACAAAGCAGCCACTCAGCAGCAAACTTGCAAAAAAACCAAAAATGTTAAGAAGGCATTCAGAAGGGGAAACAGATGGGAATAGGGCTAGCCAGCATGTGTGTGGACATAATTCAGGAAATAGGACAGAAGTTATGGCTAAGATGTAAGAAATCAAAGCCCCAACACATATGCAGTGAGATATACAATATCCAAGCCAGAGCAAAAAATAATCAGGTCTATTTTCTACAAGGAAGGTGCAGTGTAGCAGGGTAAAAAGGCCAGCACACTAGAAGTGGAAAAGTTTGGTACTCCAAGAGGCAGTTTGGAAAAGTCTCTAAGATCTTAGCATTTAGAGCCAGAGAAGAACAATAGATTTTAATTTTTAATACACTTTCTAGCTGTTTGACTTTTCACCAGTGATTAAGCTTCACTTGTTCTCAGCTCCCTCATTTATCCAATGTGGATCATGCATGATACCTGCCTGAACAGCTGTCCAGAGGATGAAATGAAGCACTTTTAATGGAACCATCTTGTTGAATTGATCCTATTGCATCAATAGGATGCAATCATAAAGCAATTTCATTTTTAATCAAACTGCCCCTTCCCTCCCACAGCAAGTTATTTCCTTTTGTTTAATAAAAGTCTTAGGCAAGTCTCTTCTTGACCACTACTGTCCCTGCCCCGCACTCCCTCTTTCTGCTGTGCCATATCAGGCATGACCTCTCACATTTAGGTTTTTAGGCATGTGACTGGACCCCGTGTCCTCTAAATTCCAGGACATACATATTAATCTCTCTGAGTGGTTCCCTTGAAACCTCTCTCAACTGGAGAAAGAGAGGCACAGAACCCACAACTACATGAATACTCTTTTAACTCTTCAGTCCCTTGTCTTTAAGGACATAACTACTCATACTGGTTTAATCTAATTTAGTCTCTTAGCAGGTCCTGCCTAGGTGGCCCAGATTCTTGCTTTAAGGCATGTGGTTCCTGCCAACTATCAAGAGTGTCTTTAGGCCTTTACCAAATCTCTGTGACAACAGGAAGAAGGACTTGCCCATCCTCTTGCTATATCCAGCCTCACACCTGGCATGTGAAGGTGTGGGGGCTTGGCGCCAGTATCCCCTCCTTTTCTTTACACTTGGGACCTTGGGTGAGTCATTTAAGATCTGTAAGTCTAGGTTTAGAACTAAATAATAATATATTTCTTGACAGCTTTATAGCTTTGTTGTGAAGAATGAAAAACAAGATGGATGAGCCAGTGCTTTATACACAGAAAGTCTATAGGGAAAAATGTAAATTGCTATTAAGATAGAGAATAGCAGTTCCATCAGAAATAGTGATTCCTCAGTCTATTTTCTTTTCTATTGAATACACATTCCAAATCTGGCAGGTGGAGGACAGGGTTTCAATGGCCATCAACAAAAAGACATACAGACAGTAAATACTACTATTTATTTACACATTCTCATTAAACCTGAGGCTTGACCACTGTAACGCATATAATATTGGGGAGGGAATGTTTGTGGTTCCTATACCTCATATCCCGCTTCATCTCACTTCCCCCACGATATGAGGTATAGGAATACCCAGAAACCAAGAGCATTTCTATATAGGAATCAAAAATGAATGTTTTTAAGGACCAAAAGTTCTTTAAAAACATCTTTAATATAGAAATCAAAAATAAATGTTTTTTAAGGACCAAAGTCTCTAAGTGCATGTCAAGCAATGCCTGAATTGCCCAGCTTACTCTTCTCCTGACCACAGCCCCATGCTGAAGAAAGCAAGGTGAAGCTGTGTTTGTGGGGGAATGGAGCAAGTGGATGTTGACTGAGTTGGGCATCACACTGCAGAGCCCCATCCACATGCTGGCTGATGACCCATGAGGCAGCCTGGTGCAAAGGGAAGAGGGTTGGGTGGAAACTGAGGAAATCATCAGATTCCCCTGAGATCTGGGCTATGGAGCAAGAGGTAAACCTGAGCAGAGAGAAATAGAGATGCCAAAGAGACTCTGTGTGTGCATGTGACACAGAGAGGTTGGGGTGGCGATGGGGATGCCTTGCTTTAGAGCTGTGTTAGTTCCTGCAAGTTTGCTCATTCTATATCCAGGCAGCTGTCACTTTATGATAAATCCCCATTCTCCAGGCGATCCTTATTACTCTCTGTCCACTGCAACTATAAGAGGAAAGGAGGAAATGGCACTGCCATGCTAAGCTAATTTGTCCTCATTACCTTGCAGAATGGAGAATCTTCTAGAACAATTTCCAATGTGGAATTATGCGTCTTTTTACACCTGCCCCATTTCAAATGCTGGTCTAAAACTAGCCCAGCCTTGGGGGGCGGGGGCAGAATGTGACACAAACCCAATCTTTTCATCACCTGTACGACCACCCTCATCAAATCACCAGCTCTTCATGCCCCGAGGCCATCCTCTAAGGCTAAATTGTCTTCAGCTAGCCACAAAGCTCGTGACATTGTAGGACCCAATTTGGGGGTCTCCTAGTTGTTGAGCTCTTGCCTTATGCTGACTGGACAGACACCTAGGTAGCCAAGCAGTAACGCACTCACCTCAATTAAAACAGGAATTACTTATGCCATAAATATTTTTCTTGTAACTGGATTGTACAAACATTATGACACTGTTAATAGCATGTTTTAATTACTCACAACTCCACCAGCTTAAGATAAGCACAAAACACTTGAAACCAAAGACCAGGGTATAAACTCTCCCTCTTCCACGCCCTAGCTGTGTGACTTTGAGTAAGTTGCTTAGTCTTTAAGAGCCTCTTTCCCCTCCTCTGTAATTAGTGATGGTTAATACCTACTTTGCAGGGTTATTGTGGAGGTGAAAGGAGACATCTAGCAGGATATTGCTGCTGTAGTGACAACAGCATCATAGCAACAGGAACAATTTCCTAGGCACTTTTATGTGCCAGGCACCATGCCACATACTCAACTTGCTTCATCTCATGTAATTCGCCCAATCACTTTGTGAGGTAGGCACATTTTACAGGTAATGTTGCTTCAGCACACAGTGACTAAGTCATCTAAGTAACTAACACAGTTAACGAGGGATGGTGCTGCACAAAACACTCCTCCCTTTACCTTTTTATGTTTCACTATGACAAAGATTTCAGACTTCAAACGAAGTAATAGCAACTACTTACTGGGGATTCATCGGTTCCCAGTCGCCGATATGTTGAATTACACAGTTTTTTAACTTTCTCAGGACCCTCTATATCATAACCTTTGGGAAAAGCTTCTCTGTCACGGTGCCTTAAGAAAAAATTAGGAGTCCGTTAAGAGATGTAGTTTATTTATTCTGTATTGCATTCAGATTTTTAAAAATTATCCAATGAAAATTTTCTATATTTGTAGTATTAAGTATAAATTTATTAGATTTGTGACATATAAAGTATTTTCCATCTCTTTTCAAGTAATGCTGAGGCTAATTCCTAAAAGCAACCTAGCATAAGTGATAAAACTAATAATATCACCCAAACAATACTTATCAAACACAGTAATTACTCAGTGATTCCAATGAACTGAATCCTATTTAATAATGTAGATTAGTTTACCAACAGTAAGTTCTAAAATAAGACATGGTAATATCTTGGAAAGGCAACTTTCCACTTTAGAAATTCTTTCTACCATGAATTTTAATTACAATTTTTTTCAAAACAAGACAGCAAAGTATTTGCCCATATTGATTTATAACCTGTGCTTCTGCTTCTAAAGAGGCAATAAAGGAAGCTGATAAACATGAGGTAGAAGAAAACAGTTCTTAAAAATGTAGATGGAAGAAGGAAAAAATATACCAAACATCTTGATTAAAAGAGTGATTAAGAATAATAAGAGGCAGGGAACAGTAACACACGCCTGTAATCTCAGCACTTTGGGAGGCAGGCAGATCCCTTGAGCCTAGAAGCTTCAAGACCAGCCTGGGAAACATGGCAAGACCCCATCTCTACAAAAAATACAAAAATCAGTTGGGCTTGGTGGCATGTGCCTGTAGTCCCAGCTACACGGGAGGCTGGGCTAGGAGGATCACCTCAGGGAGGTCAAGGCTGCAGTCAGCCATGATTGTGCCACTGAACTCCAGCCTGGGCAACAGAATAAGACCCTGTCTCAAAAAAGAAGAAGAAAGAAGGAGGAGGAGGAGGAAGAAGAAGAAGAAGAAGAAGAAGAAGAAGAAGAAGAAGAAGAAGAAGAAGAAGAAGAAGAAGAAGAAGAAGGAGGAGGAGGAGGAGGAGGAGGAGGAGGAGGAGGAGGAGGAGGAGGAGGAGGGGGGGAGGAGGAGGAAGAGGAGGAGGAGGAGAAGTAGGAGGGGAGGGGAGGGGGAGGGGAGGGGGAAGAAGGAAGAAGAGGATTTGGGGGTAGAGAAGGAAAAAGTAGGAGAAGTGGCTGGCAACTGAAGTAGCTATTTTTAATAGAACTTTCTTGAGTGAAATATAGGATGCTAAGACTAAGCAACCCTCAGAAGTTACTTTGCTTTAAGGGATACAGGGCTAGAATTGTTTAGGGGACACTCAAGTACCCGAGAATTCAATCATCCAGCCATTTGTTTATTCCACAAATGTTTTAAAATTCCTACTACATGCCAGGGACTTTGGTAGGTGTGGGGGATGCAGTGGGAAGTGAGTCTAATGGAGTCCCTGCCTTCAGTTGCTTGCAGTCTAGATAGAGAGACACAAAAATAAGAAAAATCTACAACATGGTAAGTGTGGGTAAAAATCTAGGTAAGAAGAATTGCTTCCCTTAACCTAGGTTGGGCACCGAATCCAAAGGGCATCCTCTTTCCTTCCCCACCCCCACTGGACTAGGGCTCAGCCCCTGCACTACATTCCCATTAACACTCCTGCCTCCCCACCTCTGAGCATGACAGCAGAGCTCTGCAGTAGAACCCAGCAGCAAGGGAGCCCAAGGTGGGGCGGCAAGCAAAACACACCTGAGCCCTCTTCTCTCCTCACATCTGAGCATCAAAGTGCAGAACACTAAATGCTTTTTGGTAACCTACCAGCATTTTATGAGATCCTAACAGGAAGCTTTCACTTAAGTCCTCAGGGGGGATATTGGACAACACAAGCTCAACCAGGTCCCAGCTGTGTGGCCTTGGGGAAGTCACTTAACCTTTCTGTGCTTCCATTTTCACATGTATAATATGAGGACAGAAATAATAACAATACCTTTTAAGATCTTAATATGAATTAAAATTTTTTTAAAAAGCAGAAAATCCTTCATATGCTGTAAAGCATCATAAACATCTATGTATAGTGAATACTAATCAGGCTCCAAAATCTGGTATACATTGGAACTTAGTTTTGCCATAATTGAACTTAATTTTTCTTCCAAGCTCTCATTTTACCAAGAGGAAAAACCGGAATATTGGTCAATTCTGGATTTCTTCCAGTTCTGAGGGGTTTGTGTGGTGCCACAATGCCAAGAATCCATCTTTGTTGCCATCCTTTCTCCTTGCTTACATCTGCAGAAACACTCTCCTTCCCCTGTGGTCTTCCCTTACAGATCCATGCAGGTCTCCATCCTCCTGGGCTTGCCACACAAACTCATAGGTAGACTGGTGCTCTGCCACAAGGGTGCCACTCTCTAGCCCACCAGACACCTTCTAGTGTCTCTCTCCACCTGGGTTCCTGGAAACCCAGCACCATCCCTGGGTTATGTGCCTGATCCACCGAACAGATAGTGTTTCATCTCTCCAGCACTCTGGGCTTGGGGACACATGGGAGACCCAATCTTCAGCAGTTCTGAAAACATTACCCTGGGAATAGGGGGTGATGGGGAGAGCAATGACAAGTCCTGATATGGTTTGGCTATGTCCCCACACAAATCTCACCTTGAATTGTAGCACCCATAATTCCCATGTGTCATGGGAGACACCCTGTGGGAGGTAATTGAATCATGGGGGCGGGTCTTTCCCATGCTGTTCTCATGATAGTGAACAAGTCTCATGAGATCTGATGGTTTTATAAAGGAGAGTTCCCCTACACAAGCTCTCTCTTGCCTGCTGCCATGTAAGACATGACTTTACTCATCATTTGCCTTCCAGCATGATTGTGAGGCCTCCCCAGCCATGTGGAACTGTGAGTCAATTAAACCTCTTTCCTTTATAAATTACCCAGTCTTGTGTATGTCTTTATTAGCAGCATGAGAACGACTAATACAGGTCCCATCTGGCTCCAGGATTTCCAAAATCTTAACTCAAATTCAGGATCCCAGACAAATTCAAACATTCTCAGCTTTTTCTCTGGCCTTCTCCTATTTGTGTCCATGAATTCTTCATTTGCTGTGGAACAGGGTGGCTTGGCTCTTCATGCTCCCAAATCTATCAGGCTTATGCTAAGACCCAAGTTTTTGAAATCCAAATCCAATAATTTGGCTCTTTTGTTACCTGCTGGGTCATTCTTCCCTGAGGCAATAAAACCGGAGTACATCCCTACAGCAGCACACAAATGAAGGGGAAACATACCAGTGATATTTCAGCATATTTGCCCCAAGGCCCACCTCTTTATTAGACACTGAAGAAGGCCCAGGGCCCATACTTCTAGAGGCCTACAAAATAACTACTTTTAAATCAGAAATATATATATATATATATATATATATATATATAATCCAGCTTGGATTATACCTGTCTTTATACCATCAGTCTAACTATCATTTTAAACTTTTTTTTTAATGGAAGAAGGGGCCCAAGAAAGCAAAGATATTTATGGTCTGTGAAAGTCAGTATGTGGCCCTAATGATCCTACCATATACTTTAAGTTTCATGATAACTAGATTCTTACAAAAGATGCAGATATGTTCTTTTTTCCTATAGCAACCTTAGATAGCAGCCAAAAACCCAGCATTAAAACCATGAATCCATAATGAAGGTGTTTCTTTGGGGGACTGAGCTAATGTAACTGGCATTTCCTCGTGCCTGCCGGCTGCCCATGGATGCTGTGCCCACAGCCTGTGGGGCTCTGAGAGATTCACAGCCCCAAATCTGCCCCTACTCCCAAGAGGCTGCCAGCCTAGCAGAGAGAAATATACATGTTTAAAAATTATAAAATGTATAAAATATACTGTATGAAATATAGTAAAATATATAGACCCAAATAAAATATAAGATATGTCTTTACTATATGCTCTCTGTATAATACATATTTACCATATATAAAATGATTGAGGCTTTCTAAAGGAAACAGGAGACTGAATTAATTCTCTGACTTTATTATGTTAGGGGAACAGTGGCCTGTGCCTCAGGTTTCCTGAGATGAACCGAGAATCATAAACTGAGGAACTAAATGAATCAACACCTTGAGAGTCTCAAATGAAAGGTGACATATAAATGCAAAATATTATTAAGTGTAATGATAATATCTACAACAGGCTTTAGCTGGGTATTTTTAAACACTTTGTCAAAACTAACTAAGCCTTATAGCCTTTCTGTGATTAAAATGTAATATATACATATATAAAAATAATCAAGGTGCAATAATGTATATTTCATATAGCCTCATTCTCCTTGCTACCGGCATTTGTTTAGTCATCGAACGACTTGCCATGATTTTTTATTTGTTGCAATGAAAAATTCTTCATGAGAAAAATAAATACATGTACTAAAATAGAATTTACAATGCCTCTAGAGCAGTAACTTTCAAATTCTTCAACTACAGTCCCCAGTAAGAAAAATGATCAATCTTTTTTTTTTTTTTTACATGAAGTTTTGCTTTTGTTGCCCAGGCTAGAGTGCAATGGTATGACGTCAGCTCACTACAACCTCCGCCTCCTGGGTTCAAGCGATTCTCCTCCCTCAACCCTCTGAATAGCTGGGATTACAGGCACACGCCACCGTGCCCAGCTAATTTTCTGTATTTTTAGTAGAGATGGGGTTTCACCATGTTGGCCAGGCTGGTCTCGAACTCCTGACCTTCGGTGATCCACCCACCTAGACCTCCCAAAGTGCTGGGATTACAGGCGGGAGCCACTGCGCCTGGCCAAAAAATGATACTTCTTAATCCAGAATATGTACATGTATTTCCATGCATAAAATTGAAACCAAAATTTGTCCAGACATGGTGGCTCACACTGTAATCCCAGCACTTTGGGAGGCTGAGGCAGGCGGATCACTTGAGGTCAGGAATTCAGACCAGCCTGGCCAACATGGTGAAACCCCGTCTCTACTAAAAATACAGAAAATTAGCTGGGCACGGTGGCACGTGCCTGTAATCCCAGCTACTCAGAGGCCTGAGGCATGAGAATCGCTTGAACCCGGGAAGCAGAGGTTGCAGTTAGCTGAGATCACACCACTACACTGGTAGCCTGGGTGACGAAGTGAGACTCTGGAAGAAATTGAATCTCTGAATAGACCAATAACAGGATCTGAAATTGTGGCAATAATCAATAGCTTACCAACCAAAAAGAGTCCAGGACCAGATGGATTCACAGCCGAATTCTACCAGAGGTACAAGGAGGAACTGGTACCATTCCTTCTGAAACTATTCCAATCAAGAGAAAAAGAGGGAATCCTCCCTAACTCATTTTATGAGGCCAGCATCATTCTGATACCAAAGCCAGGCAGAGACACAACAAAAAAAGAGAATTTTAGACCAATATCCTTGATGAACATTGATGCAAAAATCCTCAATAAAATACTGGCAAAACGAATCCAGCAGCACATCAAAAAGCTTATCCACCATGATCAAGTGGGCTTCATCCCTGGGATGCAAGGCTGGTTCAATATACGCAAATCAATAAATGTAATCCAGCATATAAACAGAGCCAAAGACAAAAACCACATGATTATCTCAATAGATGCAGAAAAAGCCTTTGACAAAATTCAACAACCCTTTCATGCTACAAACTCTCAATAAATTAGGTATTGATGGGACGTATTTCAAAATAATAAGAGCTATCTATGACAAACCCACAGCCAATATCATACTGAATGGGCAAAAACTGGAAGCATTCCCTTTGAAAACTGGCACAAGACAGGGATGCCCTCTCTCACCACTCCTATTCAACATAGTGTTGGAAGTTCTGGCCAGGGCAATTAGGCAGGAGAAGGAAATAAAGGGTATTCAATTAGGAAAAGAGGAAGTCAAATTGTCCCAGTTTGCAGACGACATGATTATATATCTAGAAAACCCCATTGTCTCAGCCCAAAATCTCCTTAAGCTGATAAGCAACTTCAGCGAAGTCTCAGGATACAAAATCAATGTATAAAAATCACAAGCATTCTTATACACCAACAACAGACAAACAGAGAGCCAAATCATGAGTGAACTCCCATTCACAATTGCTTCAAAGAGAATACAATACCTAGGAATCCAACTTACAAGGGATGTGAAGGACCTCTTCAAGGAGAACTACAAACCACTGCTCAAGGAAATAAAAGAGGATACAAACAAATGGAAGAACATTCCATGCTCATGGGTAGGAAGAATCAATATCGTGAAAATGGCCATACTGCCCAAGGTAATTTATAGATTCAATGCCATCCCCATCAAGCTACCAATGTCTTTCTTCACAGAATTGGAAAAAACTAATTTAAAGTTCATATGGAACCAAAAAAGAGCCCGCATTGCCAAGTCAATCCTAAGCCAAAAGAACAAAGCTGGAGGCATCACGCTACCTGACTTCAAACTATACTACAAGGCTACAGTCACCAAAACAGCATGGTACTGGTACCAAAACAGAGATATAGATCAATGGAATAGAACAGAGCCCTCAGAAATAATGCTGCATATCTACAACTATCTGATCTTTAACAAACCTGAGAAAAACAAGCAATGGGGAAAGGATTCCCTGTTTAATAAATGGTGCTGGGAAAACTGGCTAGTCATATGTAGAAAGCTGAAACTGGATCCCTTCCTTACACCTTATACAAAAATCAATTCAAGATGGATTAAAGACTTAAACGTTAGACCTAAAACCATGAAAACCCTAGAAGAAAACCTAGGCATTACCATTCAGGACATAGGCATGGGCAAGGACTTCATGTCTAAAACACCAAAAGCAATGGCAGCAAAAGCCAAAATTGACAAATGGGATCTAATTAAACTAAAGAGCTTCTGCACAGCAAAAGAAACTACCATCAGAGTGAACAGGCAACCTACAAAATGGGAAACAATTTTCACAACCTACTCATCTGACAAAGGGCTAATATCCAGAATCTACAATGAACTCCAACAAATTTACAAGAAAAAAACAAACAACCCCATCAAAAAGTGGGCGAAGGACATGAACAGACACTTCTCAAAAGAAGACATTTATGCAGCCAAAAGACACGTGAAAAAATGCTCATCATCACTGGCCATCAGAGAAATGCAAATCAAAACCACAATGAGATACCATCTCACACCAGTTAGAATGGCAATCATTAAAAAGTCAGGAAACAACAGGTGCTGGAGAGGATGTGGAGAAACAGGAACACTTTTACACTGTTGGTGGGACTGTAAACTAGTTCAACCATTGTGGAAGTCAGTGTGGCGATTCCTCAGGGATCTAGACCTGGAAATACCATTTGACCCAGCCATCCCATTACTGGGTATATACCCAAAGGACTATAAATCATGCTGCTGTAAAGACACATGCACACGTATATTTATTGCGGCATTATTCACAATAGCAAAGACTTGGAACCAACCCGAATGTCCAACAATGATAGACTGGATTAAGAAAATGTGGCACATATACACCATGGAATACTATGCAGCCATAAAAAATGATGAGTTCATGTCCTTTGTAGGGACATGGATGAAATTGGAAATCATCATTCTCAGTAAACTATCGCAAGAACAGAAAACCAAACACCGCATATTCTCACTCATAGGTGGGAATTGAACAATGAGAACACATGGACACAGGAAGGGGAACATCACACTCTGGGGACTGTTGTGGGGTGGGGGGAGGCGGGAGGGATAGCATTGGGAGATATACCTAATGCTAGATGACGAGTTAGTGAGTGCAGCGCACCAGCATGGCACATGTATACATATGTAACTAACCTGCACAATGTGCACATGTACCCTAAAACTTAAAGTATAATAATAAAAAATAAATAAATAAATAAATAAATAAAATGTAAAAAAAAAAAAAAAAGAAATTGAAGCCAAAATGTGACAAAACAGTCTTTACCCTCATAGGAATTTGGATACTTTTTATTCTCTATTATTTTATTTTTTTAAATGCCATTATTAATCCACTGAATTGAGTTCACAATACATTGATGGGTCGTGAAAAATATTGCTCTAGACCAGTGGTTTTCAATCTGGTTGGAGAAGGGGATCAATTTGTGGCATCCACTCCCACCCCAGAGACAATGCAGACATTTGGCCATGCCTGGAGACATTGTTGCGTATACTTCTAAGGAGGAGAGTGCTACCAGTGTCTAGCGGGTAGAGGACAGCGATGCTGCTAAACATCCTGCAATGCACAGGACAGCCCCCAACCACAGAGAAGTATCTTGCCCAAAATGTCCATAGTACCAAGGTTGAGAAAGCCCTAGAGAACAGTTGCACCCCAGACTCTCAGTGGTTCCCAAACCTAAGTGCTTCATGGAGCAGCCAAACTTTCCCCCAAAAAGGATGGGGCCAACATAAAGCTGCCAACTTTTTGTTTTGACGAGAACATTCAAAATAAAATAATCATCTACCACCTTTCATAAGAAGGCCTCTAACACCAACAATCAGTAAAAACAATCTCATAGTCCTTCAAACTGAATAGATTTAGCTATCTGAAAAACTTGCTACATTGAGTTGCAGGACTGAACAAACTAGAATCCAGAGCTGCAGGTCAGGAAGGTCCTGCAGCTCCCCAAGGCTGCCCCAAGCCAGAGGGCCCAGCTCCGTGTCAGCGGAGGAGAGGGTGGGATTAGGTCGTAGGATTCTTCTTACAGGAAAGGAAACAGGTTATACTCTAGGGTTTCTGTGGTTGTATGTTTATGTGGGGCAAGGGAATTGGGAGGTTGCAAAGAAACCAGCATCTTTGTCACTGCCGCACCTTTCATATTGTTTTGTAATTATCCGTTCATGTATCAGCCTTCTCATTTGACAGAAAGCTTCTTAGACACGGATTATTTTTTATTCATCTTTGTGATCTTGGTCTGACACATTGTAAATGCTCATTAAATCTTAAATGATTGACTGATTGATTGATTAGATGAATGTTCTTACATTTTGTTACTGTCACCTTAATATAAATGCTGAAAGCAACGGCTTTCAAACGTGTCCATAAAAATGAAGAGTATCCTGGCTCAGTCTGCAAAAGCACACGTAAAGAGGGAGTAATTATGCATATAGAGATGCTAGTCCTTTGCAATGCTAACTTGTCTCCAGAGAAATTATAAATCTACTTGCTGAATGAGAAAACTTTCAACATACATATGCATAACACTGATTGCAAAGGGGTTTGAATCTGAGCAATATCTGACATGAGAACAATGAAAATCTGAGCTGAATTCTAGCTTGTGGTGACTTGACAAGAGACACACTTTTCTTTGCAGATTTCAAAGATGTTTAAAATGTTTAGTTAAGACTCCAGATGGCAGGATATATTAATTTTAAATTTTAGAATTATTAATGTAGTTCACAACCATGCCGTTAGCTATTGTATTTTCTGATATAAAGCTGGTGAAATGAGAAGCAAAAGATACCTTTCCTATTAGATTTTTATAATCATCTGCTATCTAGAACTTTAAAAGAAAATTACCCTTGAGAGTCAGCTATATTCCCTAACACATTAGAAGCATAAAACCGATAGAATCAAAGACTATGAGACATTGACAATACTCTTTGAAGATTTCGTGGGCAAATGATTTACATGCCAAGGCAGTGTTATTTGGTGGCATAGCCCTCAAACTGATAAATGAAGACTTTCAGGTGTATTTGCAGAATCATAAAGAAAATCTTATGTTCTTTGTAAAAATTGTGACATTTCAGACTTACGAAGAAATACTTTGTTTTTCTATGTGTCTCATGCTGTATGTGATCTGTGCATCTATAACCATGAAACCACAGAATTTGAAACTTAACTGCACTCAAAAGGAAACCATTTGATGGAGACAGATAAGTGAAGTCATCTTCTCCACTGAGCATATATTGAGTGGCACATAAATAAGACCCATCATTATTATAAATTTTCTTCATAGAAAATCTTCAAAACAGAAGGCCCTATGGAAAATATTGGAAGGAATCAAAAGGAATACAACAGTTGGAGGCTTTGTCTATCGTAACAGTTTAAATGTTAAATAAATGTGGTCAGTCTGATTAACTGCCAAACACATGACTTTGAAAACAGCTGAAGGGACATGTATAAAATAGGGCAACACTGCAATTGATAATCCCACCTGGGACACTTTTAGAGGGAAATAAGATGCTAAGTACACCAGGAGTGGTGAAAAACGGGACTGTCATTGTCAAACCAGGGTGAGTACGTTCTGTCACCCTATGGTTAGACAACTGGGTCTCAATAATCTTCAAACCCTAGGATACTTCTGAGTTTCCTTGATCCTCTCCTCCAGAAACAACTTGCAATAGCTGGCTGAAGACACTGGGTGGTGGAAAAGTAGGGCTAAAGAGGGAGTTTTTAAGGGGCACTGTACATTAGTAATTACTGTAGTCTGAAACACCTTGCAGTATACCTGGCATGGAGTGACATGGAGATCAGCCTGCCCCCGTCCAAAACAAAAAGCAAAGAATCACTCAATTACCTGTGTAAGCTCCTATTCCAATAGTCTTAATCTTACTGGCTTAAATAATTTGAATTATTCCAGAATAACATCAAAAGATTACATTATGTCACCTTAAGATCTATTTTAAATCACACTTAGTGATTCCATGAGCTGTGCATATTGAGTAGATAATACAAAGTCTTTTGGTTTCAGGACAATTTGTTGCATTAACATTAGAAAACAAATAAGCTTTTCTTCAGGAATAAAATCTAGAATTAAAACAGACTTCCATAATGAACGTAACTACACAAATGTACATTTTTCCCTTTCCTCCTAGAATTCATTCAAAAACAGCAAAGGAAATGAAACAATTAAAAGCAAATAAATTTTTGGCAAAATCACAAGTTATCATCCCCAGATTATAACATGTACAAGGGCTATTAAAAGCAGCCAAAGTCCAGCTGAGGCCAAGTAGAAGGAGTGCTGAGAAGAGATCGACAAGATTGCACAGAGGTGGCCTCTTGGAGTGCAAACCAAGTTACATTTCCCGCAGCTGCACAGATAAACTCTTTCACCGGAAACAATGGAAAATGTTAGACTAAATAGTATGTATATATTTTGGCCAGGTGCAATAGCTCACACCGTAATCCCAGCACTTTGGGAGGCAGAGGCAGGTAGATTGCTTGAGGTCAGGAGTTTGAGACCAGCCTGCCCAACATGGCGAAACCCCGTATCTACTAAAATACATAATGACGTATTATTAAGAAATAAAAAGAAATGAAGTATTGATAAAAACTACAACACAGATGAACCTTGAAAATATTATGTAACGACTATATGTTGTACAATTCCATTTATGTGAAATGCCCAGAATAGGCAAATCTATAGAGGCAGAAAATCAATTAGTGGTTGCCTGTGGCTCGAGGGCTGAGGACTAGGGGAGGCTTGGAGTAAGGGATAAAGGGAGTGGGATTTATTTTGAGGGGGTAATAAAACATTCTAAAATTGATTGTGGTGATGGATGCACAACTTGGTGAATACTAAAAGCCATTGAATTAAATACACTTTAAAAGGGTGATTTGTATGGCATGTGAATTACATCTTAATAAAATTGTTAAAAATAGGATATAACCATCAAAATAGAAGAAAAACACCTTAATCATTAAAGATTACTTTCCATAACTCTATGCAAATATATATGTAAAGCTAGATGACTTACATGACTTTCTAAGAAAAACTATTTCCCAACGCCCCCAGTAGAAACAAGAAGTCCAAATAGGGAGGGATACCATTGGGAGATATATCTAATGTTAAATGACGAGTTAATGGGTGCAGCACACCAACATGGCACATGTCTACATATGTAACAAACCTGCACGTTTTGCACATGTACCCTAAAATTTAAAGTATTTAAAAAAAAAAAAAAGTTTAGGCCTAAGGCCAGCTGAGAAAAAAAAAAGGTACTGTTAAGGGCAAAAAAAAAAAAAAAAAAAAAAAAAATCCGAATAGACTATTTCTATAGAAGAAATAAAGAAAATTATCACAGAGCTAAGAGTTATTCCCCAAAACAGTACTAGTAGGGAAAAAAAATTCATATTTGTGCCTGAAAGTCCAGCAGGACATTTGGTACACCTTGACCTGCTCATTTGTCAGAGCTACATGGGCAAGGGCTGAGACAAGGAGCAAGACTTACCACATTACACGCGCCACACTGACTTTGACATATGTGGAAACCAAACAATAGTATTTCCAAATTACTTATGTTTATTATAGGATTGTTTTACACACAAAGAAAAATTCAAATTAAAAAACCATGCAATCTTTCCAGACTAAATTTTTCTAATAATGACATAACAACTAATTATTTGTTAGAGGTCTGGGTGGGATATCACAATATCCTAACCTCTGAGAGACTGCTTGCAGTGGTCCGTTGTTGCCTTATTGCATCCCTACAAGGAGAGCAGGTGCCACTGATCTCTGAAAGCTCGGGGTTCTTATACAATACTGAGTGGGGAATTCCCTTTCTTTGACTGGATCTATTAGGAGAGTTGCTGTTCACACCCTTGTTATAAATGGCCATATGCAAACTAACTAAACTTAATGTGTTGACGCTAGATACATGTTAGTTCTGCTGTTTTCACCCATCTGGCTGTTCTTATAGTTTATGGATATGTAAATTAGGCTTCATATAGATAGATGGATAAATGTTGTTAAGATGCTATGGTCACCTCCAGGACTAAGAGTCACAATTCTTACAACCACACATTCTGCATCACAAGATACCAGTCATTACGCAACAAAAAATGCCCACACGTATTTCCAAAGACTCTTGGGGAAAGGGTAGTACTGCTCTCGGTTGGAAACTAATGCATCATACTTTAGTTCTCCTTGGGGATCCTAGGAACCAGGTGAACCTCCTCTGAAAAGCTCCCCTGGTCCAACAGGCCTAAGTTAAAGGCTCCTCTTGGATGCTCCCTGAGCAACCTGCTTACCGCTAATCAAAACACATATCACAGTACATTGTAGTTGCTGGGGTAGCCCTCCCCACTCCTATCTCACAGTAACCTCTAACATCCTAAAGGCAGGGAGGATGTCTTAGTCACTGTCAAATTCCTAACCCAGCAAAGTGCTTTCAACAGAGCAATGGATTCATAAATACACTTTTAATAAATGCAATTAAAAAAAAAGAGTTCTTCATCTGGAAAGAAGATAGTGAATAAAAGCTTAGTGCTTTTTTTAAAAAAAGCTTATTTAATGCTTCTGGATCCTTACTGAGCAATTCAGTTTTTCCAAATGTTTAAAAAATTGTGACAAGTTATTTATTCCTATATTTTAATTTCAAAAAATTTTATCCTATCACTGTCTATAAAAGGAGGCTAAATTATTTGCAATGAAATTTACTTTGCAATAGATAAATGGTATTATATTAATTCTTCCATTTAATTGAACCTGGAACCATCTGATTGGAGATCTAGTAGCTTACCAAATAAACATATTATAATATTTCTGCAATTAATTCTCTTTGTTAATGCATCACAACTTAGTTAAATAAAAATAAAGAAAATACACGGTGTGACCAATAATAACTAAAACATAATTGTATTTCAAATGAAATAAAGCAAACAGTAATAAAGATTAATGCCTATCAAAAACAGTAAGAAGTCTGGATGCAATGGCACACATCTGTAATCCCAGTACTTTGGGAGGCCAAGGTTGGAGGATCGCTTTAGACCAGGAGTTCAAGACCAGCCTGGGTATTAGAGGAAGACTGTCAACTCTACCAAAGAAAAAAAAAGTTTTTTAAAATTAGTCAGGCATGGTGGTGCATGCCTATAGTCCCAGCTGCTTGGAAGGCTGGGGCAGGAGAATCACTTGAGCCCAAACGTTTGAAGTTACCATGAGCTATGATTGAGCCACTGCACTCCAATCTGGGTGACAAAGTGAAACCCTTTCTTTAAAAAAGTAAAATAAGAGTACTCAAATTTATTCATAACCTTTGCAAAGCACTGCAAAGATATGTTTCATCTAATCTCTACACAAGATTTCTGTTTTCTGCCCATTACATCTAAGATACATTTTTTAAAATTGCATTGAGTAGATACAAGTTGGCTGGGGAGGGAGAGTTTAAAGTCAAAATAGCATCAATTGTAGGAAGTCTCCCAATATATTAATAGGTTATGTTCTAGACTTTTGCTGTGAAACTGAGTGTGTAAAATTTGCTATTCCTTCTCCACTGCAGTAACTCTAGGACTGCCAGCCCAGCACTCCTTCCTTCTCCTGGATGCGTCCTCCTTGTTCGTTGCTCTTGGAGAGCTACCATATTTCCATTTGCCCTTGCCTAGCCAGATGACTCCAAACAGGTACTTGGTCCAGGGAAAGACATATGGCCTGGAATTTGTTGAGCCAGAACTGAAAATACCTTAAAGCCAAACTTTCTTTGTGGGATCAAGATGTAAGTTATATATTCCAGAACTGCAGCAGCCATGTTTCCCATACTCTTCCACAACAAGATGAAGCAAACCCACAAAGAGAGAGGGGAAACACAGTAAGACCTGGTAACATTTTCATCCCTCGTTCCAGTTGTTCCTAAGGCCCAGCTTACCGCTGCCTTTCTCACCTGGTAATCAATCATCCAGGAATATCCTGAGTTAATTCATTCTGTTTTCTTAAGCTAGGGCAAGCTGACCATCTGTCACTTGCAACCAAAAGAGCTCTGACCAGTACACACAGAAAATGGTGCGAATGGGGATGGGTTCCCAGAGAAACTCAGAGAAGTGTGTTCAACAATACTAGTTCTAGTGCCACAAAACACCCTGAGCCCCAAGTCTGGGCTTCTCAGTGTGAACTTCTCCTTATCAAAATGTCACGAAGCCCCACATTCTTCTAACTTCCTCTCCCAACCACAACACTCTTACCTAGAAAGAGATAGTCAGTAAGGTAAAAGAAAACAAGCTTGGTGAAAAAGTACCTTAGACTATCTGTGAGAGGAAAGACTACAGCAGCATTACAACAAGGAGAGGACTCTAATGGCTTCCACAGCCCAGTTATGAGATGGTCATAAGGGTAGAGGTTTGGTTTGAGGCAGAGGTACTTCTGTATAGCAAGGATCTTTCCTATCCAAGTTTGCCCGTGTGGTGAAATGCCTCTTCTGTATACTTTGCCTTACCAGGGCTTATCTTGCATGTAAAACGATTTTATTTTTGTAAATGCCAGTTAAGTTGAGCAAACTTTCACACAAAGGTCATGGCACAATCATTCTATAACGATCAGTTTTCAGAAAAAGAATTTGACTGGAATTTCATAAAAGAAAACAGCACTGGAAGAAAAATGTAGTCAGGGCAAAAGGAGGCTGAGTCTCCTGGATTTCATCTTGAAAAATAAAAAATATAGTGCTTTCCCCAAAAAACTACTATATCCAGAAGCATTTGTAGGTAATGTGCGTATGTTGAGGAATGAGAATGTAGGACTAGATTAAAAATAACCGTGGCGTAGGATCCACCGTTGTAGAACGCAGACGAGAATGAAAGGGTGGTTAAACCAAATGAATGTGAATAACATCATCCTTTTTACCCAACATAAACTAACAATTAAAAAGATATTTTTAAAAGGCTCATAATAAACCATGGAGGGTGACTCAGAAGCTGAAAGAAATGAAGTATTGTGTCTAAATTCTGATCCTTTAGAGAATGCTTGCATCCAGGGAAAAGCTGTAGAAAGTGATATCACAAATTTTAAGTTATTTTACTTTATTCTTATTATGAAAATACATGTTCATTATGGAAAATGTAGAAGTAGCAAAGAGAAAAAAGAAAAAGACAAATAATCCATAAATGCACCATCCAGTAATAAGTATCATGTTACATGGTGAATATTTTTTCACTCTCTTTTCAGTGCATATAGACTCATTTATTTTATTTTATTTTATTTTTTGGAAACAGGGTCTGTCACCCAGCTCTGTCACCCAGGCTGGAGTGCAGTGGCTCAGTCTCGGCTCACTGCAACCTCTGCCTCCCATGCTCCAGCGATCCTCTCGCCTCAGCCTCCCAAGTAGCTTAGACCACAGGGGTGTGCCACCACACCCGGCTAATTTTTGGTGGTTTTTTGGTAGAGATTGGGTTTCACCATGTTGCCCAGGCTGGTCTCAAGCTCCTGGCTCAAGCGATCCCCTCACCTTGGCTTCCCAAAGTGTTGGGATTACAGGCGTGAGTGAGCTACTGTGCCCAACCTAGACACATATTTTTAACCAAAGAGAGAATTCCAGTACATGCTGTTTTTTTATACTTGAGATTAATATTTCAAATATTAATCTTTATACTTTACTGAGCCAGCCTTTAAAATAACTTTTGCTCTGATAAATCAGAGATACCCACATTTGCTTTGGGAAAAATTAGGACTGTTTCACCAGAAATCTGAAGAAAAATGGAGTATTATTGATTAACTTCTGACTGACAAAATGAAATTTTTGAGTTCTGAGTGAGATATTTTCTTGAAAGTCAGGCATTGTTGAGAATCAAAAGACCTTCTAAATTCCTTAAGCTTCTATTAACAAGAACCAGAAGCTCCCAAATATACCACAGGGAGGATGACTTTGTAATTTATCTTCTGAAGAACACTTTAGAAACTAAAAGAGGGGCTTTTGGTAAGTCTCAGGCCAATGAGAGTAAACCATCCTGGGCAAACCATGGCATCTGCTCGCTCTCTTTCCAAGGCATTGAGAGGGAAGCTGAGTAGAGTATCACTGGGCCAGCTGCACGCCACCATGTTGAGGGTAGAGGTGCCCCACCACTGTGGCTGCAGGGTGACCAGCCTAAGTCGGGGGCTGTGAGAGGACAAGCCTGACAGGTATCTGTAGTCCCCTGCAAGAGACCGAGTGGGACCGAATCTGGAGGCAGAGACACCAAGTCCTCAACAAACCAACAGGATCAGCCACAAATTCAGCAGCAGCAGCATGCACAGCGGTTGGACCAGGATGAGGCGAGCAAGGACAAGGACCTACGATAGATCTGGAGGCCTCACTCCTCCACCCCCACCAAAATGTCACATAACCTCAGCCCCTCGTACACATACAGATGGTAGTGGGGGAAGGAGAAGGTGGAGGAGGAAGGACTCAAAGAGTGGGCACTGTTCTGAACGAGACTATTTTAACCTAAAACAAGCTGTTAAACTAAAAGAGACAGAGATAAGCTTTAATTGGCATGTTTGAATTTTTCTCTAGTAACCAACAGTTGAAAAGTTTGAGGATTGGTTTTAGAAAATAAATTTTATATATGCATCTGAGTTGTGTGCATATTTCTAATTCTGCTACCCGCTACAGAGTGAATATATTTCCATGTTCTTAGCCTACTATTACATCATCTTAAATGCCTGCATGATATTATAATTTGGAATTTTTTAAAGTATAAATTGAGAAATAAAAATATCTCTTTAAAGTGTAAATATCATTCGTCCCTACATTAACTCAAAACCTCATTAATACCCATCAGTTCTTGATGGTATGACACACACTGCAACTAGGAACAGCACAAGCTTAGCTCCCATTTAAAAATTCTTTACTATTGTAACAGAAGTATATATTATACCCTTCTAAGGTCATTTCTACAGAGGTGTCCAAACATACTTCCATGTTATGCTATTGCATCAAGAGCATGGCTGTGAAAATCAGCCCTGGTTTTAGTGGGGATTTTGTACTATACTGTAGTCTTTTACTTCAAGGCCTCATTAAAATATAAATATAGGGCCCCAGCCTGCAGTACCTTTTGGGTTTCTGTCTTTATTCTTTCTGCCTGCTCATTTGCTCATTTATTTGAGAAACATTAATTGAGCACCTACTGCATTCTTATCCCTTATCCTGAGGCTTGCCCTTCTTTCTGCCTTCTAACTATAGATCCAAAAGCCCCTTTAAAGCCTCTTCCCTCTCCCGTCAAATTTTGTGCTGTTTGCATGGAAACCACATAACCAAACTTAAAAATGTGTACAAATTAAGAGTTAATAAGCTTTTGATTGAGGGCCTAAGTCTATGTTAAAGGCAGAAAGAAGAAAACTTGATAGAAAAGAAGCCCTTGTGGATTTCAGCAAAAAGACAGGCTGCAGCATGTTGTTACCAAGGGTCCTTACTTTTTTTTCTTTGCTTTTTATCGTAGTTCTCGAATGTGTGTTGGAGATGTAGAAAGATGGGATTGCTGGCTAGCAAAGATCTGTGTAACACAAGCTTGGTCTCCAGTGACAGGAGGAACTCTAAATGCTTCCAGGTTAGTACCTGAGAAAATCATTGATTAAATACAGGAAGAATGACACAGCATATTAGAAAATTCAGACACTCTCTTTTCTATTTAAGTGCACTCATGATATCCTAGTGTCTTGGAACTGGGTGCTTCTGTGAATGTGAAGTACCTTAAATACATATAAACTTCCTGTTCAAACAGTGCAGTAGGGTGGGGGGAAGTCTGAAGAGCTTCATGGAAAGATTCCCCTCTTTAATTCTAATTCTAATTTATTGCCCCAGCCCAGATGATTTTGTGTAAAAGTCTTTAAAACTACAAAATTCCCTACCCCACAATTATCACCATAATTCTTCCCTTTTTTTCTGTTTATCTTTCTGGTTTCTTCCTATAGGAGACAGGAAGCGAAACTCCCAGGCTCTTTAATTTGGGGCTTAGGCAGGGAAGAAAAGTAATTAAAATCACAAATACATAAAATTAACCTGAGTCCTTAAAACTAAATGTCACCATGGAGACCAGAGCAAGAACTGTCTCCATGGAGATCCCAATGAATTTGTTTTGCTTTAAATTATTATCACTTGTTACCAGATGTCAATTTGGCCAAGGAAAAGATGAGTATGAATGAATGAATATAAGAATTAGCCTCACATGAGAGAATTTGTTAAGGGTAAGTCTAAATTGCTGTGGTTCTTAGTATTTCATCATTCCAATGAGTGGGAAGATATCCTAACAGAAAATATTTCCCCTTAGTTCAGTTCTAATGGAATCACCTGATGATATGGCTCCATAAATGCTACAGGAATAAGTGGGGTAAAATAATTCCTAGAAAAGGCATCTCTGGCTCAGAAGCATCAAGGTGTGATAAGGGTGATATGGCTCTATCGACCACTTCAGTTGCAAGGAAGAGGTGGCTCTTTGGCAATGTTTTATCCTAGTAACGAACCAAAGGTATCCCCTAAAAAGGATTTTGGAGATATTACTTTATCACGTCTATTATACACAACGGATTTTAATATGAGTAATGAGGTCAAATAGCTCTGTATCACATGCCAGATAAAGAGAAACACAGGAAAAAATATCTAAATGTTTGAACTGTGTTATCAGAGGAAAGTCAGAATTTCTCCCAGATACAGATTTTATTTTGTACCTATATGTACAGTCACTTAACTGATTAAATACTCTGTTGAGAAGCCATGCTAATGGTGTGTTTATAGATATTAAGTGTTCATCAATTAAATAAGAAATCACTAATAAAAGATATTAAAATTTAATAAAAATTTAATCTATCATAAAACAAATCAATAGAAAGCTAACAATTATGACCAAAATGCATAAAAATAAGTCAATGACATCATTCAATTTAGAATTTTACACAACCTGAATTTTATTCAGCTTTGTAGGACAAATCTTGGTGACTGGTTGGATACGGAAGAACAAGTATGCCAGCAATACAGTCAGCACAGAAAATGCTAGTGCTTCTCACATTTCACAGTCAATTCTTGCTATCTTTATATTCTATAAACTTGCCTCAAACACTCAATTAGCAAATACAGAAATACAAGGTTAGGTTTCTGTGAGCCTCTGGTCACAATATTTTTGTCAGTCAAGACATAACCTTGTATTATGTGTGTTTCAGTTTAAAAACACCTTACATAACGTGTATTGTTGATTCATTAACATTGAAATCACTGCCAACTACACTATAATTTAAACCTGAATGAAGCTTTCTAATGCATGCATTTCCTCTGTAAGGTGTGTCACAGTCTTCTTGTGCTTAGCATGATGCTTAGGGGCCATTTTACCATATAGCAAACAAAAAGCACGAAATGCAAAAAAAAAAAAAAGCATTAAATAGAACATGAAAAGGATACTTGTTTACAGTATGAGAGCTGAAACAAAAAGGCAGAGCGTTGCTTGCTTTGTTTGACCTCAGTTGGGAACATGCACGTAGGGCAACTCAAATTTTTTTGCCTTTTTTCCGCTCTGAGAATGTCTACAAATGACCACAAAAGTGCATCAAGTATTAATTTTGACTTACAAATAAATCGTAGCAAGTGGGTGAATTTACAAACACAGAATCCGGAAATAATAAGGATCAACTGTATTTGTCAACTATTGAAAAAGAATTCTGTTTCCTGTGGGGCTGTTCTTTACTATTCCACTGCACTTGCCTGTTCTTTTTTGTCCCTATCCTTAGTTCAAAACCCTGCTCAGGAACCAACCTCCCCACCACACCATTACCTCTGCTTCTTATAATCATTTCTTTTTTGCAAAAATCAGATGATACTGAATTTATTGATATTATTCTCCTTTTCTGCCCTATGGAGCTCCTTGAGGTCAATGGCCATGTCCTAATACATATAACTAACTGTCAGGCCTCTGAGCCCAAACTAAGCCATCATATCGCCGGTGACCTGCACGTACACATCTAGATGGCCAGTTCCTGCCTTAACTGATGACATTCCACCACAAAAGAAGTGAAAATGGCCTGTTCCTGCCTTAACTGATGAGATTATCTTGTGAAATTCCTTCTCCTGGCTCATCCTGGCTCAAAAAGCTCCACCACTGAGCATCTTGTGACCCCCACTCCTGCCCGCCAGAGAACAAATCCCATTTGACTGTAATTTTCCTTTATCTATCCAAATCCTATAAAACGGCCCCACCCTTATCTCCCTTCACTGACTCTCTTTTCAGACTCAGCCCGCCTGCACCCAGGTGAAATAAACAGCCTTGTTGCTCACACAGAGCCTGTTTGGTGGTCTCTTCAAATGCACGTGAGCGAAACTAACTTCTACTGTTCTTAATATGTGGCAGGCCATGTGTTAAAGGGTGTTTTACATATCATACCTCATGTAATCTTATAATAATCCTATCATCCCCATTTTACAGTTGCAGAAACAGGCCCAGAGCAGTCAAGTCACTTGCCGCAACACACAGCAAGAGAGTTAGTTTTCAAACCTAGAGCCCGAGTTTTAACCATTATGCTATGCTAAATCAATAGTGTTAGCTACTGATACGGTTTGACTCTGTGTCCCCACCCAAATCTCATCTTGATTTGTAATCCCCACATCGGGAGGGACCTGTAGTCCCCATGTGTCAAGGGAGGTAGGTGATTGGATCATGAGAGCAGTTGTCCCCATGCTATCATGATAGTGAGTGAGTTCTCAAAAGATTTGATGGTTTTATCAGCGTTTCGAAGTTCCTCCTTCACCCTTCTCTCTCCTGCTGCCTTGTGAAGAAGGTGCTTGCTTTGCCTTTGCCTTCCACCATGGTTGTAAGTTTCCTGAGGCCTCCCAAGACCTGCTGAACTGTAAGTCAATTAAACCTCTTTCCTTTATAAATTACCCAGTCTCCAGTATTTATTTATAGCTGTATGAAAATGTACTCATACAGCTACCCTATATTATTGACAACTTATGATTTTCCTAGAATGATGCTAAATGCTTTATAAAATTTATCTCATTGAATCTGTTTCTCTACCTCTATGTCCCCAACATGTAGCAAAGTGCATGACACACAAATGTATGTTGGGTTGAATTTAAGTCTTCCTGTTCCCCAGCCTTCCTTCTAAAACCAACGCATGAGGTCCCGCTATATTTTCAGCAGCGGCTGGAATGACTTACAGCGTTCCACTATCCTTCTCTCCTCACCAGGTTCCTCACCTTCTTCTCATTTGTGTTCTTCTGTGGTTTTGCTATTGATGTCTGTAACTTTCACAATGCAATTTTCAAAGTAATAGTGGTGCAGCAGAGAGCAGAAGCACTGTCCCTTTGCAAAAAGTCTTTCTCTTTAACAATAACTTCTAGTGGTG
Source organism: Homo sapiens (assembly GCF_000001405.40). NCBI lineage: Eukaryota > Metazoa > Chordata > Mammalia > Primates > Hominidae > Homo > Homo sapiens. The sequence goes on along the minus strand of NC_000009.12, from coordinate 69,822,591 downwards.
ATTTATGGTATGACTCAAATCTCTGTGGGGTAACAGAGTCACAGAAGAGCTAAGTGTTTTGCTTGAGAGCTATGAGGTAAGCCCTATATGAGGCTAAAAGAGGATGTTCTGTTTCCCAGTGTAGTTTTGGATTCCAAATCTGTATAACTTCTCATACTGAGTTCAAAGGAGGAAGAGAGACAGTTTCAGGGTTGAGAAGTAAAAGCAGAAAGGTAAACTTGTTGGAAAGCAGGGAATAGGCTTTAGAAAGTTTGCAAGACAGAAACTGCAGGGGTCGCATATATTACATGAATGAATGGGATGAAGTCGGGCTTAGCCTTAGGGCTAGAGTCAAAATCACTCATTTCTTTCAAAAGCAAAAACATAAAGTAGACAAGATTTGTGACTTCTTTTCATTTCTTTTTTTTCTTCACGCCCCTCCCAAATATTCCAACCACTCCAAATGTAATTACTATCAACAGCAGAGCCAGGAAAGTTAATTCAAGGGAAAGAATTTGAAAAGTCCTAAAAGTTTCCACTTTTCTTCCAGTTATACATCACAGTGTTGCTATTGGTCACTGTGATATTTAATAAGAGAAAGTGAATTTCCAGGTCAAGTTCTAAAGCACAAGAAGTAAACCAAATGCTTCTTGGGGCCAAGCAAGAACTTACACGAGGGAAGTTCCTAAAGACAGAACAACACCCATCTTAAGGTGTAGCCAGTGCTCAGCTCTGGTACATTCATAGTTCCCCAGAGAAATAAAATCCTCTCTGGCCAAGACTTTCAAATTTTCAAAGATACAACCCTGGATTTACTGTGAATCTCCTAGTTTTAAATGTGGCCAACTAATTAAAATGAAAAAAAAAAAAAGTAAACAGAGCTCATGCCAAACAATGTCTGTTGGCCTTAACCAGTGGGAGATGCCAGTTTGCAGTCTCTGGCCAGAAAAGTTCTTGTATGTAGCCTAGAAAATATGAGGGGCCTCGTTCAAATCACTCCATGTACACCCTACCCCCAGGAAGTGGCAGCCCTGGAGGCTGGTCCTCTAAATAGGCATCTCCCTCCTGCTGTGCCCCTGGCCTCTAATTCCTTTTATGAGTAAGTGCCTGTGTCAGAAATGTGATTTCCAGGCCTCTGACAGCACCCCCTTTTCACCCCCTATTTATACACACCCGCTCTGTGTGAATGAGCTAAAACCTCAGGTGGCGGGGATTTGGCTGCTGCGTGGCCCAGTGTGTGGCTGGGAGCTGCCCCTGAAAGGCTCTCCTATTTCCTCCTCTCTGCTCCAACCCTCTCTCCCACTCTCTCTATTTCTCCTTTGAAAATATTTCTTTCCCTTTTCTTTCTTTTCTCTCTTTTCCTCCTTCCCATTCCTCTCTCGTCTCATCTTTTTCTCACCTTTCTTCTCATTTCCTTCTTTCTCTACATTTCTCCCCCACTTTTCTCATTCTTTTTTCCGTTTCCTCTGTCGTCTCCACTCCTGTCCCCTCTCTCTGACTCTCCTTTCCTTTCCTGTTCCATCCTTTCCCCTCTCTTTCCTCCCCGCAGCACCCGGGAACTTGCGAGGGGACTTCGCTCACCAGGAATACACCAACACCGGCTTCGAGTATTTCTTGTGATGGGAGCGGAGGGTCAGGGAGCCCTTGCGCTCCACCAAGTCCGGTGGTCCGATCTCCAACCAGTGTTGCTTCCTGTCGCACCAGTCCTGGCAGGATCTGTCAAGGCTATCCATGGGAGCCCTCGAGGTACAGACCTCTGAGGAGTTCCCTATGCACCTGTCCTGCCCGGCAGGAACGTAAGTACCAAGATTCGGCGTCTCTTATCTCCTAAGCAACCTGGGGCGGGGCCAGTGGAGGGGCGGATCCCTCCAACCTGACGGCCAAACGTTTCCTAGACGTTGTCGTTACTGATAAGAAACTACATTTCCCAGAATGCAGTGAGGGTAGCGACCGGGCTACACAGGTGATGAAGGGGGGAACTGCATCCTGGGATCCGCAGTTTCGCCTGTCCACCCGCCAAATCCTAAGAGTGGCTGAGCGCAGTTATTGGGGAGTGGTAGGTCAGTTAAGGACCAAGGGAAGAGCAAATTCCCTGAACCCCGAGTGGGTCTGTTCGGGCTGTCTTTAGAGAAGTTCTTTTGTGTGTGTGTGTGTGTGTGTGTGTGTGTGTGTGTGTGTGTCCGAGTCTCACTCTGTCGCCCAGGCAGGCTGGAGTGCAGTGGCACGATCTTGGCTCACTGCAACCTCCGCCTCCCAGGTTCAAGCGATTCTCCTGCCTCAGCCTCCCAAGTAGCTGGGATTACAGGGTCTCGCCACCACACCCGGCTAATTTTTTGTATTTTTAGTAGAAACAGGGTTTCACCATGTTGGCCATGCTGGTCTCGAACTCCAGAACTCAAGTGATCCGTCCGCCTCGGTCTTCCAAACTGCTGGGATTACAGGCGTGAGCCACCGCGCCCAGCCTTTGGGGAAGTTCTTTTTACCGTCCATCATCCATTGCCACCACACCTTCTGCTTACGAGTTATTTATAATAAGTTTAACTAAAAGAGAACGAGAGAACATCCCCTGAAACCCAAAGTTTGTCATTCTATACAGCTTTCCTGCCTGCAAAAGAGGAGGAGCAGACTCATCCAGCAAATCACCTAAAAAGTTTGAAGATCAAAAAGCCTAGCTCCAGTTTCAGATCCTTCCCCTACCTTTCTGAACACTAGTTTCTTCCTCTGAAAAACGAAAGAGGGAACGGGACCGTAGAGTGGAGTGGGCACAAGAATCGCAAGTCCCTTCTGGCTATGACGCTGCAAGACTCTAGGTACAGTTTAGGACTCCGGGCATTCAGATCCCCGGGACTTGTCAAGTTCTCCTCATTGACATTTTTGATATTTCGTGACAACACAAATTCATCACATTTTTGTGCTGTGTGTTATATGTGGGAAGGAGATTTTAAAAAGATTGCCTTTTGAAGTTATTGGATAGCTGTGTTACAGAAGAAAACATTGCCTTCAAGAAGTTATTGGATAGATATGTTACAGAAGAAAAGACGTTTGTTTCATTTTTGACTTTGCAGGAAAAGAATATGTAACACATCAGAATTCTTCTCTCCTCCCTGGCCTTAGTCGAGTACCTGAGGGGCATTAAAGCACTTCCTCCTTGCAATCACTTACCCAGCATAGTCCTTAATACAGATATCTTCATTGTTGAATGAATGAATGAATGTTCATTATGTTTGATTACCTTAGGTTTACTTTCCAAAAGTGTCTTACTTGAGGAAGACCACATCTACACAAAAAAATCAAACTTTAAAACAGAGTAAGAGACCATTCACACTACAAATAGATTCTCGGTTTATAAAAGATGTGTTATAGTGCTCCCATAAATAGTGAGGCACTCTTCTGTATCAGATGGCACAAATTTGATTACATATAACTACTAAGTGCTTTTCCGTGGTCTGTGGTTCATAGTGTGGGTGCCTGTGGTATGCTAAGGTCTCTATTTTACTGACAGCCACAGTTAAAATATATTTCTTAAAACCAAATAAACAGTCCACCATCACCAGCCAAATGCTAGGAGAGTGCTGACTGCTATTTTAGCTGCTTTCTTCTAGGCAGAATGAAAAGAAAAACATAAGTTAACTTTAAAAGGGGAAATATGATCCATGTCAAGCTCAATTCTGTCCAATCAAAGCACAGAATATTGCTGTTGTTCCAAAAATATTATCATCATTGCTGTCATCTGTTCATGTGTTCATTTTACTTACGTTTAGAGTGGCGGTAACATAATATATGTGAAACCAATATGTCAGATCTCTGCAGACAATTTCTCTCAAAGATGGAAGCTGCCCAAGGCCAAGCTCTTTCCACAGTGCATAAGTACCACAGAGATTTAAAAGCTTTTCAGCACACCAAGGAGCAATAAGTTAAGAAAACATGCAAAACAAACATAGCTGGTTATTTTAGAGTTCCTTAAGCCAAGCCAACCACCTATTAGAGTTTGTGAATATGCTTTTTGTTATACTCACTTTCCTGTTTGTATCAAATTTATAAACTTCATTGTCTTCTGTGTCTACTAAATACTTTTCAACATCCTTGTCCTAGGATTTAGGATACTAATTCTGTGATATCCTCGAGTTTATGTGCATTCCATTCTCTTTGTATACACCAATACATACTGTAGAATTTTGGTTTCTTGATTCTTTATCAATAAAATAGGAATAGAACAGCACTTATTGCAGAGGGTTTTTTTGTTTTTTTTTTGTTTTGTTTTTTTTTTTTTTTGAGATGGAGTCTCACTCTGTCACCCAGGCTGGGGTGCAGTGGCACGATCTCAGCTCACTACAAGCTCCGCCTCCCAGGTTCACGCCATTCTCCTGCCTCAGCCTCCCGATTAGCTGGGACTACAGGCGCCCGCCACCACGCCCGGCTAATTTTTTGAATTTTTTTAGTAGAGATGCGGTTTCACCGTGTTAGCCAGGATGGTCTCGATCTCCTGACCTCGTGATCCGCCCATCTCGGCCTCCCAAAGTGCTGGGATTACAGGCGTGAGCCACTGCGCCCGGCCAACGGTTCTTATTAGAATTACATAAGATAATAAATACATTGAAAGCAGGTAGAACAGTGCCTAATAGATGCTCAGTCCTCACTTAAATTTAAACTTCTGCTGCTAGTATTATTACATCCTGACTTTGTCTTTATCATTTGTAAAAATATCCTAAAATGTGGTGGGTTTTTTTGTGTGGAGTTTCCTATACTCACTGTTTTCAACCTTTATCTGTTTACAAGCTCTTTTTAATGAATATCTTTTTTATTCTAGTTTAATATGAAATTTAATAGCCTGGATCAGAAAAATGTAGGCAAGAAATTTGGATATGGTACCAGCGATAACGATAAATTTGCATTCCTATAGAATCCTTTCTCTTCAAGACTATAAGTAAGTTTTATACTTTTTAAATGTGAAATCACTGATCCTCAACATACTTGAGTTATCCCTGTTTTCCTCAAACTTTATCAAACCACTGAAGTATAGAGCTTAAAGCAATGCCTTCTATTTATATTAATCCCTTCGTGCTGTAATATCCCTATGGTGAGAAAACTAGGGCTCAGGTTGGGGAGGAATTGGGACTTTTCTGTAAGATAAGTGTAGGCAGGCCAACTCAGGAAGTGAGCTTATGCTAATAAATTTCCTTATTAGCTTTATCAGATTCCTGAAGAGATTGCCAAGAACTGAACAGGGCAGCAAACCTAAAACAGATGTAAACCAACCAGATGCAAACGTCTGTGGGGGCAAACCTCTTTGCCATCTCCTTTCCCTTCCTGTCTTGATCTGTGCTCAATTCCTGGAAAAGCCCCTACTCAGGATCTCCTAAAGTCTCCAGTAGCATGTTTTCCCCCACCATTAAAATTACTTCTCTCTATCAAATGTCTTTTAATTATGCTGAGAGACAAGAATTTAACGTTGCTTAAGAAAACTAATTTGTACTATCTCTATGTCAAATACAGTTTAAATATATTAAAAACTCCTGTTTAAATTGTATAGCACTCAGAAACTAAAAACTAAGCAGTGATGTCCTAATCAAGGATTGTATAGTTTTTTTTTTTTTTACTACTCCAGGAATAGGGACTTCCTGTTACTCACATATACATCTGTGGTTTTCCTTTTGAGTATTCTTTACAAAAAGTTGGAGTCCACCTGCTACGTCAAAATGAATAAGAGGTTCTTGCTCAGAAAAGGGGGGATTGGGGGACACACTGGGGCTGGTGAGGAACCAGACCTCCCCATCTCCAGCTCCCCCCATCCCTATTTTCTTTCCCCTCTTCCTCTCTCTTCTTCTTTTGCTTTTTCCCACTTTCCCCCTCATCCCTTACTTTTCCATGTCCTACTCCTTTTCTTCTTTCTTCCCCTATTTCTCCCTCTCCTCCTCCTCTCTGTCTCTCTGTTTCCTTCCTCTCTTCTTCCAACTTTGAGAAGTAGTATGGATTTTGGAGTCAGAATCTATTGTTGAAAACCCAGGTACAAATCAAATGAAAGAAAAATAATCAGATCTAGAAACCAGAGCCAAAATTTATATGAATAAGTTTATGTCTCACAACTCTCAAAGGAATCAACTTCAGCAAAACTTCAATCTTCTTTCCTTTCCTGTAACTGTAACTACCAACAGTCTTTTTTAGAATGATTTTAACCTTGAGTATGATTCCTCTGTGCTTCTAATTTGGACTGTGAATCAATTTGGCATCTACTTGTCCTTAAGCCATTATCACTAACTAGCATTGATTAAGTGCTAACATGCAATAGGCATTATTTCTGGAACTCCTACTGTCAGCATGGGGGATTAATTTATTAAATATTCAATGTATACTATAATTCAACATTTCCTTCATTTTAATATCTAATCCAGCCAATAAGTGAAATACCTTGACAGAGTTATTCATAATTATTATGATAAATTTTAATGCCCAAGATCAGTAATGACATAGTCTAGCATAAAGGTGGCTTAGGGACTTTTAAAATATCCTATAAGTTGGATATCCTTAATTATTCAAAGACCGAATATCCATTTTCATAAAATATTCTCGTTATTTTCTCCCCAGTGCTGCTTTGCTTTTTGGAAACTTCGTTGTTGTTGTTGTTGTTGTTGTTGTTGAGACAGAATTTTGCTCTTGTTGCCCAGGCTGGAGTGCAGTGGTGTGATCTCGACTCACTGCAACCTCCACCTCCCAGGTTCCAGCGATTCTCCTGCCTCAGCCTCCCCAGTAGCTGGGATTACAGGCGCACAGCACCACGCCAGGCTAATTTTTTGTGTTTTTAGTAGAGATGGGGTTTCACCATATAAGCCAACCTTCATTGTTTATTAGCAGCAAGAATGAAACAATTTAGCTACCAGTTAAGAGTTCTTATGAAAGGAGTGGTACTTGAAATTAAACTCCGTATCCTTGTGGTTTTCTTTGTTCTCTGTGGCCTTTAATCTGGTTGAAGGAATCTCATCTCTCAGGGAAAAAGCTCAGAGAAAATCAGGGGGGTGGGGCAGGGCGTCTTTTCTACTCTGAGGGTGATGGAAATTTGCCCATATCCCTGACAAGCCCTGCCACCAACCATGTGGTGAGCAGGCTGGTAATGAACTGACTGAGAGGCTTCCCCCAGAGGGTCAGGTGTGAGCAGGCAGTTCTGGGTTGTTGCGTAGAACAGAGGCTGTTCTAGGATGAGGACACCTAGTCACCAATCTGGGGGTAATGGAAGGTTCAGGGAAGAAGCTGGAAAATTTCTTGACCTTGTCTGAAAAAGAAAAAAGTACAAAAGGAAGTGAAATTTTCCCTGCTTTTTGGGTTGAATTTTAAGTAGTCATCTAATTGCTTTAATATAAATGAGGTCCAGAGAGTTTCCAAGTAAAATGATAATTTCCAGTTAAAGTTTCTATAATAGTAGTGATTCAGCTTTGTTTTTTTAAGAGATGGAGTCTTGCTATGTTGCCGAGGCTGCACTTGAACTCCTGGGCTCAAGTGATCTTCCTGCCTCAGCCTTTCCACTAGCCGGGACTGCAGGCTCAAACCACTATGCCTAGCATTGAGCTAGTATACTCTTGATGACAAATGACAGAAAGTTAAACTAATTAGGTCAAAAAGAGGAATTTTTTGATTTACATAACTGGGAATTCCAGGGGTACGTCTGGTTTAAGCACATCTGAATCCCAGGGCTTAATAATGTCTTTGGGATACTGTCTCTCTATTTCTTGGTTCTGCTTTACTTTTTGGGTTGGCTTATTCTCAACCAAGCCCTCTCCAAGATGGCCATTGACTTACATTATTCCCTAACTCCCCACAACATGAAGCATTCCTCTTCCTTCAAGCTCTAGCAAAAGTCTTGGTCACTCGTTGACCTGACTTGACTCATGCAATCTACTCTGAAAATGTCACTAGAGTCAGGCCCAGAGGTAATGTTGTACTTTCTCCAGCTGGGTCTGTGTCATGAGGTTAGACTTGAAGGATGATGCCCATCCCTTCTAAACAATCTGGACTGAAAGTATGGAATTGGACTAAAGGGAAAAATAGGTTGCTACTTCCAAAGTAAGGGAAAGTGTGCCTGACAGGCAAAAATAATAGATACCCACTGCAGATAGTAACAATAAGACATCCCAAGCTGGATTTTGGCCTTGTGAGACCCTGAAGGGGAGAACCCAATTAAGCCTTTCCAGAATTCTGTCCTATAGAATTGTGAGCTAATAAATGGGTGTTGTTTTAAGCCATTTCATTTGCGGTGATTTTTAATGCAGCAATAGAAAACCAAAATGATATTTCAGAAAGTAGGGTTTAAAAATTGTTTTTGAAGATGATGAGTAACATCTTGAGGTACAGGAACTATCCCTAATGAGCAGGAAATGGATTAGGAAAAGAGGTAAATGTTATCAGATGGCCCCCTTGTGATTGACATAGCAGAAGAGGAGGGCTGACAAGAATTGACTAGTGTATATCCTCCAACAGCATGAATGAGCCTATGTCTTGTAATCTTTGCCAAAAGATAATATTTTTATTATTTCCATCAATATAAAATTATATCCTTTGTGCTATGTTAATTATTTTGACCTGGAATTATCCTTGTTTGATATTAATATTGCAACATCAACATTTTGATTATTGGTGGTTTTTCCAGTGCATCTTGGCTTATCTTTTTATACTAAGCCATCTAGGATTATTAGGATGGGTTTCATTTATAGAGAGAGAGTATAATTAATCTTTGCTTATAAAAAATGTTCAAATCATTTCTTTTGGTTGTGATAACTTATTTTTTGTCTGATGACATCTTTTTCTTGTTTTTCAATGTTTTCTCACTTTCCTTTTATTTCTCTGTTGTTTATAGACCAGACTTTAATTGCTATTGTATTTTCATTACTCTTAAAAGCACATATTCTATTTTTATTTTTCTAGTAGTTCCTATGAAGCTTTTCACTTTCTTTAATCTGTACTTCTCTATTTATATTAAGATCAAGAATGAAATGTTAGCTTTTGACATTACTTAAGATGGCAGTGCTGAGAACAAGGTATGACATCAACAAATGCTTATTCTATTAGACTGAGTTGAAATTAGTTTTTCTCAATCTCATTTGAAATTATTTGAGACATGGGATTTGTACAACATCTCAGACAGCTCAGAGAAAAAAAAGCAATATGGTCTCTGATAATGCAAATAGAAATGTTTCTAAATTAGTAGTAAGAAAACACTGCCAAAGTTTCATTACTTTTGCTTACTACTCTTTGTTGAGAGCCATCAAAGTGCTACATTTTTAAATGTATGTACAAAAATAAGTTTGGTAGTTGACAATCAATCTCTCTTCCTGTTCAAAGAAGACCCAAAGCAGAACTGTTAGTTCATTTACCTTCAAGTGCCTTTTGCTTTTTTCTAATCTAAACTCCCACACATGGAATGTAGCAGTGCCTCCACAATTCCCAGAAAGTTTCTAAGCACCTGCATGTGGCGTCCTGTCCAAGGTCAATTTGACTGTCAGAATTTATTGTCATCAAGCCCTTCAGCAAGTTGTGCACCTTATCACTATGGCTCCACAAATAGTTTTATTTGAGTGATATAGTCCTAAATCACCTAAATCTGAGAGTAATAAAAAGCAGTTTCAAAGATTCACACAGTAATTTCATTAAGGTTTCTAGATAAAACACGATGGCCATGAGGTGGTTTGGGAGAAAAAACAGTTGTCACTTCTGTTTGCCTTTCATTTCCTGCCCATGTTCCTTTTTGAACTGAAGGATAAGCTGTATAGCTGACCTAAGGGTTTCTTACCATGAGTCTCTGAGGCTACCAGGAAACTGACCCTATTCTGGCTCTGCAGTGTTAAATTTAAGAGTATGTATACTTGGACCAGAACAGAATCCAGTAGTCTGGAGAGACCAAAGGTGATAAATGAGGACTGTTCACACCTAGGTTTACTGTACTGTATTGTATTGCCCCTTGTAATCATTTTTTGTGTTGTATTGAGAGATTGAATATACAAATGAAAAATGACCAGACCACACATAAAAGGAGAACTCTGACCCACAGCCTGTAACAACCGGCCCTGGAACTCAACCAGCCCAGGAAGCCAGCCTGCTATAAGTCAGACTTGTGGAAAGTCAGACTACTATCTCCATTGACAGTCTTGAAAGCCAAACGATGGTTCCTAGAATAATCAACCCCAAATGGCCAGGACTTTGAGGTAGGAGATTAGCAGGACTTGTCCTCTAAGCACCAGTCATGACCCTGCTGATAAAACAAGATGTAGCAAAGAAACTGACCCAAAACTGCCAGGACTAGGAACTATAACACATTTGCATAAGACACTCCCACCAGTGCTTTGACAGTTTACAAATGATGCCATGGTAATGAACCAGAAGTTGCCTTATATGGTTCTTGGAACTTGTCGTCCCTTTTCCAGAAAGTTTGTAAATAATTCGCCCTTTATTTAACATACAATTAAGAGTGGGTATAAGTACAGTTAACCAGGAATTCACAAGTGCTAGTCTGGTCCACTCTAACTATAGGGTAGCCCTGCTGTGTCTATGGCGCAGGCATTTACGTGTACACTGTTTCTCTAATAAACTTGCTTTCTTTCCCTGTTGGCTTACTCTTGAATTCTTTCCTGAGAAAAGCCAAGAACCTTCCCAGGTGAAGCCTCAATTTGGGGGTACACCTGCATCAGCCTAGTGACCATGAAGGGATGAAGGAACAAACAATACAAACAAGACAAACAAGACAAGGACTCATTACAGGTGGGAGCTGTAAGTCTATAGGGCTTTAATGCTATGGAGCTGTGCAGCAGTAGCCAAAGCATCCTTTCAGAGCCATTATGTTTCCTGGTGACTAACAGGCTGAGGGAACCTGAGGGAAATCTTCACCCATAACCCAAATTAAAACTGATCGGCACCAACTGGCTTCCACGGATGGCTGAGTCTCTCTTTTGTTCCCCATTGATATCGACCTTTCTGGGTGAATGAGGAAGTGGAAACAGGACCTCTGGCTTGATAATTTGTTATCCCCTGTCATTTAGGTGGCCCAGAAGGGAGCATGACTGGCATGTTTTTGTTGCTCTTTCTCTCAGACCTTTCTCTTTTGCGTCTCTAACGGCCAGCCATTTTACTTTTACACCAATTTCATTATCGCATTTGTGGTCTTTGCTTTGGCTATGGGAACAATTGTTTATTTTGAGAGGTTTTCGCATTGTACTGATTGTGGAACACCAGAGTCACATTGTTCTGTGGCCCCAGTTATGTTAGGTCTTGGGTCTTTGTGGTTCACTGTTGGCCAACCCTCACATGCCCCAGGGTTTTTGGCATTTGGGAAAGGGACCCTCGTTGGCCAATGCTCCAGGTTTTTTGGCAGTAGGCACCCTTTTAACGTTGTTTGCCTTTGTCATACTGCTCATTTCAGTAAACACTTTCTTTGCTTTTTGTAGAATTCAGACTATGAGAATCCCATTACCCTCTCCTTCTATATTTTCCTTGTTAAAACACCTCTTTTGTCATAGTCCACTTACTGGTAGAAGCAGTCACCACTCCACTGCCCAGTCATATCTCAAAATTCACTTTTGTCATGCCCTGCTAACTGTATTTATGCCCCCTTTGCAAGAATTGGTGAAAATTCCCCTACTGACCTTTCTTGAGGAAAAGGGAGGTGGGAATCTGAAAGGGAAAATAAGTGGGCTCTCGCTAGACTTAGAAAAGTTTCTGCATCTAGTACAGATCCTTGCTAAACATGGGGACGACAACCAAGCATCCCAAGGGACTCGCTGCTAGGATGCCTTTTAGGCAATTGGAACAAATTCCAATCAGACAGCACAAAGTGAAAGAAACTCTTTTTCTATTGCAACACCATTTGGGTTCAATACAAATTGGGAGACCAAGAAATCTGGCCTAAAATGATATTATTTATAACTGGACTTATTCTGTAAAAAAGGAAGGAAAGTAGGGAGAGGTTCTTTATGTACCGGCTTTCTTTTTTTTTTTTTTTGAGACGGAGTCTCGCTCTGTCGCCCAGGCTGGAGTGCAGTGGCGCGATCTCGGCTCACTGCAAGCTCCACCTCCCGTGTTCACGCCATTCTCCTGCCTCAGCCTCACGAGTAGCTGGGACTACAGGCGCCCGCTACCACGCCCGGCTAATTTTTTGTATTTTCAGTAGAGACGGGGTTTCACCCTGTTAGCCAGGATAGTCTCAATCTCCTGACCTCGTGATCCGCCCGCCTCGGCCTCCCGAAGTGCTGGGATTACAGGCGTGTATGTACCGGCTTTTATGGCCCCTTACCAGGATCCGGACTTAAGGGACAACTGTAGGATTCGTGTGGCTCATCTCACTTCCAGGCACAAAGAAGCCACACCAGATATCCCAGATAATGCCCTCCCAGTGACTCCTCTCAGAAGGCCCGTGCCTCCTCCCCAGTGCCGAGCCTCCTCAGTTCCCCAATTCTGAAGTGGCTCCCATCCAAGGTTACCAAACACCCTTCTCCCTTATCCAACTAAACCCAGCCTGTAACCACTGCTGCCCAAGGAAGTAAGTCCAACCAATACCACCAAGAGTAGGTCCCCATATCAGCCCCTAAAACTGAGCCTGTGTCCATTTTGAGAGGTAGCTGATGGAGATGTGGGGACAACCAGTATATGTGCCTTTTTCTAAGTCTGATTTGACTTTACGCAAAGAGAAATTTGGTGAGTTTTCAGAGGACTCAGGGAAGTTTGTAGAATAGTTTGTTAAGTTGACCATGTCCTTTGACTTAACTTGACATGAGTTACAAATATTATTGTCCACCTGTACTCTACTTTAGAGGAGAAAAAGGGTTCTGGGAACTGCCTGTGAATATGCAGATGGAGTGGCTGCTCATAACTAAGGCCATGCCATTTATCGTGTGAGGGGAGATCCAGTTCCAGATCTGGACCTTCTGTGGTATTACCAGAGGGCTTCCCAAGACCTCAAATGCTAAATCACATGGTAGCTCGTTTAATTGAAGGTATGAAAAAGTATGTGGTTAAGCCACTCAATCATGAAAAGGTTAGAGAAGTAACTCAGGGGAAGGACAAAAATCCTGCTCTGTTTTAGGGCTGTTTGGTTGAGGCCCTCAGGAAATATACAAATGCAGACCCAGACTCCCCGGAAGGGCGCCATCTCCTGGGTATAAATCTTATTACTCAGCTTGCTCGTGACATTAGGAGGAAGCTGCAAAAGGCAAAAATGGGACCTCAAACCCCTATGAGCCAACACGTAAAGATGGCCTTTGGAGTTTACAATAGAGACAGGGTAGAAGAGGCGGAGAAAAACAAAAGAAATAACCAAAAAGCACAATTGTCCGTGGCTGCCTCAAGCCCCTTGCCACCTGAAGGTTACCCATTCCGACTAAGTGTAATGAGATCAGCATCTGGGATGCCCAGATGAGAGCCCTCAACTTGCTGGCCCTTGGGCCAGAATCAGCACACCTTCTGTAATCAAGAGTAGCACTGGAAAAGAGACTACCCCAGGCTCCCAAGAGAGCCTGGGCCACCCAAACCCATAACGGCCAAGACAACAGAGGCTGACAGGGCCCAAGGTTCTCTTCAGCTCCCACAGGATACCTTACCATCTCCACAGAGGAGCCCCCGGTAACCCTTGATGTGGCAGGCTGAGCAATGAAAAATAATTAAGCTTTTCCACAACTCCTCACATTTGGGATGGGATTCTCTATTCAAATTGGTTTCCCAAATATTCCTGGGGAAGGGACTATTCCAGGCTGCAAAAGGATCTCCAGGGCCTGTGAACTCTGTGCTCATAATAGCCCAGAAAGCCACCCCATGCCCCAACCCCTGCTCAAACCTACGTTAACACCAAGAAATATAACCTAGGGAAGACTTGCAAATAGATTTCACCCAGATGCCATTTGCTAGCACTTGTAGACATATTCACCAGGTAGATAGAAACTTTCCCTACAAGGACAGAAAAAGCACTGGAAGTGTGCAATTTCTTACTTCAATCATTCCAAGGTTTGGATTACCAAAAAGTTTGCAAAGTAATAACAAACCTTCATTCACAGCTAGGGTGACCCAGCCTTAGGCTTCCTCAGCCTCAGGCATTACCTATCATCTTCACTCCTCATGGAGGCCTCAATCCTCATATAAAGTAGAAAAAGCCAACCCTGTTTCAAAAAGGATATTAACGAAGCTCCGTCAGGAGACCTTGGAGGCCTGTGTTTCTCTCCTACCTATAGTTCTCTTGCACATAAGCATGGCTCCAAAGGGAACATTAAAACTTAGCTCATTTGAAACGATGTATGGGAGGCCCTTTTTAACTTCAGACCTCCTGTTTTATGAGGAGACACATAGAATACTCACCCATATTATCAACTCAGGTCAGGTTCAAAAGGCCCTTCAAGATTATGGAAATAAAGTATTGTTATTCTCCACAAAGGAAAAGAATAGCATCCCTGTTCAACCAGAAGACTTAGTCTTACTAAAAACTTGGAAAGAAGGATCCTCTGAGGATCAATTACAACTGAAATGGAAGGGCCCCTATCAGATGTTGTTGAGTACCCCACTGTTGTGAAACTTAAGGTAGTCACTAGCTGGATACACCTGCCCAGGATTAAACCTGTTTCTTATGAGTCTCTGGAGACACAGGAGGAGGACACCATGACCTATACTTATGAACCCCTAGAAGACCTAAAGCTGTTGTTTCGCAGGCCGGGCACGGTGGCTCATACCTGTAATCGCAGCACTTTGGGAGGCCGAGGTGGGCAGATCACCAGGTCAGGAGATCGAGACCATCCTGGCTAACACAGTGAGACCCCGTCTCTACTAAAAATACAAAAAATTAGCCGGACGTGGTGATGGGCGCCTGTAGTCCCAGCTACTCAGGAGGCTGAGGCAGGAGAATGGTGTGAACCTGGGAGGCAGAGCTTGCAGTGAGCCGAGATCACGCCACTGCACTCCAGCCTGGGAGACAGTGCAAGACTCCGTCAAAAAAAAAAAAAGTTGTTGTTTGTTGTTTCACAAACACATAGATAAGTAGCATGGCAAGGAGGAGTATGTGCAGTAATAAACCACACCTGTTCTTATGTTAACAATTCAGGGTTAGTTGAATTGCAAATTCAAAAGATTTACCAACAGACTACCTAGTTACATAATTTTAATAACTTTAGTAACCCCACCACTCAAAACATCTGGGACTCTGTCAAAGGATACCTACCAAGTGTAATGTGGATTTGTTTAACCTTTCCTAGGCCCTTTACTAGCTATCTTATTACTAATCTTTGGCCCTGGCTTATTTAACCTCTGTAAAGTTTGTGCTTTCTAGATTACAACAATTCCATGTGAGTGTGATATTGGCACAGGACTTCCAACCCATCCCATCTTCTAACTGAAAAAATAAGAAATCCTGCCTTTGGGTCCCTTAATTCAGGCATCTAGAGATTTTTCGGGTTTTTTTTGAGACAGAATCTCACTCTGTCGCCCAGGCTGGAGTGCAATGGTGTGATGTTGGCTCACTGCAACCTCTGCTTCCTGGGTTCAAAAGATTCTCCTGCCTCAGCCTCCTGAGTAGCTGGGATTACAGGCACATGCCACCATGCCCAGCTAATTATTATACTTGTAGTAGAGACAGGGTTTCACCATGTTGGCCAGGCTGGTCTCAAACTCCTGGCATTAAGTGATCTGCCCGCCTTGGCCTCCCAAACTGCTGGGATTACAGGCATGAGCCACCACACTCAGCCTCTAGAGATTTTTTTACTTCTCCAATGCTAGGCCGGGCCTACACTCGTAAAATCAGCAGGAAGCAGTTTGAGGAGATGGACTCCACCCTTCAATAACCCGTAAAGATTAAGGAGGAGTATATAATCTGTGAGGGGGAAATGAGGTGGGAGATCAGCAGATCAACTTGTTTTCCAAGCACTGGTCGCCACCCTGGTGATTAAAACAGGACGCAGCAAAGAAACTGGCCAAAACTAGCTAGAGTACACTGTTGCTTTAATAAATTTGCCTTCTTTCACTATCAGCTCACTCTTGAATTCTTTCCTCAGTGAAACCAAGAATCCTCCTGGGCTAAGCCCCAATTTTGGGGTTCACCTGCATCAACTTGATTAACTGAGTTTCCCTAATTTTTGTCCCCAGTATGCCTACAGCTTTCCCATACCCAGAGTTATAATGTGTTTGCATAAGACACTCCCACTAGCACCGTGACAGTTTATAAATGAGGCTGTGGCAATGACCCAGAAGTTACCTTATGTGGTTCTGGGAACTCCTCACCTCTTTTCCAGACAGTTTGTGAATAACCTATCCCTTTTTAGCACATAATTAAGAGCGGGTATAAATAGCCACCAATCCACAAGTGCTACTCTGGGCCACTCTGCCTATAGGGTAGCCCTGCTCTGTCTATGGAGCAGTCATTTTCTGTTCACTGTGGCTCTAGTACATTTGCTTTCTTTCACTGTCAGCTTACTTTTCAATTCCTTCCTGAGTGAAACCAAGAACCCCCCTGGGCTGAGCTCCAATTTTGGGGTTTGCCATCATCAACTTGATAATTGGCTGACAGTTTCGTAATTTTTGTCCCCAGCATGTCTACAGCTTCCCCATGCCAAAACCCTCCAATCCAAGCATGCTTGAAGTCTTCCCTTTTTTGCAGTCCTGTGCCTGCCTTTGAGTTCTCTGCCAAAATGCAACTGACAGTGGCTGACTCCTTTGCTACAGCAAGCTTGTTCTAAACAGCTTTTGCTTGTTCTCATTTGGTTGGTCTTCAATTACTTCCATGGTATAAAGCTAAGTTTAATGGGTGCTCCTGGCTCCAATGAGGTGGTCCCTAGAACATACTCAGACTAGCCTACTTAGAGAACTAATCCAGGATTGGGTGTAAGTATAGATGTAAAGAGAAAGACCATTTAGTCCCCAGAAGGACCGATTATGGCCTTTACTCAGATGTTATCATCTGTAACTATGCACCCTGTAGTGAAGATTTTAGAAGAATAAACCTCTATCTGTCCTGAATGATGTTGTTGATCTTTATAATGTACATCACAACTGTGTTGATTTCCTTTTATATCCTTTAGATAAATAAACCCTGTTTGATCTACCCAAGGAGTATGTGTCCAGTGTTTCCACCATTCTGAGCTTACAACTGGCATTGGTCAATACTATGGTCATGCACTTTCCACTTTTCAGTTCGGATAGGTAGGGATTATATATTTTGGGGATGAATATAGAGACTTTTTCTTCTGTCCATGGGTAAAATTTATAAATAGATGACTGCTTATGGTAGTATTTGTTAACCTGGGGCCAGGTATCATTTAGGGGAGAAAGGGCATTCTAGGCAGAGAGAGCAGCATTAGAAAAGGCAAGGAGGCAGGAAGGCACAGAGCAAGGTGATGCATCTCACAGGCCTCTGCAACACGGCATATTGTTCACATCTAATTTGAAATGCAAGCTTTCGTCTTCTACAGGCAGAGGAATTAATGGAAGAAAAGACTGAAGCAAACAGCTGTGCCCTAAGGGGAGCCTTCTTAAGACCGCTTATTTCTAGGTTCTCTTGCACTAAGGAGGGCAAGCGACATCATAGGCTTAGCTTAGCCCCAAGACATTGCCTTCTGGATGTTGTTCTCCTTCATTCGCACTGCACAAGGACCACAGTCACATTTGACTCTTAAGTGGGAATTTGACACAATCAAAATGTTCATTTTCAAAAATATGAGACCTAAATAAACAAACAAATATTTTCAGAGGGAACATTAGCTAAAACAACTATTTGCTAACTATGAATGTGTACTTCTCTCTCTCTGCATTGACAATTTCCTATTTGATATTAATCGCAGTTGCTAACATTCATCCCATTATCCATAATAGAGCTCCCAATTCCAATTCCATCAATTTGCATATACCATTCAATAACAACAATTTTCTTTTTTTCTCAAGATTTTTTCATCTTATCTTTGTACAATGTAGAAAATAGGGAAGGAAGGAAAGAAGCTAAGAAGGAAGGAAGGTCACAAAGAATACCAACACCACTGTTAATATTTGTACTAATAATCTTTATTATTGTTATGTAATGACAATATATACACCATTTTGTAATTTTTTTGCTCAACAATATGTTTTGCTCAACAATAAGTTAAAATTTTCCCTGTCATTATATATTCCAAATATAATACTTTATGACAGGAGAACATTTCATTGTTTGAGTAGTCCAAAAAATATCCCCTATTGTTAGATATTTATTATTTCCTAGTCTTCATTATTATAATGAATGCTGCCATTAACATCCTTCTAACTAAATGTTTTCATGCATGCATAATTATCTCTATATGAAAATAGGTAGAAACTGAATTTATGGATCAAAAACTAAGCACATCTTTATGACTTTTGATCTCTATAGCACATAGCCTTCCAGAAAGGCTGAAAGAATCTATACTCCCTCCAGCAGTGCCTGAGTATACTAATTTCCCCAAATTCTCTTTGTTATGAGCAATATATATATATATGTATATATTTTTTGTTGTTGTTGTTTGTTTGTTTAATTAAAGATTGGGCCTCACTATGTTGCCTAGGCTGGTCTCGAACTCCTGGGCTCAAGTGATCCTCCCACCTCAGCCTCCCAAAGTGCTGGGATTACAAGCATGAGCCACCCGTGCCTGGCTGTTATGAACATCATATTTAAGAAGGTCTTTTTCCCCTTTCTTTGGCCTTTCTTTCCTACTAGTTGCCAACTATGAACACAATAATATGCCAAAGTTGTGCTAAAAGAAAGGTTTGTTTGTCTTATAAACACTTCATCAAAAGCATCCCAAGGACTAGTGATACACAGAATCTGAAGGATGTGACTTCTCCAGGATAGATCAGGGGCTTTGTGGGGAAAAGCAGAGTAATAAAAAAAGGTCTGAATGGGGACAATGAGGAAAAATAAAAATTGGCCCTTCGTTATTCATCTGAGAAAGACTCTGTAGAGCAATAGGTGACTCGGTTGGAGAAGTCACTCAATGTTTGCACCATCTTCTGGATATTATATTCAGTGTAGACTTTATCCCTGAACTCCAAACTTAACGTATGTAACTACCTATTTTCAGGTTTTCACTTGTTTAGCTATTCATCTCATCACCACATTACCAACATAGAGTCCATTAGAGAAACCTATTAATTCTACCTCTAAAATAATTTGGTCCACTTTTCTCCAAATTACTGCCATCTCCCATCTGGCTATTGACTCTAAATCGTTCTCCCTGCTTCTACAATCATTCTCCTCACAGCAGCCAAAGGGTGATAGTCACCTCGTGTTATCTCCCAGCTTAAAATAATCCAACAGCTTCCTATAACTCTTCCAATAAAACCTCAACTCCTTATGAGGCTTATAAGCCATTACACATGAAGGGGATCCTGCCCACTTTTCCAACACCATTTAGCAGTACCCTTCCCCTCTATCACTCTACACCAGCCATACTGGCATCATTTCTGCTCCTATAGCATGTTGAGTTCTTTTTCACATTAGAACTCTTGTTTCTGCTGTTCCACCTCCTTGACCAGTCTTCTCTTCACTCTTTACTTGTGTAGCTCTTCTCATTTATCATGTCCCATCCCAGAAAGTACCTTCCTGACTACCCAGTTTAAAGCCATCCCCACCCACCAACCCATTTACTTTCCATTACACAACCCTATTTTTTTCCTTTATTAGAAAACCAAAACTACCTTTTTATTTATTTGCGTGCTTGGTTACTGTCTTCCGCTCTAAAATGTAATCTCTGTGACTCCAATGACTTACTTTTCACTGACCCTTTGCATCTCTAACACCTAGTAGAATGCCTGGCACATTGCTGACCCCCAAAGAATGTTTGATAAATAGATAAATGGAAGGTATATACCACATTTTCGTTCTGGTAATAGGTTTTCTTACATGCACATATAATCATTATGGGTGTAACCAGGGGGGCACTTAATTTTAAGTAATTTTTTATTTGTTGGTAAAAGGCAGTGTGGCATTCTTTGAATAGCCAAAAATCTATTTAATCATTGTCCCTTATTATTGGAAATTTATATTTCACCCTTTTCACTATTATAAGCCATATTACATATGTAAATTTGAAGCTAATATATAATTATTAAAATTACTAAAGTGACTTTGTTAGATTAAAATGTTTTTTATATATTTCATTAAATTTCCCTCCAGAAATATTAAAAGAATTTATTTTCCATCAGCAGTGAACTAAAGTCCTTATATCTGGTATATCAGATTGCATTCAGCTAAAAGGAACAGAAAACTCTAATAGAAATCAGTTAATAAGGGAAAAAAACATCGCATTTAACAAAGGACCAATGGAACACTTTTCAGAATTGCTTGATTCCATGGCTTGATGGTGTCATTTTTCTTTTTGTACTTTGCCCTGAGGCTGACTCCCCTCAGACTTACAGGACAGCTGAACAGCTCTGGGCTGTATATCCCAGGAAGGCCATAACCAGAGGTAAAAATGAATCATCTTTTCTGGTGTTTCCTTCCTAGTATGAAGAAATCTTTCTCAGAAGCTTGAGAGCAGACTTCCTTCAGGTCTCATTGGCTGGAAATGGGTGACATTCCCTCTCCTAAACCAATCTCTGACAAGAGGACTGGGATTAACAGGAATTCTTTCTATCTAAGCCTTAAACCAACCTGGATTTTACCGTAGAGCAGAGTTGCATGGGTATTCCACCAGTAAGGAAGAAGTTAGGGTGAGGTGGATCTGCGTAGACAAAAATTTTGAGTCTTAATATTAAAAGAAAAAAAGAAAAGCAAAAAAGAAAAAACTTTGACAATTTGGTGAAGAACTACTACTTAAAATTGCATTTTTTTTTTAAACGGAGTCTGGCTTTGTTGCCCAGGCTGGAGTGCAGTGGTGCAATCTCCGCTCATTGCACCTTCCACCTCTTGGGTTCAAGCCATCCTCCTGCCTCAGCCTCCCAAGTAGCTGAGATTATAGGCATGCGCCACCACGCCTGGCTAGTTTTTTTTATTTTTTAGTAGAGACAGGATTTCATCGTATTGGCCAGGCTGGTCTCGAATTCCTGACCTCAGGTGATCTGCCCGCCTTGGAGTCCTGAAGTGCTAGGATTACAGGCATGAGCCACCATGCCCGGCCTTAAAATTGCACTTCTTTAATAGTTTACATTAACATTTTCTTATACTTTCTGCTAACTTTCTATCCTCTTTTGTTTTGTTTTCAGATGGAGTCTTGCTCTGTCACCCAGGCTGGAGTGCAGTGGTGCAATCTCGGCTCACTGCAATCTCCGCCTCCCAGCTTCAAGTGATTCTCCTGCCTCAGCCTCCCGAGTAGCTGGGATTACAGATATATACAACCTCGCCCAGCTAACTTTTGTATTTTTAGTAGAGACAAGGTTTCACCATGTTGGCCAGGCTGGTCTCAAATTCCTGATCTCAAGTGATCTGCCTGCCTCCGCCTCCCAAAGTGCTGGGATTACAGGCATGAGCCACCACACCTGGCCACTTTCTATCCTTTTTTAACTCCTTTGGGAGAGCTCAACTCTTCTTGGTGGCAGCAAAAAAGCAAAGAAAAATAATAGAAAAATAATCCAAGTAGCAGGCTGATATCATTACTAAAAACTCCAGCTAGTTTATAAGAGCCACTATTTTGATCAAATTCCCTCTACATTTCCAAGTCCACAACCTTCCTCCAAGCACACTGACCACTAGTAGAACAGATACAGCAATATGAATTCACAAAACATTTATTATTTGCATTAACCATATGTTTAATAGCAGGAGAATCAAGAGGACTGCAGCTCCCAAGAAGTTTCTTAAGTTTTACAACAACCCAAGAGCGTTCCCTTGTGATTTCATATTGTAATCTATGTCCTAGGCCTCTTACAACCTCCTCCCCACACCTTCCTTTAAGGTAGAAAAAGTTATATGACGCATGGCTCTGGCTCCAATTACACTTGTTTGCTTGGAAATTTTCTATTCTAATATCATTAACTTGATAAATCATTGATGTCACTGAGAATGGATACAAATAGATTAATCTAATTGTACCATCAGCTTCATTAATGTGAACTGCACTAAACACTGCAATCTCTCCTTATCTTTATCTGTTTTCTTCCAATATTTCTATTTCAGTCACTAATTAAATATACTTTAATTATAATAACTAGATAATAATACATTTCCCTCTTCTGAAAATGATTTCCTTTTTGGACAATAATACTTGACCATTTATTGCATTCTTTACCATTTGCTTATTGGTATGTGGGCTATTTATTTTTTATTTTTTATTTTTTTTAGTATTTATTGATCATTCTTGGGTGTTTCTCGGAGAGGGGGATGTGGCAGGGTCATAGGATAATAGTGGAGAGAAGGTCAGCTGATAAACACATGAACAAAGGTCTCTGGTTTTCCTAGGCAGAGGTCCCTGAGGCCTTCTGCAGTGTTTGTGTCGCTGGGTACTTGAGATTAGGGAGTGGTGATGACTCTTAACGAGCATGCTGCCTTCAAGCATCTGTTTAACAAAGCCCATCTTGCACCGCCCTTAATCCATTTAACCCTGAGTTGACACAGCACATGTTTCAGAGAGCACGGGGTTGGGGGTAAGGTTATAGATTAACAGCATGCCAAGGCAGAAGAATTTTTCTTAGTACAGAACAAAATGGAGTCTCCTATGTCTACTTCTTTCTACACAGACGCAGTAACAATCTGATCACTTTTTCTTTTCCCCACATTTCCCCCTTTTCTTTTCAACAAAACCGCCGTCATCATCATGGCCCGTTCTCGATGGTCGCTGTCTCTTCTGAGCTGTTGGGTACACCTGCAGAAAGGCTGTCACTTCACACTTGGAAGATTGCTCAGCGGCCAGGCAGAGGCACTCGTCACTTCCCAGATGGGGTGGCGGCCGGGCAGAGGAGCTCCTCACATCCCAGATGGGGCGGCCAGGCAGAGGCACTCCTCACTTCCCAGACAGGGCAGCCAGGCAGAGGCACTCCTCACTTCCCAGACGTGGCGGCCAGGCAGAGGCGCTCCTCACTTCCCAGACAAGGTGGCCGGGCAGAGGCGCTCCTCACTTCCTAGACGGGGCGGCCGGGCAGAGGCGCTCCTCACATTATGTGGGCTATTTATATATTAGAATTTTCGATTATGTATTATATGGGTTACCAGATCTTTTTCATATTATTTTTCTGTCTTTCAGACTTGATTAGAAATATCTATCTATCCATCTATGGATAGATATATTTATTTTTTCCATGTATATATCTTCTATTAATCTACATCGTTTTATCCATCTAAGTATTTTTATTAATTAGAAAATACATACCTTCTACATATTCTATCTCTATTAATAGAAGATACATAGATTAATGGAAGATATATATCTTCTATTAATAGCTATAGAGATACAGATGATATACCTTCTATTAATCTTTTTTCTTAAGACTTTCTGCCTTGGGTGACATGTTTAGAAAGGGTTCTCATCCAGGGATTAGGTATGTATATCCACTCATTCTTTTCAAGGATCTTAAGCCTTTTAGTTTTACCGTAAATGTCAGCTTTATTTATGTATTTATATATTTAGCTAATGAAAACTTTTCAAATACTGACAAAAAAATTATTGAGGCAATACATTAAAGCTGACATGAGAAATGAGGGCTTTCAGGCAGGGCTTTGTCCTATTGATGACATTCTTCTCTTTCACATTTATTTACTCTCCTTGGATGACATCATCATCACTCATAGCTACTACATTCACACTGATGACCACCAAATCCAAATTTCCAGTCCAACATGTAAACGAATTCCCCGAGTCATGAGAAGTAGAAGAGAGTCGAAGAGTCAGGTGAAATGAATTGAGACCCAGTGGTAAAATAACTGAAGGGAAAAGATGAATGTTGCTAATGTTGGGCCAGCACTGTCATTCAGCTTCATTTCATTAATCTTCTGTTTGCTGTGGCCAAGGTCAAAGGGATTCCAGCTTTAAACTCCTGCTGCAAGAAACAAGAATGCTATCTGGAACCACAAAATCAAAAACTGCAGGAAGGACTGAGACAAGGAAGTATTCATGGCTTCTTCTTGAACTATGCATTGGATGGGAAATTGGCAATCAGGATTTCTATAATGATTAAAGAATATACACCTACTTACCTGTCATAATTCATGAACTGAAAAAGAGGGAAAATGTGTTCAAGAGTCATTTCCATCTGAGTATATCTTATACATCTATTTTTTCATAAAGAGATTGCTATGTTTGCCACTTTTTAAAGAAAAATTATATTATATTCAAAAATTAAAACCAGTAAATTAAAAAAAGAGAGGCAGAAGTGAGTTGGGCTCAATTTCCAGAGGTAAATCAATGAAATTTTAAAAAGCTTCTTGTGCAGTACTCTGAGAGTTTTTGTAGAAGTTGATTTAAAAGTGAGAGAATTCAGGATACAGGTGTTTTGGGTTGTTTTGTTTTTAATAAATTACTAATCAGTTTAGGATCTTCTATGTGTTCTATGTGTCAGGGGAAATTGACAATTTAAAGTGAGGAAAATAGACACCTCAAAAAAGTTAAAAAGGGTCAGAACTAACATTGGAAATCATGTTTTCAAATTATAATTTTGGTATTCTTTCTACTCCTTTACCATAAATTTCTCATTTTCTCAGATTTTGTAATAAGGCCAAATGATAAGCTGGTTACAAACAATTGCAATGGCTTGGTAATATTAGAGCATTAAGAAGATAAGGTCGAGGCAACAGGAAAATCATAGCAGAAACAAGTTGTCATCATATCCACCCATCTGTTTAAACACCCTCCATCTGTTTAATCAGGGTGGCTTTGAGCCAGAGAGAGAAGAGGAACTGCAAAAAGCTAATGTGTGACACCCAAAATTCTGGAAACAGCTTTTCTGGATTTTAAAAAGAAAAAATATTGCTTTTAACCACTCTCTCAAAGGAAAGCACACAGTAAGTTGTGGAGCTCAAGGGAAGAACATGGGCTCTGTTATGGTGCAAGTCCCAGCTCTGCCACTTATTGTAGATTTTAGGCTAAGCCACTTATCTAAGCCTTGCTTTCCTCATCTAGACAATGGAGAAAAAGACAGTAGCTACCTCATAGAGTTCCTAAGAATTAAATTCAAAAATATATTCAATAGTATATGTAAAGCATTTAGCAGAGTGCTGGGCACAAGGTAAGCAGAATAATGATCTCTTGCTGTGGTTTTTGTCACAATAAGGAGCATAGATAGTTCTAAGACATTTCTTTATGGTGGCTTTTAGTTCTCGAAACTAATATCCCACTTCTTTCCAATTCTTTGCTCTTAAACCAAAGAGTAAACCCTGATGTTTTCTCCATGATAACAGAATTTGAAGACAGAAGGAAGTCTGATTTAATTTGGTGTGTAATATTGAGTCAGCAACTTGATCTCTTAGAATTTCATTCCTTATCTGTGAATTGAGGATACCAGTAAGATCTCATGAAGTTGTTTTGAGTGCTAAATAAAGTAGATAGGTAAGAGATGGTTATTTTTGCATTAAAGCCTCTATAGACTCAAAAAGTCCATACAATATGGGTTATAATTACTCATCACTCCAAATGCATATGTAAAAGTGGCATTACTATTAGCAGAGCCTCATTGTCTTCCCACTATTTTTCAAGGCTTATTTTCCTCATAGCCATTTCTCTTTCCGATTCTGGACTCCTTTATTTGGACCAAAACAGATGACAGGTGAATAGCCTTTATTTGTTCATTGGACATAATAGCCCAAGATTCTGAAATGCCACAGTGATTCCTGTTCTATGTGCTAACCAGACAATTTCAGCTACTAAGAAGCAGAACCAGTTCACAATCTGTGAACTCTCCAAGGATATGATATCAATTTCTCATTTTTCTTTGCAACCCTAGCACAGGGTCTAACACTAAGAATTAACTCTAAAAAAAGTAGGTTAGGTTGGGCTATGACAGCCTTCTGTGTCATGAGCAAGAATCCAGATATGTCTTCAGGGGGTGATAACGAGCAAGTCAAAGCTTTTAAGCATAGAATTAACACAATCATGTTTGTGTATTAGAAAAATCACTCTGAAAGTTGTGGAAGGAGGAAGTTTGGCCTGCAGGTATAACCTGCATAATCAACATAATCAAGGAAAGGGAAAATAGTCTAAGAACTCTGCCTAATTAGGAAGGCAAGTATTTAAAATATTTTTAAAAATATTTTCATCAATATCCTTAACATTTGATGTAGTTATGTTTAATAATATAATTAATACCTAATAGTTACTGAAAATTAGAAAATACAGAGAGATAAAAGGAGAAAAATTAATTATCCATATACTACCTCTCAGAGATAAACTACATTTTGGAATACAACTATCGGCAGATTTTTTTCCTGGATGTGTGTCGTATGCATGTGGAGAGAGACGAGGAGAGAGAGGGAGGATCAGATATGAAAACAAATAAAAACATTTTAAAAATCAGGAAAAGGAAGATCCACAGACAGAGGTAGACATATGAGGAAGAATTCTTATAGGAAGTCAACACATACAATCCAAAGTTGGTAAGTTGAGAACGCCCAGAAGAACTAAAAGTAGACACTATGAGCAGTGGGCCTAAGAGTGGGAATAAGAGTGGCAGACTTTACTTTAAAAAAAATAGCTTGAGATATAATTCACATGCCATACAATTTACCCTTTTAAAGTGTGTAAATGAATGACTTTTAGTATAGTCACAAAGTTGTGCATCCATCACCACAATCAATTTTAAAGCTTTTCATCACCCCCAAAAGAAACCCCACCCGATTTAGCCACCACCCTCCAACTACTCTCATCTCCCACTCAACATTTGGCAACTTCTAATCTACTTTCTGTCTAAATAGATTTATATGTTCAGGATATTTCGTATAAATAGATACCATAATATGTGGTCTTTTGTAACTGGCCCCTTTCACTTAGCAAAATGTTTTCAATGTTCATACATGTAGTAGCATAAGACCTTACTTTAAATTTAAAACTTTCTGTACTAGTTTACTTGATTTTGTTTATACCATTGGCATTTCTTGCTTTTATAATCTAAAAAAATGGAAAAAATATCTTGTATGCATATTGTTAAATACCAATATGATAATTGCTTTCTGCAATCTGTATTTTTCCCTTCAAACCATGTGACAAATGAGAGTGATTAAGATCTAGTAAGCCAGGTATTGTGCTAAGTACTTCCATGCATCATCTAGTTAATATGCACAAAAAATCTTTGAAATATTATAGTTATTTTATAGAAAACTGAGGCATTTTATAGACGAGGTCAGAGTTAGTGACTTGTAGATCCTACGTTTTGAAACCAAGGAGTCCACCTCTAGAGCCTGCATTTTTCAGAACAGTAAATAGAGATGCTTTGACTTTTTTTTTTTTTTTTTTTTGAGACAGAGTCTCACTCTGTTTCCCAGGCTAGAGTGCAGTGGCATGATCTCAGCTCACTGCAACCTCTGCCTCCCCGGGTTCAAGCGATTCTCCTGCCTCAGCCTCCCGAGTAGCTGGGACTACAGGCGCCCGTCACCACGCCCTGCTAATTTTTTGTATTTTTAGTAGAGATGGGGTTTCACTGTGTTAGGCAGCATGGTCTCAATCTCCTGACCTCGTGATCTGCCTGCCTCAGACTCCCAAAGTGCTGGGATTACAGGCATGAGCCACTGCGCCTGGCCACCTTGACATTTTTAAAAGCATTAGAAGTTAGAAATGTAGACCTCCATCATATAAAGTAACTGTAGTTATACAGAGCACCTTGTCTTTGAATAAAACATGATGTTTTTCAAATAGTATCAATAATTTTAAAAATCAAAGCCAGCAAGAGAAAAACATTATCAGTGATTTCTATAGACTGTGAAAGGACTTTACGGGCTGTTTTTAGCTTTCCCATACTACATTTAAGATATTTTTTGAATGTAATGGCTGAGTTACATGTAACCAGGCTTTTCAGAGATATTCTATTACATAAAGCAAGATACCCCTGAATATTTACAGCTGCTCTTTCGCAAAGTACAACACTAGAAAATTATGCTATCTTTGCCTGGTTACAGAGAGAGTGTCATCCATAGCCATAGTATTTCTTATCCCCTTAGAATGAAGGGATATTCACAGATATCAAAAGCACTCCCAAGGCAACAATTTTGAAGCCAAAAACATAAATCAAAATATTAAGCAATTCTGTGTTTGTGTTTCTTATTAATACATATTGTTCTGTTAAGGCTTCCCTTTTGGTAGGACTATTATAGACTGCAGAATGAGCTGCTTTTCATGCGTGATTCCATATGGCAAAAAGAACAATGTTCGAGGGGTAAAATTAAGCCATCTGTGGTGGTGTTCATTTTCTTCTTTTAAACTGGTACTTTTAATGGTAAGTCATTAAGATGTATGAACATATTTCCCCTTTATTAGATGTCCTCTTCATTTTAAAAAACTGTGTTTAACTGGCAAATCTCGCATAGTCATTTGTATTTTTTATTTTTTGGTGGATTTTCATGACCATACAGGTTCTTCTCCTTCAAAAGCAAAATGCCATAATAGTAAATACTACCAATTCTGTATCTATTTCTTTCCACAAAAAAGGTGAAAATATCATTGCAGGCTTTTACATGGTTTTTCTTCGAACTTGTTTCTGTTAAATTCTAGAAATGAACAACAAAAGATAGAATTATTAATTTCTGGTTCATTACCAAAGTGATGAAGTTGTCACTGCTGAGAAATGCTGAAGGGACATAATGCATGCAAGGCTATGTTTTTAAATAAAGGTTGTCAGAACCAACGCAAAGTAGGTATGCAATAAAAATACAAGTTGAATACATAAATGGAGGAGCAAATGAATTAGAACCATGGTTCCTAAATCCAACTTTCGGTTTTCCCTTATTCTTGAGAAAATATATTTCTTGGACATCGCAAGATGTTGAAATTGTATGTTTATCTGTGGGACAATTATAAAAGGCATAACATACATTGAGAAAGAAACAGAAGGAAGGTTTGATATAATAATGGCTGAGAATTTTCAAAATTGATGTTAGGCACGAAACCATAGATCCAGGAAGCTCAGAGAACAACAAGCAGGATAAATTCCAAAAAATCTGAACTTAGATATTTCTTATTCAAACTGCAGAAAATTAAAGACAGAAATAAAATATTGATAGAAGCCGGGGGGGGGGGGGGAACATGTTACCTATAAAGAAGCAAGAATAAGAATTACATCAGATTTCTCTTCAGAAACCATGCAAGCAAGAATAGAATGGAATACAATATTTAAAGTGTTCACAAAAAAAAAACCACCAACCTAGATTTTGTATCCAGTGAAATTATCCTTCAAAACTGAAGGAGAAATAGAGACTTTCTAGACAAATAGAATTTGAAGGAATTTGTCATGTTAATAGAAGCTCTTCAGAGAGCAGTAAAATAATATAGGCCAGAAACTTGGATCTACACAAAGGAGAAGGCTTAGAGAAGGAACAAAATAAAAGTAAAATAAAATCTTTTATTTTTCTTATTCTTAACCTAAAAGCTAAATTTGTTCAAAATAATAATAATAGCAACATTGTATTCAGTGATTATCACTTATGTATAAGTAAAATAAAAAACAGCAATGCTATAAGGGATGGGGGACAAATTGGGAATATACTGTTATGAGGTACTTGCACCATACTTTTTTCTTTTTTTTTCTTTTTTTCTTTTTTTTTTTTTTGAGATGGAGTTTCACTCTTGTCACCCAGGCTGAAGTGCAGTGGCACAATCTCAGCTCACTGAAACGTCTGCTTCCCAGGTTCAAGCAATTCTCCTGCCTCAGCCTCCCAAGCAGCTGGGATTACAGGTGCGCACCACCATGCCCAGCTAATTTTGTATTTTTAGTAGAGATGGGATTTCACCATGTTGGTCAGGCTGGTGTCAAACTCCTGACCTCAAATGATCCACCTGCCTCAGCCTCCCAAAGTGCTGGGATTATAGGCGTGAGCTACCGCACCCGGTCACTTGCACAATTCTTTAAGAAGTAGAGTAGACTTTGAATAGCTGTAAATATATATTTTACACTCTAGGACAACCACTAAAAAATTTTAAAAGAAGTATAATTGATATGTGATATATTCTCAATGGTATTCCCCCCAAAATTCATAAGTTGAGTTTTGTACCTAACCCTCAATACCTCAGAATTTGGCTGGATTAGCAGATAGGGCATTTAAAAAGGCAACTATGTTAAATTGAGAGCATTAGGGTGAGTGCCAATCTCATATTATTGACGTCCTTAGAAGAAATTTGGACACATGAACAGACACTGGGAATGTGTGCATACAGAGGAGAGACCATGTGGGGACGCAGCGAGATGGCAGCCATCTGCAAACAAAGAGAAAGGCCTGAGAAAAAACTAACTCTGCCAACTACTTGATTTTGGACTTCTAGCTCCAGATGTGTGAGAAAAATAAATTTCACTTGTTTAAACCACCCAGTCTATGGTATTTTGTTATGATATCCTTAGCAAACTAATACTAAAGAGGGGAGAGAAAGTGAAATCATATAAAATGTTCCATTAAAACCAGAGAAAGCAGAGAAAGACAAAAAAATAAACAAATAAAAGCAAAGAACAAGGGTAACAAATAGAAAACAGTAACAAATATGGTAGATAAAAATCCACCTACATCAGTCACATTAAACATTAGTGCTCTAACTTTAAGCATCAGTGGTCTAAATACAGCGATTAAAAGACAGTGGTCTCTGTCTTTTACTTTGTAATCCACTGTGTCGGAGTGGATTAAAAAAAAGAAAAAAGACCCAACTACGTGTTTACATAATTATGTTGGATTCTAACATGAGTAAATGCATGCAAATGAACTGAAACAATGGAAAAAGGTGCATAATTACTAATAGAATAATGAAAAAACTCTTAGGTGAGAAAAAACTTACAAGATTATGTTCTCCATAAGAACTGTCCTTGGTGATTAGTACGGTGGCTGGAACACAGTTAGTGCTCAACAAATATTTGTTGAATAAATACATGAATTTAAAAATTCAAAATAGTCAGAAACCTAATATGATTATCCAACCACCATCATCACAACCATGAAATCAGTCATCTACCAGAAAAAATAAGTTATTCTTCAAAACAGCTCATTAAATGTGTCTGTGCCCTCACCTTCTGTGTTCTTCAGAGCTTAGGGTTTGCATAGCCTGCTATGTAAGGAATGTTCAGAAACAAAAAGAAATTTAAAAAATAGGACACAGAAAGAAACACTTTCAACTGTAATCTCCCTTCCCATCCTTTCTCCATGTTGAGGTGTGAAAGAGGGAAGGTCAATGGCATGAGACAGACTTTTCTCCTATATGAGTGATCTTAAAATATGTCCATACACACACACACGCAAATGATGCCTCAAAGTACTGCATGGAGCTTGTTAGTTCCCTTATTTTTCTTGCAGCACAGTCCATCTAAATGCTGGTAAGAAAGGGAAGAATCTAGGAATTCAAGAAAACCAGTTTTCCCTATCTAGGCAATTCATGGGTTTCCAATGTCATATCTACCAGCAAATAGCTATCTAGAATAATGTACACTGTTTTTAAAAACTTCTCCTCTATTAGTTCTTTAAAGTTTGAAATATCCTAGGCTAGAAAATTACTTATTCTAAAGACTTAAGTTCTTGTCTTAAAGACAGTACAGTAGTCCCTCCTTATCCACGGGGAATACATTCCAAGACCCCCAGTGAATGCCAGAAACTATGGATAGGACCAAACCCTATATGTCAATATTTATTCCTATATATACATACCTATGATCAAGTTTAATTTATAAACTAGGCACAGTAAGAGATTAGTAATAACTAGTAATAAAATAGAACAATTATAACAATATACTGTAATAAAAGTTATATGAATGTTGTCTCTCTCTCAAAATATTGCAGTATCTTTGGACTACAGTTGACCACAGGTAACTGAAACCTCAGCAAGTGGAATAGCACATAAGAGGGGGCTGCTACAGGAATGAATTGAGAGCTTGCTTGTAAAACTCTGTGCTTGCATTTAGAAGGACAAATCTAGATTTTTGAAAAGGCATCTTAGTCCTAAAATCTACATTTGGCTACTCATGCAATTAACAACTCTTTTTTTTGTTTTGTTTTTTGTTTTTTTGAGATGGAGTCTCACTCTGTCTCCCAGGCTGGAGTGCAGTGGCACAATCTTGGCTCACTGCAACCTCTGACTTCCAGGTTTAAGCGATTCTCCTGCCTCAGCCTCCCGAGTAGCTGGGATTACAGGTGTCCACCACCATACCTGGCTAATTTTTGTATTTTTAGTAGAGACAAGCTTTCACCATGTTGGCCAGGTTGGTCATGAACTCCTGACCTCAGGTGATCCACCCACTTCAGCCTCCCAAAGTGCTGGGATTACAGGCATCAATTAACTACTCTTATAATAAAAACAAAGGAATTGAATTGCATGGCATTGGGTTCCAATTCAGGTTTATAATTTGAAATGAAAGAGTCCTAGTTTACACAGTCAAAAATGTGTCAGAGAGCAGTTTGTATTTTTCCAAATATGATTTCTGAAATGTCTGAAATACATTTTGTTTAAACAAGCTATGTCTCCTTTATTAGAATAGTACTGATTAAGAGCTTTTAATCTTTCAATCAGTGGACAAGCAAAAGTTTCCATTTGTTCTATTTCAAAAGAAATTATTGCTTTGCAAAGTAGATTTACATCTTAATAAGACTGTCGGTGGATAAGGTTAATCTGCTCTAAAAACAAGTTTTTGGGATCAGGTTCTAGGTTTTGGTCAGCTTTGTCACCCCGATGGACTGCCATGCCTACAGCAGATCCCCAACAAATATTGCTCAATTGAAATACTTCATCAAATAGATTATTTGTGTGAAGATAGATAGTGTTAACCATAAATGAACCTCATCTTTTTATTGCATCAAGCTAAAAATACTTATTTAATAGTTCCAGCTACCAAATACGGAGTACTTGAAAGACACGATATCATACTGAAATTATTTCTACAATTTAGGTTTATTGCTAGTCAGACTGACTCTCCTTAATAAAATAATTTTTCTATAAGTCTTAAAGAAGGGTGTCAAATTAATATTTAAAATAATTTCACTCATTCTTTTTTAAAAAAGGTTCATGAAATAACGCTTTTCTTGTTGAAAGAGAAGAGAGCTGTCAGCTCTGTTAGAGTCAGTAAGAAGGAACAATCCTTTCTTGGTATTGTTGTTGATGTTGGTATTGAGTTGTCACTGCCTTACAGACTTACCTAAGGATTGTAATAGTAAAAAAAGGATTATAAGAAAACTTACATTACTTGGTTATATTATTTGTATATGGTCTGGTGGCTCAAATATATATCAGTCATTAATGATAACCAAAAACCTATGGCTCAAATATACGTCAGTCATTAATGACAACAAAAATCTAACTCACTCTGACACAGATATAAATGGATATGGACTTTTGGGGGGCTGTGAGTACAATGTGGTCGGAACTATTCTTGGTCAAAATTAAATCTCATTAAAAATGTGAGAAAAATTATTAAACCATCTTAACTGAATTTTAAATATTTCATTTAAACTTTCTTGTAAAGAACATATTCATTAGCAGAAGATTAAATTTGCCCAAGTAACACAAAGTCATTTTAACTAGAGTTTATGAAATACAGGAATTTTAAAGCTAATAATTACCATGAGTCTGTACGATTTTGTAGCATTCATTATTTCTTGTGCATTAAAAAGTTCTGTAAGCCAGCTTTCCACCTTACATTAAAAATATAAGATACATCTGAACAGACTAGCTTATATTTTTAGTTCAATATACGTTTCTTTGCTAAGCAGCAGTAAAAAAAGTGGAAGCAAGATTTTTTTTGAAGTCATACTATATTCAATATTCATGATTCCTATTCATTATAACTAAACTGTAGAAGCTGAATGATTTTTCAGAATCTTTTCCCCAAAAGTATTCTATACTCCCATGAGAGGTTTTTTGTCTACTCTTTTTCTCTTTCATTAGAGAACAATGTTGACACCATTTTCATGATGCCATTTTCACCAGTTCACCATATGACAAGCTAAGCTTCACTACATACATTCTTTGTAGCATGGAGAAACCACAAATGCAGAATTCAATTTATCATGGTGAAAATATAGCCTGTTATAAAATTTAAAAATATAATGTTAAGTAAGTCTTCGTAAGTCTATCATACAGGAAATTTTATATACAGTGGCTCCCTATAAAATAAGAAAAGTTGGATAAATTAACGAAACAAAATGTGATTTAAAAATCTGAGCAACATTGCATGTATTGATGGTAATTTTGTCACTCAGTCTAAAATGGAATAAGGGAATAAGAACTTCAGAATTCTATATTACAGTTTTCTTTACAGTAATTCACTATATCATTAATAAAATATTTCACTGTAGTTTAAGCATATAAGTAAATTAACATCCCTCATTATAATACCTCACCAATAGTTAATAGTTACTTAAGCTAAAAACTCTATAGTTCCTAAATCATTGCTTATATGTATTAAATTATTGAGCAAAGAAACACCTCTATTATTTTATTGCCCAAGATTTTTTCAGAATTTCCTATATTGCTAAGAATGAAACATCTTTTCTGCAAATAAAGTACACTGTTATAATGCATACACAAAAATCGACTTGTGTTTAATTAGGAATTAGTGAATGACATGAAACAAATAAAAAACGCCTCAGTAAGGTCATTGGGTAAGTTCTGGATAGAAATCTCTGCTGTCTTAATGTGCTGTATGGTAAGTTTTCTTAAATGCCTCTCTTTTTTTAAGCTAAAAATCCATCAACTAGTGATTTGCGACTTTGTGACAAATTTCCTTTTTATGTGTACTTCAAATGAACCATTGTACCCAATGACAATATGACTTCACAAACTTGGCAAACATATAAGAGAATAAAGACCAAAAATTAAAAAAAAATCTAGAAATCAATCCTGTCTATAAAATATAGGACCCCTTAAAAACATGTAAAATGTTAATATTTTCTTTACATGTAACACAAAATTACATTTCCCATCCCTACTTCTAGCACACTGTAGAGTATAGGAGGCTAAAAATGGTAAAGGAAAAATATCCCAGAGAACTTAAGATCCTGACACAAATTTTTTGTTAATGGTTTATATCTAGTGTTATGGTTTGAATGTCTCCTTCCAAAAGTATGTTTTGGAAATTTAATCCCCAATGCAACAGTATTGAGAGGTGGGGCCTAAGGGTAGGTGTTTAGGTTATGAGGGTTCCACCCTCACGAATGGATTAATGTCAATTATAAAAGGGCTTGAGGTTGCAAGTTCAGTCTCTTGATCTCTCTCACCCTCTCTTTGCCCTTCTACCACGAGATGACACAGCCATAAGGCCCTTGTCAGGTGCTGGCCCCTTGTTCTCAGACTTCCCAGCCTTCAGAACCATAAGCTAATAAATGTATTTCATTTAAAATTACCCAGTTTGTGGTATTCTGTTTTACCAGCATAAACGGACTAAGACATCCAGGGAACCCAAACTGTGAACTTGGTTAAAGGTGGTTTCAGACTGGTGGTGCACCAGGTACCTGGAAGAAGCAAAAGCAAATCCTTTAATTAAAAAGGCATTTTTCATCCTGGGCTTTCAAGAATCCCCCAAAATATTTATTCAGGGATAATAAGCACAGAAGGCAGAAATATCATGAGCAATAAATAACCAAAACAAGAATTTAGGGAAATACATAAGCAAAGAATTCAGATATTGGAATTATTATATACAGTTTATAAAATAACTATGCTTAGTCTATTTGAACAAATAAAAAGATAACTCTGAAAGTATTTTCAAAAAACAAGGAGTTCTAAAACGAAACCTAGTATATTTGTAGAAAAACAAAAAAAGAACTTGTATAATTAAAAAATAATAATAAAATTTAAAACTCTAAGTACATTAAATATTGCAAAGGAGTAATTTAGTAAAACGAAAGACAGGACATATAAAATGATCCAAAATGTGGCAAAAAGAAACAAAAGTATGGAATATATGGAAGGAATGCTAAGAGACATGGAAAAAAGGTGAAAAATTCCAACATTCTTTTAATGTGAAGGAAAGGAAAAAGAGGAGGGTACAGAGACAATATTTTAAAATATATAGGCTGAGAGTTTTATAGAACTGATTAAATGCACAAGTTCTTTAGTTTAAAAAGCCTAGTGATTTCCAAGCAGGACAAATAAAAATAAAACCATAACTAGAAATGTCATACTGATATTATGTATTACCAAAGACAAAAGGAAAAATGTTAAAATCAGCCAGAAAAAAACAACTAGCAGATAACTTTCAAAGGAGTTATATGCTGATAGCTGACTTCTCAGCAGAGAAAATATGAGTCAAAAAGACAGTGAGATATTCTTCAATACGCAAGGGGAAAAAGACTGCCAAATGGGAATTCTAAACTCAGTGAAAATACCTTTCAAGAATAAGGATGAAGCTAGGTGACATCAGTAAAAATGGCGAGTAAAGACTCCAAAAATTCTTTCTGTACCTAAAAGCGATGAGCAACAGTGCAAAACTTGACAGACATTTCTGAATTTTTCAGAATTCTAGAAATTAATCAAATGCAAAAATATAGGAAATATTTATTCAAGAAAAACAACTGAAACTTGATAAGAACAGTGAGCTTTGTGTTGTTGTAACTTACCCTATTCCTATTCTTCCTTCTCAGCTATTCAGCACCTTGAAAATGAACAGCTCACAATCATGGTGAAAACCAGCAGCCTGTAGAGGGAAGAATGGAGCTAAGCTTCCTTCAAAGCCCTGTTCCCAGAGGATTGTTGTTTTTATCTGTTGGTGGTTCCCTGGAAGACCACATCCACAAAGTTGTCTTTATTTAATCTGACTCAGAGCTCATTCAGTGTAAACAGCCATATCCTTAGGGACTGCATTAGTCTTTCTTGCATTACTATAAATGAATACCTGATACTGGGTAATTTATAAAGAAAAGAGGTTTTGCAGGCTGTACAAGCATGGCACCAGCATGTCCTCAGCTTCTGGTAAGGCCTCAGGGAGCTTACAATCATGACAGAAGGCAAAGGGGGAGCCAGTGTGTCACATGGCAAGTGAAGAAACAAGAGAGGGAGGAGGTGGTGCAAGAATCCTTTAAACAATCAGTTCTCACATGAACTACCAGAATGAGAACTCATCATTACCATAGGAGGTCACCAAGCCATTCAGGAGGGATCTATTCTCATGACTGAAACACCTCCCGCTAGGCCACACCTCCAAGATCAGAAATTATATTTCAGTATGAGATTTGAAGAGGACACACATTCAAACCATATAAGATGCACTTGTCAAAAACAATTAAGGGCAATTGCCTAAAATTGTATACAATGGTTGGGGCAACAACAGGCTAGCCAAAAAGGTTAAAAGGAAAGTCTGGGGAATTAGACGTCTGTAGGAGATTCTGAAAAGCTTCAACATATTCTTGCAATCTAGAAGGAAGAGCATATATTTACGACTCTGTAAATACTCAGGAAAATCCTGAGAAGGTTCAACCCCTCTCACTTCTAGCTAAAATGGAGGCTCTTTGCAAGGAGAACATAAAGTTTAACTTTTTGTTAACTGCCTGGATGAATGTTGAAAGCATGCCACCACAAATATATAAAATCTCTCAGAAAAGACTTGGAGTCTTATTGGTTGCAGGCATTTAAGAAAATCACTATCCAATCATTACTTGATTACTAACCTAGCTAAGCAGAGACTTCACTGGCAACAAATAACAAAGAATACAGACTTTACCATATCAATTTGGAAAAGTTGCCAAATAAACAACTATCTACTACAATAAGCAGCAACCAACAACAGATCCTACAGAGGAGGAAGAATTTGATTTCCAGCGTTTTCATATTATATTATTTTAAATGTCCAAGTTTTGACAAAAATAATTATAATATATGCAAAGAAATAAGAAAGTATGGCTCATACACAGGAGAAACATAGTAAAAATAAACTATCTTGAGGAAAACCAACGGTTGGACTTACCAGACAACTAATTTATTTATTTATTTATTTATTTGAGACAGAGTCACACGCTGTCACCCAGGCTGGAGTGCAGTGGTGGACTCTTGGCTCACTACAACCTCTGCCTCCCAGGTTCAATTGATTCTCATACCTCAGCCTCCAGAGTAGCTGGGATTACAGATGTGAGCCACCATGCCTGGCTAATTTTTGTATTTTTAGTACAGATGGGGTTTCATCATGTTGGCCAGGCTGGTCTCGAACTCCTGACCTCAGGTGATCCACCAGACTCTGCCTCCCAAAGTGCTGGAATTATAGGTGTGAGCCACTGCACCTGACAAATAATTTAAATTAGCTAATTTAAATATGTTAAAGTAAGTAAAGAAACCCATGTTTAAAGAACTTAAGAGGCCAGACACAATGGTTATGCCTGTAATCCCAGCACTTTGGGAGGCTGAGATAGAAGGATAACTTGAGGCCAGAAATTTGAGAGCAGCCTGGCTAACATAGTGATAGCCTATTTCCACAAAATCTAAAAAATTAGCCAGGCACAGTGGCACAGGCATATAGTCCTAGCTACTCAGGAGGCTGAAGCAGGAGGATCATTTTTGCCCAGAGCTTTGAGGCTGCAGTGAGCTATGATTGAGCCACCAGATTCTAGCCTGAGCAACAGAGCAAGACCTTGTCTAATAAATAAATAAATAAACAAATAAATAACTTAAGGAAAATATGAGACCAATGTCCCACCAAACAGAAATTTTTTTAAAAAAGAGAAAGATAGAAATTATAGAAAAGGAACAAAAATCTCTGGACTTGAAAAGTACAATAACAGAAATGAAAGTTTCACTTGATGGGGTCAAGTAAAGACTGAAGCAGGTAGAAGAAAGCATCATGAACCATGAAGATAGATAAATTGAGATGATCAAATCCAATGGACAAAAAAATAAAATAATGAAGAAAAATAAATGAAGCCTCAGAGACCTGTGGGACATCACCAAACATAACAACATAAGCAACATGGCAGTCTTTGAAGGAGAGAAGAGAAAGGTGTAGAAAGAATAGTTGAAGAAAGAATGACTGGAAATTTCTAAAATCTGATGCAACTATTAATCAGCACATGTAATAAGCTCAGTAAAATTCAAGTAGGATAAACTCAAAGAGAGCCACAACTAGAAACATTATAATTATATATGTATATATATACAGATACATATGTATATATGTATATATCTGTAAAACAATATAATTATAATCTAATTGGCCAGAGTCAATAACAAAGAGTAAATGTGAAGGCAGCAACAAAGAAGCATCTTATCATGCACAAAGTATCCTTAATAAAACTTACAGCCAATTTCTCATCAAAAACATGGAAGTCAGAGGGCAGTGGGCAGACATATTCAAAGTGCTGAAAGAAAGACTATCAACCAAGAATCTCATCATCCAGCAAAACTATACTTCAAAAATGAAGAAAAAATTAAGAACTTTCCCAATAAAGAAAACTGAGAGAATTTGTCAGAGGCCCACCTGCCATACAAAAAATACTAAAGGGAATCCTGTAGGAGAAAATGAAAGAACACTAGATAGCAACTCAATTCACATGAAAAAATAAAGAGCACCAGTCAAGGTAACTAAATAAATATAAAAGGCTGCATGCATGTATTTTTTGGTTTGGAACTCTTTTTTATAAAATCTAATTTTTAAAACAGCTCTATAAAGGAATGATTATAGTCAATGTTGTTGGACAGATAATGTATAAAGATGTAATTTGTATGACAATAACAACACAAAGGAAGGAGAAGGAGATGAGGATCTGTAGGAGCAAAGTTTTTTTTAATATGATTGTAATTATGTTCTTATTTTGAATAGATTGTTATAAAATTAAATTTCAATTGTAATCCCTAGGACAATCACCAAGAATATAACTCAAAAAATAAATACAGTAAAAGGAATGTCAAGGTAATTTAAGTGGTATACTCTTGTAGACAGTATACAGTTGGATCTATTTTTAAGTCTATTCTGTCAATCTCTGTCCTTTAATTGGAGAGTTTCTTCTATGTACATTTAATGTAATTACTGAAAAGTAATGATTTATGTTTGCTGCATTTTGCTATTTGTTTTCTATGCCTTGTGTCTTTTTGTTCTTCTATTCCCCCATTGCTGCCTTTGTTTATGTTAAATAGTTATTTTATGTGTACCATTTAAGTTACCTTGTCATTTCTTTTGCTGTATTTATTTATTAAGATGGAGTCTCACTCTGTCACCCAGGCTGGAGTGCAGTGGTGCAATCTCGGCTCACTGCAACCTCCACCTCCCAGGTTCACATGATTCTCCTGCCTCAGCCTCCGGAGTAGCTGGGATTGCAGGCATGCGCCACCACTCCTGGCTAATTTTTTTTTTGTTTTGTATTTTTAGTAGAGACAGGGTTTTGCCATGTTGGCCAGGATGGTCTCGAACTCCTAACCTCATGTGATCCACCCAACTTGGCCTCCCAAAGTGCTGGGATTACAGGTGTGAGCCACCACACCCAGCCCTACAGTATTTAGTTTTTGAGTTATATTCTTGGTAGTTGTCCTAGGGATTACACACACTGCAGTTTGGCTCCCAGGAAGTCCCATCCTTAGGAGAAGGGGGAGTGTACCATATCAAGGGACCACCCCATGGGACAAAAGAACCTGAACAGCAGCCCTTGGAGTCCAGATTTTTTCACTGAAATAGTCTACCCAAATGAGAAGAAATCAGAAAAGTAATTCTGGTAATATGACAAAACAAGGTTCTATAACACCCTCGAAAGACTACACTAGCTCCCCAGCAATGGATCCAATCCAAAAAGAAATCTCGGAATTACCAGATAAAGAATTCAAATGGTTGATTATTAAGCTACTCCAAGAGATACCCAAGAAAGGTGAAAACCAACTTAAAGAAATCTTTAAAAAATACAAGATAGGAATGAAAAATGCTCCAGAGAAATAAATATCATAAAGGAAAAACAATCAAAACTTATGGAAATGAAAAACACACTTAGAGAAATACCGTCAAACAAGTAGAAGAAAGAACTCTGGAGTTCAAACACAAGGATTTTGTATTAAGCCAATCAGATGAAGGAAATAAAAGAATTTTAAAAAGTGAACAAAGCCTCCAAGAAATCTGGGATTATGTTAAACAACCAAACCTAAGAATAATTGGCATTTCTGAGAAAGAAGAGAACTCTAAAATTTTGGAAAACATATTTGAGAGAATAATCAACAAAAACTTCCCTGGCCTTGCTAGAGATCTAGACATCCAAATACAAGAAGCTCAAAGAACACCTGGGAAATTCATCTCAAAACAATCATCACCCACGCACATAGTCATCAGGTTATCTAAAGTCAAGACAAAGGAAAGAATCTTAAAAGCAAAAGCATCAGGTAACCTATAAAGGAAAACCTATCAGATTAACAGCAGATTTTTCAGCAGAAACCCTACAAGCCAGAAGGGACTGGGGTCCTATCTTTAGCCTCCTCAAACAAAATAATTGCCAGCTAAGAACTACACTTCATAAATGAAGGAGAGATAAATTATTTTTCAGACAAACAAATGTTTAGAGAGAATTCACTACTACCAAGCCAGCACTACAAGAAATGCTAAAAGGAGTTCTAAATCTTGAAACAAAGTCTCGAAATACATCAAAATAGAAGCTCCTTAAAGCATAAATCTCACAGGGCCTATAAAACAATAACACACACCTACACACAAACAAGGTATTTAGGCAACAACTAGCACAGTGAATATAACAGTACCTCACATCTCAATAGCAACATTGAATGTAAATGGCCTAAATGCTCCACTTAAAAGATACAGTATGGCAGAATGTATAAAAATTCACCAACCAAGTATCTGCGGTCTTCAAGAGACTCACCTAACACATAAGGACTCACATAAACTTAAGGTAAAGGGGTGATAAAAGATAGTCCATGCAAATGGAAACCCAAAGCAAGCAGGAGTAGCTATTCTTACATCAGACAAAACATACTTTAAAGCAACAACAGTTAAAAAACCCAAAGAGAGATATTATATAATGATAAAAAGGATCAGTCCAATGGAAAATATCACAATCCTGAATATATATACATCTAACACAGGAGCTCCTACATTTATAAGACAATTATTGCTAGACATAAGAAATGAGAAAGATGGCAACACAATAATAGTAGGGGACTTCAATATTCCATTGACAGCACTAGACAGGTAATCAAGACAGAAAGTAAACAAAGAAACAATGTACTTAAACTATACCCCAGAACAAATGGACTTAACAGATATTTGCAGAACATTCTACCCAACAACTGCAGAATATACATTCTTTTCACCAGCGCATGGAACATTTTCCAAGATAGACCATATGATAGGCCACAAAACAAGTCTCAATAAATTTAAGAAAATTGAAATTATATCAAGTACACTGTCAAACCACAGTGGAATAATATTCTATGCAAATTGAATAACACATCTGGACACAGAAGTATTTGTTGCATATATATTTAGGATTGTGATATTTTCTGTTAGACTGATTGTTTTATCATTGTATAATGTCCCTCGTTGTGTTTTTTAAGTGTTGTTGCTTTAAAGTCTGCTTTGTCTAACATAGAAATAGCTACTCCTGCTTGGTTTGGGTTTCCATTTGCATGGAATATCCTTTGGAGTTCCAAACTCCAAGAGGAACCCTCAAAACTATACAAATACATGGAAATTAAATAATCTGCTCCTGAATGATATTTGGATCAACAATAAAATCAAGACTTCTGGGACACGGCAAAAGCTGTGCTAAGGGAAAAGTTCATAGCATTAAATGCCTACATCAAAAAGTCTGAAAGAGCATAAATAGACAACCTAATGTCACACTTCCAGGAACTAGAGAAACAAGAATGAACCAAACTGAAACCCAGCAGAAGAAAAGAAATAACAAAGATCAAAGCAGAACTAAAGAAAATTGAAACAAAAATATACAAAAGATAAATGAAACAAAAGCTGGTTCTTTGAAAAGATAAACAAAATTGAGAGACCATTTGCAAGATTAACCAAGAAAATGAGACCAAATAAGCTCAATTAGAAACAAGACAGGAAATATTACAACCGATACCACAGAAATACAAAAGATCATTCAAGTCTACTATGAACACCTTTATGTGCACAAACTAGAAAATCTAGAGGACATTAATAAATTCTTGAAAATATAAAACCCTCCTAGATTAAATCAGGAAGAAATAGAAACTCTGAACAGACAAATAATAAATAGTGACATTAGAACAGTTATTTAAAAATTGCCAACAAAAAAAGTCCAGGACCAGATGGTTTCACAGCCTAATTCTGTCAGTCAAAGAAGAATTAGTACCAATCTTAAAGAAACTATTTCAAAAGACAGAGAAAGAAGGAATCTTCCCTAAATCATTCTATGAAGTCAGCATCAGCCTAATACCAAAACTAGGAAAGGATATAAAAAAAGAAAATTACAGAGATGAGCGTGAACAACATGGAGAAACCCCATCTCTACTAAACATACAAAATTAGCCAGGCATGGTGGCGCATGCCTGTAATCCCAGCTACTCCGGAGGCTAAGGCAGAGAATGGCTTGAACCCGGGAAGTGGAGGTTGCCGTGAGCCAAGATTGCGCCATTGCACTCCAGCCTGGGCAACAAGAGCGAAACTCCATCTCAAAAAAAAAAAAAAAAAAGAAAAAAAGAAAAGAAAAAGAAAACTACAGACTAATATCCCTGATGAACCTAGATGCAAAAATCCTCAACAAAATACTAGCTAACCAAATCCAAAAGCATGTCAAAAAAATAATACACCATTTTCAAGTGGGTTTCATACCAGGGATACAGGGATGGTTTAACACACGAAAGTCAACACATGTAATATATCACATAAACAGAATTAAAAACAAAAATCATATGATCATCTCAATAAATTCAGAAAAAGCATTTGATATAATCTAGCATCCCTTTATGATTAAAACCCTCAGCAAAGTTGGCATAGAAGGGACACATAAAAACCATCTGTGAAAAACCCACAGCCAACATTATACTGAACAGGGAAAATTTGAAAGCATTCCCCTCGAGAAATGGAACATGACAAGGATGCCCACTTTCACCACTTCTATTCAACATAGTACTGGAAGTCCTAGCCAGAGCAATCAGACAAGAGAAAGAAATAAAGGGCATTCAAATTGGTAAAGGGGAAGTCACACTGTTGCTGTTCACTGATGATATGATTGTATGCCTAGAAAACCCTAAAGACTCGTCCAAAAAGCTTCTAGATCTAATAAATTAATTCAGTAAAGGTTCGGGATACAAAGTTGATATACATAAATCAGTAGCTATATGCCAACAATGACCAAGCTTAGAATCAAATCAAGAACTCAACACCTTTTACAATAGTTGGAAAAAAAAAACACGTAGGAATATACCAAACCAAGGAGGTGCAAGATCTCTACAAGAAAAATTGCAAAATACTGCTGAAAGAAATCATAGATGACACAAACTATTGTAAACACATTCCATGCTCATGGATGGGATCAATATTGTGAGAATCAATATTGTGAAAATGACCAACTGCCAAAAGCAATCTACAGATTCAATGTAATTCCATCAAAATACCACCATTCTTCACAGAACTAGAAAAAGCAATCCTAAAATTCACATGAAACCAAAAAAGAATCTGCACAGCCAAAAGCAAGACTAAGCAAAAGGAACAAATCTGGAGGCATCACATTACCCAACTTCAAACTATACTACAAGCCTATGGTTACCAAAGCAGCATGGTACTGGTATAAAAATAGGCATGTAGACCAATGGAACAGAATAGAGAACTCAGGAATAAAGCCAAATACTTACAGCCAACAGCAAAGAAAAACATAAAGTGGGAAAAGGATACCCTATTCAACAAATAGTGCTGGAATAATTGGCAAGCCAGATGCAGAGAATGAAGCTGGATCCTCATCTCTTACCTTATACAAAAATCAACTCAAGATGTATCAAAAAGTTAAATCTAAGACCTGAAACCACAAAAATTCTGGAAGATGATA
Organism: Homo sapiens; assembly: GCF_000001405.40. NCBI lineage: Eukaryota > Metazoa > Chordata > Mammalia > Primates > Hominidae > Homo > Homo sapiens. Next base: position 69,777,632 of record NC_000009.12, on the reverse strand, counting down.
TCAGAAAAATTATTCTAGACATTGGCTTAGGGAAAGAGTTCATGACCAAGAATCCAAAAGCAAATGCAACAAAAACAAAGATAAATAAATGGGACCTAACTAACCCAAAAAGCTTCTGCACAGCAAAATAATAATAATAATAATAATCATCATCATCATCATCATCACAGTAAACATAAATCCACAGAATGGGAGAAAATATTTGCAAACTATTCATTCAACAAAAGACTAATTCTAGAATCTACAAGGAACACAAACAAAACAGCAAGAAAAAAAAATCCCATCAAAAAAGTAGGCAAATGACATGAATAGACAACTCTCAAAAGAAGTTAGACAAATGGCCAACAAACAAGAAAAAATGCTAAACACACTAATTATCAGGGAAATGTAAACCAAAAACACAGTGAGATGCCACCTTACTCCTGCAAGAATCGCCATAATTTAAAAATTAAAAAAAAAAAAACAGATATTGCATGAATGTTGTAAAAAGTGAACACTTCCACACTGCTGGTGGGAATATAAATTAGTACAACCACTATGGAAAACAGTATGGAGATTCCTTAAATAACCAAAAGTAGAACTACCATTTGATCCAGCAATCCTACTACTGGGTATCTACCCAGAGGAAAATAAGTCATTATATGAAAAAGACGCTTGCACATGCATGTTTACAGCAGCACAATTCACAATTGTAAAAATATGGAACCAGCCTAAATGCCCATCAACCAATGAGTAAATAAAGAAAATATCACATATATATGTGTATGTATATATATGTATATATATGTGTATATATGTATATATATGTGTGTATATGTATATATGTGTATATATGTATATATGTGTGTATATGTATGTATATACATATATATATACACACACACACACACCATGGAATACTACTCAACCATAAAAAGGAATGACATAATGGCATTCGCAGCAACCTGGATGGAGTTGGAGGCCATTATTCTAAGTGAAGTAACTCAGGAATGGAAAATTAAACATTGTGTGTTCTCACTTATAAGTGGGAGCTAAGCTATGAGGATGCAAAGGCATAAGAATGATACAATGGACATTGGGGACTTGGGGGAAAGGATTGAAGGGGGGTGAGGGATAAAAGACAACATATTGGGTGCAGTGTCCACTGCTCAGGTGATGGGTGCACCAAAATCTCAGAAATCACCACTAAAGAACCTTTCCATGCAACCACCTGTCCACCCAAAACTATTGAAATAAAAATTTTTTCAAATGAAAAGTAGCCAAAAAGAAGAAACTAGAAAAAGTAGTGAAAACTAAACCCACAGTAAATAAAAGGAAGGGAATAGTAAAGATCGAACAGAAATAAATGAAAACAGCAGCAAAATAGAGAGCCTCTTATTCATTCTGCATTGCTAGGGCTGCATTCATGCTATAACAGTAGGTGTTAGTAATTGGAACAGAGTATATGACTCACAAAGTCTAAAATATGTCCTATCTAGCCCTTTAATAAAAGGTTTGGAAGAATTCTGCTTTCTGCTCCAACATGTAAAAGCTTCAAAGTCTTCACTCTCATCCTTACAATAAGACAAAAGGTGAAACTGAAAATCAATTACTTTTCTTAGACCTGTTAAAAAATTAAGGTCACAGAACAAACTGCCACGCAGAAATCTAGAGAGAAGAAAATACAGAGAATCACAGCTGATAACAGCTTACCTGGAGCAGAAGACATTGAATCCATAAACTGGTATGAACATTTAAGTGGTAATCTTGACCAACTGCTAGAGCCTGAATGTGGACTTGCTCTAAACTAAGAAAATCCTTAGGGGCCCAGTCTTAGGGGTCTCCCACACTTTTATGTATTTTACTTCCAGCAACCACACCAGGCTTTCATGGAGATGACCCCAGAACAACACCTTCACATTTTAGTCAAGGGGAGGGGCATGTTGAAATATACCCAAAGCAATCTTCATAGTAAGAACCAATGCTCCAAATGAAATGATGTTACCAGGTCTTTTGACCAAAGAAAGGGCAATTACCCGATCCCAGCCCCTTAGCTTCCCTATCTCACCTAAGAGAAGAAATGTAAAAGGCTAAGAAGCACTACTGAAGGTCAAAGCCCAAGGACTCAGGCCCACTAAATGACTTAAGAGTTAATCACAAAATTATAGATTCCTTTCCCATAGGACCTTACCACCACACCTGCAAGGCTCCAGTTTATACCAGTAGATTTCAACTAAAAAAGTGACAGGCCACAGATTCTATCTAAGAAGTTCTTAGGAAAACCTAAAGATAACAAGGAAGAAAGATACAAGTACACCTGAGGAAACTGAATCCACTGGCGCTTACGGTTTCAGCAAACATTAAACACAGCCCAGCTTCTGGCCACATTACCATTATAACTTTTCTATTATCCCATACATTATACGAAGTTTTTAGCAAAAGATTACAAGGCAAGCTAAAGGGCAAGAAAAAGCAGTCTGAAGAGACAAAGCAAGAACCTTCATCAAAGCTACGTCCAGGGGAAGGGGAGAGTGGAGGAGAAGAATAATGAAAATATTCTGGCTGGGTGCAGTGGCTTAAGCCTGTAATTCCAGAACTTTGGGAGGCTGAGGCGGGTGAATCACCTGAGGTCAGGAGTTCGAGAACAGCCTGGCCAACATGGTGAAACCCCGTCTCTACTAAAAATACAAAAATTAGCCAGGCGTGTTGGCAGGCGCCTGTAGTCCCAGCTACTCGGGAGGCTGAGGCAAGAAGAATTGCTCAAACTCGGGAGGCAGAGGTTGCAGTGAGCCAAAATCGCCCTGCTGCACCCTAGCCTGGGTGACAGACGGTGAATCTGTCTCAGGAAAAAAAAAGAAAAAGAAAAAAAGAAAACAAAATATTCTGGAATTAGTGGTAATGGTTGTATAATCTTGTTAATACACTAAAAACCACTAAATTACATGCTTCAAAGGGTGAATTTTATGTTTTGGGACTATCTCAATTTAAAAAATAATTTTAAAAAGACTTACATAATTATTTATAACTTTTTACAAAATGAAGGTTTTCCTATATTCTCCACGCTCACACAATTGGTGAAAAAATAACATCGAATTAGAGAATAAAATATATCTACGGTAATTGTGAAAATTGATGACAAATTTTAAGAATTATGATTCTCATTACATTAATTCTTTGCTACTCATAACATGAACCATAAAAAAGTAAATACATTGTCTCTTTTTTTCATTCAATACATATATACTTAATATCTGCCTCATATAAGGAACTGTACCATGTTGTTGGGTTACAAAAATGAATCTGACAATGACTTCAACTTAGAAAAAGATATTAGAGATTTACAAAAATAACTGTAAAACAAGGTCATATATGAAAAGTGCCAAACAAAGGCTATAAAAGTACAGTGGAGTCCAAGATTATAGGAAAGCATTTCTTTTTTCTTTTTTTTTTTTCATTGTTATACTTTTTAAGTTCTGGAATATATGTGCAGAACGTGCAGGTTTGTTACATAGGTATACATGTGCCATGGTGGATTGCTGCACCGATGAACCTATCATCTGCATTAGGTATTTCTCCTTATGCTATCCCTCTCCTTACCCTCCACACCACGACAGGCCCTGGTGTGTGATGTTCACCTCCCTGTGCCCATATGTTCTCATTGTTCAACTCTCAATTATGAATGAGAATCAATGGTGTTTGGTTTTTTGTTCCTGTGTTAGTTTGCTTAGAATAATGGTTTCCAGCTTCATCCATGTCCCTGCAAAGGACATGAACACATTTTTTTTTATGGCTGCATAGTATTCCATGGTGTGTATGTGCCATATTTTCTTTATCCATGGTGTATATGTGCTACATTTTCTTTATCCAGTCTATTGTTGATGGGCATTAGGGTTGGTTCCAAGTCTTTGCTATTGTGAATAGTGCTGAAATAAACATATGTGTGCATGTATCTTTATAGTAGAATGATTGATAAACCTTTGGGTACATACCCAGTAATGGGATTGTTGGGTCTATTTCTGGTTCTAGATCCTTGAGGAATCACCACACTGTCTTCCATAATGGTTGAACTAATTTACACTCCCACCAATAGTGTAAAAGCATTCCTATTTCTAGGAGAGCATTTCGAACTGAGGTGATTAATGAAGACTTCATGGGAAAGGTGGCAATGGAATTGGGTCTTTGTTTGTTCAGCTGACTCAGCACTACATTTGCAGTGCTTACTATATTCAGGAACTGTACCAGGTACCAGGGAAACAACAATAAAGATGAAATGGATTATCTCATTTTGTTATGTGATAAAACCCAGGAGTGTAGAAGCATATATATGTGTGTGTGTGTGTGTGTGTGCATTTATATATTTTTGTATAACTAAAACAATGTATAAGTTAATAAGAACACTCTTGAAGAATGAGCGGATTTCAACAAAGAAGCAAAAATGCTTTCAATGGCTCTAACTCTTCAGAATTTTTTATTTTTTATTTTTTATTTTTTTGAGACAGAGTCTTGCTCTGTCGCCCAGGCTGGAGTGCAGTGGTGCAATCTTGGCTCACTGCAACCTCTGCCTCCCGGGTTCAAGCGATTCTCCTGCCTGAGCCTCCCAAGTAGCTGGGATTACAAACACATGCCACCACAGCCAGCTAATTTTTGTATTTTTAGTAGAGATGTGGTTTCACAATGTTGGCCAGGCTGGTCTTGAACTCCTGACCTAGTGATCCGCCCACCTTGGCACTGCCAAAATATGGCCTCAAGGTTCCTCATGATTAGGCCTCTGACTAAATTCCAAGTGACTTCCTCTACTATTTCTTTATTACATTTATACATGTAGGTTATTCTACCCTTCCCTATTGTTTCCCATCCTTTCCTTTCATCCATCCATCCATTTAAGTACTCAGAGCCCACTATATTGCAATGCAACATACACAGTGGTACATAAAATAAACAGGAGAAATACAGTTCCAGCCCTTGTGAAATTTACACTCTGTAGATGGATAAAGATATGGAACTAATTAGACAACTGTTTAAATGCATTTGATATATAAAGGAGTCTATGAGAATATAATGAGGGCTTTTACTCCTTTATTACTTTGAGGGATTCAACTTTGTGTGCAGGAATTAGCCGGAAGTACCCTAGATATCTTGCTAGACACATGCATGACAGAGGATGGAAGATAAACCCTTAAAACATTCAAGGGCCTGCCACCTTAGTGAAGTTTCTAGGAGTCCATTAGTTGAGGCATGGCACATTTCTACCAAGGTGAAGGGCAAGTTGCTTCATCTTGCACACTCTACCACTGAGAAGGAGACACAAGGGCCACTTTGGATTCAAATTGTGACATATACCCTAGTTGAATGTTCTACTTTGAGTCACTTACTGAGTAACCCATAGATTTGAATGGATTCCAGAGCAACAGAAGCTTCTGTGGCAGCTCTAAGCTTCTACGCAAGCTGATCTTGGGCCACATGACTCAGCAGATTGAATGGTGCTGAAAGAGCACATTGAAATGTTCTAACAGTAGCAAATAAAAAATGCCATGGCAATACCCCTTGGGTTTTGGGGGAAAAGCCAACCCTTTTCGTTGATAAGCATTACACTTTTGAGAAACCGTTCTGGGGTTGCTATTGGGCCCCCAGGACTGAATATCTGACTAAGAAACACTAACTAGTCATGTGACATGAGCTTTCCATAGAGAGCTACGGTGTTACCTGACTCAGGACCACAATGCTGTAAATGAGATATACAAGATCAGGCTCAAACAGTTCCCAAAGACACAAGTTGCAAGAGTAAGTGACCCAGACACCTTCAGTATCAGTGGGTTCTGCATTCCTGGATTCAACTCAATGATCATCAAAAATATTCAGAAAAAATAAAAACATAATACAGATTAAAAGAATCAATATAGTATCACAACCATTTACATAGCATTTACATCTTATTAGGTATTTGAAGTAATCTAGAGATGATTTAAAGTATAGGCTGGGTGCGGTGGCTCACACCTATAATCCCAGCACTTGGGAAGCCAAGGAAGGTGGATCATCTGAGGTCAGGAGTTTGAGACCAGCTTGGCCAACATGGTGAAACCCCGTCTCTACTAAAAATACAAAAAATTAGCTGGAAGTAGTGGCACGTGCCTGTAATCCCAGCTACTTGGGAGGCTGAGGCAGGAGAATCGCTTGGATCCGGGAGGTGGAGGTTGTAGTGAGCCGATATTGCACCATTGCACTCCAGCCTGGGTAACAAGAGCGAAACTCCATCTCAAAAAAACCAAAAAACAAAATGAAAGCAAACTATATAGGAAGATGTGCATAGGATATATACAAAAATTGTGCCATTTTATATAAGCGACATGAGCATGTACAGATTTTGGTATCCACAGGGATCCTGGAAACAATCCTCCACAGATACTGAGGAATGACTGTACTTACTCCTATTGCATTGATATCTCTCCCTCGATCTACATATATGGCCTCATGGAGAATTCTCTATGACATGTGACTGAGGAAGAGAAAATTTGGGCCTCGTTTTGTTTCCAAACAGCTCTCCACAATATGTTGGTACTACCCAAAAGTGGATGGCTTTAGCATGACAGCCTCACTCAGAAATAGTCTTTAAAAACTGAGAAGGGAGATTCTCCAAGTAGGCAGAACTTCAGACTGTATATCTAGCAGTCCACTTAGACTAAAAAGAGACATGGCAGAGGAGTAGGTCAACATTGATTCATGGACAGTGGCTAACAGTTTGCTTAGATAGTCAGGGACTCTGGTATATTTATGTGACAGTTGATACTGAATGTCAACTTGATTGGATTGAAGGATACAAAGTATTGATCCCCTGGGTGTGTCTGTGAGGATGTTGCCAAAGGAGATTAATATTTGAGTCTGTGGGCTGGGAAAGGCAGACCCACCCTTAATCTGGTGGGCACAACCTAATCAGCTGCCAGCGAATATAAAGCAGGCAGGAAAAAAACTCAAAGGACAAGATGGGCCTAGCCTCCTAGTCTACATCTTTCTCCTGTGCTGGGTGCTTCTTGCCCTTGAACATCGGACTCCAAATTCTTCAGTTTTGGGACTCAGACTGGCTTCCTTTCTCCTCAGCTTCAGACAGCCTATTATGGGAGCTTGCGATCATGTAAGTTAATACTTAATAAACTCCTGTCTCTCTCAGTATATATATATATTAATAGGATATATTATATCCTATAGGATATAATATATCCTATTAGTTCTCTCCCTCTAAGAGAACCCTGACTAATACAATGTATGAACTAATTATACAGGAATTAGCAAAATTTGGTAATTGATGATAAAGAAGTTTGGGGAAGAGGTATGAGGAGAGACCTCTCTGAATAGGCATAGATTCTGGTGTTATTTGTGTTCCATATGAATGCTCAAAAAAGGCCATCCATTGCAGAAAATGTTCAATAATCAGGACAAAGTGTTCTATTCGACGGCTGATACTCAGCCTCTTTCCCTAGCCATGACAATGTTTGCTTTATGGGCTCATGATGATAGTGGCCATAGAGATTATACCTATGCGCAATAATGCAGGTTTTATTCCCCCTCCAACCCCCATGCAAAGCTGATCTTGTTAGAGTCATTGCTAGGTGCCCAAGCTTTCAACAACAGGGACCAAAAGTAACCGACAAGCTACCTGATGGCAGGTTGTTTACAATGGATTCTTCCATCATCAGGACAGCAATTTGACGTTTTCCTGCCCCAGTTTCTTCATCACTATCCATAGATATACTGAATGCCTTGTTTACAGTCATGATACCTGATATGGTTTGGATATGTGTGCCCTTTAAATCTCATGTTGAAATGTCATTTCCTACCTCATTAATATATACATATAACTACTATGTATTCAGAAAAAATAAAAATAAAAACAGTTTTTTTAAAAAAGAAATGTGGTCTCCAGTGTTGGCGGTGGAGCCTGGTGGGAGTTGTTTGGATCATGGGAGACAGATCCCTCATGAATGGTTTGGTGCTATCCCCTTCATTAGGGAACTGTAGCTCTGAGTTCACATGAGATCTGGTTGTTTAGAAGTGTGTGGAACCTCCCCCTTTTCTCTCTTACTCCCACTCTCACCACGTAAGACACCTGCTCCATTTTTGCCTTCTCCATGATCGTAAGCTCCCTGGGGCCTCCCCAGACACCAAGCAGATGCCAGCATCATGCTTCCTGTAAAGCCTGTGGAATCATGAGTGAATTAAACCTCTTTCCTTTATAAATTACCCAGCCTCAGGTATTCCTTTTCAGCAATGCAGGAACAGCCTAATACAGTACCCCAATTAACACATGATAGGTTTTCTTTTCAAGACAGGCAAAGCACCACCTTCTATCCCGTATTCTCTTCTGCAATGTGACCTTCACACTATCCCATGGGACTTCCTCCATCCCCTTGATTCTGGGGAAGTACTGTGACCGCTTTGACCATTTTGATATTGCAAAATTGATGCTGTACCCTTAACCAACCTGAGCTCTCATTTCCTGCCTCTTGGAAGTTAGCTGCTGTGTATAATTTCCTGAGCTCACTATGCACTGAAAAGCCCTGGAGCATGAGATGCCAGTTGAAAAGAGAGAACAAGAAGCACCACGGCACCAGACATGTGAGTAAAGAAACAATCAGACATCTAGGCCAGTCAAGGCTTTTGATGACTTCAGCCCCAGCCATTATCTTTCTGTAACTGCATGACACTAACCAACAACTGCCCAGTTGGTCCCAGTCAATCCACAGAACTGCCAGAAATAATAATATTGTTTTAAGCCACTAAGCTTGAGGTTTATTTGTTACACAACAATACATAACTAGCATACCTAATTTTTGACCAATGAACTCATTTTAAAACAAAAGGAGCACAGGAATAGGGTTCATACCCATGGGATTCACTGACCATAACATACCCCACCATTCTAAAGCAGTTTACTTAATTAGGCAGCAGAATGACCTACTGAAGTCTCAAATACAGTGCTAGATTGGGCAGCACAATGTGGGTTGTGGTGCTGTCTTACAAGATCGATATGCAATCTGAAGCACCATCCAGTGCATTATGTCATATTTTCCATACCTAGAATACATGTATCCAGGGACCAAGGGCCAGTGGCTTCTCTTACCATTACCCCTAATGAACCTCACAATTTTTTTCACTCACCAAAGCAAAATGAGTGAACTGTACTGAATTGTCTGTTGGCAACTTGGGATTGTCACCCAGGCATTATCATTACCCCTTTCTAAATTCTCCTTCATAACATAGCAGAGTTTGCTAGTAAGAACACAAGATTTGGAAAGCAGAAAGAAGAGACCATTATTCTCCAGGGACAGTTGCAAGGAGAAGCATGTACAGAGAGCCAGCATGAGGTCTGACACCCTTCCAGATGAGTTTCTTGAGAAACACTTGAGTAGGTGCCATAAAAAGGCTGGTAGGAGCTTCCTAGAGGTTCTTGAGACTTGAAGTAGCTTCTGGACAAGGTATAGTCCCCTGTTTTATTGCTGAAGACTGAGATATTTGATGACGGTTCCCCTGACTTGTTACCTCACCCTTCCAACAGGTATGTAAGCCTCAAATGACTTATATTAAACCCTTCTTACTTAGAATACAGAGTATGACTTGTTTTCCTGACAGGACCTTAACTATATACTTCATAATACATAAGTTTTTATTCTGCAAACATATTTAACATTCAGCCCAGAAAACTGTTCAGTGTAGTACAATAAAGAACACAGAGTATACAGAATGGAAAAAAATTGGAACTAGGCAGTCACTTTCATTGTTGTCATTTGGGTAACCACCATCCTGAATCTGAAATCACTTTACAAACGCTGTAAGGTTGGTAAAAGTTATTAATTTGGCCTTCTTTCAATTCCTCAGACATGCTGTTAGCTCTTCTGTTCTTAGGCCTTCACCCTAATGTTTCATCGCCAGTGAGGTTCTTTCCCTGCTTTTCACAGGGCTGGTTTCTTCTCATCTTTTAGGTTTCAGCTTAAACATCACCACCCAGAGCAGGCTTCTCTGACTACAGCATCCAAAGCTATGTCCTTACCCTGACACTTTTATCATCTACCATGGTACCCTGCTTTCTCCTTTTGTGCCATTTATTACAATTTTTCATTAGATATTTGTCTGTTTACTTGAATATTGTTTATCTCTTCTATCAGACTGTAAGTCCCACAGAAGGCATGAACCATTTCTGTTTCTCTCACCATTGAATACCCAGCAGCTAGCACAATGTCTAATACACAGTATCACTCATTAAAATTTATGGAATAAATCAAATTGTTTGGCGTCTTGTCCTCTCAGGGATAGTATTTAGCCTCTTCCTCCTACAAACCAAAGAGATTATCTTTTGTACTGTCCTTTTTGCACACTGATGACTCAGAGGACTTACCATAGAAATTAAAGTGCTTAAAGTCAGAAGCCATCATTTGGAGACTTATTATTTGACATTCCTTCCTAAAATTCACACTATCAGTCTCTATAAATATTATTCCGCAAATTAAGAGCATAAATCAAATAACAAAAAAAGCTCATCATTTCCTATGGGTAATGTTGGCCTGGTGTTAATAATTTTGATGTGTCTCAGACATAGCTTAAAACATAGAAACAGAAAGAAACTGAGATATAAGGTATATTAGGAAATTTCTGAATGGAAAAATTAACTTTAGAAGGGAGATGAAAGGAGGTATAGCCTTGTCTTACTTTTAGATAGTTACTGAAGAGGTTTCAGACTGAACCTCTACTGTGGCCAAAATGAAGTTCCTACTCCCTTTCTAAATTTCCAGTTATGTTTGAACCTGTCTATGGCTTTCACCTCTGTCACAGTTACACTGAAAAATAAGCAGAAAAAAACTTAAGGATGTACTTATATTTGTATACTTTAAAAATTTAGTCATCCATTAAAAGGCTTTATTACTAAGAAAATTCTTATGACAATCTGACATCTTCAGTACTGTACATGAGAAACTAATTGCATGATTGAGAGATACCCATCTCCTTAGCTGTTTCTATATGCAGATCCTGGAATGGCGCTTTCTCTCTAGACATTTTCTTCTGTTCTTTTCTAAAGATTACATAATGAGTCTCCTGGGCCTCTGTGGTAGGAAGGATGAACAGGGCAAAGGAAAAGGATGATATTTTGGAACTATCAAATAAAATAAAACATCACTTACTCAGCAACGAAAACCATTTATGTAACTAATATCCTTATTCCTGTATTTTCATGGGTTCTAATATCAGCATAAACTGGTCATTTAAAGTCATCTTCATTATTATCAACTTGATAACATTTACACACTTTGTCAGCACAGAAAACGTTCATGCTTTAACTAGATTAATTATAATTGCAGTATACCAATTCTCTTTAAAAGTGTTAAACAAGTTTCATATTGAAATTATCTAGCTTAGCCTTAGTTTACTATTATGTTTTAATATGGATTTACTAGTAATGACACTTTTATTCATAGAAATAAATAACTTGAACAGTGCTTCTCAGTTTAAAGATGCTATCACATGTATTTTCTCATTTTTATCCCAACAACTGGAATAATGAAGAGCTAGAAATATCAACTAATAACAATAGATGCACTACCATGCATGGGTGGTTTTGTATATTTTTAAACAGTTCTTGAATATATAGTAAGTCATACTTGGGGAAATAAACCAACACACCAAGGCAAAGAGTATACAAATATCTTAAGTTTAATGTACATATCTTTTAAAGTATATTTATTAAGTTCTATTCCTTTTCTTGAAATAATCTTTAATACTTTTTTTTTTTTTTTTTTTTGAGAGACTGAGTCTCACTCTGTCACCCAGGCTGGAGTGCAGTGGCACGGTAAGATCTCGGCTCACTGCAAGCTCCGCCTCACCGGTTCACGCCATTCTCCTGCCTCAGTCTCCCGAGTAGCTGGGACTACAAGCGTCTGCCACCATGCCCGGCTAATTTTTTGTATTTTTAGCAGAATGTTGGCCAGGATGGTCTTGATCTTCTCACCTCGTGATCTGCCCGCCTCGGACTCCCAAAGCGCTGGGACTACAGGCGTGAGCCACCGCGCCCAGCCTAATAAAAATTTTAAAGATGGGCATCATTCCTGTTGATTTTTCTTAAGAATTCATAAAACACATCAATATTGTGGCTTCTTGGTTAATATTTTGTTACCCTTCTACTATTTCTTTGCTAGTAAGTTTTTAAATTTTAGATTTTAAGATAGTGGATAGGGCTGAGGTCTGGCAAAATTTAAGATATAGGTAACCACAATGACAATATAATAAGCCATTCAAAATTGGGCATTAATTTTTTTGAGATGAGGTCTCACTATGTTGCTCTGGCTGATCTTCACACTCCTGGATTCAAGCAATCCTCTCAGCCTCCAGAGTAGCTAGGACTACAGAAGTGTGCCTCCCCATTTGGCTACTTAATTTTTGTAATGGAGGAAATAAGACTGTTCTTTCCGTAATAATAGCTAGCACATGGTAGAACATATTTAGTACTATTTGAATTCTATATTGTAAAATGTTATCAGAAAATGAGATTCAAATAAAAATAAATGGAGTAATAAACAACATGTCAGTAATGTAAGCGGCATAATACAAAGCAAAGATGGAAATGGATGACAAGGCATCTTCATTTCTTCACAAAAGTCACTAAAACTACCTCGCTGTCCTCGTTCCCTCCAGGGTCCTCAAGACATACATTAGGTTTTTCATTGTAAAACTTTGGGACATCCAGAAACGTATAAAGAATATGTATTTATTGGTCTTAATTATCTCAATTCTATCATACAGAGATAATCATTGTTAACATTTTAGTTTGTATCCCCCCATCTATTTTATATATATGTACAATTATATCTATATTACATACAATTTGTATGGTATATATGAAATTAGGATTATATTGTATTGTATTTGTATTTGGTACTTGTTTTGGTCATTACATATCCACATTTTCCTCTATCATCAATTAGTCTTCTAAAATAAGAAACGTGTGGTTTTTGGGAGTGGGTAGGAAGATTGTCAAAATATATTCACAACCATGTAAATGATAATAATAGACATGGTCACTTAAAAAAATCAATATATCTGTAAGAAAATTAGTATGCACATAATATATTTGGCTAATTAACAAACAAATATATCAGCTCCTTATTAATATATAATTTAAAAAACTTTTCTTAGGCCAGGTGCAGTGGCTCAAGCCTGTAATCCCAGCACTTTGGGAGGCCGAGGTGGGTGGTCAGGAGTTGAGGTCAGGAATTCGAGACCAGCCTGGCCAACATGGTGAAACCCAGTCTCTACTAAAAATAGAAAAATTAGCCAGGTGTGGTGGCGTGTGTCTGTAATACCAGCTACTCAGGAGGCTGACACAGGAGAATCGCTTGAACCTGTACCACTGCACTGCAGCCTGCACGACAGAGTGAGAATCCGTCTCAAAAAAAAAAAAATTCTTAAATTACAAATGTTACTTTGCTCTTTACATTACATAGTCAAATTGTCCTATGAAAATACCTCTAACACTTTGGTATATATTCCTCTAGTTATAATGTGATTTTCATGTGGGGAAAAGCAAGAGAGATCAGATTGTTACTGTGTCTGTGTAGAAAGAAGTAGACATAGGAGACTCCATTTTGTTATGTACTAGGAGAAATTCTTCTGCCTTGAGATCCTGTTAATCTATAACCTTACCCCCAACCCCGTGCTCTCTGAAACATGTGCTGTGTCAACTCAGAGTTGAATGGATTAAGGGCGGTGCAAGATGTGCTTTGTTAAACAGATGCTTGAAGGCAGCATGCTCGTTAAGAGTCATCACCACTCCCTAATCTCAAGTACCCAGGGACACAAAAACTGCGGAAGTCCGCAGGGACCTCTGCCTAGGAAAGCCAGGTATTGTCCAAGGTTTCTCCCCATGTGATAGTCTGAAATATGGCCTCGTGGGAAGGGAAAGACCTGACCGTCCCCCAGCCCGACACCCGTAAAGGGTCTGTGCTGAGGAGGATTAGTAAAAGAGGAAGGAATGCCTCTTGCAGTTGAGACAAGAGGAAGGCATCTGTCTCCTGCCTGTCCCTGGGCAATGGAATGTCTCGGTATAAAACCCGATTGTATGCTGCATCTACTGAGATAGGGAAAAACTGCCTTAGGGCTGGAGGTGGGACCTGCGGGCAGCAATACTGCTTTGTAAAGCATTGAGATGTTTATGTGTATGCATATCTAAAAGCACAGCACTTAATCCTTTACATTGTCTATGATGCAAAGACCTTTGTTCACGTGTTTGTCTGCTGACCCTCTCCCCACAATTGTCTTGTGACCCTGACACATCCCCCTCTTTGAGAAACACCCACAGATGATCAATAAATACTAAGGGAACTCAGAGGCTGGCGGGATCCTCCATATGCTGAACGCTGGTTCCCCGGGTCCCCTTATTTCTTTCTCTATACTTTGTCTCTGTGTCTTTTTCTTTTCCAAATCTCTCGTCCCACCTTACGAGAAACACCCACAAGTGTGTAGGGGCAACCCACCCCTACATTTTCAAATACTAAATAGCATCTTACCATATAAATTTATAATTTAATCAATCCCCTCTCATTGGGCATTTAAGTTATTTACTGTATTTTATTATCAATAAATGAACATAAATCTTGTAGTCCTTCGACAAAATCACGCTGAATTTATTATGCCCTATTCTTGTATACATATATATCATTATTGAGGATTTATGAATTTCAAATCTTAAATCCTTTGGACTTCTGTTTTCTTATCTGTAAAATTAGAGAGTTGGCTCAGAGTTCTAATTATGCTCCAATTCTAAAAAAAAAAACAAGTTCTAAACATAGTAGATTCTTAATAATTGGGGTAAAACAATTTGTGAATTCTTAGAGGAAACAAGATACAATGCATGCCTTTCAAATGACTATAAAGAGGTTGCATGTGGAGAGGGCATACACAGAATCATACAGAGGAATTCTGTTTCTGAAATAGCTGTTTTACATCAAAATTTGGGGACAAAGTTTTCTTTTTTCCCTGTTAAATAAAGCCTTTCGGGGAAAATCATTATTTCTGAGTGTGCTGCTTTGATCTCTGCCTCCAGAAATTGGGATTTATTTCCCACTGCCATTAGGATGCAAGGTCCTGATTAAGAAAACTTACTAAGTTTAAGAATTTTAATTTAAGAACTGGTCTTACATTCTTAATCAGGATATTTAAAGTTGTCTTTTGCCTTGAAATCTAAACACACATTCCACTCTTTTCACTGCTTCACTCCAGAACTTGTTATCGGTTAAATTTTGATTGATTTTACTAACTCTTTTTTTTTCTTTCTTTTTTTTTTTTTTTTTTTTTTGAGATGGCATTTCGCTTTTGTTGCCCAGGCTGGAGTGCAGGGCACAGTCTTGGCTTACTGCAACGTGCGTCTCCCGGGTTCAAGCGATTCTCCTGCCTCAGCCTCCCAAGTAGCTGGAGCTACAGGCATGCACCACGACGCCCAGCTAATTTTGTATTTTAAGTAGAGACGGGGTTTCACCCTGTTGGCCAGGCTGGTCTCAAACTCCTGATCTCAGGTATCCACCCGCCTCGGCCTCCCAAAGTGCTGGGATTACAGGCGTGAGACACCGTGCCCGGCCGACTTTACTAATTCTTAATCCTGTCCCACCTTGCTGGCTACAATTTTGTGAAACTTCTATCTCACTTCTTTTTTTTTTTTTTTAGATGGAGTCTTGCTCTGTCGCCAGGCTGGAGGGCAGTGGCGCGATCTCCACTCACTGCAACCTCCTACTTCCGCGTTCAAGCGCTTCTCCTGCCTCAGCCTCCCAAGTAGCTGGGATTACAAGCACGTGCCACCACGCCCAGCTAATTTTATATTTTTAGTAGAGACGGCGTTTCACTGTCTTGGCCACGATGGTCTCGAACTCCTGACCTCGTGATCCTTCCGCCTCTGCCTCCCAAAGTGCTGGGATTACAGGTGTAAGCCACCGTGCCCGGTCCTATCTCACTTCTTTTACAACCAGAAGGCTAACTCCAGCCTTTATAAACATACCCACAGGAAATACTGGCCACTGAGTATAGTAAATTTATATTTTTCGTTTATATTTCTCATTCACTTTACATGCAATAGATAGCTTTTACTTTTACAATCATAAAAACTACTTCAAACGCTCCGCATATGTTCACATTAAACACACCATGAGTTTATTTTTTTAATAGCTTTTTAAAGATACAGATTTCTTTTTTTTTTTTTTTGAGACAGAGTCTCGCTCTGTCGCCCAGGCCGGACTGCGGACTGCAGTGGCGCAATCTCGGCTCACTGCAAGCTCCGCTTCCCGGGTTCACGCCATTCTCCTGCCTCAGCCTCCCGAGTAGCTGGGACTACAGGCGCCCGCCACCGCGCCCAGCTAATTTTTTGTATTTTTAGTAGAGACGGGGTTTCACCTTGTTAGCCAGGATGGTCTCGATCTCCTGACCTCATGATCCACCCGCCTCGGCCTCCCAAGGTGCTGGGATTACAGGCGTGAGCCACCGCGCCCGGCCTTTTTTTAAAGACGGAGTCTCGCTCTGTCGCCCAGGCTGGAGTGCAGTGGGGAGTAGCTGGGATTACAGGCGCCCGCCACCACGCCCGGCTTTTTTTTTTTTTTTTTTTTTTTTGTATTTTTAGTAGAGACGGGGTTTCACCGTGTTAGCCAGGATGGTCTCGATCTCCTGACCTTGTGATCCGCCCGCCTTGGCCCCCCAAAGTGCTGGGATTACAGGCGTGAGCCACCGCACCTGGCCAGATTTCAAGGGTGGAAGAATAAAACTGAACCAAGGGCAGCCAGATTTTTCTACCAGAGGTGCAAAAGAAAACCTGATACACAAAAATTTTAGTTATGGCATTTCAAAATCCTAAATAAACTAGAAAGCTCGTTTTTCCTACAAAAATTTATTTTTGCTATTATGAACAAACCCTGTCAGAGCCTTGATCCTTTTTTTTAAATTCCAAAATTGACGCAAAGGCTACCAAATGCAGTACAAAATGAAGTCGAAAAATCTAAAAACGATTTCACTTCTACTTCCTACATACAGATGGCAAATAACTTTTCCTTCACTTTCCTTTCTCTTCCTTTAATAAATTTAAGAATTTTAATTAATGTTTTTTAAAAAGGCTGCTTTCAAGTTCAGAGACAAAAATTGGCACAGTTAGAAAGGAGGTCACCAACACGGTCAAATAGGGACTCGCTCCGCCGCAATGCCTCTGGACCTCTTCATCTCTCAGGCTGGGAAAATAAAGCAGACAAGCTCTGAAAAACGCCCGGGACTAACTGTTAAGAGGCCCTGCATCCTCAGTTGAACATTCCTTCAGGAATGCCCGGGGACCTTGCTGGGGGGGTTCAGGAAGGTGTCTGACTCTCTGGGAGTGTGTCTTGAGGTTTCGCCTAAAACTTAAAATAAGAAAATCGGAGGCCTGAGAGAACTTTGCAAACAAATGTCCAGCATCTTCTCTGACGCTTAGAAAGTCCGTTACCCGCGCGGAGGCGAACTTCTCCACTCACTGGAAGGCCACCAACCCTAGCTAACGCCACGCCCAGGCCGCCAACTGGCTGACCCGGAAGTGCTCGGCGGCGGCCGCGGCGGCGGGGACGCGGCCTAGCCGAAGCACCCGCGCGCGCGCGCGCGCGCTCGTTCTCCGCGGAACTCCCGCCGGCGGCCCGGCTCACGCGGAGGCGCGCCCGAACTGTCGCGGCCGCCGCCAACATGGCCGAGACCAGCGAGGAGGTGGCGGTGCTGGTGCAGCGGGTTGTGAAGGACATCACTAACGCCTTCAGGAGGAACCCACACATGTGAGTCGCGCGCCTCCGCCGCCTCCGAGGGTCGTCGGGAGCGGGCGGGGGCGGGGCCAAGCGTCCACCCGACCTCGGGCGGCGGGCGGACAGCGGGTCCTGGCCCACGAGCCCTTCTAGGGAGGAGGCAGAGCCGTGTCGGGCGGGACCGTTGTCGGCCGCCGCTGGCCCGGCTTTCCGCTACCGGGACGCGCTCGCGGTCGAGTCCCTAGAAGTGACCTCAAAAAATCAAAACGGAACTACTTTCTCTGTCCCTCCCCACCTTTTCATAGGAGTTCACGAAACTCCAGAGACGTCCCCCGTAGGTCGACATCCTTCCTGTGTTTAAGGTACTCGGGCGCACACAACGATGTGGGTCCGTGTATGCCTTGTAAACACAACTCTTGAGATTCATCCCGGACGTTGGCAAGAGGGGGTAACCGATCCTCTTACTTTTAATGAGCCTCAAACCCCTCAGTTTACTAACTAAAGGTGGTTTGAGGCTGCTTTTGACTTTAGCCTTACTTGCCACAAAATTGTAAAGTGACTCCGATAATACATTGTGTTTTGAAAGGTGAACAGAACATTCTCAAGAGAAGCTTCTGTGGGCGCAGTGTGGAGTCTGGGATAAAGCAAATGAAACCTTGATACTTTTTAGCATAAGCGGATTCATAGTTACAAGGAGCATGTTAACTCATTTTTATCCCAACACTGCTGCCCTCTTTAACGGGACACTGCAGAACTGACATATGTATCTCTTCCATTTTACTTGAAGTACTGTGGGAAGATACCGCAAGAGTCTACTTTTTGTAACACTTTGCTTTTATGTAACAAGTGAAAAGAAAGCTATTGAGAGAGAGAGAGAGATCTACATTATACAAAGGTGTAGGGAAGAAGCAACAATGTACCTCCTTTCCCATACCTCTTCCTCCTCAAAGAAAAGAAACATGGCATCCAGTTCTGCATTACTTTCATTTTAGCTAGTTGTTTTTGGAGTTTATTTTTTTTTTTTTTAGTTTATTATTTTTTATTATTATTTAATTTATTTTTATTTTATTCTTTAGACTGGAGCTCATGATTTTTTTTTTTAAGTATTCTAACCGGTTCAGCTTTTCTGCCTAAAAAAGTTGCCAAACGTGTATCTTACCAAAGTGTTCTTTTCCTCCAAGGTGATGATTGTAAAACAGTTAAGAAGCCGTTGGATGTTTTGCTCCCTTGTGGCACACAATTGGAGACGTGCAACTGTGCCACATTAAAAACAAAACACTGCTGGCCTCAAAACACACCTGCCACCTCTGACAGCATCCACTTCCCTCCCCCTTATGACTGCTGCCTTTTTCAAAATGAGAGTGTTTGGAATGATTTCCTGGCAGTATCCATAGTGGTTGCTGAGCCTTCTAAAGAATGCTTTGATGCCTTGCTGTATATCAGTCTTTCGATTTCTTTTTGAGAATGGGAGCCTTAGTGCAAGTAAGAGACGACCTCAAAAAAAAAAAAAGTTGGACAAATGAAGAGTGTATTTTCTCATCACTGGTATTTTTCTAGAAGAAATTACAGCAGAGATTAGAAATCTAATACAAAATGTCGTAATCATCTTATGTTCTCTTCTTTGAGGTAGACTAAAAGAGCATCATTATATTTGAAGAAACCAAGATTGAATGTTCATTGGCTTGGCAGTTTTTAACACAGTGCAGTTTGGAACATGTCCCAGTTCTTGTGGATCACATTTATGGAAACTCTTAAAGGACTTTAATGCCCCTCCCTAATCCTTTTTCTACTGTAAAACCTCATTAATATATCCTCAATGTATAATTTATTAGTAATAAGGATTTGGGTCATTCGAGATTTAAAACTTTGAGATAAGTTGGATATTCGGAATAATGTAATGATTTGTAATATAGGTCTTAAACATTTAAATAGCTTAACTCATTGTTTAAGACTAGTCATCAGCTATATTTGAATACATATTCCCCACAGTAAAACTATTTTCAATAATATTACTATGCATCTTTGTAAGTGCCTTATAATTTGGGCTTTTAAAAATTGCCTGCGCTTTCTTCCCTTAATTTAGCCCATTTACTCCCAAAATAAAGAGGCTGTGTTTCTTTTTTTTTTTTTAAGGCATTGTTTATCTGTAACGTTTGTATCTAACTTTACTGTATCTAATTACACTTTCAGTATTATACAAAAATTTTTTTGTTTTTCTTGTCCAAACTTAAGATCGGTTGTAATTTTATTGGCCAACATCTACTTCATTAAATACATTGACTTTGTTTATGTAGAAATATTTAGCCAGAAGGAGTTGAGGATGCAGTGGTGAGATGTGGATTTTGTTACTGTATGATGTGAATAGGTACCTTCTCTCAGCCTCAGTTTCCTCTTGATCTTGTGAGGCTGATGAAAACAGGAAAATCACCTCACACAGTGGTACTTAGTTGCCACTCAATAAATATTAGACCTTCCCTGAATCTCTGTGTTCCTCACCAAAAATATATTGGACAAATGATTGGTGAATATGAAGCACTTTATAAACCTGGATAATACTATATAAATGCTGTTTGTATGGTTGAGTATTAGATAATCATATTGGATTCTCTAAAACTGAAAACTTGACCTAGGGATAGTCTTTAACTTAGTGTATGGACCCTGTGCTAATGTAGAAGACAACAGTTTATAATGTAAACAGTCACGTTAAAATTAATCTTATCCAGCAAGTTATTGTTTTTTCTATTAAATATTGAACTCACTGTTTATGAAGTGTTGTGGGTACCATCTTTACTGTGTGAAATAGAAGTTTAAAATACAGTTCTTGAACCCAAGGCACTAACAGAAATTTCTGTAATGGTGGAAATTTTCTGTGTCTGTGCTGTTCCATATGGTAGCCACTAGCCATAGTAGCTATTGAGCAATTGAAGTGTCCCTAATATGAACAGGGACCACATTTTAAATTTTATTTAATTTAAATGGATTTGTACGTAGTGGCTCCATGTGCCTAGTGACTACTGTGATGCATAGTGCAGGTGTAGATGAGACCTAAGACTAACTGCATGAACAGTAAATTAACCCTCCAAAGTAGTTTATAGTAAAAGTTGGATAGGAGCATGATGAGCAAGTGCTATGGGAGTCTAATAGAAGTGGAGAGGAGGCTGGTTATGTCTCGGATAGGGGTGCTAGTGGAGGTGGGTTTTAAGCCAAGTATTAAAGTCTGGGTAGGATTTGTAGTCTCAGAGGGAGCCAGAGACCTCCACAGGGAGCAGTGAATTGACCTAAACAAGCAAAGTGTGGCTGAGAAGGTACAGTAGGGCCAGATTATGGAGATCCTTGACTCTCATTTAATTTCTTTCATTCCATTCATACATTCTGCAAAAGAGTACCTCCATTTGACAGGCACAATGCTGGTCTCTGGGTATACAGGGTTAAAAACTGGGTGGTTTAATGAACAAACCACACATGGTCCCTATCCTAATGGAACTTTAATCAGTCAACATACAGATTATGAAAAGAGTCATAAAAAGTAAGAAGGGTACTTAGAATAAAAACAGGGAGACCCAATTTAGATTATAAGGTCAAGAGGTTCTTTCTGAGGCAATAGCATTTAAACTGAGTGAGACATGAGGGGTGAAGAAAAGCTGGCTCAAGGATGTACACTTCTAAGGCAATGGGTAGGCACCAGTGAACATTTTTTAGTAAAGAATGATGAAAGGCAATTTTAGATCGTCTGCAAGGTGAACTGAAGAATAGAAAGCCAGAGTCTACTGGGCTTCTTATACCTGATTTTTATTTATTTAAATAATAGTGTAGTATAGTTGTAAAAATTTGAGTTTAGAGTTTGATAGTCTAAGCTGTCAAACTGGATTTGAGTCTTTGCTTGTCGTTTATTAACTGAGTAGACTTAGACAAGACTCTTCCTCTGTAAAATGGGGTCAAAATTCCTACTTTATGAGATTATTGTGCAGAATAAAATATATGTAAAACCTAACCGTGCATGGCAAGTAACAATAAACACTAGTAATTTGTGTAGCTTTTTCTAAATAAGGTCAGTAATATAATTTCAGTGAAACATAAGTTGATAATCTTTGGAATTAATGAGAAAGCCTATAAGGTTTCTGAAATATCTAAATCACCAGGAGAATTTTAATTATCAATATGCAACGGTCAGTTCCTTTAGATATATTTTACTAGCTTTCCTTTTTGGTCATGCTGGAAAGAATTCCAGTTCTTTTGGGGGGTGGGAGCAGAACAAAATGAAAATAACTACTATTTAGATTTAAAATGTTTTTACCATTTCCTGAATCCTTGGACTGTTTTCTGTTTGGTTGCTCCACACTATAGGATTCAGTTTGAGTATTTGGGTACCATCCATCCCTCCCAGAAGGTAAGCTGGTTGATGCAACTTTTGTGGATAATAAGTGGCTCTGTTCTGGTTGATGGTGTTTCTGAGAAGTATAGACAGAGAAGCTGTCTAAACATAAGGAACAAAGTCAGTATCAGTGTTACATGAACTGTGAACATCATCTGGAAGCCAATGAATGGATCCCTATTGTGAAGTGAGGCGCTCAAAGAGATGTATCATACTTTGATCTTAAGTAAATGTGCTGGTTCGTTCCACATTGCTCTGCCTTTGGAGCAGTCTGTGATGAAGGTGACCTAAAAAGTGAGCACCATTAGAACTTGATTGCTGTCCCAAACCATCATATCTTTAAAAATCCTATGATCTTCTTAGTTATGCAGGTAATTGAATACCTTGTTAAATACCAGGAATGTAAATGGCCAGAAACCTAACAGTGTAAAAGAGTGAAATTTATTAGTAGTTCCTCTCATAAGACTATTTTGTAAAGAAATAACTAGAGATATGTTTGATATTTATAGCACATTCATTGCAACCATTAAAAATATCAAAATTGATTATGTGGGAAAATGTTTAATGGGAATTGCTCAGTTTTTTTCCATAAAGGATTATAGAATATGTTCAATATGATCCCACTTTTTGAAAATACTCAGGAAAAAAGGATGTATACCCAGCTGGGCACAGTGACTCACACCTGTAATCCTAACACTTTGGGAGGCTCAGTGGGAGGATCACTTGAGGCCAGGAGTTTGAGACCAGCCTGGTCAACATAGTGGGACTACATCTCTACCAAAAAAAAAAAATATATATATATATATTAGCTGGGCATGGTGGTGCATACCTGTAGTCCCAGCTACTCAGGAGATCTGAGGTGAGAGGATTTCTTGAGCCCAGGAGTTGGAGGCTGCAGTGAGTGAGGATTGCACCACTTCACTCCAGCCTGGACGACAGAGCAAGATCCTGTCTCAGGAAAAAAAAAAAAAAAAAAAAAAAGATATATACCCAAACATGTTAATAGCAAAACAGGGATTACAAGTGACTTTTAGGGTTTTTTTTGTTTTGTTTTGTTTTTCCTGAGTTTTCCAGTGTTTCTTTAGTATGGAATTAGAACTTAAATTTCCAGAAAAATAGAAGGAATTGATCTAAATCCTGTTTTGCTCTTTGTTCTAGTGTCAGGGGTTTGGGGCTAAGTATTAGGAGGCCCAGATTCTTAACTTAGCCACTAGCAATATGACCTTAGATAATCCTCATAAACCTCACTGTACCTCAGTTTCCTCATCAGATGAAATGACAGAGGAATGCAGTCCCTTCCAACTTTAAAATGATTTTGGAAGGAATCCTATTCGAAATTGGCTAGAAAAAAGTGGACTGTGACTTAAGGGATGAGACACAGAAGTCTGAAGTCAAACACACTATTATTTGGAAGCTTACTGACCTACCTATGTTTACAAAGTATGTGTAATGTTTTTTAGAAAGCAGCATAACACTGTGTCTTAGGGTCACATAACTTGACAAAGGCTTAAATTCTTTGCCTCGGCTTTCCATTATTAACCAATGAACTCTACTGGTGGATCTTTGTCTAGCACTTCATAGTTTGCCACATTTTCACATGACATTATTTGGTTTCCATAACAGGCAGGGAAGATACTATTCCTGTGTTTCAGATGAGGATACTGATGGCAAGTGACTTGCCGAATTCTCATTGCCTGTCAGTGGATAGAATGGAAACTAACTAGAACTCTGGACTTCCAATCAAGTACTTTTGTCTTTACACCCTACTACCTCTTCATGTGTTTTTCCCCCTAGTGCTCTACATTATCTGTTAAGACTGTTTTTATTCTCCTCACATGAAAATAGCTGCTAGGTTTCTCAGTCATAAAATTTGAAAGCTGGGTGAAATCTATCCCATTTGCCTTACTGGAGGTATAATACAATTCTACCATTTTACAAATGAGGAAACTGAAGTCTACAGAAGCCAAAATGACCTGATACTGATATGTATGTATATGTGTGTGTGTATATATCTATTTCCATCCAGGACTTGGACACATGCTGTTTTCAGTATACTTTATTAGGAGAAAATCAGAGATAATGTTCTTTTAGAGGGACAAGAAGTGAAAACTATTAATTTGAATATTATCACTAAAGTACCAGGATAATCAGCCTTTCAGGAAGCAGCTATTGGGCACCTGCTATATCCAAGCCATTCTTATTTTATAAAGTATTTCTTGAAAGAACAGACAGTCAAAGCAGTGTGTTTTTTAATTGTGCAGATGGCTCTTTTCTGTAGTTTAGATACCAAATTATTAGCTGGGCATTTTAATCCTAGTTTAATTAGTGAGCAAGACAGGTTTTTATATTGTGAATTTAAGTTTAAAAAAAAAATCCCCCCCAAAAACAAACCATACCCAGAAACAGGATTCTTTTATTCTTGTTACTATAACAGTTATATTGTTGACTCTTGCAGTTCTTTGAAGTGTTGTAAGTAGGTTATTATATCTCAGAGAACAGAATTTCCTGAAATAATCACATTGAGTTTATTTACTTATTTAGTTTTACTTTATTTTTTAATATTCTTCATGTAGTAAAACACAAACATCAGAAAATACCAGAGATTCAGTCATATATTAGTCAAGTATAGCTAGATATGGCTAGGGGTCATAATAATGAATTAGATAGATTTCAGGATACTACCAAATAGAGATGCACAAAATATATTTTGAAATACTGGGCATTGACCTCAGGTGCTCTTTCAGCTTTGTCCTTATTCTTCCTACAGGACTTTGTTTATATTATTGGAGTAGTAAAGTGGTAACATTTTATTATGGATATTGACACAGATCCCCAGCAAGACTTTAGCTCTTTGAAGTCTGAGACCACTTTGCTTTATTCTTTTTGAATTTTAGAACCTAAGAAAGCACCCAGTACATTGTAGTTAATCAGAAAACTTATGATAGTATTGATATAGTATATCAAAACACCTTTGAGTCAACGGAACCAATTGTAAGGATAAAAACCCATAGATCCCACAGTCTTCTTGAGAGTTAAATTAGCTTGAAAGAATTGTTAGTGTCTTGCAACCCCTAAGATATCCTTTTTATTGATAAATCCCTGTGCCACTAATGAAGTGATCAGTAGAAAGTAGATTACCTCTAAGCTATTCAGTTTAGTTTCCAGGAGGGGTTTTATTTTAAATCCACAGCCTCCTACCAATTTGTGATAGTGGCCCAACAAAAAGACAGGGTGTTTCTCCTACTTTGTAATTCAACCAATTTCCCTCTTTTGGGTCTATCAAACCACTGTGTTCTTGGTAAGGGGATGCCAGGGACATAATACATAATGTCACACACAAACTCTGAAAACCAGTTCATTATTCTGCTTTTTAAAGACATGTTTAAAATATCTATATAGACACTCTAAAAACATTTATTTCAACTACTCTTATTGTTAAAAAGTTTCTTGTTATTCATTAATTAAACAGAGGACATTCTGTTTGAGAAAGGATCCTTTGTGTAGGCAAGAATTATAACTTCCTTTAGAGTTGAAAGGCATGTGAATGTGTTTTGCACAAATTTTTTACGTTTGCTGGTTCATTTACTAAGTAAGTCAAATGCCCTACATATTGTTTATTAAATCTCTGCCTTTAATGTAAATTTTCAGCTTAAGTTGAGGTGGATTGAGGGATATAGATGCTACCACAGAGGAAAATTATTGAATTCTGAAATGTATTTTGTGTTTTAACATTTATTTGGGTGGTTTTTTAATTCAGGAAAATATAAAGAAGAAAAAATGGCCCAAAATCTCACTGATAAAATAACGTTTTTTGATACTTTGTTTCTGGTCCACATGCATTTATTAGCAAGCAAGCATAAACACATTTGTTGACATTAAAAAAATAGAAATACATACAATTATTAGATAATTGAAACTGTATAAAAATAAAATCCTTCCTTACCACCTTTCTCTCTCCAAAAATTTCTTGTTATCCTTCCAAGAAAATTTTTAATGCATCTATATATCTTCTAAAGAAATTATACAAAAGGATTTGTGCTGTACACTGTGTTCAGCATTTTGCTTTTTGTTTTCATTTCATATATCTTGGCAACTTTTTTTATGTCAGCATATGCAGATCTACCTCATTGTTTTTTAATGGCTTGATTATGTGGATGGGCCTTTTTTTTTTACTAGTCTTATATTGATAAACATTTAGATTGTTTCTAGTTTTGTTGCAACATTGCAGTGAACATCTGATTCACATATTTTGGCATAGGATAATTTCTGAGCAGTTGAATTGCTGGATCAAAGGGTATGTTCCTTCAAAATTTTGAAAGACTTTTTTTTAAGTTGCCATCCAAAGGCAAGACCAGTTTTCACTCCTGTCTACAGAGAGTACAGCATACTGGTTTTCTCATACTCTTGCCACTATTAGCATCTACCAATCCCAGTAAGTGAGCTAAATAATATTTGTAAGGAAGGGGGAAATATGTGGGGTTTTTAAAATACTCTGAAATTAGAAAAATGTTGAAAAGGTTAGTATCCTTATTTTTAATTCTTTTTTATGTTTTACATATTAAGAGATGAAATTGGCCTGATCCCATGTCCTGAAGCTAGGTATAACCGGAGTCCCATAGTCCTGGTTGAAAACAAACTGGGTGTGGAGAGCTGGTGTGTCAAGTTCCTTTTACCATATGTCCACAACAAGCTCCTTTTGTACAGAACAAGAAAGCAATGGCTGAACAGAGATGGTAAGTATGAATCATATTTTCTTCATTTGGTTTTTAGAAGCGACATGGAATATAGTAGGAAGAGCCCTTCTCTGAGTGTCAGCATTCCTGGATTCTAGTTCTGCTTCTTCTGTTCACTGTCTCGGTGGGTGCTAACCTTTCTGTCAAGTGAGTAGTTTCTACTCACCTGGACAAATTTTACAACCACAGTGATTATATAGAAGCCCTCAAGCAGAATTTCAGGGCACCTCCTGTAACCAGAGCAGTTCAGATTTTATCAGTTTATGTATTGGGGTCATTGGTAAGATTTCATTTGAAGGAAAAAAAAAAATCTGAATGTCACTGAAGAAGACTCTAGTCCCTATAGGCTCAGTCTCTGGTTTCTAATCCTTTAGTATTTTTATAGGCAGCAAAACTCATTTTCATAGTAGTCCAAATGAGATAATGTAGGCATGATAGTGGTAGTGATATTATGAACCAGCCCAGTGATTTATGGATGTGCCATTCCACTGCAAGTTCCAGTTGAGCTCTGGCCGTTTGTATCCTGTTCCTGTGCTGAAATGAGCAAAACAAAACTATCCGGCATTCACTTCTTCCATTTCTCTCAGACAGTTTTTTTTTTTACTGCATCAGACAATCCCTAATCATTCCATCTGGTCTCTTTTCTTGGTGTTCTGCCATATTAAGCCTCCATGTGCACAAATTCTGTTTATCATTGTATGCCCACCTCAGGTCTCACTTTTTGGGAGAAGACTAATTTAAGACCATGTCCTTTACTGTTTTTGTAAAGCTTCTTCCCCTTCCCATGTACGGCAGTACCTTCAAAAGCGCTCAATATGCCTGGAGGCTGATTTTGAATAAGAACTTTGTTTCCTAGAGAATTTTAGTTGCCAGTTTGGTAGCCATTACCAAGGGTCTACTCATACCAGATGCTGTCCTGAGTACTGTGGGGGATAAAAAGATGAATAAATACATGGTCCCTTTATTCAGGAAGCTTACAGTTGAGTGATAATCTCTTTGGGGGCGAGAGATGTACAGAAGAGTGTTGCCTAATGTATGACATACTGATTTCCTTGAATTTCTGTCAGCACTATCTGTAACATACTGTCATTAATTGGTTAATAACACTTTTCCCTTTTTATACCATAGAAAGGGACTCTGAAGGTTTAATGAGCAGTGTTTTCTATTTTCTGTGTGACTGTTTCACTCAGTCCTTTGTTATATATTTTCTTATTAGAAGGCTGTGCCTAAGTTTAGCCATAGCCCAAATTTATGGCATACACTTTAAGGCATGGGTTTAGGGATAAACTTAAAGGTAAGCAAGTTTATCTGTTGTTAGACCCTCTTTAATTCTGCATTCCATCACCGTGCTGTAGTTTTCAGTAACACTGAGGTAAAAAGTAACACCATATGACTCCATCAAGTTATTTTTTGCCAAACAAAGCTGTACTGTTTATATTCTGGTGCACAGAAATGCATAATCGAACCAATGTATAACTAACTTTAGTTAGGGGATAGAATGATTATCTTATAGAAAAGAAACTGAATTTTAAAAAGTGAGAGGCTATAGTTGCCCATTTATGTATGTTAGCTCAACCTACCCTTTCTGTGGTCTTCCAAGTCCTCTCCATTTCTCTGTTTTTGTCCTTCTGGACACTATTGCAGGCTTTGCTGTGTCTTCTTACCACATAGTTTTAGTTTTAGTAGGCTCATAAGGAACCTTGCGGAATATTAAATGGTTAAGCTCACTCACATGAATAGCTGGCATCTAAACTTTGAATTCAGCTGCAACCGTGCATGTGTACAAAAGCAGCTTTTGATTTGATCCTAACCTACATCCCCATGGAAGCAGTTTTTAATTTGACTATTTTGAGGGGGGTGGATAGCATAATTTAGTATGGTGTCACATACTACTCAGGTTATATATTGTATTATCAGTAAATATAAGAAAGTGAATTTTGGGTTTGACAGAAAAAGATATCTGAAAATAAAAGAGTATTCTGCCAAACCTAAGAACTGAAGCAATTAGAGCACAGAGGTGAATCTTGCTAAGAAAAACATGTCAAAAATGTTAGGAAAAAGCAGTTATTTCATGAAAATGCTACACCTTTAAAATTATTTGTTATAGAGAATATATATTTATAAGAAGACCCAAGTGAAGAAAGATGACAATTTAAGTGACAGTTTCTGAATGTCTGTCTGTGTGATCGATCATGCAAGAATCCTAGGCATCCACCTAAAAATGTATTCTGTAACTGAAGGTGACCTTTACTCCTGGGATAGATTTTTTCTTCCTAACCAAACTGAATTCTTGTTTTCATTAACCTGCTGAATTCCTTAGATGTTTAGGAATTATCCCTGTTTAGTTAGTTAGTTAGAGATTGATTTTTTTTTTTTTAAGTCTGTGATAGTAATACATTCGGTTTGGGAGAGGACTGATTCTGTAATTCTGATGTTTGAGAAATCCATAACAGATATAAGAAGCAGGAGGGAAGACCACAGCATTGGAGTTCTTTCTGGACAGAGCTCTCTGGTGCAACTCTTCAGGAGTGCCCTCCTGCCATCTTTTCTTGCTCCTCTCTCTTTTTCACAGCCCCCACTTAGTCTATATCTGAGCTCTCTCTTTAAAAGCTGTCTTCTGCTCTCCATTTCTTTGGCTGACCAGGCCTTCATTATTTCTCATCCAGACAAATGTTATTACCTCATAACCAGTCTACCCCTTTTCCAGGCTCTTTTGTGACCCATGTCCATTATGCCAGTAGCCAGTCATTTCAGACACGCTTGAACAGCATTTCTTAAAAACAGTTTGACCACGCTTTTCTGAAATACATTATATGCTCATCTTATTTCATGATACCCACAGGGTCAACGTAGAGTCGAAACTCCTTAGCATGGTATTCAAGGGCCTTCACAGTCTGTCCCCAGTTTTTCCTCCAGTTTATATTCAGCATCAGAGGTTGCAGATTCTTAGCACACAGGCTGAAGCTAATCTAGATACATTTTGGTGTGGCTTGTATAATGTCTTAAAAATTGCTTTTTATTAGTTGGATAAATCTGATTTCTGTCTTCACTTGAAAAATCATAAGGCTTGGTTGAGTATACAACTTTCTACCTGGCAATAGTTGGCTGGGACATACAGCCTCTACTCTTCGTAACTGGGCATGTCTGTTCCAGTTTATCACAGCCTTTTCAAGCTCTTGAGACACTGCGGCAGAGTGTTAGTTGATACTTCTTGTCAAATTTCCTTTGCTACTTTTTTGAGGTTCATTTGAACCCTAGAAACATTTATGTTAGCAGCTATTTGATACATATGTTCATTACAGCCACAAGCAGCATTCTTCCATTCTTTGACTCTGTGTGTACTACTGCCTTACTTCCATGCCTTTGCTGAGGCCAGGCTCATGTCTTAATGTTGGCATTATCAGTGTGGTTGCCAGCACATGCACGTGCATACACATACACACACTTAACACTGTGAAGCCTTTTTGACTGCTTCAGGAAGCAATAATTATTCCCTGCTCTTTTATGGAAGCCCTTTACTCAGATGGCTTGCATAATAGTATCACTTGTCACACTGTATTTTAGCTGATTAAACAACCTTTTTCCTGGCTGGAATGTGAGTTTATTAGGAAAAGGGATTGTGGATCATTTTTATTTACTCAGAACCTTTACATGTTCAACAGACATTTGTCAAACGAGTAACAAGAGTTTGTAAGCAAGAGTTTTTAGCTTAGTCTAGCTATTGATTCTGTGACTGTGTACTATAATAAACAAGGCCTCTCTGGTGTTTACCATATAGCTTTAACTCAAGCTTCACTTCTTGTGGTAACCTGAATGTATTTTGGAGGAAAAGAATTACTGATTTAAGTTGGCCTTGAATTTATTTCTAGATGCACGAAAACCTTTCTCTGTTAGAGACAGTTGTCAAATCCAGTGACCATTACCAGGTGACTACTGGCCTTGGGCCATTTCTAGAATGCAGTGCAGCAAGAAAAGCATATTGATTTTTCTCCAACTTCTGTAGCATCCTTTTATCTTCTCCTTGTTATAGCTGAAATTTAGCTACTTTTCTATGTATAATGTGCCCTGATTTCTTTTTCTCCCTGTGGCGTGATGATGGGTTAGTCATATATTGTAGTGTGTGTAACAAAGGAACATTTATTTGCTGGTATATGTTCTGTTGTTTGGAGAGAGACCTGTTTAATTTCAAGAGACTGTGGAGATTTCAGTAGCTCATGTCTTTTGGGTGAAACTGCAGAGGAAATGGCGTATTGTTGATGAAATTGAGAGAGTCAAATAGTTACAACCGTTGATTATACATGTTCTTTTTCAGGTCTTTGGTTCAGTCCTGACCTGCAGAAGGCAAAGTTATTGCCTGTAGTGTGGTAGAGTGAAAGAGCATCTGCTTTGCAGGACAGCAGACCTGGATTTAAACTGAACTTGTCAGCACACTGAAGTCACTTAGCAATGACTTAGCAAATTACTTAACCTCTTTCTTCCTATTTCCACACCAAAAGAAGGAAATACTAATCAAGACCTCAGAGGGTTGTTGTGAGGATCAGATTCTTTAATTATGTCTGATACTTCTAATCTAGTTTCTTCTCCTAGTCCTTTCTCATTTCTGTCATTGCACTTTACCCCTAGCTTCTTATATCAGACTGGAATATTTACTGAAGGAAGTCTTGTCTGAGCCTGAGTCCTGAATGAGGAAGTTTTAGCAGTTTGTGAAAGAGGAGAAGAGAAGGGCCTATGGTTGTATATGTTACTAGGTACCACCGATGGTGGTCAAGGCTGTTGATGTTTTAAATTCGAAGATTCTTAAAAGTCAAAAAGTATCCCTCTGCTCAGCAGTCACTGCTTAGCCAGCTTAGGAGGATCTTTTGCTCCCTCTGGAGGCATCCAGTCCCAATATCATTTGTGGAACTGGACTAGAAAATACAGGCTTTGTAACAGGAATTACCATTCAGTCCTTACTGTATGTCAGAGACTGTACTAACACTTCAAGGATTTAATCATCTAATATACCCATGATAGCTCCATCTTACATACGAGAAGGACATTAAGGCCTAGAGAGATTAAGTGATTTGCCCAAGAATTCCCAGTAAGTGATGGAGCTGGGCTCTGTCTGAACCCAGTAGCTGCTGTTGCTCTCTTAGGGAGAGACCTGCCAGTAGAGGAAGTGTTACTTTGATAAGTCTTCCTGTATCTTCACATAACCATAAAATGAAAAGCGGGGACTTAAGTACTTGCTGTGTTAGTTTTTGCCTTGTGCTGCTGTACAGAAGTCTCTCATGGAGGATGGACTTCTTGTCTTCACTTGTGATGGAGGGAGGAAGGAAATTGTGTTAGAAGTACAAACAAATAGCAGCTACCATTGGTCAGACACATTTTCTTTAATGTAGAAAGGGAGATTCCAAGGGACTATGCTAATTTACCTAGGTAGAATAATCACTTTTTAGAAAATTGTAGATGTCAAAAGAAATTCCAGAGGCTTTCCCATCATTTACAAACCTTTCCATGTAACTACTTGACTACAAAGGGGTTTTTTGTTATTGCTGCGTATTTTACAAGTTTGGAAATTTAGACAGTTTTACTAAAGGAACAACCTCCTCATTATTCCAGACTTCCTTACTTATGTTGAAAATACTCATTTCTTTGTCAGTCAGTGATGGCGTTTAATTGTACTCACTGTGTGTCAAAAAGCTGTGGAGAAATGGAATGAATTTCATTGCTCACAACACCATGAGGTTGATGTTTCACTGAGGTTTCACTGAGTGAGTCCTTGTTTCACTGAGGTTCCAAGAGGTTAGGTTATGTAGGTAGTAAGTGGAGAAGCTGGGATTCAAACCCAGGTAGTATGGCTTTAAGGAAGGCCTATCCTCTTACCACTCCTCTGTGCTGTGGTCAGACATGGAGCTGCTTTTGGCCAGGGACTGTGCTTACTCATCTTCAGCCAGCTCAGTACCTGGCTTATTGTAGATGCTTACAAAATTTGTTGAGTGAATGAATAATTTGAACATGTATTAGAGAGGACCTGCGTGCAAAAAATTTGTGGTCCAGTTAAGAGGACAATATTTATGTAAGTAACAAAAGTAAGATACGCATAAAACAGATGAGGCCAGGTGCAGTGGCTCACACCTGTAATGCCAGCACTTTGGGAGACTGAGGCGGGTGGATCACCTGAGCTCGGGAGTTCAAGACCACCCTGGGCAACATGGTGAAACACCGTCTCTACTAAAATACAAAAAATTATCTGGGCATGGTAGCACGCGCCTGTAGTCCCAGCTACTGGGGAGGCTGAGGCATGAGAATCGCTTGAGCCTAGGAGGCAGAGGTTGCAGTGAGCCAAGATTGTACCACTGCACTCCAACTTGTACTACAAAGTGAGCCTCCGTCTCAGAGAAAAAAAAAAAAAAGCAGAGATGAAAGATTTTTTTCCAACTAGGTAGGTTAGGAAAGCCTTTAAACTTTTTTTTTGTTAAATATTAGGAGACGGGAAGACATGAGCCAGAAAGAATAGCAAGCAGGTAAATCTGAATTATGTTCCGAGAAAAGAAGGTAGGCGGGTAGGACGTGTGTTCATAGGACAGTGGAGTTTGACTCAGGTGGAATGTAACATGTAAAGGAAAGTAATGGAAGGCCAAGCTGATCAGGAGATTGAGACCAGGTTTCAGAAGGTTTCACTTCCTGGTACATTTTACCAGTACCTTGTGTTGTAGTCATGCTCTGGTATCCATAATCTCTTAGAGAGCAGACTATGTGTGAAGTTCCATGCATTTTTATCTTTGCTCATACTTTTTCCAGTATGGTAAGGTGGTGCCGTGACCACTTTATTTATTTACAGTCTTCCATGTATAATTCCACTAAGAATTAATTGCAGCTTCTTTGGTGGGCCCCAAAATGTGGTTTATGTTTCTACTTCATAATTATTTTGCCTTATATAATTATTTGTTTATATAGTCTCTCCAACTTGAAGATAACCTAGAGGCAAAATTAGGTCTTGTTTATCATTACATTCAATCACTCAGTCCTAAGGGCCTACTTTAATCTTTGTCCATAGTCAATACTTGGAATATTTGTGGAATTAAATGAATAGTGACATAGAATATTATATTTATTTTTCTTGATAAACATTAAGTTAGTGCCAAAAACTACTAAAAGTAAAAAAATGAAGAGGTTAATTATTCTTCATAGGCATATTGTGTTGTAATGTATGTAATGACTTGGAGGTCAAAATAAATGTGTACTGATCCTACTGTTTGTTGCTCATTTGAATTGAATATTCCAATATGCTCACTAGTAATGAAATCATGGGCCCCAAATAAATGTTAATCTCCTATTAAGATAGAATAAAATAATTGATTTTATTGTTAGCTAGAATATTTTTAAATGACTATTGGATGTGTTTATGTGTATTTGCTCTTAGATATTAAAAAGTTTATATTTTACTTAAACACTGAAAATGTCCCAATTATTGTAGGCAGACATTTTGTTTGCAGCATAATTGACTTGTTGGAAACAATTTTGATGTTGACTTTGCCACATGCTAATTGGGTGACTACGGGCAAATTGCTTAAATTGCAGAATTTCAGTTTCCCTATCTGAAAAGTGGGATAAGAATATTTTGGATTGTGATTATGAGAATTTAGTGAAATAATATAAAATAAAGTGCTTACTGCCATGCCTCATACACAGTAATGCTAAATAAATGGTAATAATTATTTGTATTGTTTTATTACATGACATTTAATAAGAGCTTGGTAGGGTTGCCTTAATTTAGTACTGTGCCCCTAGATAGATAACCTTAATCCTAAAATTCTTTTCAGTTTTAGTAAGACAAAGACAATATGTCTAAACTTTGCTAATTTTGTTCTTTCAAATAGAGGCTTATGGTGCTTATTTGAATGTATAGGAATTCTGTCATAAATATAAATAGCTAATGGATGTGAATAGCTGGTTCATAAGATGAACTATATGTAGTAAACAATGAAAATGTTTCTATTAACAAATGTAAATTAAAACAAATGAATTGTAATTTTTTATCTGTCACATTCATTTTTAAAAATATATATAGGTCAGTTATAGGGACATAAGTACACTCATGTTCCTTTTGCCAGTATAAATAGATACAGTCTATTTTAAAGACAATCTGGAAATGCTTAGTAGGAGTCATACTGATTTTTAAGTTGTTTTGACATAGTAGTTCTGCTTCAGGAAATATAGCCCAAGAAAATAGCCTACAAGACAAAAAGTTTTTAAAAATGTTTATAGTAGTATCACCTATAACGTTAAAAACAAACAGGAAACAGCCTAAAGAGTAAGGTAATTGATGGTATATAGGACTAAGGGATTGTTATGCAACTGTTAAAAATACATACTCTAGCAATATAGGAGGATGCATATGAAATAATACTTAGTGAAAAATATAGAACAAAGTTGTACATTTATCATTGCTATACCTATGTAAAAATATGTGCAAGAAAGGATAATTTTTGCAGGAGAATGTAAATGAATTATGTTAAGTGGGTTGGATTCTGAGTGATATTTTTTTCCTTTTGAAAATTCGCACACACCGTCAATACTTGAGATATTTGTGAAGTTAAATGAATAGTGGCATAGAAATTTTGTTTCTTTCCTCGGTAAATATTAAATTAGTACCAAAAAGCACCCAAAAGGAAGAGGTTAATTAGATTATTCCTTATAGGCATATCATAAAATTGTTTGTGTCATCTTTTAAGAGAGTTACACTTACCAGGAGAGGGTCTTGAGAGTAATCTTCATATCCTTGACAGCTTAGAAGAGGGAATTTATCATTAAAGTTAGTATGACATGAGAGATATATTAGTATAATGTGATAGAGAGAAAGAGAACCTTAAAAGAATGAGAAGCCAAGCTTTAAAAGGTAGGACTATTTGTTTTTAATATGACTTCTCTTTATTTTAGAATTGATAGATGTCACATGTACCCTGCTGCTTCTAAACCCAGACTTTACCACTGCATGGAACGTGAGGTATGTCATTTTCATTAGTGATATGATAAAGTTTGTCCAAATTTCTGAAGACATGTAAGCCCCATAAGTTGTTAGCTTTTGAAAACGAAATATAAACCATTTTACACTTATTTCTTCTCCCTATTCTTTATACCTGTGACAATTCTAAATAGGCATTTTGCCCCTTTTTGTGTGGTGTCTTCATAAACTTTCTTGCCTGAAATATAAATTGTCATGTTGAGTTACAGTATACTGTTTGATACATGCTTTTATTTTCCTTCATTTTTTGGGGTGGGAGACTAATGGGCAATGGGCATAACTGGTTGGCTTATAAGGCATATAACATTATATCATTGGTATTTGAGAAGCACTGCAGTGTAGTGGAAAGTGTATGGGATGAGAAAGAGGGAGTCATGCTTGCCTCTGGCTTTTTCCCTGAGCAACTGAAAGGATGGAATTGCCATTTACTGAAATGGCAGTGTCTGGAAGAGAAACAGATTTAGGTAGGCGGTGTTTGTTATAGGCCAAGAGTTCAGATTGGGACATGTTAGATTTGTGTCCAAGTAGTTGTATATTAATTTAAAGTTCAGGAAAAAGGTCTGGGCCAGATGTAAACTTGGGAATTACTAACATATAGATGGTTTTAAAGCCATGAAACTGTTTTAAGATCCCCAAAAGTGTTGGCATAGCTAGAGACAAGAACCAGTTCAAAGACTGAGCCCTGAGACATTCTATTTTCTAGGGTTGCACAATCCAGTACAGTAGCCATTAGCCACATGTGGCTATTGAGCCCTTGAAATGTGATTAGTCTCAACTGAGATGTGTCCGAAGTGATAAACTGCACATCATATTTTGAAGACTACCTAGCAAAAAATGGAAATATCTCATTAATAATTTTTATATTACTTGCTGAAATTATTATATTTTGGATATATTGAATTAAATATATTTATACTTGTGTTTAATATAGCTGTTAGAACATTTTAAATCATATATGACTCGTATTTGTGACTCACATTATATTTCTATTGGACAGCACTGTTCTAGCATTTGCAAGATGAGGAAGAATCAGCAAAGGAGACTTTTAGGAAGGTACCATGAACTTAAAATTCAGAGCTTTTTTAAGGGCAGGGACCATGTCTTTTTTTTTTTTTTTTTCCCCTTTGTTTCCTTAGCATCTAACTCTAGTGCCGGTACATAATAGACATGCAGTTTGCAAATTGGGCACGGAAATCAAATTCAGTGAAAAAGAAATCAGAGTAATAGGGAAGTAGGAATGCCATTTTTCTTCATGTTCTTGTATTCCTCACCTATAGAGAGGAATTCAAAAGTCCTTCAACAAAAAAATTCTCACTAGCCTAGCATATATGCATAGATAGGTACATACACACACACACACACACCTGTATACATATGTGTATACACACGTGTTATTCATTGTATATTCTATAAGCCCGTTGAGCATAGGAGAAAAAAACCTAGGCCTAAGATTCATGGAACTTAGTCCTGTTTCATCATCCTCACCAATAGAGAGGAATTCAAAAATGCTTCAACAAAAAATGATCTCACTAGCATAGTGTATATACCTACATACATACATACACACACACACCTATATACATATATGTATACACACATGTTATTCATTGTATATCCTATAAACCAGTTGAGCATAGGAGAAAAAATCCTGGCCTTAAGATTCATGGAACTTAGTCCTGTTTCATAAGTTAACTAGCGGCTGACTTTGAGTATAACTTTTAATTATCAAGAGTTTTGGTTTTTTTATCTATGAAATAAAAGATTTGAATTAGGTGAATTTTTTTATGATTCTATTAAACTTTTAAAAAAATATGTCTGGTTGGTCTTATGAAGGGAAGTTGCTCCATAAATCTAACTTGAGGGATGTTTATGACAGTTAATCTTGAAAATTGTTCTAGTTAGATGATTAGTAAGGTTTTGTGCTAGATGAGTAGAAAGGGAATCTTGATTTTTAAAAAATCCTTTGTGGATATGTGTTCTAGTAAATTTTAATTCATATCAGTAAGATTGATTGACATAGAAAGACATCAAATCATAGGTACATTTTGAGCAACAAACTACCAACTTCAAAGTAAATTCTAACCCTATAAGGTCTCTATTGCGTATCAAATACACAGAACTTTATTTTTAATTGTTAGTGGATCTCTTCTGTACTAACCCTGGAAGGCATTGAGTGATTTTTTAATGCATTTTTCAAACTGCTAAAGAATAATGCAATAGACGTCTAGTTCAATTTGTGGGTATTGCAGTCTTAGGGGAAAGAAATAGAGGCAAAAATAAGTTTTTGAACTGATCTCCTGTAATTACAGTGAGTGATACACATAATTTAGAATTTCAGCTGTCTTTTTTTTTTTTAAAGAAAACTGCTTTTTTTTTTTGCTTTGGAAATTTGTGAATTACCTGATGAAAGAGGTTGACTTAGTAATAATGTCCTATTTTCTTCATCAGTCTATGTACTTAGAGTAAGCAAAACACCTTTGAGCAACTAGAATAGTTGATGCCAAACTCCAGTGATTCATGTTCTGAACTCATAGCCTATTGATTTAAATTGGTAACTTTATTTTGTGCAGATTTGATGTTTGGTTCTGACATTTTGAGCTAAGAAACCTGAGCAAGTTACTGAACTTCTCCAGGATTCAATTTCTTCATCTGTAAAATTGAGGTATTTGGCCGGGCATGGTGGCTCACGCCTGTAATCCCAGCACTTTGGGAGGCCAAGGTGGGTGGATCACGAGGTCAGGAGATCAAGACCATCCTGGCCAATATGGTGAAACCCCATCTCTACTAAAATACAAAAAATTAGCCGTGCGTGTCAGTGCACATGTGTAGTCCCAGCCACTCTGGAGGCTGAGGAAGGGGAATCGCTTGAACCTGGGAGGCGGAGGTTGCAGTGAGCCAAGAGCGTGCCACTGCACTCCAGCCTGGTGACAGAGCAAGACTCCGTCTCAAAAAAAAAAAAAAAAATTGAGGTGTTAGGGAAATTTTTTTTATATAGATAAAAAACAATTTAATTCTAGCACCCACATTGTGGTTTCTAATACCATTCTTTAATGATGTTAGAAATGGCTGATTCTAGGACCAGAGCAGGAAGTATACAAGATGAGCTTGGAGCATCTTATAGAGCCAGAAAGTAAGGAAGTATTCAAAAATATATGGTGGGATATGAAAAAGGGACATGGGGAGCAACTGAAAGAGCTTCCAGTGGCCATAGCTGGAATGATTTGAGCAACAAAATAAATAACATAGTATTGGATTATACCCCTATCCATCAGCCCACTGAAATGAATGAATGAATATATAAGTAAGAGACAATAGACAAATGTTCTGTTAATTTATCTAGATAATCCCCCTCTACAAGGTAGAGCATAACTCTGTATTTCTTAAGGTTGAGCTGTGCACCAAATAAAAAAATCAGTGACTTTCTTGCAAAAAGTAGTGAAGAAACCTGAACTCAGCCAGGTAATCCAGATTGATATCAACAATGCTAAGTCATGTTGATAGCACATGCCTCTGATATGATGCAGTGAAAATGTCACTTTACCTCTTTGGTCTTCCTCTCCAGAATCTGTAACTCCAGTTTAATGATGAGAAAAACATTATACAAAATACCTGACCCATATTCTCAAAACTGTCAAAGTCATCAAAAGCAAGGTAAATTTGAGTAGCCAAGAGGAGCATAAGGAGACATAACTACCAAATATAAGGGATCCTGGAGGGAACTTTAGAAGAGGAAAAGGACATTTGGTAGAAACTAAGGAATTCTAAATAAAGTATGGACTTTTAATAAAAATATATCAATATCAATACTGTTGCATAAATTTTGACAAAGGTACCATGGTAATATAAGATGTTAATAGCAGAGAAACTAGGTACAGGGCATATGGGAATTCTTTGTATTATCCTTACAACTTGTTTACGAACCTGAAACTATTGTAAAATAAAAAGTTTATTTTTAAAAAAAGATTGAGTATCAGCAATTTCATATGGCTCAATGATGATATTTACCTTACAGGATTGTTGTGAGAAATTATGTAACATATGTAAATCACTTTACACGGTTCTTGACTCAGAGGAAGTGTTCAATACATGGTAGTTTTTAATGAGGATGGCCATTATTATTGTCATTTCAGACAGAGTAAAGATTGAGAAAAGAAAAAGAGTAGTCAGTTTTATTCAAACACCTTACATGCCTCATTGACATCAGTGACTTTGTCATCACAAGACCTAGTTGTTTTTAGTTCTGTAGCACATTTTTCCAGAGCCCATCATAGTATATCTAAGTTGTTTGAGCTACAGCACTTTTTGAATCTGTTTGTGAGTGGAAATTGTATCTCCAGTCAGATTCTTATTTGAATACATTAGAGCAGTTGATTTTTTTAAAATGTAGCTCTAAGGCCAGGTATGGTGGCTCACACCTGTAATCCCAGCACTTTGGGAGGCCGAGATGGGTGGATTGCTTGAGCTCAGAAGTTTGAGACCAGCCTGGGCAACATGGTGAGACCCTGTCTCCACCAAAAATACAAAAAATTAGCTAGACGTGGTTGTGTGTGCCTGTGGTCCCAGCTGCTTGGGAGGCTGAGGCAGGAGGATCACTTGAGCCCAGGAGGCAGAGATTTCAGTGAGCCAAGATTGTGCCACTGTACTCCAGCCTGGGCAAGACAGTGAGACCCCATCTAAAAAAAAATATATAGCACTAGATTATGTGATTGCTGTTAATGTTACCACATATCATATTTCCTCTTAAAGTGATTTTTGAAAAACTTGTTTCAGCAATATCCAACACCTACAAATGTTCAGTACTACCCCTAGCAATGTTTATTACATTGATATTAAAATTTTGCTTGATTCCATCAGGTGATCTTTTTCAGTGTCCATATATTAACATTGATTGAGGTTGTTTCAAGCTAAGATGTCTTCCCAAAAATGCTGCTTAATTCAAAATAAAGATATTAACGGAGTCCCCATTTTTTTCTTTTTCTTTTTTTAAAATTCTGTACCGCAGTGGTTGCAAAAGAGAGTGCCCATAATTTAAGAAACTTTGTCAAAACTCAGTTGTAGGGTAACTGCCTCTTTTTTGAAGAAAATTTTGATTATCTCCCCTTATATATGGATATATATGGGAATAAAGGTAGACAGTTATAAATAATAAGAGGTCTTAAATTTATGAAATGGAAATTAAGCATAATACAATAAATTCATTATAGTAGTTGTTTTTTAAACTTTAATGGGCATCATTATTGCCAGGCTGGAGTGCAGTGGCGCGATCTTGGCTCACTGCAACCTCTGCCTCCTGGGTTCAAGCGATTCTCCTGCCTCAGCCTCCCAAGTAGCTGGGACTACAGGTGCGTGCCACCATGCCCAGCTAATTTTTTTACTTTTAATAGAAACAAAGTTTCACCATGTTGGCCAGGATGGTCTCAATCTCTTGACCTCGTGATCCACCTGCCTCGGCCTCCCAAAGTGCTGGGATTACAGGCGTGAGCTACCGTGCCCAGCCAATGGGCATCATCTGAAGAGCTTGTTTTAAAACACATATTGCTGTGCCCACCTGAGTTTCTGACTCAGTTGGTTCTGGGCTGAGGCCTGAGGATCTGCATTTCGCATAAGTTCCAGATGATGCTGATGTTGCAGTCAGGGTTCACTTTGAGAAACATTGCTTTCAAACGTGGTTAAAATTACATAGAGCAATATTTTCCTCCTTTTACTTTATAGGTATCCTGACTTACTGTATGAACAAAATGTTACTGATTTCAGAAGAAAAATAATCCAAGACTGCAAAAGCAATTGGCTGTTGCAAGAAAAAAATATATATTTTATATATATATTATATATATATAATGACAAATTGGTTTCCTGAACATTGAAAGGAAAATAGTTGTTTTCTTTATCAAATAAAACTTTATAAATAGTATGTCACTGTTGGAAAGAAAATGTATTGTGGTATTTAGGAATTAAGTCCGTCTAAGTAGATATGGTATAAGAGCTGGATTCTGGTTTTCTCTGGCTTAAACTTCTCTAAAATAAATGAATAATCAGCCCTACACAGGAAGGACATTTTAAGATAAATAATAACAAATGATCTGATTTTATTATAAAATTATAGATACATTGAGAATTCAGTGAGAGTGTAATATCAGCACTTATCAAAAACTTACCTGAGAAATTAAATGTAAATTGTATTTACCTGAGAAACAGGTATAGAAAGCTCTTGCATGACATTCTTTATATAGTTGGCCCTCTGTATCTGTAGGTTCTGCATCCATGGATTCAACCAACCGCAGATAGAAAATATTTGGGGAAAAAATTGCTTTCTGTAGCGAACATGTTCAGACTTTGTTTTCCTATCATTAGTCCCTGAATAATGTAACAACTATTTATATAGCATTTACATTGTATTAGGTATTATAAGTAATCTAGAGATGATATGAAGTATATGGGAGGATGTGTGTAGGTTATATGGCAACACATTTTATATCAAGGACTTGAGCATTCGCAGATTTTGGTATCCTTGGGAGGTCCTGAACCAAGCCCCCACAAGATACCAAGGGACAACTGATTGCATTGAAGCTTTGGTTGGGCTTGAACAGTTTTAAAAACAACCAAAACATTACATTGCTATTACTTCTGCTGCTTATATTAATATTTTAAAAAGGAATGGCCTCGTATATCAAGGGTCATGTAAGTATTTTACCTTGTTAATAGCTCTTTTGGAAACTTATCC
Source organism: Homo sapiens (assembly GCF_000001405.40). NCBI lineage: Eukaryota > Metazoa > Chordata > Mammalia > Primates > Hominidae > Homo > Homo sapiens. The sequence continues at coordinate 69,735,052 of NC_000009.12, read as the reverse complement.
AAAGTAAGAATACAAAAGAAAGAAGTTATAAGCACAAAGCTTCCCCTGCCCAGATTTGTTTTAAAATAACAAAAAGTTTGACGCAACCTAAATGTCTAACAAGAAGGGAAAAGCATAGCTTCTAAATGAAAACTAATTTGATCATTTAAAATGTTCATTACAAAGATTATATAGAATCATGGGGAAATTCTTAAGATATAATGAGAGCAGGATGTAAAATTATATGTTAAAATGTATGTGTGATAGGGAAAAGTAGAAGGGAAAATTCAAAAATAAAAAATAGTAATTTGGTTAGAATAGTGATTCCATGAATGATTTTTTTTTCCCTTACATCTCAACCATATTGTGTTTGTTGTATGTGTGGTTTTGTAATGAAATAGACCATGTCAAGTCCTATTTAGGAAACTAGACCAATTTTGGCTGGTATTGGATTGGCCCTATAGGTACGATATCAGGTCTCACAACTTTTGGAAATGAGATAGGCCAGAAAACCCCATTTACCCTCACGCAAATAGTTAAGATTTAAAAATCGTTAAAATCTGTTGATTTAAGAGCTTCTCTTTCTGCTTATTAGTTTGTTATATTGGGATTATGAGAATACATTCTTGATTACTGCATGTCACATTTATGAGTGTTTTATATCCCAGAGTGGCTTGGGCTTTTTTTCTTTCTTTTTTTGTTTTAAAATTCTTAGACATTCGCTTCACAATGAGATTATATTAAAAGCCATGTAGAACCTTTGGATATAAGGATAAAGTAATGTTTAATTTTTTTTTTTTTTTTTTTTTTTTTTTACAGGAAAGAGCTGATCCTCTCTGGCACTTTAAATCCAATTAAGGATTTACATCTGGGAAAACTCGCCTTAACCAAGTTTCCAAAGAGTCCAGAAACATGGATTCACAGGTGTGGTTAATTTACAACATAGTACTCTTACTTAGGATTCAGACTGGCTGGAGAAAGAAACATGACATGTGAGAGGCAAGGTTACTTATTGGTTCCAGAGCATGAATTCTGAAGTCAGGTTACCTACATTTAAATCTAGGAGCTATATAACTTGCTACCTAAGTGTTCATGGGAAATTACTTAACTCACCAAGCCTCAGTTTTCTCATTTGTAAAATGAGAATAATAATTACACCTGTCTCATATAGTTAACAGTCAAGTTTACGTGAGTTAATGCATGTAACACTCCCACAGTGCCTGGCACATATTAAATACTCAATAAATGTTAGCTATTATTAACTCTTTGAAGCAGTTGTGGGCATTGCATTTATAGATACTCAACTGTAATGAGCAATATGGATTTTAAAAGCATTTGGTTGTTTTCCTGGTAAAGATGTTGGTGGTGATGGTTGTGGTTATTAAAATTAACTTACAGAGAAAGCTGAGGGCAGCTGAAGCGAATGCTGTGTAGGCTGAGCTAAAGTTGCTAAAATCCATACATACAAAGAACATTTTTAGGTTAAAAGCATGGGACAGATAGCCAGAATGCACTTTAGGACTCTCAAAATCCTGGCCACCTGGAACCATCTTCCTCTTGGACCCTGTGTAACTACTCTTATTTGACCAAAATGGGATGGTGTGGGCTTGCTAGTCAGGACCAATGAAGAAGTCACTCTGAAATTCTCAGTTTATTAAGCCACTCTAATTTTTCTTAAATCGTGGGCATTTTTAGGATCTTATGTCCGTTCCAGGTGTCTTAGTGGTAATCGTGCCTTTAGTTAACATTGCAGGTCAGCTTCTTCCAAACCACATAGTCAGTTATATTTTCTTCATCACCAGAAATTGAGATAGTATACCACAGAAGGGTATATGACTGTGTGTATGGGGGTTTGGAAAGGGATGGTGGCAGGGGAAAGGAACTGTTAAATATGCATCCATCAGTTTGGCTTGTCTAATTTTTTTTATCAAGCAATATTTTGTTGTTAAATAAGAAATTCCATTATTTTAAAATGACAAAGTGAGTTTTCTTACTTAATTTCCTGTACCTTTGGGTTTGAAATCTTTAGTCTAAAAAATGCTTTTATATAAGTAAATTACTGGTACAAAGTAAACACATTAAGTAGCTCGAAACACTATTTAGTGTTTTTTATGTAAATACATGTTAATGCAAATCTTAAACAGACAAAGGGAGAATTTGTGGATAAGGATATTTTGACACCTTCTTAATGGTTTAATGAATTATATTTGTTACCTTCCAGATTTTATGCTATAATACAGAATTTTGCTGAATGAAAGCTATCAGAATGCAGCTTCTTGTTTGCAAACAAATGCACATAGGGTGAGGCATGCATATATACTTAAAGATGTGAATCATGACTCCTTATAATATTTATCAGCCATTAATTTATGACCTCTCACCACGACCACACACACACACACCAATTGCCTTTACATTTCCTGGCCAAGTGGAGTTTTGGGATTGTCATTTTAGAAGTAATGACATTCTCTGTATTACAGATTTTAAAGTTTTTTTTTTTTCCTGTTTATCCATTTTCCACCCTTCATCCATACTGCTAAATTAGTATCATCATAAACAACAAAACAACCCCTCCCCATCTCCAAAATACTAGACTTATAAACAGGTATTATTTTGCATTGTCTCTGAATGGAAATTAAATTAGGAACAATGAAAACTGGTTATTTTTCTCTCTGGTTTATGTTCTTTCTGTGTTCTCTTTCCCACATGCTGCCTTAACAGGCGATGGGTGCTACAACAGCTAATTCAGGAAACCTCCTTGCCTTCCTTTGTGACCAAAGGAAACTTGGGAACAATTCCCACAGAAAGGGCACAGCGACTCATACAAGAAGAGATGGAGGTCTGTGGTGAAGCAGCAGGGAGATACCCAAGCAACTATAATGCTTGGTCCCATCGCATCTGGGTTTTACAGCACTTGGCCAAGCTAGATGTCAAGGTAGGAATATTACTGTCTCCTGGGCAGACTGCCTGTCTGCCCTTAAAATCTTCTGGTAGTAGTTCATTCTCAGAAGAGCTTTGAAGGAGTAGAGAAACTGATGGTCTGGCAACTTGAGAGAATCGCAACAGCTGCTACCTCTGGAGGAACCCTGTAATTAAATAAAAAGCTTGCATTCCCCACTAGTGCTGTTTTTGGCAGTCTTAAGGCTAGTGCATTGGTAAAGCAAGGCAGGTTTAACCAACTGAGGAAGATTGAGCATAACTCACTTTATCCTGAAACAGGAAGGGATTATTAAGCCTTATAGAACTGGAATTGCTATTTCTTGGTAGTGTTTGGTTATGTGACAATATACTAAGTCAGCTGGCTGTCTTTTCACACTCTCGTCCTCTGAAAAGGGGGAGAGGAGGGCAGGGATAGACAATCTCACCCAGGTGTTTTTAAAATTGGCTGAGCCTATAAATTACCTGGGGATTCCTAAGTTCCACTCCAAGCCTACTAAAGCAGAATGAGGGTGGATCTAGAGATCAGTATTTTCCACTGACTCAGGGTTATTTGAATGCAGAGCCAGTTTGGAAACTCTCACAGCCTAATCCTTTCAGTTTAGAAATGAGGAGATGGAGATTTCCAGAGAATTTTAATGGCTTAGACTTAGCTACAGTTGTACCACTTATTATTCATCAGAATGAGAGCCACATGTCCCTTTTGCTCCTTATATACTACGGTGTCTCAGTTTTTTCTTTTCTGATGGCGTCACAGTGCCATAAGAATCTAGGGTGCTCATCTAAAAAGCTTCTCAGGCTTGAGACAGTTAAAAGAGGTCAAGTTGAAGATTGAAGTGCCCCAGGTGATGCTTTCAGATAAGTGGGGAAGTGTTATGTAATTTTAACTTACCACCCTCTTCTTCCTACATCCCTCTTCCCATGCTCCCATTTCTCTCTTTGTTTCCTGGCCAGGGCAAATGGGAGACTTTTTACTTCCAGAGGATTTTAAGCCAATAATTCTGGAAGAGAAGCCTTCCCCATTCAGTTTACATGGCTTTGAGTTTCAGGAGGGGTGGCCGCCTAATGGAATAGAAAGAACCAAGGCTCAGAATCACATCAACCTAGGTTCAGATTTTGGCCCCACTACCTATATGTGGAAAGCAAGGTTTTATTGTTTTCATTTATAAAATAGGGACTCTACTGTCTGCCTCAGTGGATTATTGTGAGAGTTAATTGAGTTAATGGATGTAAATTACTGGGCATCTAATAGAGAGAGATTCACTCGATTTTAGTTCCTTTCTCTGTTCTCCAGAGATAGAAAATTGGCTACCAGTTTGCTTGATCAACTCCGTGCAATTTATTGATGAAAAAGTATAAAACCCTATCATACCCACCGACTGTCCTGTATACGCAGTAAAACAAAGTGTTTGCTCTCAACAAATTGAAAATCTAGTTGAGAAAGTAGACCAACAATTACAAAGCATCAGAATACAATGGGAGCACAGAAAAATCGTTCTTCATCTAGGATGCGCTCGTTGGAAATAGCTGCCGGGGGAAGGAAGATACATTGAGTTGGGAGGCATGATTACAAGTTGTTTGGTGGGTTGTCAGGGATATGGAGTGCTTGGTGGTCATCTCAGATCCATGACTTGATAGTGTGTGGGAAGAGGAAAGAGATATGGGGAGGATTGGGGATAAAAAGGAAGGCGGAGTCCAGGTTGACTGAGAGATCTTTGGAAATTTTTCTGCCATGATGTGGACCTTTACAAGTGGCATTTCCATAAAATCAGGAACAAGGGGCCAAAGTGAAATTTTTGGTTACTTGAGACCATCTGGTGGTAAAGATAACTCATTAATGGTGAGTTATAACTCATTAATGGTGAGCTCAGCTGCCAGGGTCCACTCCTGGGTTCAGATGTCATCATCCTTCCTTGACCCGCCCTTGGAGGAAGACTTACCATTCTTCCATTCACCACTTGCCACTGCAACATCTCTTGCTCTTGTTGTCAGTGAGGAGTCCTAAATTTGCAAAATCCCCTTTCTGTTGTTATAAGCCATTGGGCCCACCTAGAACATTTACTACTATGCTTTGTCTGTTACAGGAGGTAATCACAAAAATACCAGTAGTCTAAATCAGCTTAAAAATATATATGAAATGAGCCAGCATTTTTTAACTTAGGAAATTGAAAATGACTTTTTAAAGTGCTGGCATCGAGTATTAGTAAGAGTATGAAAATGAGCATTATTCAAATTGTTATAAGCTTACTGAAGGGCAACATGGCAGCACTTATCACACTTTTAAAAATAGGGTGTTATTTTTAAGAGTTCTGCTTCCAGGAATTCATCATAAAGAAATAATGGAAGATGAAGTATGGTAGAATGATTAGAAGCTTCACTCAGTGGTCATGCAGACCTGCTTTGCATTCTGGCTTTACCACCAATTTGCTGTGTAGCCTTGAGGAAGTTGCTTAGCCTCTTCAACCTTCAGTTTTCTCATCCGGAAAAGGAGGGTGACAATAATTCCCATCTCACTGAGTGATGCAAATTGAAAGGGAGGATTCATATAAAGTGGCTATCAAAGTGCCTTAATTAAGTGCTCAATAAACACTGGCTATTAAATATAGAAGTTTGATATATAAAAGTAGCATTTATAGTAGTGAAAAACTAGAAAAGCTGTAGCCCTTCAATAATGAGGGAATTGTTAGATTACAATCCATCACATTGGAATATTTTGTTATGACTAAAATGTATATTTTGGAAGATGATTTAAAGGAAAATATTCACAATAGGTTATATTAGGGTAGGCCTAATATTATTATTTATTTATTTATTTTTGAGACAGGGTTTTGCTCTGTCGCCCAGGCTGGAGTGCAGTGGCACAATCTCAGCTCACTGCAACCTCCGCTTCCCAGGTTCAAGCGATTCTCCTGCCTCAGCCTCCCAAGTAGCTGGGATTACAGGCACCCACTACCACGCCCAGCTAATTTTTATATTTTTAGTAGAGACGGGGTTTCGCCATGTTGGTCAGGCTGGTCTTGAACTCCTGACCTCAAGCAATCCACCTGCCTCTGCCTCCCAAAGTGCTGGGATTACAGGCATGAGCCACCACACCCAGCAGCCTAATATAATTTTTAATGTATTTATTAGCATTGAATGAGACAGCAAATACTTTAAAGTGTTTGAAACAGTGCTTGGCACATGGTAAATGCTGAACAGATAGTAATACATACACACAACAATGCTATAGATTTTTTTCTTGTATTTTTTATAAAAGCATATATTTGTTTTCTAGTCAGAAAAAGGTTAAAGAATAAAGATTGATTAAAAGTAGTATAGGGTGGAATTATGACACTAATTTTCTATTTTATGTTCTCTCTGATGTCTGCATGCTTAAATAAACATTTAAGTAAATTTTAAAATATTTTTATATTTGAGGGTAGTGTGGCAGGAAAGATTCACAGTCAGGCAGTTTATTACTACTGGCAAATTACAAGTTTCACATAAAAAAAGCACATATAGTCATTTCTCCAAAAAACCTACCCACACCACCAATAAGGACATGAAAAGATATTCACCATCTTTACTATTAGGGAAATGCAAAGCAAAACCACAGGGAGTGAGATACCACTTCACACCAAAATACGGACAATAACAAATGTTGGTTAGGATGTGGAGAAACTGAAACTCTTATTTATGGCTGGTAAGAATGTAAAATGGTACAGCCACTGTGGAAAGCAGTTTGGCATTTCCTCAAATAATTAAACATAGAATCACTATATATTAATAAAACTATAGTTAATATATATCATATTCTTGGAGAAAAACATGCATTACCATATATGACCCTGTAATTCTGCTCCTAGGTATATACCCAAGAGAAGTGAAAACACATTCCATACCAAATCTTGTATGAGAACATTAATAGCCATATTATTTATAATAGCCAAAAAATAATACCTCACCTGAGGAATGGAAAACAAAATGTGGCGTATCCATGCAATAGAACATTGGCCATAAAAAAGGAAGGAAATACTGATACATGCTATAACGTGGATGAACCTTGAAAACATGCTGATTGAAAGCAGTCAGATTCAAGGCCACATATTGTATGATTTCATTTATATAACATGTTCAGAATAGGCAAAGCAGGTTAGTGGGTGCCAGAGGCTGGGGAGGAGGGAATGGGATGTAACTTCTAATAGGAATGGGGTTTTGTGGGGGTGGTGAAAACATTAGAAATTAGATAAGAGCAATGGTTGCACAATTCTGTGAATATATTAAAAACCACTGATTTATTTTTTCACTTCAAAAATGATTCTAAAGTACATTAGAGAGAATAAAGCTTAAAGAATAGCTGAGGAATTGTTGGGAAAAACAATAAAGAACACTCTACCATTAGATACTTACATGTTTATTAATAAGACAGAGTAATTAAAATTGTGATGCTATTTCAAAAATAGACTCAGTAATGGAACAGAATATAAAGTCCAGAAACAAATTCCAATACATAATATGTACATATTTCATTAATGATGAATATGGCATTTCACATAATTAGAGAAAGGATTCCCTGTTCAATTTGTGATGCTGGTAAAATTTATTGACTTTTTAGAAAATAGAAAGTTAGGTGGTTTTTTTTTTTTAATCTTAAATACCAAATTGAACTTTAAATGGAATAAAAACCTATATGAAGAAAAGAGACTCACATTATGCTAAGTGAAATAAGCCAAGCGCAGAAGGATAAATATTGCATGGTGTCACTTGTAGGTGGACTCTAAACAAGTTGAACTCATGGAAATAGTAGAATGGTGATTGCAGGAGTAGGGGTTGTGGTGGGGAACAGGGAGTTGCTGGTTAAAGGGTACAAAGTTTCCGTTAGGATGAGTAAGTTCTGGAGGTCTAATGGTAGAACATGGTAATTACTGTTAATAATGTATACCCAAAGATTTCTAAGAGCGTTATCTTAAATGTTCTTACCACAAAAAATAAAATACTTATGTGAGGTGATAGATAAGTTAATTCACTTGATGGTGGTAATCATTTCACAGTGTATACATAAAAACAATATGTCGTACATCGTATATATATATGTGTGTGTATACGTGTGTGTGTGTGTGTGTGTGTGTGTATATACACAATTTTAATTTGTCATTTATACTTCTTCAATAGACCTGAGGGAGAAAAGAAAAAAAAGAATTTTACTTGACTCCCAATCTTTAAAAAAAAAAAAAGAATTTAAAAAATCAGTTGCAGTAATATATCGAAAATAATATTTATAACACATATGACAAATAGAGACTTAATATCTTTAATATGTAAAGACCTCTTACAAACTCGTAAGAAAAATAATGACTATCACAAATAGTAAATTAGATAATTCATAAAAGTAGAGAATTAGGCAAAATAGGCAGTTCATAAATGAAGAAGCAAAGGAAAAGTAATCACACAAGAAAAGATATTTAGGCTTAATGATAATTAAGGAAATGTAAATTAAAATGAAATGTGATTCTTATTAGTGAAGATTAAAGTATTGATGATGAATTTAGGAAATAAGCATTAACATGTACTTCCAATAGGAGTATAAATTATACAGTCTTTCTGCAGGACACTTTATATATCAAGAACTTTATAAAGTTTTTTTCTTTGTTCCAGCAAGTATATTTCTACAAATTTCTCCTAAATAATTAGATATGTACATAGATTTATTTATGAGTGTTACTTATACAAGAGTAGAAACAAACACAGGAATGGTTAAATTCTGTTAATCTTGAGGGTGAAATATTTTACGAGTTAAAAATTATAGAATAATATTTAATGCCATAGGAATGTATTTATAATTGAAGTAGAATAAAATTGGTACAAAAGAATATCCCAGATTTTTCTTAAAAATAAACTCTGTGCATGTGCATACATAGAAAAAAACCTGAAAGATTTGTTTTCTGCCAGAATGTTACAAGTAGTGATCTCTGGCCAACAAAATAATGGATGATTTTTGTTTGCTTTTTTATATTTTCCCATATTATTGGAATTTTCTATATTGATCATTTTGTATCACTTTTATAATCAGAAGAAAACCCAAATACTATTTTTAAAAGTTTAAAGGACCTATGGCATATGTATTTTTAGTAGTCTTTCATTTTTAGCACGTTATCCCTCTTTTTCATAGCCCTGCATTTGCAGTTTTCTTGTAGTTTATTTATTCACTTATTCATGTTTTCATATGGAAGTAGGAAAAGAAAGATATTTAACGTATATCATACGAAGGTCATTTATCCCATCAGTACTGTACATTAAAGCCATATCTTCATATAGTATCTTTAGATCACTTAAAAGTTAACTGGATCACTTAAAAGTAATTGCTGTCTTTTTTAAAAAAATCATTGCCTCTATCTTTATATCTTTTTATTCTAACAAGAGAATACCCTGAAATTCCAGTTAAAGTTTCTAATATGCATCTTTATATCTTAGGGAAAAGAATATAGTGGATTTTCTCTTTAAAAGCCTAAGAATTTTTTTAAGAAATTGATTTTGTTGAAAATATATATATATATTTTTTTTCTTTTTTGAGATGGAGTCTTGTTTTGTCGCCCAGGCTGGAGTATAGTGGAGCAATCTCGGCTCACTGCAACCTATACCTCCCAGGTTCGAGTTATTCTCCTGCCTCAGCCTCCCAAGTAGCTGGGACTACAGGCATGCACCACCACGCCCTGCAAATTTTTGTATTTTTAGTAGAGACAGGGTCTCACCATTTTGGCCAGGCTGGTCTCCAACTCCTGACCTCAGGTGATCCGTCCGCCCCAGCCTCCCAAAGTGCTGGGATTACAGGTATGAGCCACCACGCACAGCCAGAACATCTTTTATATGTGTGCTATTTTTGCCTCAAAATTAAATAATAAACTGCAATTTTATACATAGAAATATCCAGTTAGAAATAATCTAAATGTTTTCATATTATATAAGTTCATTTTAAATAAGTGGAGTACTCTTTTCAATCCATGTTAAGAAGCCATGCCAAAATAAAAAAGCTGCTGTATTATAGCCAGAATGTTCTACAGGTTTATTTTTCAAAAATGTAATAAATGTAAGATTGATTTTTATTTCAGGTAGGAGTTTATCTGGTGCTATTTTTCTTCACCTTTTAAAATCAAATAAAGATACTGTTTTCCATTTCTCAGATACTTGCCAGCTATAGCCTCTGGAATAAATTTAGGTGGCTATGAATAAACTCATTGGAACTTAAAGGAGATGTTTAAAACATATCACTGATACAACTTGACTATCTTGGCTGGAAGTAATCTTACTATTTGCCTTATTTATTAAATTGTTCATTCATTTCATAAAATATTTATGTATCCACTTTGATGTCAGTAGGTATAGGGGGATTGAAGTATCAGATAGGAATGAATAAATATCTTAAAGCCCTCACTCACTGAGTTTAATGAGAATGAAGAGATGCACTGAAATTCTTTAATAAATGTGATGGAATACATAAGTACTATGGGGGTTCAGCAAAAGGAAAGATTCCCGCGGAAGAAAAATGGTGTAAGAAATGGAAAAAAGATCATGGTACAGGAGAAGGCATTTGCCTGGGACCTTTGACAAACAGGTAAAGGTGTCATTCAGCATTATGCTGTCTGTATTGTTAACTGTTCACAAATGTATGTCTTTTTTCCTTAGCTGGTCTGAAAATCCTCTGACGGAACGTGGTAGGCACTTGATATACCTTTCACTGATTTATGTTTGCGACCTGTCCAAGACACTCTCAAATAAATTATTTTTGCATAGGTGCTGCTTTTTAAAAAATCATTTCATTTGAAATTCTTTAGTTTGCAAGATATTGGTATCACAAAGATTTAAACAATTTGCTGCTGAATTTTCAGTTATTTTAAAACCCATTTATTATTACTGTTAAGTAAGTTTGAGACAGTTAAAGTCACGAGCTCTTGAAAAAATCTTATTATTAGTGCATCATGTTTTTCTACTAATCCCTTATAATTAAGTAGTGAGCAAGACAGACACGGTCTCTGCCCTCATGACATTTATATTGAAGAACAAATAATTTCACTGAGCCTATTGTAGAGATAATAAGTTACATATTATACACATTTATTAAATGTAAAATAAAGTTTATATCAAAGTAATCTGAGTTTATATTTTTGCTTTTACGTCAGCATTACTTGTAAATGAATACCCTAATGCTCATCATTATTTTAGAATTTTATTTTCCTTCTCTGTGTGTACCAATCAGAATGTGAGTAGTCAAGGTCTAGGGAAAGGATGACAAATGAGTCCTTAAATTCTTTAGTCTTAAAAAAAAATCTATCACTTTTATATGGGAAAGAGAAAATTCGCATGTATTAAGCTTCCACTAAGTGAGAGCACTGTGCTAGACATTGTGTACAAAATATTGGTAAGAATGGTCTTGTCAAAAAAGGAACAAATCAAAGAGAAATCAGAGGCAATAATGGAGAAAGAAGAACCTTTGGGAACTCTTCTTCTTACTTCCCTTTTTTCTTCTTAAAAGATTCTTCTTGATGAACTATCTTCTACTAAACATTGGGCATCTATGCACGTTTCAGACCACAGTGGATTTCACTACCGCCAGTTTTTGCTTAAGTCTTTGATTAGCCAAACTGTGATAGACAGTTCTGTGATGGAGCAAAATCCTTTGAGAAGTGAGCCAGCCCTAGTTCCTCCAAAAGATGAAGAAGCAGCAGTTTCAACAGAAGAACCAAGGATTAATCTTCCCCATCTTCTAGAAGAAGAAGTTGAATTCAGCACTGATCTTATTGATTCCTACCCAGGACATGAAACCCTTTGGTGTCATAGGTAAGAAAAGGGAAAATCTATTTCCTACACAAAACTGCATGTCTTCATGAGAGCTGCAGAAAGTGTTAGTTACACCTGATTCCTGCCTGCTTGGGTAAACATGGTCATCTGATTGTGGAGCTTTGCCTGAGTGAATACAAGAGGTTTTGTGTTACCATATCATCGTCATCATCATCATCATCATCATTAATAAGAGATTCCTCATGTAGATCTCTGCCTGCAGCTTAGGATGGTGATATTCAACCTTGACTGTGCAACAGAATAACCTGTGTTAGTTCCAAAATAAAACAGAATCAGAAGTTTTTTTGACTCCTTCCTTGGAGATACTAATATTTAGCATATCTAGGATGGATTGCTGCCATCTCTCTTTTTTTTTTTTTTTTTTTGAGATAGAGTTTTGCTCTTCTTGCCCAGGCTGGAGTGCAATAGCGCGATCTCGGCTCACTGCAATCTCGGCCTCCAAGGTTCAAGCAATTCTCCTGCCTCAGCCTTCCAAGTAGGTGGGATTATAGGCACCCACCACCACACCGGGCTAATTTTTGTGTTTTTAGTAGAGACGGAATTTCACCATGTTGGCCAGGCTGGTCTCGAACTCCTGACCTCAGGTGATCTGCCTGCCTTGGCCTCCCAAAGTGCTGGGATTACAGGTGTGAGCCACCATGCCTGGCCCTTTTTTTTTTTTCCCCCCTAGAAAAAGCTCAACACATTGATGCACAGTCAGGATTGAGATTTGATTAGACCCCAAGAATAAGGTATGCTTTATCATTTTTCCAACCCTGATGGTCTGCAAATTAACTTACCTGAAGTATAATCTCTTGACACTTTTTGTTTAAAGTGTAAGAGAATTTCTCTTTGAGAGAGGGGAAAGTCTGGTAGCAAAGAGTGAAAAAGGGTTAGCAACCTATCAACTTCAGTTGTGAGTACATTTGACAGTATGTTGGACTGAAGTCACATATGTGACCCCTTCCCAGCTTCATTTCTTTTGGATCTTCCTTTATTTGGAGGCATCTTCATCTTCATAAATACAGATTCTACTTTAGGCCATAGCATTGTATTTGTAAATGAAAGACTTGCCTGTGCTAGGCAGGAAGGAGGTAGGCATTGTTTAAAATTGCCTATTTCTAAAGTTATTGAGATTTTCTTTCTTTCTCCAGTCTAGTCTGTCTTGCAGGTTATTTGAGGAGACCTGGTCAGCTGCTTTTCCTTACTAAATATATTCAGAACATAAAAGATTATCTCCCCTCTTTGGCACCTTCATTAGTAGAGAACATTCTTTTTCTCTTAAAACCAAGACACTTATTTCATGTTTTCAAGAGGGAAGATAGACCTTTTAAGCTACTGGCATACCTCAGAGATATCACAGGTTCAGTTCCAGACCACTGCAATAAAGTGAATATAGCAATAAAGTGAGCCACACAATTTTTTTTTGTTTCCCAGTACATATAAAAGTTACTTTTACATTACACTATAGTCTAAGAAGTGTGCAACAGCATTATGTCTAAAAAAAAAATGTGCATATCTTAATTAAAATACTAGGTTGCTAAAAAATGCTAACGATCATCCGACCCTTCAGCAAGTTGCAATCTTTTGCTGGTGAAGGGTCTTGCCTCAGTGTTGGTGGCTGCTGATTGATCAGAGTGGTGGTTGCTGAAGGTTGGGGTGGCTGTGGCAATTTCCTAAAATAAGATTGCAATGAAGTTTGACTCTTCCTTTCATGAAAGATTTCTCTGTAGTGTGTGATGCTGTTTGACAGCATTTTGCCCACAGTAGAACTTATTTCGAAATTGGAGTCATTTTAAACCTTGCTGCTGCTTTATCAACTAAGTTTGTGTCATACTCTAAATCCTTTGTTGTCATTTCAACAATGTTCACAGCATCTTCACCAGAAGTAGATTCTATCTCAGGAAACCACTTTTTTTTGTTTTTTGGTTCATCCATAAAAAGCAACTCCTCATGCATCCAAGTTTTATCATGAGATTGTAAGCAATTCAGTCACATCTTCACGCCCCACTTCCAATTCTAGTTGTCTTGCAATTTCCACCACATTTGCCGTGACTTACTACACTGAAGTCTTGAACTCCTCAAAGTCATCCATGAGGGTTGGAATCACCTTCTCTCAAAGTTTTGTTCATGTTGATATTTTGACTTCCTCCCATGAATCACAAACGTTCTTAATGGCATCTAAAATGGTGAACCCTTTTCAGAAGGTTTTCAATTTACTTTGCCCAGATCCATTAGAGGAATCACTATCTGTGGCAGCTATAACCTTATGAAATGTATTTCTTAACAAGACTTGAAAGTTGAAGTTTCTGCTTGATCCATGGACTAGAGAATGAATGCTGTGTTAGCAGTCATGAAAGCAACATGAATCTTTTTGTACATCTCAATCAGAGCTCTCACATGACTAGGTGCATAGTCAATGCGCAGTAATATTTTGGAAGGAATCCTTTTTTTCTGAGCAGCAGGTCTCAACAGTGGGATCAAAATATTCAGTTAACCATTCTTTAAACGGATGTGCTGTCAACATACAGGCAGAGTAGACTTAGCATAATTCTTAAGGGCCCTAAGATTATTGGAATGGTAAATGAGCCTTGGCTTCAACTTAAAGTCACCAGCTATATTAGCCCCTACCAAAAGTCAGACTGTCCTTTGAAACTTTGAAGCTAGGCATGGATTTCTCTCTAGCTATGAAAGTCCTAGATGGCATCTTTCAATAGAAGGGTATTTCATCTACATTGCAAATCTCTTGTCAGTATAGCTGCCTTCATCAGTGATCTTAGCTAGGTCTTCTGGATACCTTGCTGCAGCTTCTACATCAGCATTTGCTACTTCACTTTGTAGTTTTGTTATAGAGATGGCTTCTTTCCTTAAACCTCATGATCCAATCTCTGCTAACTCCAAACTCTTTTTCTCCAACTTCCTCACCTCTCTCAGTCTTAGAATTAAAGAGCATTAGAGCCTTAGTCTGGATTAGGTTTTGGCTTAAGGGAATGTTGTGGCTGATCTGCTTTTCTATCCAGAGCACTAAAACGTTCTCCATATCAGCAGTAAGACTGTGTTTCGCTTATCATTTGTGTGTTCACTGGGTTACCACTTTTAATTTCCTTCAAAAACTTTCCTTTGCATTGACAACTTGGCTAACTGGCACAAGAGGCCTAGCTTTCAGCCTGTCTCACCTTTGGACATGCCTTCCTCACTTAGCTTAATCATTTCTAGCTTTTGATTTAAAGTGAGAGACCTGTGACTCTTCCTTTCACTTGAACACTTAGAGGTCATTGTAGGATTATTGCTTGGCCTAATTTCAATATTGTTGTATCTCAGGGAACAGGGAGGCCTGGGGTGAGGGAGAGAGATGGGGGAAGAGCTGGTTGGTGGAGCAATCAGAACACACACAACATTTATTGGTTCAGTTTATCATCTTATATGGGTGTGTTTGTGACACCCCAAAATAGTTATAGTAGTAACATCAAAGATCGCTGATCACAGATCACATAACAGATATAATAATCTTGAAAAAGTTTGAAATATTAGTAATGTTACCAAAATGTGACACAGACAAAAAGTGACCACATTTTGTTGGAAAAATTGTGCTGATAGACTTGCTTGACACAAGATTGCCAAACCTTCAGTTTATAAAAAATACAGTATCTGCAAAGCACATTAGAGCAAAGCATAATATAAACTAGGTATGCCTGTATTACATAGGCCGGTTTTCTACTGCTGACTCATTGTCATTAGGCAGCTTATCTAGCCTTTAAGTTTTACCCCCTGTAAAAGTGGAACATTATGTGCTCCCTGTCTGCTTCAGAATATGCAAGGAAAATGAATAGAATTCTCTTAAGGGCTTAGAGTTGCTAATGTGAATGATGAGATGTAACAACCTAGAAGTTATACAGTTCATTGTACATGGATGTGCCCCCACTGAATTGAAATTTTTGGAGATTAGACGCGGGAATCTTCATTTTTAACAAACAATTGTAGGTGGTTGTAAGGGCAGGAGAATTGCTCTCCTCGGAGGGAGAACAGGAACTGTATCTTTTACATGTTTTGCTCAGAGCCCAGCACATCCCCAATGCATGTGGATGTTTAAAACTGTAGTTGGTGATGGATTTAGGGTAAAGTTCAGTTGACTTTTAGGGAATAAGACCCACTACAACAGATATGTTATTTTTATTAAAGTACTTGATAGAGGCCACAGATTAAGCCTCTAAAGGAACTGTTCATTCCCCTTATTTCTGAATCACTTGTCTTCTAGGATATCAATGAGATTTGTCTTGGTTTTGTTTTATATTTATAACTTATAGCAGAAATAAGACTGTCACATATTTCTAGTTTTATATTACGGTTACCATAGAGTACCATCTCCAAGTCATTGTCATCTCAGTAAATGCTTATGAAAAACCTTAGGACTGTATTCTTTCTCACAAACAAACCTGTAAGCTGGAGTTATAAGGCTTTCTTTGTCCAAATATCCTGGAACATCATCTCTACTGTTTTTCCTCCTTCCTCTGTATAACTTGGTTATGAAATGGGCAGTGAATTGAATACTGTATGTTTTGAAATTGCAAACTTTTTTTTCTGGAAAAGCTTGACTTTGTAATGTGATTTTCTTTATTCTCTTCCTTCCCCTCTCTATCGCAGGCGGCATATTTTCTACCTTCAGCATCACTTAAATGGTAGGTTTCCTCACAGCATGACCCAGTTGTCACCTGCAGACAGCCCTGGGGGGACTTTGAGTGACTTGCACCTTATCCCAGCAGGCTCCCAGCTGTCTCAAGCAATGGAAGTAGATGGACTGAATGACTCTAGCAAGCAAGGCTATTCCCAGGAAACCAAACGCCTGAAGCGGACGCCAGTTCCAGACTCCCTAGGCCTAGAAATGGAGCACAGGTTCATTGATCAAGTATTGTCCACCTGTCGGAACGTGGAGCAAGCCAGGTTTGCCAGTGCATACAGGAAATGGCTGGTTACTTTGAGTCAATGAAAGAGGTGAATTAGTCCTACAAGGTTCCCCTTTTAGTGCAATATTGCTTTCTTTTATTATTTACATAGTTGCATGAACTGTTTACTATTATTGGCTAACCATATGTTCTTCGTCTTTAGGTTGAAAGTCCATAGTAAATCTTTCATTTTATTTATTTTGTTAATAACTGGCATTCCTGTGGGGATAAAATAATCGTATAGTTCCTTCCTGCTGAACAGCGAGTCTTAAATTTTCTGTTTAACTTCTCACCCTTTGTATTTCTATATGTGGGGCTTCTCATTTGGTTTTCCTGATTGGTTCACACACACACACCTCTACCCCCCTCAGTCCAATTGCTGCATAGGCAAATTCTTTTAAAAATTAAAAATTTAAGGCCTAGGCAGGAGGATTGCCTGAGCCCAGGACTTTGAGACCAACCTGGGCCACATAGCAAGACCCGATTTCTACAAAAAGTAAAACAAAATAGCTAGGCATGGTGCTATGCAACTGTGTTCCTAGCTATGCAGGAAGCTGAGGCAGAAGGATTGCTTGAGCCCCAGGTGTTTGTGGCTGTAGTGAGCCATGATTGCACCACTGTACTCAGCCTGGGCAATAGAGTTGAGACCCTGTCTCTAAAACAAATTGAAAATAAACATTTATGTTGCAGTTCAACTGAAGAATGTTGGTATGAATGCCGAATAACTTGATGTAATTGTTTTGAGAATCAAATGGCTAGATGGGCGAATGTTTAAAAATGTAAACTAGTTCTCTTTCTCTAGCATGTTCTACCCAATTACCAAAGTCAGAAGTATTGGAATTTATATGAAAAAAATGCTTCCAATGTAATCCATTTTTTAAATGGTTATTTAAGAAAAAACTAACTTAAGAGTTTATGTAATTGCAGTAAAGGAAAATTATTTTTATTGCTAGTTTTGATAGATTATTTTTACCTCAAATTTGGTATATGCCAAAACACATCAGTCCTTATAAAATTGATTTTTTTTTCCTGAAAACCTGGAATGCCATTTTTAGCTATTACTACTTTTTAATTTCAAATTCACTTATGACAAATGGGAGAAATATATAAAGAAATAGATCCATAAAAATATTCCTTTTTAAAAATCTAAATTATTGAGGATACACTATGGAAACTATAAAATTATCATGAAGTGACTGTTAAAGTTTACTGGCAAATGCCAAGGGAAGGAATAGTATGTGCAAAACAAAACACTTTGATACTGAACTTAATCAGGGATGAGGTACCAAAGTATCCACATTATAGCCGTATCTTATGTTTCCAATAACAAGGGCTGAGTTTTTCAGGTAGGTGGGATGAGGGTGGGGAATGGGCCATGTAATGTCTGCTTTCTTATATTTGCCCTTTTGTAAGTGGTCTGTTTCTTCTTTTCATATACTTTGTTTTGCCAATCCATTACGTATTTTTTGTCACTTTTGTGTGTCATTTTTGTATACCTTTCCTTTCTTACTTCAGGGGTGTGTCTTCAAGATTTCTACCCCCTATTTGCAATGAATTTCATACCTCATCTAAAATACATTCATATACCAGAAATATGAAGAGTGGCCCTTCTAAAAGTTTCCCTAATGATGGAAGCTGTCAGTTGTCCTATCTGTGCAGAATGTGAGTAATAGTGGCAGAAATAAGTGTGACAACAATGCTTTGCCTGTTGTTCTTTTTACTTGCTAGGTAATTTGTAAAGTGGGGATAAAGATGTAGGGAAAGTAAACCTCTCTCTCACTGTTACGGAAAGCCTGGACTTGAGTTAGGTAGACTGCCTTAAAGAAGAAGAAATATGTCCTTTTCTTTGGCATCATGGTTTTGTTGAGTGGCAGACTGTTGAAGTGAGTTGAGACTTAAGAACGCCAGAAAAGTTGTCTAGCCTGGCCCCAGTAGACAGAATTTGTTCTTCTCTCAAGTAAAAAATTACCTTTTTATAGCTTTTATATTATTTAGATGAAAAAATACCATTATGAACATAATTCCATGGCCCTTTGTGTACAAAGCATATTTTGAATTAAATACCTCAAGGTCCACCTAGACCTCTATGGATAAAATCATAAGTTTATGATTTTTAGCTCCTGTGAGTGTTTGGGGGCAAACTACACAGAGAAGACATGGGTGGTTCAGCCCATTCCACTAAAATATGTTGCCAGATTCTGGCCTAACTCAGTATTACCTTTTTTCCTAAAAATCATTTTTCACATTTTGAGTAATAGGGCTTATGCTTTGATGTGAAAAAATGTCAGGAAATGAGTGTAGACAATACCCTATAAAACACTAGCTAAGTTTTATAGTGCTCCATGCCTTTGTGTACCTTCCACTGATTATCTTGCCTATCTTTGGTGTGTAAACTATTTTCATATCTTCTAAGGCTCTTAACCCACTCTTTTCTGAAGCCGCACAGTCCTTTAATATGTCTTGTTTCCTTCCTAAAAGTTTAAAGTAGAGAGCAAAAATGCAAATACCCAAAGGATACTGTTAGTATGTAACTTTTGTGTGCTGCTTTATTTCTAGAGTTTGCATTTTTTAATTGTTCATTCACAGAAAATCCTAATATTGCCCTATATGGTTGGTTTTTTTCCTAAGTGGTTAATATTTAAACCCGCTAGCTGTAGCATGATAATGTCTTTGACTGAGCTTATGTAGTAGAAAGGATGTGTCTGTTTTCTGGGACTTTTAGTCTTCACTTATTTTTCTATAACAATCTAATTGTTAAAAGGAAAAGATGGCTTATTGACACATATTTCATTAAACTTTCACTGGAAGAACAGTGGGTCATCCTACTGTGGATTAAGAATACTACTGACAAGCAAAAAGCATTAAGCTCTGTAACTGTCTCCAACACCACCTTCACCCCGCCTTTAGTGTACCTTAGTGTACTTTAGTGTACCTATTTTGGCAGTACGGTGTTTTCCAGATTCTACTTGTGCCCTGCACATTGTGAGGACTCATTAAATATTTATTAAATTAATGAATGACTAACAGGAAGAGAAAGATTGTTTGTGAGTGTTAAGAATGAGTGATGATTGAGAAATTGATGGATTAGTGCAATGGATTGGGAATGAATGATGCTTTCTAGTTTCGTAATACTTGGGAAGAGCTATTGCATATAGAGTAAGTTGATTTAGACTTTTTTTTTCTTCATTTCATTACCTTGTTTAAACTTGTTAAATCCCAGCCAAGAAATGCAGCTCTGTAATTGTCAATTAACTGTATTATAATATATATTAAAAATTTGTAGAGCTAAAGAACCCACTTGCATTAAGAACACCACTTTCTGTTCATTTGTGATACTAGAGGACAGATCCTGCATACAGAGCCGAAACTGCTTTTAATCATCTGAAGAAATTCTTTGATTTCAGTGACTTACTGATCTGTACCTGTGCACATATCATTTTATGCTTCTCCTTTTTTCCCCGCAACTTGAACTGTGACTCTTTCAGATATTTCTTAAATCTGTATGAGTCATTTTTTAAGCTTAGGGATTTGATATGTATTAATGTCCCCTTTGTCTTCTGTAGATTTTAGCATTTTATTACCTCTTAAGAAACTCTGGGCCCAGACTTTCAGTCATATTTCTTATTCCTATGGTACAGTTCTCACTTAAAGGCTTAATTATTAGTAGGGTTAAATATATACAGGTTATCTCTAAAAGTACTTAAATTTTTAAATAAGGGCTTATGTGATACAAGATACGGAAACAAAAGTTTTTGGATTTTTATGCAGTAGTTTGCAGGAAAGCAAATACATAGTAGATCGTATGCCACTTAGGTATGTTCAGGTCATGCCAGTTTATTCTTGTTGGGCCACACACACATGTATGTGTGTGTAAAAGGAATTTTTAGTATTGAAGCAAACAAATTGTCAGTTTAATAATTTTCTCTTACATAGCACAAGATGGCAGATACCACCTACTGTACAACAATCTAATAATCCCTACCTTAGTTCCCCTGAGTTATAGAAGATGCTAAAGATTTAGTTGTAAAGGGAAGTAACATGATTTTTTTTTTCTAAAAAGCTGTTTTAAGCTAACTATTATTTTGCTACTGGAAAATTATATTTTAAAACTTACAGATATTTAAAGTATGCTAGAAAATTTGAACCTGATAACAACTGAACCTTTTGTCTTGAATAAATTTCTCAAATAGAACTGTGCAAACCCTAGCACTTTATGTGTTGCTGCCTCCCCATACCTAGGTATGCTCTGTAATAAGCTCCCATTTAATGGAGAGATGTGTGGAGGCACTGAGAAGTTAATGAAGAAAAATCAACCCTAAGAATTCCTTATTGTCACATAGTGTCTTTTAAAAAATAACTGTAGAGACTGTGTTAATTCGAGTGCCTTTCTTACTTTTTTGGGAGCAAGATTATATTTAATGTTTAAGAAAACAGGATGGAAGTTTTATCAAACAGTTGATTGTGGCCCATTGTTTTATTTATTCCCATCGCTAGGCATGGCCCCGTAGGGTATTTTATCCTTCAGTGAGAGACTGATATAAGCAGGCAGGATGCTTTGATTATTCCATTAGTTATCATTTTAAGCACCCTACCAAGATTTAGTTCTTTCTTTCTGGCAACTAACGTTTTGGGGGTTGGAGGCATCCCATTTAGAGGATGGTGTGTGCACAAATAGATTAGCCTGAAACCTGCGTCCAAAGGGAAACAGTGGCACTCTGCCCTAAAATAAAGGCCAGAACGTTGTCCTAAATGAATCCTTTGCCTTACTTTAGGACCTTCCTTCCCTCTCAAATTCAGGCATAATGTAATATAGTTGAAAGGGGGAAAACAGTACTTGCTTTCTCTCAGGTATTGGAGGAAAAGAAGTAAATGCGTAGATGAAATTTTAAATGTATCATTTTATCTGTTTGTATATGGAGAAGGGAGGGATAGGAATTCCATATTTCAAGATAGCAAATATAATTTCATAGAAATATATAGCTAAAGATTCCAAAGTGCTTTTACAGAGAACTGTTGAATAATATATTCCTAAAGGGCAGCAATATGCCATGTTCATGGTGAAGACAGAAAACCAATGAATCAGTTGTGGATCTCAGGTGGGAGAGGAAACCTCAGGCTCCCAACTTTGACTTCTCTACTCTCACCAGGCCATGTTAACACTGTAAAACCAAACTCTTTGCTAAGAACAATACAGGGCAGTAGTTTAGTCTGCTGATGAAACCTTGTGCTTCCAAGAATATTAGCTATATATAATTTGTGCTTTCTGGATGATTCTATTGTCCAGAAAGCTAACCCTGACGTTACTTTTATTAGTCTGTTGTTATTCCTCAGGGTGTAGAAGATTTAGTAAATTCAGGACAAATTTTATATTCAGTGGCAAAAAGAAAAGGCAAAAATATGCTAAATATATTATTAGCTCTTAAATTTTAGTATAGATCGTATTTTTTATAAACTATTACCAGTACAGTAGCTAGTAGATATTCTGTGACTGCCTCATTGTTTATCTTGCTGCTTTGGTCCCTATGGCTCTAGTATGAACATTCTCGTGTCTTCTGTGGAAATGATTTCTGTGTTATAGTTCCATCTTTGGTAGAGGTGGGGATGATTGTATTTTGTTTTAGTTGACATCATTCTCAACTTTTAGAAATACTGTTGAGGAAAATGATTACCGTTGGTTTTCAAATTGACAACTATTTTGCTTCCAAAGACTTCAGTTTCCCTTTGTTTTATGTGTAGACCTCATATATGTTCAACACATTGCATACTGCCTTGCACATTGTAGGAATTCAACAAGTCAAGAGTTGATAAAAGCTAGAAAGATAAAACTAGCTTAGCTATCATATCATCATTGTCCATATTCTTAGCTTTGGGAAAAATATACCATTTTGCATAAAATACATAATCAGTTTCAAATGCATAAGGCAAAGATATACAGTTGCACAACATTGCAAGTGAAATTTACAAAGGATTTTTATTTTTGTGTATGCTAAAAGTGCTCCTACTTAAAGCAGTTTTCTTTATTAGACCAACACCTTCCAGCAAAGTTAGAAACCAAACACAAGTGCTCATTTGCCCAAATTAACCAGATAGTTATGTAAACTGTTCATATTAAGTCTTTAGTGGTTTACAAACAATAACATTCTGGCTTTTCTTCCATACCTTTTAGGAATCAGCCTTAATTTTAAGTATAGCAGTCACTTTCCTCAAGGTACTATGCAGCATACTTTAGATTGCTTATTTATCATTATAAGGTGATAGGTAATAAATTTGAGGTTTACTTGTCATATAATTTCATATGGCAGATATTGATTCAAGGAGCATTCTATTAGAAAAAGTTGATAAATTATCCTCCCTTACAAATATCATCTTGCATTTGGAGCAGGTATTTTTTTCTTATTAGTTAAAGACTGGGTACAGTTATAGTAGATGCTCAATAAATGCTTAGTCAGTGATTGATCTAACATCAAACTAACAGCTTTCAGAAAGGAGACTGTTGACATCTTTTCACCAAGGAGTATATTTGTAGAGTAATATATGTGTGGAATTTTGAAATTATATCATTTGACATGATTTATGAGGCTTATTTAAGCTGGAGTTAGTAACGTAATAGAAGTATTATTTATACAGAACATAGTTGAAAGATAGGAGATGTGAAAGATTAAGTAGTATTTTCTTGTGCAAGGCATATTAATAAATGTAATTAAATGTCTTAATAAGCAGCTGGCTGAACTCTAGAGAGAACTGCTGTAGTCTTCTGCAATCAGTCTCTGTATTGGTATATCCAGTACTATCGGGTTTAGGTTCTTTTTATTTTTCCTTAAATCTTACTTGTTTCTAGCGTCTTAAGAGTGGTAATGGTAAAATGTGAAGTTACAATAAACTTCTGCTTGTTTTCTCAGAACATCTTTGGCATGAGGAAGAACTTTTTGTGAATGATACAGTAGTCTCAGCATCTGTTAATTTGTGGTTTTCAAAGCATTTTTGACAGAGTTTACCTAATGTAAAAAGATTAAACAGTTTTATAAAACACAAATAAACATTCCTACCTGAACTGTGAGGAACAGAGTGTATAGTACAAATGTAATTAGGCATTGCCTCCTGGCGAGGTTCTTGATGCATGACTTCGATGCTGGCTGCTGACTGAGGTGACCACTGTCAGTATTGTACTTTGGCATATGTTGTTTTTAGGAAAATAATGGAATGCATTCTTAGATTAACTTACTGTTTTTGAGTTGGAAAAAATAAAAGATGAGGTATTATAAGTATGCCAAATATTTATACACTACAAAAGATTAAAAAAGGAGAGGGAGAAAAAAAAAGGCCAGTTATGATTTTAATAGCGTCTAATTTTTTTTTGACTCGAATTTTGTGGACACTAGTCAATTGCATAATTTAACATGGAGGAGCTTTCATTTAAAAGAAGTTCTCAGCTACTATATTCTGCCATTAAAATTAACCATGCCTGTTAATTTTACATTGCTTGAAGATATAAGTAAGCTGCCGTCAATATTGTTTTAAGATTTTCTTATAGTTTATGTTTAAATGGAAAAGTTACATATATAATCTATGGTGCAGGGTCAGGCATTGGCCATTAAAGATAAGTTTGGCTAACTATTTTACTGAAGAGACTAATGGTCTTCCCTCTGTTGTACTGCTATGTTTCTTGATCTGTTTTTCCCCAATGTAACAGTCTACATTGAAGTCCTTTAGCTCTCTCCATATACTAATTGACATTTGTTAAGGATTCAATATTTTGTGAATTCTTTTTACCCTTAAAATGCATATCTTTCAGAGAGATAAGAATGAATTTTGCAATAATTTATATGCAGAGTGTGCTTATGGGTTTCTGGGAGTTCAAGTTAGTACCCCAGAGTGCTTAAAAGTATGATGCTAAATTCTAAGGCTAATGTAATGACTGTAGATTATCTATGTCCACATTGTTCAACAGAAATATAATGTGAACCACAACATAATTTTTAATTTTCTAGTAGCCATATTAAAAAAGAAACAAGCAAAATTAATTTTAATAACAGTTTATGTAACCCAGTATATTAAAAATATCATTTCAACATGTAATCAATATAAAAGATTATTAATGAAACACCTTATCTTCTTTTTCTTCCATACTAAGTCTTAGATTTGAGTGTATTTTGCACTCACAGCACATCTCAATTCTGACTGGCCACATTTTAAGTGCTCAGTAGTCACATATGGCTAAGGGCTACTATACTGGACAGTACAGATTCATAGAGTATAAAATATGACTTTAACTTTGGAGATGGTGAGGTAGGCCTGTAATTATGGTACTTTAAAAATTCAGAATATTTAGAAAAGCATCTAATAGAATTATCCACTTGTTTTCCTTCATCTTCATTTTAATATGTTCTAGAAGTAGGATCAGCCTGTTCCAATTTGCCAAGCATTATTAAGGAGGAATAATTCCATACCATGTAAAATACCATGATATGCTGATTATACTACATTAACAAATTTTTAAGTTGCGTTCACTAAATTCTGTCCTGTTTCTTCAAAATAATATAGCTTAAATTGCATGTTAATTGTATATCTTACCTATTTTGTTTTTATATTATTCTTACAATATAATCATGTATATTAACAAACAGCCCTGGGATTCTAATCTTCCTCTGCAACTGTCTTCCAGGACTTACTGGCACTTATTACACTGTGATAAGTGGCAGAAAAGTAGAATGAAATATTCTTTTTCCATTAGATTTGTTCTTATGTGACCATGTACCAAGCCAGCTATAAAGTATTGTATTTCTGTAGAATATGGAAAATAGTATTTGTCTTACCTTTGCTAAATGTTTGCAATTTCTAAGTAAACCTTTTATCTCCTAAAATGAGTGTTAAGTGTGATTTTGTTTTTACTTTTGGTGCTTTAAACTTGAGTCTAGTCTACCAAGCTTTCCATTTTATTTGCTTTGATGGTGGTAGGGGGGTGGAGGTGTGAACTGTTGTCTAAATGAAACCAATAATTTTATGACCTACATTTGTAGAAAGAATAAAAATGCCACTATGTCTAGAACATAAAAGAAATGTCAAAAACAAATTAGAGATATCGCCACAGTTGTTTTTAAATTGTATTAACAGTGACTAATTGCCTTATAAAAGTTATTATGACTAGATACGCTTTTTCCCATCCATTTCAAATGAAGCTGTAGAGCACATATAATTACTCGGTTATTTTAGTGTTACATCCTATGTTTTCTCAATCCTGAGTCTCACTTCTGTATGTTATAAGCCAGATATAGTGGTCTTACTTACACAATATAATACATAGATAGACTCCAAAAAGTGTTTGATAAAGTGGATACTTTTTTTAACTCAAATTTTAAATATTTCAGAAGTGTGTTATGGGAAAGACCTATCTTACTTTATCCCTTGACTATTTAGGATTACATTTTATATAATGCACTACTATTATGTATATTTTGGGTAGGAAACAGGATATCAAATTTATTTTGCATGATGGCAAAGTACAATTGTTTAAAATTGCAGTACTGACTAGGTGCAGTGGCCCACACCTGTAATCCCAGCACTGTGAGAGGCCCAGGCAGACGGATCACCTGAGGTTAGGAGTTCAAGACCAGCCTGGCCAACATGGCGAAACCCCATCTCTACTAAAAATACAAACATTAGCCAGGCATGGTGGCACATACCTGTAATCCCAGCTACTTGGGAGGCTGAGGCGGGAGAATGACTTGAAACCAGGATGCCGAGGTTGCAGTGAACCAAGATCATTCCACTGCACTCCAGCCTGGGTGAAAGAATGAGACTCCTTCTCCAAAAAAAAAAAAAACCATAAAAAATAAAAAAAGCAGTAGTGTTTTTGCACTGATACGCTAGGAAAGAAAACTAGCTTAATTTGAATTAATAAGCAAATTTTCTAAGAAGTGTGACAAAAATTGGTCTTAGTAAAGTGCTTCCCTGGGAAATTGATTTGCTCAGTAACATGCTTTTTGAAATGAAAGATCAACAATAACAGATCCAAGATGATACATTCGCCAATTATATTTATTATTTATAGATCAACAATAACAGATCCAAGATGATACACTAGCCAATTATATTTATTAAATATGATAACCCTTTTGTCATTGGTCTACATTTAGCAGATAGCACAATTTTCCTCATGTTGGAAGCTCAAAGTTTTGCTTTTGGTACTCTATTACTTAAAAAAAGAAAAGGTATTTTTTATGAGATGTTTAAATAGCATAGCTTTTGTCTGCTAGAAACTTACTCCAAAATGACCCTGTTGGGCATCAACTTTAAGTTACAGTGTGCCCTTTCTTTAAGAGAAACACAATAGTATCATTATATGTGTCCAGTGTCACAGAAGTAGAATTTGAAGGGTTGCTTGCCTCCCCACCTTAGCTTTAAAAAAAGGAAGCAATAATTTACATCTTGTTTTTTATTTCACAAAGAGATTCTTAGAGTAATCCTGGCTGTCAGGATTCTGAGTGCTTTACCTCTTCTTAATGATATGAGCAACAGACAGAATGGTATTTCTGAATTTACTCTTTTAGTATTGGAAAAGTCTGATGATAATACAAATGTCTCTTGTATCAGATTTCTCATATACCTCTCACAATAACTACAGCAGCATGATCAGCGAAAGGTCTGTGTAGGGAAGCTAACTAGGCTGAATTGACCCTCTATCATATTTTATATTCTCATATTTTTTAAAATTGCTAGTGACCTCACTAGATATATTGTTGAGAAAAATACTGAAAGGTAGTGACTCAATGGGACAGGTGCAACACCAGTCACCCCCATTTGTTTTATTTTCAAGTAAGTTGTGTAGCCATACCATCTACTGACATCCCTTGGAGCAAAAATAATCACATTATCTCTTGTTTATAACTAAATGAGGATACATCTAGTTGGTGGCATTGATATGTCTTAATTTCAGTTATTCCATGTGAATAAAAAAAATCATCTTGTGTAGCATTTATTATACTAGAAAATCACCAAGAACTACAATGTGCAACAATAGATTGAGTAAATTAGTGTTTTCCTGTAGAGGTATACTATGCACTCATAAAAATAGAACTTATAATTACAAGGAAAAAGCCTCATAATAAGTTTAGTTTTTAAAAGTAGGTTACAAAGCAGTATGTAAATAAGATTCTAACTTTTTTTTTTTATTTAAATCCCATTTCTAATCATAGCAGGACCAACCTTCTTACTGAGCACAACTAAAAATGTTGGAAAATATATTAAAATTTTATTCAAAGCAGATAAACTAAAAAACATCATACCAAAACTGTAGAATGCCAGTAGAAAAAAGAAATCAAAAAGAGCTAAAGACAAAAGATTAAACTGATAACTTACTTCTTGACAGCAACATTGAGTCAGAAGACAGTGGTAATCTAGAATTATAAACAGAAAAAAATTTTTGGTGAATGAGAATAAAGTACACATACACAATATGAGTCCATTCATGTAAAGTTTAAAAATAATCATTAAAGAAAAAATTATTGCAAAGATCAGGATAGTGGTTGCATCTAGTTGGGGAGTGGAACCATGCCAGGGACAGGAAAAAGATGAAGAACTTGTGGGACGCTGACAGGGTTCTGTTTCTTGGCTTTGCCTTGGGTACATGTTCTGCACACATACATATGTATACTCATATATATGAGTATATACACACATATACACATGTATATATGTGTATATATAACATACTATGTCTTTTTCCAGTTATATTCACAAAGAAGAAAAACACTGGAAAAATTAGGGTGCCATATTCATAACTAGATAACACATAAAACATTCTTCCAGCCAGGTGAAGTGACTCACACCTATAATCCCATCACTGGGAGGCCAAGTTTGGAGGATTGCTTGAGGCCAGGAGTTTGAGACTATCCTGGGGCACATAGCAAGATATCCTGTCTCTACAAAAAATAAAAAAATTAGCCGGGTGTGCTGGTGTAGGCCTGTAGTCCCAGCTACTCGGGAGGCTGAGGCAGGAGAATGGTATGAACCCAGGAGGCGGAGCTTGCTGTGAGATGAGATTGCACCACTGCACTCCAGCCTGGGTGACAGAGCAAGACTCTGTCTTAAAATAAAATAAAAAGATAAACAATACTGAAACAACAGGTTTTCCATATGAAAAAGAGGCCCAACTTTTACATAATACACAAAAATTAATTCAAAATGAATCATAGAATGAAACATAAAACTAAGAATCCATAAAACCACTAGAAAACAAAATATCTTTATGACCTTGAGGTAGGCAAGATTTAATTGGACAAGACACCAAAAGCACTAATAAGGACATGATTAAAAAGAAATTCAAATCTAGAAGGGTATGCCACACATGTGTAGGGCTGTGTGCATGCTCAGGAAATACCTGAGAAGGCTGTAACTCTAACTCCTTATTTACTTTAAGGCTATTCGCGAACAGAAACTTAAGGCTAAGGCAGAGCTGAAAACTACCTAAATGAATGTGGAAGTCTTGCCCCAGCATGCACAATGAGCTCCTCAATAATAAATGGGAGATTTGTTGCTTTAAGGAAATATCTGTCCCAATTACTAACTGACCACCATGCTACTGAGAAGAGACCTCAGTGGCCACCTGTGACAAAAAAAAATATGGACTTTTATGAAGTTAGTTCAGGAAAGTCACCAAACAACAGTAGCAATAAACCTGGGAATGGTGGAGAATCTGATTTCCAGAATTGGCACATTATATTATTCAAAATGTTCAATTTTCAACAAAATATTGCAAGACATGGAAAGAGACAAAGTATGGCCTATACCCAGGAATAAAAGCAAACAATAGAAATGGCCTCTATGGATGACCAGACATTAGACTTAGAAGATAAGGAATTTAAATCAGCTATTTTAAATATGTTCAAAGAAGTAAAGTAACTATATTCAAAGAACTAAAAGAAAATACAAAAACTATGACTCATATATGTAATATATAATAGAGAATATCAAGAGAGATATTTTAAAAGGAAAGAAAGATTCTGTGAAAAGGTATACTAAATGCACTAAAGGGGCTCAATAGCAGATTTGGCTAGGGAGAAGAATCAGCAAACTTGATGACAGGTTAGTTGGCAATAAACAGACTGAGGAGCAGAAGAAAAAACAGCAAAGAAAAGTAAATAGCTTTAGGGATCTGTGGCACACCATCAAGCCAATCAGCATGCACATTATGGGATTCACAGTAGGAGAAAATAGTGAAAGTGTTAAAAAGAAAACTTGAATATATAATTGCTTTAAACATCCTAAATTTGATGAAAAACGTCAATGTACAAATTCCAGAAACTCTGAACTCTGAGTAAGATATATTCAAGGGGACCCACACAGACACATACTCAAATTGTCAAAACCAAAGAAAAAGAAAATTTTGAAAACAAGTTACTTGTCATGTGTATGGGATCCTTGGTAAGATTAATATCTGATTTCTCAGTAGAAACTATGGAAACCAGAGGGCAGCAATAGACATGTTCTAACTGCTGAAAAGTAAAACTCAACCAGGAATTCTATATCTGGCAAAATTGTCCTTCAAAAATGAAAGAGAAATTAGTAAATTCCAAGATCAACTAAAACAGAGTTTTTCACTAGCAGACCTTCCCTAAAAAGAAATACTAAAGATAATGCTTCAGACTGAAAGGGCACTAGACAGTTAGTCAAATCCATGTGGAACAGTGTGATGTATTTTTTATTTGTAACTCCTTTCATTCCCTATCTAATTCAAAAGACAACTGCATGTAGCAATAAATATAAATCTATGTTAATAGGCACACGCTATATAAAAATGTAGGTTGTGACAAAAACACCATAACTGGGGTGGGTAACAAAACTATAAGGGAGCAAAGTTTGTATCTAGTATGAAAACTAAGCTGGTATTAATCCAGACCAGATTGTTATACATTAAGATGCTAATAGTTTTCCCTAAGAAAATAACTCAAAAATATATTATAAAAGAAGAAATGACAAAGGAATTAAAATTGTACACTAGAAAATATCTAACAAAAAGAAGGCAGTTATGAAATAATTGAGGAACAAAAAAGACATATAGAAAGCAATAACAGACATAAAGCCTATCTTATCAGTGATTACAATAAAATAAATGGATTAAACTAAGTAAAAGGCAGATATTGGAAGAATGGATTAAAAAACTGGTCCAACTATATGCTGTTTTCAAGTTACATACTTTAGATTCACAGATACATATAGGTTGAAAGTAAAACGATGGAAGACGATATATCATGCAAACCCTAACCAAAAGAGCTAGCTGCGTGGCTACACTAATACCAGACAAAATAGATTTCAAGACAACAATTTTTTTCTAGAGACAAAGGCAGATATTTTCTGATGATAAAGGATCAATGCATTAAGAAGACGGCAGTTATAAACATATGCACCTAACAGCCCCAAATACATGAAGCAAAACCAATAGAATTGAAGAGAAATACACAAGTCAACAGTACTCAACATTCAATAATAGAACAATGAGACAAGATCAGGAAGGAAATAGAAGTCTTTAGCAACACACTAAACCAACTAGACCTAAAAACATCTATAGAACACTTCACTCAAAGACAGCAGAATATACATTCTTAAGGAAATATGAAACATTTTCCATTATAGACCATATGTTAAGCCATAAAATAAATCTTGATGAATGTAAAAGCACTCTGATAATATAAATACTGTTTTCTGACCACATCAAATTAATTAGAAAACATGCCAGGAAGAAATTTGAGGAAATAAATATGTGGAAATAAAACAACACACTCATAAATAACCAATGGATCAAAGACAAAATCACAAGGCAAAATAAAAAATACTTTGAGGTGAATGAAAATAAAACATACCAAAACCAAACTTTATGGGATGTAGCAAAAGCAGTGCCCAGGGGGAAATTTTTAGTGTAAATACCTACATTTAAAAAGAAGGAAGACCTCAAGTCAATAGCCTAAACTTCCACACTACTAAACCAGAAAAAAAGAGTAAATTAAACCCAAAGCAAGCAGGAAGAAGAAAATTATAAAGATGACAGTGGAGATAAAATAGAGAATAGAAAAACAATAGTGGAAAATTAATGAAACCAAAAGTTGTTTCTTTGAAAATTTCAACAAAATTGAAAACTCTTTTAACAAGACCAAGAAAAAAGACTCAAATTACTAATCTCAGGAATGAAAAAGGAGACGTTACTACCAACTTTACAGAAATTAGAAGCATTATACAGAATATTGTAAACAAATTAGATGACACATGAAATGGACAAATTCCTAAAAACAAACACAAACTGCTAAAACTGACTCAAGAAGAAACAGAA
Source organism: Homo sapiens (assembly GCF_000001405.40). NCBI lineage: Eukaryota > Metazoa > Chordata > Mammalia > Primates > Hominidae > Homo > Homo sapiens. The sequence continues at coordinate 69,703,066 of NC_000009.12, read as the reverse complement.
AATCTAAATAGACCTATAATAAATAAGATTGAGTTTATCATCGAAATATTTCTCACAAAGAAAAATCAATCACCTGATAAATTTACTGGTGAATTCTACCAAATGTTTAAAGAAGAATTAACACCAATTCTTCACAAAACATTCCAAAAATAGAAGAGGGAACTCATTCTAAGAGGCCAGAATTAATTATTCTGGTATCAAAACCAGACCAATATATCTCAGAAAAAAAAAATCAGACCAATATCCCTTATGAATACAGAACAAAAATCCTCAATAAGATACAAGCAAACTGAATTCAGCAGTGCATAAAAAAAAGACTATATGCTATGATATATGGGTTTATCCTAGGAATGCAAAGTTGATTTAACATAAAAAAGTCTATCAATACAGTAGCCCACATAAATATAATGAAGTGGGGAGGAATCCGATTATCATCTCTATAGCTACAGAAAAAGCACTTGACAAAATCCGAAACCCTTTCTTGATTAAAAGAAAGTTAACAAACTAGGAATAGAAGGCAACTTCCTCAAGCTGATAAACAGTGTCTATAACAGCCTACAGCAGCTGAGCATGGTGGCTCACACCTGTAATCCCAGCACTTTGGGAGGCCGAGGTGGGCGGATCACCTGAGGTCAGGAGTTCAAGACCAGCCTGACCAACATGGTGAAACCCCATCTCTACTACAAAAATACAAAAATTACTCATCATGGTGGAGCGTGCCTGTAATCCTAGCTACTCAGGAGGCTGAGACAGGATAATTGTTTGAACCCAGGAGGTGGAGGTTGCAGTGAGCCTAGATTGCACCACAGCACTCCAGCCTGGGCAACAGAGTGAGACTTCATCTCAGAAATAATAATAATAATAATAATAATAATAAGACCCCACAGCTAATATAATAGTGAAAGAACTGAAGTCTGTCCCTCTTAGATTAGGAACAAAACATGATATCTGCTCTTGCCACTTCTATTCAACATTGTACTAGAGTTTCTAGCCAGAGCCATAAGGCAAGAAAAAGAAATAAAATGCATTCAAATGGGAAAGAAAAAACTAAAACTATGTCTATTCTTAGATGTCATGATCTTCTACACAGAAAATTCTAAAGAACGCACTAAAAAGTTGTTAGAACTAAACAATTTCAGCAAGGTTGCAGGATACAAATCAATTGTATTTTTATATACACTTGCAATAAACAATCAGAAAGTAAAATTAGCCTGGTTGCAGTGGCACATGCCTATAATCCCAGCACTCTGGGAGGCCAAGGTGGAGGAATGCTTGCAGCCAGGAGTTCAAGACCAGTCTGGGCAACATAGTGAGACCTCATCTCTATGAACAAATTATTTTTTTAATTAGCTGGGCATGTAGTTCTAGCTACTTAAGAGGCTGAGATGAGAGGATTGCTTGAGCCCAGAAGTTCAAGGCAACAGTGAGATATGACCAGACCACTGCACTCCAGTCTAGGTGACAGAGCAAGACCCCATCTCTAAAAAACAAACAAACAAAAAATAAAATAAAAGTATAATAGCATCAAAAAGAATAAAAATTTAACAAGATAATTATAAAACTACAAAGCAGTGCTGAAAGAAATTTAAGATGGAAAACCATTCTATGTTCATGGATCAGGAGACCTAACATCGTTACGATGGCAGTTCTCCCCAAACAGATCTACAGATTCAGCACAATTTTTATCAGAATTTCAGCTGACTTCTTTTTAGAAGTTGACAAGTTGATCATAAAATTTATATATAATTGAATAGGACCAAGAATAGCCAAAACAATCCTAATAAAAAATAGCAAAGTAGGAGGACTCACACTTCCCAATTTCAAAACCTACAATAAAGCTTTATTAAGGCAGTCTGGTACTGGAATAAGGATGAACATATAGATCAATGGAACAGAATTTAGTGTCCAGAAATAAACCCACACATCTATGATTAACTGATTTTTCACCAGGGTAAAAATTCTTCATCATTCCTCATCATTCAATGAGAAAAAAAAATAGTCTTTTCAACAAATGATTCTGGAACACTGGATATCTAAATGCAAAAGAGTTAATATGGATCCTTACTTCACATTAAATATGAAAAGTAATTCAAAAAGGATAAAAACCTCAATGTAAGTGTTAAAACCATAAAACTCAGAAGAAAACAGGTGTAAATCTTTATGGCCTTTATTTTAGGCAAAAGTTTTCTAGTTATGACACCAAAAGCACAAGTACAAGAGAAAAAATCAATAATTCGATTTGTTCAATATTAAAATATTTCATACCTAAAGGGACACTATCTAGAAAGTGGAAAGCGACCCCACAGAAGAAAATATTTGCAAATTATATATCTGATAAGGGACTAGTCTCCAAAATTTATGAATAACTTTTACAACTAAACGATTAAAAGCAAATGACCCAATGTAAAGATAGGCAAAGGATTTGAACAGACACTTCTCCACAGAAGATATAAAAATGTCCAGTAAGCATATGAAAAGTTGTTCAACACCATTAGTCATTAGGAAATGCAAATCAAAGCCACATGGAGATAACCACTTCACATCCACTAGGATAGCTATAAATCTTTTTTAAAAGTATAATCTAGGTGTGGAATTATGGGAAACTTTACTTTTCTATTTTATCATCCCTATGATCTTTGTGTGTTTAAATAAACATGTATTCAAGCAATGTTTAAAACAGTCCCAATTTTTAGTGTAGGATGAAAGCAAAGACAGTCAAACAGAGTTTATTACCACTAACAAATTAAAAGCTGATATGTCACTTGAAAAATCAAATAGGATTATATCCCCAAATAAGTTCACAGTGACCATTAAGTATCCACATTAGATATCACAGAGAAAAATGAACATTATGGCTAGACAGGGGAACCATATTACAAGTTGAATATATAAAAAGAGAATAAATACACTTTCAGATTTTATTGAGTTGTTTAAGTCTGTACCAAAGTACATAAAGGAGTGTAAATAAACATGTATCAAAACTGAAGTAGTGGACCAGAAGGAAACGTCTAAATCAAGGTATTGCCATCACTAAATCTTCCGTATTGGCCTTAGACTTGAGCAATGTCACAATCTCACATGATGACAGGAGCATGAAGTTAGAGTAAACTTGTAAAGCTGACTAGATGTAAAACTACATGGTAACTGATTTGTATGGTAACTGATTTGTATTTTTACTTAGTTATATTGTCTTTTAAAGTACTGGAATTCCACGTCCAGACATAAGCAAGAAGGCAGAATAGGACTTTACAGTGCTCATCCTGCCAGCAGAAAATCAGTTTGAACAACAATCCAAGCACAAAAAATACCTCCAGAAGAGCTAAGGGAATCAGGTGAAAGATGACAGCACTTGGGTATAGAACTGAAGTAAGAGGCATTCATGAGGATAAGAAGGACAGTTTCACATTATCTCTGTCACTCCTCCCCCATCCTCAGGCAGCATAGTGTAAGGAGACATACCCTCTGCTTGAGGGAAGGAGGGAAAAGAGAGCACTGGACTTTGCCTCAGACCCCAACACTAGCCTTCTTCAGTTAAACCCAGTGCCAGAGAGGCCCCCATAGCCCCAGGCCCCAGGCTAGTACCTACAGACTGAGCTCCCAGGCCCACCCCAGCACCAGGCTGAATCTTGCAGCCCCAGGTTCCAGGCTTGCATGGTTGACTTAATCTCCAGGCCTGCCCCACCACCAGGCCAGCCCCACAGACTCAGGCTCTAGGCTTGCCTCCAGGCCAAGATGGCTCCTGTGGCTCTAGGCTCTAGACTGCCCTCCACACGGAAAACATTCCAAATCTTGGGAAATATAAAAATATTCAAGTATAGAAAGTTCAAAGTTTATTTAATCTGTTTTATTTCGTTCATAACAGTCTGAAACTGGGTAATTTATAATAAGAAGAAATGTATGTCTTACAATTATGGAGGCTGAGAAGTCCAAGGGTGAGGGAACACTTCTGGTGAGAGTCTTCTTGCTAATGGGGACTCTCTACAGTCTGAAGTTGGTACAGGGCATCACATGGCAAGAGGACTGAGTATGTTAACATACTAGCTCAGGTCTCTCTTCTTATAAAGCCACTAGTTTTCCTCCCATGATAACCCATTAACTCATTTATTCATTAATCCATGAATGAATTAATCCATCCATGAAGGGAGAACTCTAATAACCCACACACCTTTTAAGGATCCCACCTCTCAGTATGGCCACATTTCACATTAAATTTCCACATGAGTTTTAGAGGGGATAAATATTAAAACTATAGCAGTCTTCAATCAGATTCAAACAAGAATATGCCAAGACATGTTATTAATCAAATTGTTAAAAATCAATGACAAAAGAGAGGATCCTGAAAGCAATAATAAGAAATAAGTAAATCACATATCAATATGGCTAACAGTAATTTCTCAGCATAAACCTTACAGGCTAGGATAGAGTGGAATGATATATTTGTAATGCTAAAGGAAAAAAAACCTGCCAAATAAGATTAATTTACCCAGCAAAGCTGTCCTTCAGAAATGAAGAAGAGATAAATACTTTTCCAGACAGACAAAAGCTGTAACACCAGCCTGTCATATAAGAAATGTCTTTCAGTTCTTCAAGCTGAAAGAAAAGGACACTAATTAGTAAAATGAAAACTTATGAAAGTGTAAAACTCACTGGTTCAGAGTAAGTACACTGTCAAAATCAGTATACTCTAGTACTGTAATGGTGGTGTTTAATTTACTTAAACCTTTAGTATGAAGGTTTACAGACAAAACTATTAATATCTACAATAATTTGATAAGAGAAATGCAATATAAGGAGACATAAATTGTGACATCTAAAACATAAACTTTGTTGAGGGGAGAGTAAAAGTGTTGAGTTTTTCGATGTGATCAAATTAAAAGTTCTTGTCAGCTTAAAATAACCCAGAAATTAATCCACACTTGTATGGTAAATTGATTTTTGATAAAGGTGCCAAGAACATACAATGGGGAAAGACCGTCTCTTCAATAAATGGTGTTGGTGAACCAGATATTCACATGCAGAAGAGTGAAGTTAAAACGCTTACCTCCCGTCGCACAAAAATCAACTCAAAATGGATGAAAGTCTTAAATTGTACAGCTGCTAGAAGAAAACATGGGATAAAAGCTCCATGACATTGGTCTGGGCAATGATTTTTTTGATATGAAAAGACAGGCAACAAAAGTGAAAATAGACAAATTGGATTCTATCAAACTAAAAAGCTTCTGCACAGCAAAGTAAACAATCAACAGAGTGTAGAGACAACTTATGAAATGGGAATACTATGGTCTGAATGTTTGTGTCCCTCCAAAATTCATATGTTGAAACCTAACTCCCATGATGATGATATTCAGATGTGTGGCCTCACTGCTGCCACTACTGGCACCCAGCCAAGTTGCCTGGAGGGCCAAGGATCAGCCATCCCAGACTCACTATTACCAGTGCTCACATATGCCACCCAGGGCCCAAGGACCGGCATGCTTGGTCCACAACCACCAGCACTAGTGCCAGAAGACTGGACTACTTGAAATCCTTGTGCCCAGCAAAACCTCCCTTAATAGCCACAGCCTAATCTACTAAGGAACTCACAGACACGACTAACACTTTTTATAGCTAAAGATATAATACAGAGACTACACCATGCCCACCCAGAATCAAAGCCAAAGCACCCTACACTAACACTATAGGTATATGTTCAGGAAAACGTCTTTTCCTACAAAAGCTAATCTATTGAAAGAAGAGTTGAAAGAAGTGACTGTTACACCAGATGTGCAGGTATCAATGTAAAGATACAAGAAACGTGAAGAAGCAAGAAAACATGATACATCCAAAGCAATGCAATAATTCTCCAGCAACATATTCTGAAAAAAAAGAAATATATGAAATGCCTCAAAATGATTCAAAATGCTATTAAAGAATCTCAGTGAGACACAACAGAGCACAGGTAAACAATAAAAAGAAATTAGAAAACAATTCATGATCTCAAAAAAAACTAATGAAGAGATACGTATCATAAAGAAGAACTAAACAGGAATCCTGGAACTGAAAAATTCAATGAATGAAATAAACGATACAATCAAGATCTTCAACAATAGATTACATCAAGTGGAAAAAGAATTTCAGAACTAGAAGACAGATCTTTTGAAATAACTCAAACAGAAAAGAAAAAAATTAATAATAATAAGGCCTCTGTGACATATGGGTCACTATGAAGCCACCAAAATTTGAATTTTGGGTGTTCTAGTAGAATGAGAGATGGGCAAAGGCATAGAAAACCTATTAACAAAATATTAATTGAAACTTTCCCAAGTCTTGCAAGCGATATAAACATCCAGATGCAGGAAACACAAAGATCCCTAAATAGATTCAACTTAAGAACATCCTCTCCAAGGCACTGTATAGTCAGAGTCAAAAGTCAAAAAAAAAAAAAAAAAAAAAAAAGAGAATTCTGAAAAGTGCAAGAGAAAAGTGTCACGTCACATATAAAGGAATCCCCATGACACTAACAGTGGATTTCTCCACAAAAAACTTACAGGCCAGGAGAGAATAGGATGATATATTCAAAGTGCTAAAAGAAGAAACAAACTGTCAGCCAAGAATGAAATATTCACTAAAACTATCCTTCAGAAATGAAGAAATAAAGTTTTTCCAAGATAAGCAAAAGCTGAGGGAATTCATCAGCACTAGACTGGTCCTAGAATAAATGTTTAAGGGAGTCCTACATCTAAAAGTGAAAAGACAAAATCTACCATCATGAAAACACACAAAAGTATAAAACTCACTGGTAGAGCAGATATACAAGAAAGAGGAAGCACTCATGTTACAACTACCGAAAACCACCAAACAGCAATAATAATAAGAAAGAAAGGAACGAAGGATATATAAACCAACCAGAAAACAATTAAAAAATGACAGGTGTAAGTCCACATCTATCAAATAATAACCTTGAATGTAAATGGATTAAATTCCTCATTTAAAAGATATGGACTGCCTAGATGGGAAAAAAAAAAGACCCAACTATAGGCTGCCTATAAGAAACTCACATTCATCAGCAAAGAATCACATATAGACTGAAAGTGAAGGGATGGAAAAATATATTCCATGCAAATGGAAACCAAAAGTGAAGAGGAGTAGCTATACTTATCGTAGATGAAAGAGACTTTAAATTAAAAAAAGTAAAAAGAGACAAAGAAGGTCATTATATAATGGTGAAGGGATCAATTAAGCAAGGATATATAACAATTTTAAATATATATGCACCCAACACTAGAGCACGTAGATATGAAAGTCAAATATTGTATCTAAAGAGGGAGATAGACTTCAATACAATAATGGTTGGGGACTTCAACATCCTAGTTTTAGCAATGGACAGATAATCTAGATAGAAAATCAACCAGGAAAAGTTGGACTTAAATTGCACTTTAGACCAAATGAACCTAACAGACATTTACAGAACATATTCAAGAGTGGCAGATATGTTGTATGCCTCATCAGCACATGTAAACTTCATCAGAATAGATCATATGTTAGGCCAATAACAAGTCTCAAAAAAGTTTTTTTTAATCAAAATCACATCAAGAACCTTCTCAGGCTATAGTAGAATAAAACTAGAAATCAGTAACAAGAAGAACTTTGGAAACTATAAATACATAAAAGTTAAACAACATGCCTTAAATGACCACTGAGTCAATGAAGAAATTAAGAAAAAAAAATTCTTGAAAGTAATGAAAATTGAAACACAACATACCAAAACCTATGGGATACAGCAAAAGCAGTGCTAAGTTGGAAGTTTATAGCAATAAACACTTGCATCAAAGAAGTATAAAGATTTCAAATAAATTACCTAACAATGCACCTCAAGAAACCAGTAAGATAAAGACAAACTAAATCCAAAATTAGTAGAAGGAAAGAAATAAAGATCAGACAGAAATAAACAAAATAGAGGTTAAAATATACAAAAGATCAACAAAACAAAGAATTGGGTTTTTTAAAAGATTAAAAAAATCAACAAATCTCTAGCTATACTAAGAAAAAGAGAGCAAAGAATCAAATCAATAAAATCAGAGATGAGAAAGGAGTCATTCCAACTGATACTACAGAAAGACAAAGGATCATAAGAGACTATTATAAACAACTATACACTACCAAACTTGGAAACCCAGAGGAAATGGGTAAATTCCTGGACATATACAACCTACCAAGATTGAACGAGGAAGAAATAGAGAACCTGAACAGAACAATAATGAGTAACAATGGCTAATCAGTAATAAAAAGTCTCCCAAGAAAGAAATGCCTAAGACTGGATGACTTTACTGCTTAATTCTACAAAACTTATAAAGAAGAACTAACATGAATTTTTCTCAAACCATTATAAAAAATCCTGAATAGCAGGAAATTCTTCCTAACTCATTCTACAAAGCCAGCACTACTGTTATACCAAAACCATACAAGGACATAGCAAAAAAGAAAACTATAGGCCACTATTACTGATGAACAGAGACACAAAAATCCTCAACCAAATACTAGCTAACCTAATCCAACAACATAGCAAAAAGATAATGCACCATGATCAAGTGAGATATATACCAGGGATGCCAGAATGTTTCAACATATGCAAATCAATATATGTGATATATCACATCAAGAGAATGAAGGACAAATACCATATGATCATTTCAATAGATGCTGAAGATGCATTTTATAAAAGCCAACATCCCTTCATGCTAAAAACTCTAAAAAAATTAGGCATAGAAGAAACATACCTCAACATAATAAAGACTATATACAACAAGCCCACAAATGACATCAAACTGAATGTGGAAAAGATGAAAGCTTTTCCTTTAAGAACTAAAACAAGTCAAGGATACACACTTTCACCTCTCTCATTTAACATACTATTGGAAGTCCTAGCCAGAGAAATTCAGCAAGAGAAAGAAATAAAAGGCATCCTAATTAAAAAATAGGAAGTCAAATTATCCCTCTTTGCTGACAGTATGACCTTATACATAGAAAAACCTAAAGTCTCCAGCAAAAAAACTTTTATAACTGATAAATTAATTCAGTAAAGTTCCAGGATACAAAAATCAGTAATGTTGTACACACCAATAATGAACTATCTGAAAAAGAAATCAAGAAAGCAATTCCAATTTACAACAGCTAGCTACAAAGAACAAAAATACCTAAAAATCTATTTACCCAAAAATGTAACAGATCTACATAAGGGAAATCACAAAACACGGGTTAAAGAAATTGAAGAGGACACAAACAAATGAAAAGATATCCGATGCTCATGGATCAGAAGAATTAAAATTCTTAAAATGACCAAAGCAATCTACAGATTCAATGCAATCTCTATCAAAATACCAGTGACATCCTTCACAGAAATAGAAAAAAAATTATAATATTTGTATGTAACCAAAAAAGAGCCAGAATAGCCAAAGCAATTCTGAGGTATCACACTACCTGACGGGAGGCATCACACTACCCAACTTCAAAATATACTACAAAGATATATATAGTAACTAAAACAGCATGGTATTGGTATAAAAACAGACATGTGGGACAATGAAGCAGAATAGAGAACTCAGATATAAATGTACATATTTATAGCCAACTGATTTTTGACAAAGCTTCCCAGAACACACATTGAGGAAAGAGCATCCTCTTTGATAAATTGTGCTGGGGAAACTGGATGGGGAATGAAACTAGACCCCTATCTCTCACCATATACAAAAGTCAACTCAAAGTGGATTAAAGAATTAAGCATAACACCCAAAACTATAAAACTACTAGAAGAAAACATAGGGACAACACTTCAGGACATTAATCTAGGCAAAGTTTTATGATTAAGACTTCAAAAGCAAGGGCAATAATGAAAAGTAGACAAACTAGACAATGTTAAAAACTTCTGCACAGCAAAGAAAACATTCAACAGAGTGAAGTGATAAGTTGTATAATGGGAGAAAATATTGTAAATGATTTGTTTGAGAAGGGACTAATATCCAGAATATAAGGAACTGAAACAACTCAACAGCAAAAAGTCATATAATCCCATTTTTAAAAACGGGCAAAGGATCTGAATAAACATTTCTCAGAAGAAGATATACAAATGGCCAGCAGGTGATATGGTTTGGGTCTGTGTCCCCACCAAATTTCATGTCAAATTGTAATCCCCAGTGTTAAGAGGTGGGGTCTAGTGAGAGGTGATTTGATCTTGAGGGCAGAGTTCTCATGAGTGGGCTAGTATCATTCCCTCCGTTCTGTTCTTGTGACAGTGAGTGAGTGAGTTCCCGGGAGAGCTGGTTTAAAAGTGTGTGGCGCTTCCTCCCTCTCTCTTCCTCCTGCTCTGGCCATGTAAGATGTGCCTGCTTCCCTTTGCCTTCTGCCATTATTGGAAGCTTCCTGAGGCCTCTGCGGAAGCCTACCAGATCCTGCCATGCTTCCTGTACAGCCTGCAAAATCATGAGCCAATTAAACCTCTTTTCTTTCTAAATGACCCAGTGTCAGGTGTTCCTTTATAAGCAGTGAGAGAACAGACAAATACAGCAGGTATATGAAGAAATGCTCAACATCACTAATCATCAGGTTAATTCAAATTAAAACTACAATGAGATATCATCTCACACCTGTTAGAGAGGCTATTTTCAAAATGAGGAAAGATAACAAATGTTGGTGAGGATGTGGAGAAAGGGGAATCCTTGCACATTGTTGGGGGGAGTGTAAATTAGTACAACCATCATGGAAAACAGTATGGAACTTTCTCAGTAAATTAGAACTAGAACTACCATATGAGTCAGCAATCCCACTTCTGGGTAATTATCCAAAGGATATGAAATCAGTGTGTTGGAGGGATAGCTACACTCCCGTGTTCATTGAGGCATTATTTACAATTACTTACAATAACTAAAATGTGGAAGCAAACTAAATGTCCAGCAGTGGATGAATGGCTAAATAAAATGTTGTATATTTACAGAATGGAACACTATTCAGCCTTTTAAAAAGAAGGAAATACTTTATTTACCACAACATGGAGTAACCTGGAGGACTTTATGTTATGTGAAATAAGCCAGACACAAAGACAAAGTTTGTATGATCTCTTTTATACATGGAAATCTAAAAAGGTCGAACTCATAGAAACAGAGGATAGAATGGTAGCTATCAGGGGCTGCATGGGGAGTGGGAGGTGTTGGGGAGATGTTAGTCAAAGGATATAAAATTTCAGTTAGCTAGGAGTACTAAGTTCAAGAAATCTATTGTACAACATGCTGACTATAGTCAATGTATTGTATTCATGAACATTGCTGAGAGTAGATTTTAAGTGTTTTCACACAAAAATGATAAGTACATGAGGTAATACAGATGCTAGTCAGCTTGATTTAGCTATACCATAGTGTATAAATATTTCAAAATATGCCATACATGATAAATATATATAATTTTTATTTATCTAATTAATTAATTAAAAAACACTGTGGGAGGTAACAAACCATCCAACTGCCTTCCTAGCTCCAAACAGTCTGCAGCTGCTAGTTTGTAACCCCTGATCAAGTATGTGGTAGCTTCCTTGGGAAGCAAACCATACAAAGACTAATTAATAGAGGGTAACATAATTTGGCTTACTATTTTAATAAGTGTTTGACAGACATAGGTAGGTGTGATTATGTAGTACATTGGAATTGTTATATTAAATTTAAGACTATATCATCTTTGCTTAATAGAACAAGTGATAATTGGGAACATTAATAAAATTGAAAGTATTTTAAGGTGACTTCTTGATCTGTTTATCTTGATCATGTGGCCCTAATTTGAATTCTGTTGAACATATAAGTACAGTGAAAGATTATAAAAATATTTTTCTTTCTGAGTGCTTTTTTTTTAAATTAAATCAATGATAAAATATGTAAACGTCACATTTATTTAGTTATGGAGGTAACATAACATTTAAACATTTGAAAAACAGAAAAAAAAATCACTTGAGTTCCACAATCTTAACAACAATTACTATCACTTTTGTGCAGTAACATTATTTTTAACACATTTTGCTACATAAAAATAAATATAAAAACAACATACTTGATTTTGCTTGTTTTCACTTAACATCATAATACATAAATTTGTCCACATAATATAGTCTTAAATAGTAGAAAATGTTGAATTTTTAGTATAGACTGTGGAAAACTTGAAAATTGATTTAAGAGAACTATTAAAATATTTTCTAAAACCTTAAAGTCTTATAAAATTGGCCAAGTGAACATTTGATTCTGAAATCCAATTGGAATGTTTTTAATATTTCTAAAAATGTAATTTGCCAATACATTTGGTAAAGTTTCATCTAATGGACAAAAAAAAAACAAAGAGAAAATATACTTATTCATCACGGTTGGTAGATTTTTCCTGGTGAATGTACAGATTTAAATTGGCACAGATGTTAACTCTAGCAAATAATGGAAAATATAAAACTCTTATCTTTTCTTCCACTGGCCACCCTTCAAAACTCTAAATCTAGCTCTCCCGGACAGTTTGATGAACCTCCTAGGAAGCAGATGGCTTTTAGGCATGACTAGTTCACCTCAGGTCTCCATTATACTCTTTACTCCCATGAGGAGAAATCTCGAGGGATGTTAGACTATGTCACTGATTTTTGTGCTCTGGTTTATGATTCTACAGATGGGAACTGGTTCTAGGCCAGCTGCATGCACATAGCCTAGCTTCATTGAGCAACCCACCTATACTGTACTACCATACTGAACCTACCCACACTATACTGCTACAAGAGTTAGACTCAGAAGAAATGAGCCCTTGGCAGACAGCTAAATTTTCCAACAGGAATAAGACAGGTTTGCTTTTTAGCTTGTTTTTAAACAAATTTACGATTTGGGGATGAGCTGAATAGAACAGATAAAACCAAAGAAAAAGCAAGACAAGCATTATTTTATGTGTAGACACTATGATTTTGTTATCTCAAACCAAGAGTGGCTTTAAAGAGAACTAACTCTTCTGTCTGATTATTGCTACAATAAAGGTATATTGGACAAGTTATTCTGGAACAAAGTTAATAATTATTGAAGGCTTTCCCAATACTTACAAAATGTAAAGTAATAATCCCACACAAGTTAACCTACTCAGTTGTCCACAGGTACATTTTACACATGTGTTACCTTGAAGAGTGAGTGCACCTAGAGGTAACATAAATTAAAGCTAGGCATTCTCTCTATTTTTTAAGGGTAAATGATTTTTGTTTGTTCTATAACATTTTTGTTTCTTCTTAATATAGTAGCAAAAATTAGTTACAAACATAATAAAATGCAAGAGGAAGAGATTCCATCCACAATATAACCTAATATCCTAGGAAACATGAAGGACCTATACAAAGAAAACCACAAAACTGCTGAAAGGTACAAAAGAAGAGATATGACATTCTTCAATGAGAGAGCAAATTCTTATTTGTATAACTCAATGCCAATGAAAGCCACATTTTCTTTACAACATAATTATAAAGTTTGGAAAAATAAATAAGTGGCTGTATTAGTGGAGAATAGCTACGTCTAAAGCTATAATAATTCAAGAACTATAGTATAGACATGGGAGTAGGCAGATACATCTGCAAAATAATCGCTGTCTAGGAGAATTTCATATGTGATCCATGGGACATTAAAAACCAGTAACAAAAGATTATTCAGTAAAACTTTGGGGAAACAATTATTACTAAATATTTTGGAAAAAATCAGTGTAGAGCCTCATCTTTCATTTTTGAATGGACTAAAAGGATATATAAACTAAGTCAAATTACTTAAAAAGATTTTGACAAAAATATAATTTAATATTGAATTTTCCTAGAGGAGAGGACTATGTATCTTAGAAAGGATTAAATAATTGTGATTTTAAAAGCCCAATAAACTCACATTTTCAGGCTAAATTTTAAACAAAATCCTAACGAAAGAAAAACTATAACTGGCGGCAACATTTGCAGAAAATGCTGCAGACAAAAATGATTTTTGTAGTTCTTTATATTATACTTACAACTTTCTCTTTAAGTTTAGGATTATATCAAAATTTAAAGTATGTGTATTTATGAATACCTTGGCTATGTGAAGAATTCTTGCAACTCGATAAGTTATAAAAACTCTTTTACCCAGTAGATGAATAGGTAAAAGACATGAACAGAAAGTATACACACAAACACACACACACTGACCAAAGGAAAAAAGGTGGGTAACAGATGTGGCAGAAAAATATTCAGTCCTGTAGCAAAGAAATACAAATTTTAAAAAAGACTTCAATTTATACCTACCAAATTTTGGTTTTGTTTTTACTGATAATATCAAATGAATAATGGGTATAATGAAACAGGCACCCTTTCTCATTACTGGTGGGAGTGTAAGTTAGAATAAGCAGTTTCGCCATTTGTATCAAGAGTCTTGCATTCTTCAATAGCAGTACCACTTCTAGTAACTTCCCTAATGGGAAAACCTGGAAAATAAAAAGCTTTATGCACAAAGATGTTCACTAATAATTTCTTTTATCAATGAAAACTTGGAAACTACTTAAATGTCAAGCTTCTCAGAAGGTTATTAGATAAATTATTAAATATTAAATAACCATTAAGATGATGTTTACAGAGAAATTTCTAAAATAATGTGATTAAATGTGCTAAATAATGAAAGCAAGATGCAAAATTGTTTACCGAATATGATCACATATTTGTAAAAATGGAGACATGGCGAAAAATGAATTTTTAAAATGTTAAAAATGTTACATGCTAACAGTAGTTGCTTTGAGCGAAGGAGCTATGAGTAATTTTGTTCTTTTAATTATTTTATATTTACCAAAATTTCTATAAGGAGAATTGTTAATCTTTTTTATGATTATATAGTGTGACTCATTAACAATTGCTACTAAGTCTACAGCAGCAGAGAAATCTCATGCTAATGATAGAGTTCAGGTTTCTGATTTTAATAAAGGTACTCTAGATGAGTTTTTAAGCCAAGGGTGGTAATGATCTCAATTCCATCTCACACTAGCAGCCATAGAGAGGACAGGTATATGGAAAAAAAGCTGATGGGCCACAAACTCTCTTGCTGTATGTTTCAATGCCACAAGAGATCCAGTGCTTAATTGGGCCTGAGAGAGAAAAAAAACTTTTAGGAAAAATATAATTCTACTAGAATTTCTGAATGGTCATTTTTTTAAAAGCTTTAAAAAAATTTTAAATGACTTTTTTCTGAGTACAAGAATAATAAATGCTTATTATAAAAGTTTCAACTGTTGTAGGTATTTATGATGGAGAGTGTGCTACTATTACAGTTTGCTATATATTACTCCAAATTTTTTGGATGAATATTTAATATTTTTAAGATAATAATGGGATCAGTCTAAACATACTGTTTTGTAACTTGAGTTTTCAGTTAACAGTATATTGTGGATATCCCAGCGCAGTGGCTCACACCTGTAATCCACTTTGGAAGGCCTAGGCAGGCGGATCACCTGAGGTCAGGAGTTTGAGACCAGTCTGGCCAACATGGCGACACCCCATCTACTAAAAACACAAAAATTAGCCAGACGTGGTGGTGCACACCTGAGTAGTCCCAGCTACTCAGAAGGCTGAGGCAAGAGAATCGTTTGAGTTTGGGAGGCAGAGGTTGCAGTGAGCCGAGATCACACCATTGCATTCCAGCCTGGGCAACAGAGTGAGACTCCGTCTCAAAAACAAACAAAAACACCCCAAAACAAACAAAAAACAGAATATTGTAGACAATTTCCCTTGTATGAACACATGGGCTCCTCACATTTGTTTTAATGTTTTATAATATTCCTTTTTTGGTATACTAAAATTTATTTAATCAATTGCCGAGTGATAATCATTTTGGTTAGCAATTCCTCATTATTATCAACAATACTACATTGAATATACACATATGTCTTTGTGCATTTGCATAACAAAAAGTCTAAAATGTTTGGCCAGGTGCGGTGGCTCACGCCTGTAATGCCAGCACTTCGGGAGGCTGAGGCAGGTGGATCACGAGGTCAGGAGATCGAGACCATCCTGGCTAACATGGTGAAACCCTGTCTCTACTAAAAATACAAAAAATTAGCTGGGCATGGTGGCGGGCGCCTGTAGTCCCAGCTACCTGGGAGGCTGATGCAGGAGAATCACTTGAACCCAGGAGGTGGAGGTTGCAGTGAGCCGAGATTGCGCCACTGCACTCCAGCCTGGGTGACAGAGCAAGACTCTGTCTCAAAAAAAAGAGAAAATACAAAAAGTCTAAAATGTTTGAATATTTTACAATAAACACATATACCTCAAATATTTCTGTATGATAAATTCCTAGAAATGGAACTTCTGGGAAAAAGCTTATTGCTAAGCAGACATTTACAATGTTGTTACACTCACTACTCTGTAATAAGAATGCCTGTGTCCTCACATCATCAGCAATCTAGTATATTATCACATTTTGTTTTGTCTTGTTTGGGCCAATCTAAGAGGTGAAATATATTGCCCTGGTTTTCTTTTGTAGTTCTATAATTATTAGAACTGTTTAAATCTTTTCCTAGGTCTGTTGGTGATTTGTTTTTCTTCTAGGAACTGGCCATTGTCCCTTGTCTGTATTTCTAGTCGATTATCTTTTTTTGTTAGTTTGTAAAAACTCTTTTTAGACGAGGGAATGTAGCCTTTAATTATGTGTTATATGCACAATTTTATAAGGGTTCTTCTTTTGACTCTTTTTATTTCAATTTTTGTATAGAAATTTTTTAATTTGAATGTAGTTATATTTATCAGTTTTTTTTCTAATTCTGGGTTCATATCATGCTTAGAAAGGCCTTCTCTGCTTCAAGATTATAAATAATATTCATTATTATGTTTTCTTCAAGTATTTTTATTATTTCATTATTTTACATTTTTACTGTTGAAGCATTTGGAACTTATTTGATGCTAAGGGGTGAAATGGAGATTCAGCTAACTTTTTCACAAATGGCTAGTCCAGTAGGCCTAATACCACTTATTAAATAATCCATCTCTTCTACACTAATTTAAATGCCACATTTATGATGTACTAAATTCTCCTGTATACCTGGTATATCACTAGAATCTATTTACCTCTGCTCCTGAGCCAAGAAATGGCAACTTTTTTTTTTTTTTTTTTTTTTTAGTAAATGTACTCTCAGTAGAGAAACCAAATAATACTGTTCTGAGTTGAACATCCCTAGACTATATCAAAACTTCATGTATTAGGCTGTTTTTGCATTGTTATAAATACCTGAGACCGGGTAATTTATAAGAAAAGATGTTTAATTGGCTCATAGTTCTACAGGCTGTACAGGAAGCGTGGCGCCAGCATCTGCTTCTGGGGTAACCTCAGAAAGCTTTTGCTCATGGCAGAAGGTAAAGACAAGAGAGAGAATGACAGGGGAGGTGCTACACTTACAACAACCAGATCTCGTGAGAACTCACTATCACAAGGACAGCACCAAGCCATGAGGCATCTGCCCCCATGACCCAACACCTCGCACCAGGCTCCACCTCCAACACTGGAGATTACATTTCAACACAAGATTTGGGCAGGGACAAATATCCAAACTATATCACTTCCCTTTTACTAATTTATCTTTCAAGACGAATCATCAGTCTTTGGAAATTTGGTTAACATGGCCAAAAGTCAAATTTGGTATCATGTCCAACCCACTGTGAGCATTACCCACAGCTTCTTACCCAGACTTTGCTTGTCAAAGAAGGATTAATAATGTTCATCTCTCAATATCCCTAGCCAGTAAGTTCACTGTGACAAAATAATAGAACCATAAATTGAAAGTCTTATCCATAATAAAGATTGGTGACATCAGTTTCAGCTGTGGAACTTTTCCTCTCAAAGATGCTCTGAGCATGAATGAATATTTAGATTCATACGTAGAAATGAGTAACTAAGAATCTCCTTTTCCAGCTAGTTCATCTAACCGCATATAGATTTACATTGAAAACACTGAAAAGAGACGTAGTATTTTAGCTTAAGGGAACATACTGAATGAGTAGAGCTCACATAGAATCAATAACATGGAGATTTGCCACAGTCTACTTTTTGCCACTGTGTGTGTGTGCGTGCGTGTGTGTGTGTGTGTGTGTGTGTTAGACTTCTTTCTTCAGTGAGCATTGCATGAAGAAAAAAAGCGACCCTGCGGCCACAATCTCAGTACCTCAGATGAAATGCCATAGTGTGTTTCTAGATTCCATTTTGTAGGTTTATTGCAGTGACTCATTCCTCCTGTGTAATACCTAGACCCAGGGTCGACTTACCTATTAGACAGAGTAGGTACATTGCCTAGGCACAATACTTGCAGGGGCCCACGAAAATGTTTTAATTTCCTTTAAAATCGGAAGCAAAAAGAAAATGAACTTTTAGGTCAGATAAAATGTTTTATTATAGACTATTAATATATTCATCTTTATACCAACCCATTTATAAAATATAATCTTTAATATTTGCTTGTGGAGCAAGGGGCCCACAGAAGTCATAACACACCCTTGCCTGTCCCTCAAAAAATTTCTTGCGAAAGGAACACTGTAAGTTTGGTAATTCCATCATCTCTCGTTCCCTCTTAGAAATTTATAATTAAAGTCTCCTAGAGGCCCTGCAATTTAAAAACAAAAACAAAAACCTGTCCAATTTAGCTTACTCCAGAGTTCTCCAGATGTATTTGATCCTGAAACCTTTTTTTCCCACATGATAACTACTGTCTTCCCCCAGAACTAGTGATCCATGGAAGACTTGGGAAAAACATCACTTCCTATTTAAGATTCAAAATTGATCAAGAGAAACTATAGCTGAAATCTCTCAACCTCCCCACCGCCCCCCCCAACTTTTTTTTTTTTTTTAGCAGAGTATACAGAAGCCTAAGGGATTATTCTTTGTTCTATGCAAATAGAATTAAAATGCATACTTGATGCTCTTTGAGAAGCATGCTACTAATACAGCCCTAACTATCCACTTGGCAAAAGAATTTTATAGTTGCACGAGTTTCAGATGTATGCTACACAGCTCACTGAGACCCATTTAAATTCTGTTTTCTTGATTAAGTTTGCAGTGGTGTGAGGACGAAAATAATTCCCAAACGGCAAGGAAGGGTGAAAAGCTGCTTTCCGGAATCCCACAACATGTTATTCCTTAACCTACCATATCTTATTAAGAGTGACTTAAAATCTGTCCACACTCAAAAGGTTTCTCCAGTAACAGATTTCTTGGTTCCATCTCAGTTCCTGCAGTTCCCATAACCACAGCCTATTCAATTTAGCAGTGCTCGGCTGTGTGAATGTTGAAATTAAAAAGCGCTCTCAAAATTCAATCCATAGCAAAACTGACCTAACTTAGAAGCATCTCCACAGTCAGATTTAATAAAAAGATATGAGTTTGAGGTAGAAGGCAGAAGAAGGATAAGTTTCTCTGAGGAATAAAATAAAAGCAGAAAATGTGGATTTTTTTTAACAGTTTATACTGACTAATGTCCCTTTTCAAAAGTCAGTTTTCTGTTTGATAGAAAATGTCAAAGACACTAAGTCATTTCTTTTGAACTTTCAGAAGTTTCATCCATTTAGGAAGATGATCTCTATTCTTTTTTTGGAAGCAGACACATTTGTCTGCCCATAGTGTTTTCAAATACATCAATTTCTCGCCTGGGAGAAACTCACAAGCCTTCTGGTTAAATGGAAACCATCACATCCAGGTGATCATAATATTTTTTACAATTAGGAAACAAAATTCCTTTTGAGGAAGAAAACCTGCTCATTTAACTACAGACTTGACTTCTAGAAGATTGAGAATTGATGTAATTTCCTCAAACACATGTATTTAGAAAAGCAAACAAATTTTTGTACATTGATTTTGTATCCTGAGACTTTGCTGAAGTTGCTTATCAGCTTAAGGAGATTTTGGGCTGACACAATGGGGTTTTCTAGATATACAATCATGTCATCTGCAAACAGGGACAATTTGACTTCCTCTTTTCCTAATTGAATACCCTTTATTTCCTTCTGCCTAATTGCCCTGGCCAGAACTTCCAACACTATGTTAAACAGGAGTGGTGAGAGAGGGCATCCCTGTCTTGTGCCAGTTTTCAAAGGGAATGCTTCCAGTTTTTGCCCATTCAGTATGATATTGGCTGTGGGTTTGTCATAGATAGCTCTTATTATTTTGAAATATGTCCCATCAATACCTAATTTCTTGAGAGTTTTTAGCATGAAGCGTTCTTGAATTTTGTCAAAGGCCTTTTCTGCATCTATTGAGATAATCATGTGGTTTTTGTCTTTGGCTCTGTTTATATGCTGGATTACATTTATTGATTTGCATATATTGAATCAGCCTTGCATCCCAGAGATGAAGCCCACTTGATCATGGTGGATAAGCTTTTTGATGTGCTGCTGGATTCGGTTTGCCAGTATTTTATTGAGGATTTTTGCATCAATGTTCATCAAGGATATTGGTCTAAAAATCTCTTTTTTTGTTGTGTCTCTGCCCAGCTTTGGTATCAGGATGATCCTGGCCTCATAAAATGAGTTAGGGAGGATTCCCTCTTTTTCTATTGATTGGAATAGTTTCAGAAGGAATGGTACCAGTTCCTCCTTGTACCTCTGGTAGAATTTGGCTGTGAGTCCATCTGGTCCTGGACTCCTTTTGGTTGGTAAGCTGTTGATTATTGCCACAATTTCAGAGCCTGTTATTGGTCTATTCAGAGAGTCAACTTCTTCCTGGTTTAGTCTTGGAAGGGTGTATGTGTCGAGGAATTTATCCATTTCTTCTAGATTTTCTAGTTTATTTGCGTAGAGGTGTTTGTAGTATTCTCTGATGGTAGTTTGTATTTCTGTGGGATCGGTGGTGATATCCCCTTTATCATTTTTTATTGCGTCTATTTGATTCTTCTCTCTTTTCTTCTTTATTAGTCTCGCTAGAGGTCTATCAATTTTGTTGATCCTTTCAAAAAACCAGCTCTTGGATTCATTAATTTTTTGAAGGGCTTTTTGTGTCTCTATTTCCTTCAGTTCTGCTCTGATTTTAGTTATTTCTTGCCTTCTGCTAGCTTTTGAATGTGTTTGCTCTTGCTTTTCTAGTTCTTTTAATTGTGATGTTAGGGTGTCAATTTTGGATCTTTCCTGCTTTCTCTTGTGGGCATTTAGTGCTATAAATTTCCCTCTACACACTGCTTTGAATGTGTCCCAGAGATTCTGGCACCAATAACAGACAAACAGAGAGCCAAATCATGAGTGAACTCGCATTCACAGTTGCTTCAAAGAGAATAAAATACCTAGGAATCCAACTTACAAGGGATGTGAAGGACCTCTTCAAGGAGAACTACAAACCACTGCTCAAGGAAATAAAAGAGGATACAAACAAATGGAAGAACATTCTATGCTCATGGGTAGGAAGAATCAATATCATGAAAATGGCCATACTGCCCAAGGTAATTTATAGATTCAATGCCAGCCCCATCAAGCTACCAATGACTTTCTTCACAGAATTGGAAAAAACTACTTTAAAGTTCATATGGAACCAAAAAAGAGCCCACATCGCCAAGTCAATCCTAAGCCAAAAGAACAAAGCTGGAGGCACCACGCTACCTGACTTCAAACTATACTACAAGGCTACAGTCACCAAAACAGCATGGTACTGGTACCAAAACAGAGATATAGATCAATGGAACAGAACAGAGCCCTCAGAAATAACGCCGCATGTCTACAACTATCTGATCTTTGACAAACCTGACAAAAACAAGCAATGGGGAAAGGATTCCCTGTTTAATAAACGGTGCTGGGAAAACTGGCTAGTCATATGTAGAAAGCTGAAACTGGATCCCTTCCTTACACCTTATATAAAAATAATTCAAGATGGATTAAAGACTTAAACGTTAGACCTAAAACCATAAAAACCCTAGAAGAAAACCTAGGCATTACCATTCAGGACATAGGCATGGGCAAGGACTTCATGTCTAAAACACCTAAAGCAATGGCAGCAAAAGCCAAAATTGACAAATGGGATCTAATTAAACTAAAGAGCTTCTGCACAGCAAAAGAAACTACCATCAGAGTGAACAGGCAACCTACAAAATGGGAAACAATTTTCACAACCTACTCATCTGACAAAGGGCTAATATTCAGAATCTACAATGAACTCAAACAAATTTACAAGAAAAAAACAAACAACTCCATCAAAAAGTGGGCGAAGGACATGAACAGACACTTCTCAAAAGAAGACATTTATGCAGCCAAAAAACACATGAAAAAATGCTCACCATCACTGGCCATCAGAGAAATGCAAATCAAAACCACAATGAGATACCATCTCACACCAGTTAGAATGGCAATCATTAAAAAGTCAGGAAACAACAGGTGCTGGAGAGGATGTGGAGAAATAGGAACACTTTTACACTGTTGGTGGGACTGTAAACTAGTTCAACCCTTGTAGAAGTCAGTGTGGCGATTCCTCAGGGATCTAGAACTAGAAATACCATTTGACCCAGCCATCCCATTACTAGGTATATACCCAAAGGACTATAAATCATGCTGCTATAAAGACACATGCACACGTATGTTTATTGCGGCACTATTCGCAATAGCAAAGACTTGGAACCAACCCAAATGTCCAACAATGATAGACTGGATTAAGAAAATGTGGCACATATACACCATGGAATACTATGCAGCCATAAAAAAGGATGAGTTCATGTCCTTTGTAGGGACATGGATGAAACTGGAAGTCATCATTCTCAGTAAACTATTGCAAGGACAAAAAACCAAACACTGCGTATTCTCACTCATAGGTGGGAATTGAACAATGAGAACACATGGACACAGGAAGGGGAACATCACACTCTGGTGACTGTTGTGGGGTGGGGGAGGGGGGAGGGATAGCTTTAGGAGATATACCTAATGCTAAATGACGAGTTAATGGGTGCAGCACACCAGCATGACACATGTATACATATGTAACTAACCTGCACATTGTGCACATGTACCTTAAAACTTAAAGTATAATAATAATAAATTTAAAAAATAAAAAAAATTAGAAACATAAGAACTTCATAAATTTCACTGAATTATTCTTATATTTTTGCCTGAAAGGCCTTTGCATTTTATCTGTGAAAGCAGCAGACTCTGTTGCAATGTCTCTTTGATGAAATATACACAATAAAGGATGAGGGATCTATTAAAAAAAAAAAGAAAAAGAAAAGCAAACAAATAACACAAAAACACCATTTAGTCAGGCTCTCATTTGTGTGTCTTTTATCCCAGTCAGTAAACTTCACTGGAGTTATTTGATTAGAGGTCTGTCTGATTTTTCTTAAAGTAGACAAGTTGACAAGTTGTTGAGGATAGAGCTTGTGATATTTGGCTTGAACTTTTAAATGCCTGCTACAGTAGCTAGCGCATATTAGATTAGTAAAGTTTGGGGAATGAAGATCTAATCATTTGGTAGCTTTTAAAAATAGTATTACCTACTGGAAATGTTAAATATAGTCATGACTGTTCACTATATTGTTACTGTTCATCCCGAATGCTGATATTGTGCAAGCATATGGAAAAAAATTCTCAAGAAGTAGTGCTTTAATGAAATAGAATTTCACAGGATATCACTTATAGTGTGTGTGTGTGTGTGTGTGTGTGTTTGTGTGTGTGTGTGTGTTGAGAGAGAGAGAGGAAAGAGGGAAAAATTTCCTTGTCTGACAGAAGGGTTAAAGATCTGATAAAATTGCTGACACTGATTTTATATACTCTTAAAGTCTTACCAGGCTCCTTATTTTTGAGTCAGTGGACACATCTATAACTTTTTTCGGACACTACTGAACACTAATAAAAAATAGCAGCAAATGAAAAGGAAATTGTTTTAATGGCAAATTATTTACATAATCTTCCTGAACACTCTAACTGGAATAACTGGAAAGATAGCTAATAAGTACAGACAGTCCCCAACATACCATAGTTCAACTTATGACTTTTTGA
Organism: Homo sapiens; assembly: GCF_000001405.40. Taxonomy (NCBI): domain Eukaryota; kingdom Metazoa; phylum Chordata; class Mammalia; order Primates; family Hominidae; genus Homo; species Homo sapiens. Next base: position 69,679,095 of record NC_000009.12, on the reverse strand, counting down.
CTTTACAATGGTGGGAAAGCTATAGGCATTGAGTAGAAACTGTAACTCCACCAAGGAGTGTCTGTATAATCAGTCAGCCAACAAATATTTGATGAGTTCTTCCTGGGTACTCCGTAATATGCTACGTATTTAGTGGAGGAAATACTAAGAGAATGTAGTTGACATTTGCTCACTGATCTTTCAGGGTTCATAAACAACTTGGAGAGGTGATACCAACAACGTGGAACAAAATACCTAACAGAAAACAGGAATAGAGCAGTGATTTTAAATCATGTGTCCATATGTCAGTGCCATTCTAGAAACAGCACCAAGGGGGACTCCTGCCAAAAATGAATAATGGTAACATATATATACACATACATATGCATGTATATATAATTTTTGTCTACAAACTGGTAAGAGGAAAATATCTATTGGAATTTTCTCAATTTTATATTCTTATTCTAGGCATCTTCCTTCAGTCATTGGTATTTACTACCACTTGATTTACTAATAAGATGGCAAAAAGTTATAAATCTGTAGCAAACACATGTTAAAAGAAAAAATTCTGAAATTGCTGAGCACTTAATTTCACAGCTTATTTTCAAGGAAATATACTTGTAATGGCATATTTTATATAGAAACCACATAGTCATAATTTCTTCTGGTAAAATTGTGCCTGGTTTGTAGGATGAATTAAATATGTCAATATTTTATAGTGTTCCTACCAGATGACCATCATATTCAACTACTTTACTGTCAAAATAAATTTGGAAACAACCAAATATATAAGCAAGTGTTAAACGGAATGAGCAACCAATTTAATCATTTTTAAAATCTATTTCTATCCTGACATTCCACAAAGGCTGTGAGGCTCCTAGTGCTACAAACAAATGCTCAGAAGATAAGGTATTTCAATGAGAGTAAATTAGTCTAAAAACATTTTCTTAAAGCATGCGGTGTTTAAAATAAGCCTTGAAGGATAAATCAAATTTGGAAAAAATGCTTTAGAAATGCAAAGTGACCCAATAATTATTTTTATGGCATCTGGTGGTAAGGGGTATTAATGTTTACAGCCACATTCTTAGTATTATTGTTTTTCAAATTAAGGTCATCTGTACGTTGGTTTAAAAAAAAACGTAAGCTACCGAAACATAGAAAGAAGAAAATAACCCTATTACTTGAGTGAGCTACCATTCACATTTTGATGTATTCTTTTCTGTGCATTTTTTAAAGTTATGGCCATCCATCTACAGAATTTTTTATCTAGGCTTTTTCAGTTAAGATGTGAAATTAACTTTTTCCATGTTATTAAAAAAAATCTGGCCAGGTGCGGTGACTCATGCCTGTAATCCCAGCACTTTGGGAGGATGAGGCAGGCAGATCACGAGGTCAGGAGTTCGAGACCAGCCTGACCAAAATGGTGAAACCCCGTCTCTACTAAAAATACAAAAAAGAGCTGGGCATGGTGGCACGTGCCTGTAATCCCAGCTACTCAGGAGGCTGAGGTAGGAGAATTGCTTGAACCTGGGAGGCGGAGGTTGCAGTGAACCAAGATAGGGCCACTGCATTCCAGCCTGGGTGACAGAGTAAGACACTGTCTCAAAAAAAAAAAAAAAAAATCTGTGCATATGGTTATCTTTAAAGGCTGCATAGTATTCCACTGTACAGTCATACTGATCTATATACCAATTTCCTTATTGTGGTACATTTACATTGAAGTTTATAGTTTTTCACTATTATATGCCTGAGGTGAACAGGGAAGGTGGTGTTTTTGTTTCCCTCTTTCCATTTCACCCTTTTTGTAGTCACCAGATCTTGCTCTATCCTCAATCAGCCATGTGGTTTGGGGAGGATTGACCCAGCTCCAGGACTGGGAGCTGATTGGTTTAAGTTAGTCAGTGTAACCCAAGCCCCTGGCCATGGAGTATGGTTCAGAGAATGGGATTACAACCATTTTTAAAAGTCAATATGTTCCCATGACATTATTTACTCAAAAACTTCATTTTCAGAGGTAGAATTACCATATGGGGCACCAGAATGTCTTCCAATGTATCAGATAAACACATAGTACAAAATTCTGGTTGGACTCATTAAAGGGCACAGTGGGAGAAAAAGAGAAGGAGCCTGACCTTGTTTGCAGAATAAAAAAGAAAAGAAGGGCATTATTTCTCTGGACAGATTTCATGCCCAGAGAAAAAGCTGGTGAAATAAGCATCTGTATATACAAGCAAATTTATTGAAGTTTATGATACATACATGTCATAATTGTGTATTTCTTTCATACACTTTAAATCCTGTGACCAAAAAGGCTATACAATATGTTAGGAATTATGCTGGATTATTAAATATTAGCAGAACTGAAATCCTCAAGAGAAACCAGATTACCGAAGGTTGTTCTATGCTTGTCTTACATACAACCTCAGCTCATAAACTCAAGGACTGATACAGAAAGAGGGTAATCACTAAAGAACTTGAAATCAAGGAAAAGTATCAACTTATGTCAGAAGAAGGATGTCTAATTTAAGCTATCCAGAACCATATCAAAAGCTGGAAGATATGGTCACACTCTTGCAGAGTTTGAATGGATGTAGTGAATCATGGAATCTTCAAGTCTTTGTTGATAAAAATAACCCTAAATGAATAAAAGTTTTTGAATCTCTGTCCTTTTACCAAGTGACCAACAGTGCTTGTGACGGTAACATATACAGATACTCCTTGACTTATGGTGGGGTTACATAAGTCAAAAATGCATTTAAGGCCAAGCACAGTGGCTCACGCCTGTAATCCCAGCACTTTGGGAGGCCAGGGCGGGTGGATCACTTGAAGTCAGGAGTTTGAGACCAGCCTGGCCAAAATGGTGAAACCCTGTCTCTACTAAAAATACAAAAATTAGCCGGGCATGGTGGTGGGCGCCTATAGTCCCAGCTACTAGGGAGGCTGAGGCAGGAGAATCGCTTGAACCCGGGAGGCAGAGGTTGCAGTGACCCAAGACTGCACCACTGTACTCCAGCCTGGGCAACAGAGTGAGGCACTGACAAAAAAAAAAATTAATACCCTGATAAGCCCAAAAGTAAGGTCAAAAACTTCTAAGTCGAACCATCATAAGACAGGAACCGTCTGTATTGGTATAGTGTAGGCTGATGGAGTTTGGGACCTCAGAGATTAAACTAAAGGAGATTATCTATGAGCCATTGGGAGACATACTTAAGTTTGCCAATAATATGAGGTTTTATACTGGCATGCACGGAGACTTTAGGTGCACATGCAGTGGTGGTTAAGGCTTTACTTTAAACCCAAGTCACTTGGCACAGTGTCTATACTATTGTTACCTGCTTCAATGGTTGGCAGGTTGCCAGTGTTTTATTTTTAGTGACATGGTCTTGCTCTATCACCCAGGCAGAAATGCTATGGCACAATTATAGCTTACTGCAGCCTCAACCTCCTGGATTAAAGCAATCCTCCCATCTCAGCCTCCCAAGTAGCTAGGACTGCAGGAATTCGCCACCATGCCCACTAATTTTTTTTTTTTTTTGAGAGACGGGGGTCTTACTATGTTGCCCAAGCTGGTCTTGAACTCCCCAGCAATCCTCCCACGTTGGCCTCCCAAAGTGCTGGGATTACAGGCATGAGCCACCATGCCTGGCTGCCAGTATTTTATATACTGCTTCCTGAAACACTTGAATAGCAGTTTCGACCCTGTTAACAGGAGAAGGTGGATTGGAGTGGTGGATTGGAGTGCCTTATAAGAGATCTACTAAAAAGAAAAACATCAATAAAGCAGGCACAGGAAATCTATAAATAGAATAGAACAAGACCAAAGGAGGGATTAAGACATGGATCTACATGCCATATGGATCCACTCATTTCCTACAATGATCTGAAAATTTGGCTTTGAGTTTCCTGCCAGCGAAGGCACAGAGTAACAAGAGCACTTAAGACAATGATTCATGCTATCCAGAAGAAATAGGAATATGTGTTTTTCATGGGGGTGGGGGAGGGAGGGAAATTTCCACATATGAACATTTGGTAAGTAATTAGTTTTGGAGGTCTCTAAGCTACCATTATAACTAACAATTATTACCTTTCTTTATATGGCACTGAATACTTTGCAGAGAAATTTCACATAACTTTCTTTACACAAAAATCCTGCGAGGTAAGATTCCAGGATATTATTAAAGCAATAATGTAACCCTTATTCATGCATCTAAGAACCTAGTCTAACTGGAAAGGCAACACAAAAAGTAGAAAATAAGCAGAAAGATCTCTGAGATAGCAAACCAAATGGCAATAAGTGTATGCACAGAAAAGAGCCTCTCACTCAGAACCTATATTCTCTTATTTAACCTGAAATTCTAACAGGGTTCATTTCCTTCCTAAAACTGCAGTGGATTAAAAGTAACAAAACAGAAACTATTACAGAGAAGCACTCTGAAAGCCTCCTAGATGCGTACACAGGAGAGCAGAGGCAAGAACTAAAAACAATCAAAAGAGCAGTTAGTGCAAAAACAGAAAACCCTAAACACTCACTAAGTAGGATAAGCTCAGACTCTCTCCGCCCTGGATCCTGACCCTCCACGAATCAGTTCCTCACAAACCACCTCAGCCATCTTTCAGGAACGGAAATGTGATCCTGCTTGCCTGCTCCCAACTCTTGGCAACCCTTCATTGACTTTCCAGGCTCATAAGACAAAATCATTATTTAAAAACGGTCCACAAAGTCTGCCTGCCTCTCCAGTCTCATCTCACTTCGGCCCCACCTGCTTGGGCCTTTTCACATTTCCTTCCCTTTACCTGGAAGTGTCTCAATGCTGCCTCTCCTGGGGGATCTGAAATGTCATTTCCTTAGAAAGCCTTACCTAGTCCCAGAGTCCACATTAGGTTTTCCCGTGCACCTTAGCGCCTTTGCAGTTGAGAATTTATCACAGTTGCACTTAGTCTGATTGTTTTATTTGTTTGTTTGTTTTTTGAGACACCAAGGCTGGAGTGCAGTAGCGCGATCTCGGCTCACTGCAACCTCCGCCTCCCGGTTCAAGCATTCTCGTGCCTCAGCTTCCCGAGTAGCTAGGATTACAGGCGTGCACCAACACGCCCGGCTAATTTTTGTGTTTTTAGTAGAGACAGGGTTTCGCCATGTTGACCAGGCTGATCTCAAACTTTTGGCCTAAAGTGATCTGCTGGACTCAGCCTCCCAAAGTGCTGGGATTACAGGCGTGAGCCACCGCGCCTGGCCAGTCTGATAGTTGAATACCTATTTCCTTCAGCGTACTGTGAGCTCTGGTGGAAAAGGACCATGTCTGGCTCGTACATATGCCAAATAAGTATTCACCGGAAAAAATATGAGTAATGTCACAGGACAAGCAGACATCTTCCTAGTATATAATTTTAAATTTTACTAAAATCTTTTTGAGAAGGTAGCTATTGTTTTATTAAAGCAAAAAAAAATTACAAAGTACAATGCAAAATTCATATGAATTTTAAAGCTAAAACAAGACTTTCAGAATGCTTTAGGCTACACCCCCAGACTTCTCTAGAGACGTGCTTAAAATAATATGGAAACACGGTGTGGTAAAAGATCCATTTCCCAAGGGATCTGGATAACCAGCGCTTATCTTCATTTTACTGGAGAATACATGTGCGGAGAGGGCTTTGCAAACTACAAGGCTTTGTGCATTATAACATTATTATGGAAAAATCTGTGTTTCTAAGAGGGGGAATGATTTAGCTATTGCATTGCCAATTACAGGTGGGGCTGGCGCCAGAGCCCAGGCCTCCCGGGGCCTGTCTAGCCCACAGCTTTTCATTAATGCACAGCACTTGCCACCTGGTCCCTGCCGCAAAGGGTGGCCTCTCGAGTTAGGAGCCATATCTAGGGCGGATGGCCTGTGCTAGGCTCAAAGACACTTAAGTTCCGATCAACCAGAACTGAGGAGCGGGTAGGAAAACCAAGCCGAGCCTTCCTCGGCTTCACAATCCGCAGGCTCTCCGCTGTCCCCGGCGGGACTCGGCAGTTCCCCTGGAGGGCTGCAGCCCGGCTGTCTTCGCTCAGGCCCAAGCCCGCGCGGCTCTCCCCCTGGCGGAGAACTCGCAGGACTGCGACGCATTCCGGAGACGCCGTCAATCTCCGAATTTGAAGCGCAGGCGATATCTAAGGGGCCTGGGAAGCGGGAAAGCTCGGGAGTCACTCCGGAGAGAACACCCTGCAGGAGTCGACGCGGCTGCCTGGCTTCGTGGTCCTGCAGCGTGGCCCGTTGCTTCGCGCAGAGGTTGGCCACAGCTGCTGGCTAGGAAACTGGGGACCACCTGGGTTGCCACCGAGGAGGGTGGAGGCCCCCGTCAGTCCCCTCGGGGATGCAGCTGCATTTTCCCCTCCTTGCGTCCGGCCGGGAGCCAGAGGATGGGGCTGTGGAACCCATTCCGAAAGGCAGGGCGGGCCCTTCGGAACCCGGACGCGAGGGAAGGCGAGAGGCGCGGGTGTGCCGCACGCCCACCGGCGCCGGGGCAGGGGCGCTGCAGCCGGCGGCCCACGGAGGACATCAGCGGTGCCGCCGCCGCCGCCGCGGGCTCGCGGGCCGCGCGCGCACGCGAGTGGGCGAGGGAGGCAGGGGCGCTACTAGCAGGCGGCGTGCGCGCGCGCGCTCCCCCGCGCCCTCCCTCGCAGGCCCGCCCGGCCCCAGCGCGCGTCACGAGGGGCCAGCGAGCTAGCTGGAGGGCGGGAGGGAGGGTGGGGAAAGGGGGTGGGGCCGCGAGACCGGAGGGGTCCGAGCAGCGGCTGCGGAGCCGGAGCTGGGCGAGGGCGGCTGCGGTCCCGGCGGCGGCGGCGGCGGCGGCAGCTGCGGCGGGAGAAGATGGTGGCGCTGGAGGCAGCAGCGGCTGGAGCGGAGCTTTATTCCCAGGCTTGGCACCAGCGCTGTCACTAGCGCCGCCTGCTCCCGCGGGCCCGCGGACCCAGCTGTCAGGCAAGGTACCACAGCCAGGGAGGGGTGGGTGAGAAGGGGTGCCCGGCGCTGATGCGGCCCCCGACGGAGCCCGGGTCCTCGCCAAAGGGCGCCCCCGGACGCGAGAGGGGCTGCCTGGAACAATAGTGCGGAGGAGCGGAGGCAGCAGGCGACATCCAGGAGGCAGTGCCTGGAACCATCAGCTAGCGAGGCGGGGGAAGGCGGCGTTGCGAGCGAGACGCCTGGGGTCCGGTGCCCGCTGAGATGCCGGGCTTCGGGCGCAGCAGGCGGGCCTGATGACAGTCATGGCAGGAGTGAGTGTGTGAGAGTGTGTGTGTAAAAGGTACAGCAGAGGGGATGGGGTGGCGGACGGAGGTGTTGGGGGGTGACATTTCCAGGAATCCCCGCTAGGACCCCCTCATCTCTCGGCTGACTCTCCTGGAGAAAGAATGTGATGATGGAAACGGTGAGGTGGGCAGGATGCACTTGGTGTGTGAAGTGTGGAGGGAGGCAGTGGGATAGGGGCCGGTTTGTAAAATCCTGTATATGTGTGTGTACGCGTGTGGTTGCATCCACGTTCCCCAAACTGCGCCCCAAATCCAGAGATCTGCCGCTGCCCTTACTTGATGTCACCGGCTAAGACTGTGGGACAGTGTTTGTTATTTTGACCCTGCAACTCTGAGCACAGTGTCTGTTCTGCTCCTGCGTGTGGATGGCCCAGTGTAGGGATTCTCGCTTCCCCTTCCTCTGGCCTCATGACATGGGGATGTGGAAGTGAGCATGTTGCTTTGAGGCACATGGCAGGGAAATAGGATAACCGTTACACATTCTGGGCTTGCTAATGTACCTGGTTTTGAAGGGGCCTTCCATCCTGTGATACTACTTCTCTCCTTAGCACCTGTTCCATAAGGGTCTTGTACTCCCTGACTGTGCAGTTTCTATTGTTTTTCTCTTGTCTGACCAGAAGGAGAAGGATGTTGAATGATCAGATTCCTCTTCCTGTCCCCACAACTTTCAATGCTAGCTAGACCTTCTCCTTCCACATTTAAGCACTGAAAACCTTATGGCTAGAGGATGGATGGTCTTTGTGTTGGTTCTTTTAGAATGAACTCTGGAGGTGTATACGTATAGAGAGATGCGGTGGGGCGGGGGGCGGTCTTTTAAAAAGAAGAAAAATATCACACGGAGAAATGTTTGGTGCCCACTTGGTCAGCATCACACAGCCAGGGCGTTTTCCTCAGGAAACAGGATACTTTATTTCTACTGCTGGTGACATCCACTCTCCCAGCTGTCACAATAGCTAGGTGGTGCCGTGTATCATTTGGAAACTGAAATCTCCTGAGACCCACAGCGATGGGGTCCCAGGTCAGTAAAGTCCCTGCTTTCCTACCTGATAGAGCCCACTAGTAGGGAATTTGGAAAAATGTCAGGCTGGCAACAACTCACCCAGTGGGAACAAGGACACAGAAATGCATCCAGAGTCTATGGCTGTTTAATTGTCTCTGCGTGGTAAAGATAGGTGTGTGTAGGTAGGGTTGGGTAGAGGTAGGCAGGGAGATGGCATATTCATGTGTATCCAGGGCAGTGTGATTCCCCCTCACCTATGTTTCTCCTGCGGTATTCATAGGAATGAGTGCACTTTACACTTAATATCTCGACACTTCTTTATTAAAATGTTGTATGACTAGCTTAATCTGCTTAGGACATGTTTTAGTCATAACACCTTAAATTCTACTGCATTGTCGGAATCCAAACTGGCTGCCCGGTTCTCTTCGAAAAGCCCGTAGCAGTCATGGCTACACAAGTAAATATACAACATGTTGGCACCAGAGATTTATTTTTCTTTTTTAAAATTTTTGTTTTGCTTTCTTTTATGGGCAAAGATTGCATGATATCGTTGTGAAAATAATAAAACTAGGGCTATCCACATATGCTTTTTTTTCTTCCCATGTATCTTATTTAATGATATATAGACAAGGTGCTCTTGAAGCTGTCTATGTAAAGTAAATTTCCCCATGTTCTTCAAGTCAAGCCTTCTAAGATTTTAATGTGAGGTTGGTTGTTGGCTGTCATCCAAGATTTAAGGATAGATTTATAAAAATGAATTTTGAATCTTAGTTCTTTACTCTCTTATTTGTTATGCCAAATGTCTTTCTGAGAAAAGTACTTAGGGAATTTAAAAGCCATTCTAAGAGATTTTGGTTTAAAAAAAAGTCATCATCCTTTATATTTGCAAGTAAGACCAGGGATGTAAATGTCTCACAAGAAAGTTTAATAATATGAGGAATTACCAGGTAAATACCCTGTTTAGAGAAAGAGGAATTACACAGCAGCAAAATCGATGACTCAGGAATCAGTTCTTTTCTAATGTAAATGTGATCATTTTTATTTTTATTTGTCTTTTTGAGACAGGATCTTCCTCTGTCGCCCAGGCTGGAGTGCAGTAGTGTGATCATAGCTCACTGCAGCCTCAAACTCCTAGCTCAAGCAATCCTCCTGCCTCAGCCTCCTGAGTAGCTGGGACAATAGGCACATGGCACCACACCCAGATATTTGTTTATTTTTTTCAGAGATAGAGTCTCGCTATGCTGCCCAGGCTGATAGTTTTAAAAATGCAATATCTGGCTTTTCTAAAGATCGGACTGGTATAAGGTTAATGAGACAGCTCTAATAAATGGTGGTACCTTTTGCTGTGGCCTGCAGCAAGCCATTTTTTGTGCATGGATGCCTTTCCTTCACTTAAAGTAGCATCAGTGCTTTTCTCTTCCATTATTGAGCCTCTTAAGGTTTTTTGTTGTTGTTGTTTTGTTTTGTTTTGTTGTTATTGTGTTTGTTTGTTTCGGAAGACTTAGGGGTAAGAGATATTTGAAAATTGACCTCTGGGGCCAAAAGGAATTAACTGTAGTACCTTGGGGAGATAGGACTTTTATCCTAGAAAGAAGAAGTAATTGTTGCTAAAATTGAGAGAATTTCAAGCCGTAAAATCTGAAGTTAACTCTCTGGGTTACAATAATTAATTTGCAAACATTTGTTAATTGCCTCCCGCATCTCAGATCCACTGTACCTTTGGATAGGGGACAGGGAATGTTGAGAAGGGTTGGAGGTTCAAAGAATGCTAAGTCTTAGATCCTGGCCAGAGGTGGATCATGATCTAGAAGGAGAAAAGAGGAAATATGTTACTAACTGTAAAAATAGTGAAAAATGATTAAGTGCTGAAAAAGCAGTATTCCTGCAGAGCTGTGGGAGTTCACAGGGTACAAAGTGACTTCTGATGGAAGAATTAGGGAAGGTTACATGGGATATAGCATTTGAGCTGTGATTAAGGTGGCATTTGGGTTGGCAGAGAAGGAAGGGCATGCTTGGGGGAGGAACAGTGTAGCACAGGCCTGGCAGTGGAAGGTGTATGCCTACACAGGAAACAAAAAAATGGTGTGCTTTGGCTGAAGCGCTAGGAATGCCAAGAGATGTAATGAGGGATAAAGCAAGAAAGAGAGGTTTGTTCAAGGTGGTGGAGCAACTTGTACGCCAAGCTAAGGAGTGTGGATTTTGTTCAGTAAGGACTGGGGAACTATAGAAGATTTGTGAGGAGAAAGATTGACAGTATCAGAACTGTGCTTTGGGGCAATACTTTTGTAGTATTATGTTGGATGGAATGACATGGGAAAAGGCTGGCAGGAGGGAGACCAGATAGACTCTATTGTCAAAGTAGGGGAAAGATGGAAAGAGGCAGTGGGAGGCAAGAAGGGAACACACCTAAGAGGTGGTGTGCGGGAATTATCTGAGGAGCTTGAACAGTCACTGGAAAGTGAGGAAGGGAAAAGGGAGGCCAAAAGATCATTGTCAGGCTTAGCTGAGAGAGCAGTTGGGTCATTTTCAGAAAGAAGATATAACAGAGGATAAGGAAGAGGAGAGAAGTTTCTTTTTGAGCATGACAGGCTTGTCCAAGTTAAGGGACTAGAATACAGAGGGAGGTTAGAGCTACCAGGAGATTTGTAGGTCATCTGCTTAGGAGCGATTTTCATATCCCAGGAATCACTGATAAAGAAAATGAAGAAAGAAGAAGCAAAAGTAAGGATAGGATCCTTGAGGGATGTCTGTATGTTGGAGGGGAAAGAGAAAGAAGAGGACAGGAACCACGTTAAACAAGGGGCAATTGGAGAAAAATGATGGAAGTGAAGTGGTACAGTGTCATGGAAGCTGGAAGGGGTGAGGAGAGCCCCTGTCACTCACACAGCACACCCCATGGGTGACGGTGCAACCAAGGCAAAGCCATTGGATTTGACTCTTGGATTTCCTTGATTGTCTTTGTGGTAGGTGGAAGTGGCAGCCAGGGGCAAGGGTTGAAGGGAGGCGTGGGGGAAGGGAAATGGAAAGCAGTGAAAACAGACTTCATTTTCAATAAGTTGGGAGATAAAAGAGAAGGAGAGAGAGTATGATATATCACAACAATGGTGTAGTAGAGGGAAAGTGGTATTTTTAGTATAGGAAGACTTGAGCCTGCTTTATAAGCTGAGGAGAACAATCCATTGAGGGAAAAAGAGATTGAAAATGTAAGGGAGAGGCTCAATTGAGGGAATTAAGTCTTCAAGAAGATGGGAGGATACTAGATGAAAGCAAAGGAAGGATTCTTTTGAGACAGAAGCATAGGAATTTTGAGGTGGAAAGAAAGGAATTTGGCCACAGTCTTTTAAGTGAGGTCAAAGAGAGGTGGGCAGGTTGAAGCCAGGAGTAGAATGACAAAGACTTGTGGGCATTGTGGAAACAGAGCAGTGAGTCAATTAGGAGTGAATAAAAGATCATTACCCAACCATGAGGACCTCATGTGTTTGAAAAGCAGGAATTTGTAGTGAAACCAATTAACGCTATATAATTGGAGTTTGACAACTACTTAAGTAATTTTTGTATAGTGAGCATTTAATCTCACTAAATACAGTGGTTCTTCATTCCCTTAAATGCAGTAAAAAGAGGAGAATGTTTACCTTTAAAATTATCCAAATAAAAGACTCCACTTGTATTTCCTGTAAATATTCTCTCTCAGAGATCTGAGCTAAATTTTAAGAAGTTTATAGTAAAACAATGGGGAAAAATGTAAGTGTTTTTTTAAAGGATGAGCTTTTTCTATCTGTAATGGTAGAATATGGTTTTACAGTGACGTACATGTAAAGTCAGTTTTCAAAAGAAAAATCAAATATAGCACCTCGCCCAATACCATACCCATCATATGCATTCAATATACATTTGTCACATGAATACATGAATAAACTTTTTTTAAGTAAGCTAGCAACAGTATCTAAAATTTTAAATTTCAGGATTTCATTCTTACACAATGGACATCGAATGAGTTGCCTTTTATGGCCTGTGCAAGTTTATGATAGCATTAAAACTATTTATTCATACCTGATATATACATTGAAGCTTTATTTTTAAAAACCCCACATTTTTCACAAAATGATTGTGAACCCTTTAGATCCTTGAGTTATGGGATTATGTCATGATTCCAGGTGAGTTTATGGAACTTCAACTGTAATGAGTGGTGATTTTGAGGTTTTAATGATGAAATTTATTCATTCCTTCAACATACACTCATTGAACACTTTCTCTGGGCCAGAAACTATTCTAGGTGCAAGGAATATGGGGTGGGGGGAGGCATGTCCTTAATATCACAGAACTTTTAGTGGAAGGAGATTAAAAATAAATAAATAAGTAATTACATAATATGCCAGGTGGTAAGTGCTATGACGAAGAATAAAAGAGAGAGAGCAATGGACTGATGATAGTGGGTGGGTGGGGGGTGACATTAGTTTATATAGTATGGTCAGGGAAGACCTTAAGCAGAAAGAGCTGAAAGATGTGAAGTAGTGAGCCCTGCAGATATTTGGGGGAAGGGTCTTCTAGGCAGAGAGGATATCAAAAATGAAAAGGCTGGATAAGAACATGTTTGGCATCCTCAAGGGACAGCAGGGAAACCTTATTGGTTTCCTTGGTTTACCTGGAGCAGTCACTTAGGGAATTCACAATAAAATGCTTTGCCTTTCATTTTCAATTGTTTGCCCATAAGGCTGTATTACCATCTACTGTATTTGGGCTGACCTATGAATCAGTACTGGGTTTATATAAAGATGAATATCCTCAATCAAATGTATTTAAGTTAGAAAACAATCATGCCTGTAATCCCAGCACTTTGGGAGGCTGAGGCAGGCAGATCACTTGAGGTCAGGAGTTCGAGAGCAGCCTGGCCAACATGGCGAAATGCTGTCTCTACTAAAAATACAAGAATTAGCCGGGCATGGTGGCGCATGCTTGTAGTCCCAGCTATTTGGGAGGCTGAGGCAGGAGAATTGCTTGAACCTGGGAGGCAGAGGTTGCAGTGAGCCGAGATCACATCAGAAAACAAAGCGTGATTCTGTCTGGGTAGTGATGAAATACTAGTCAGCTGGAAGTAGTTCTGCTCCTTGGAACTTACATCTCTTCTGTGTCCTGAATCTTCTTTAAATATTGCTCTCTTTTCTTCTTCCTTGTTTCATGTTCCATTCTCAAGTATAAGATCCTTGAGGCTAGAACTTTGTTTTGTTCATCTGGGTATACTCTATAACACAGACTGACTCTCTGCATTAGTAAGGGTTTATCAAATACTTACGGAGAGGAATTGATGAGAAATTTCCAAAGATTTAAGTAACTCAGGTGTAAAGAATGAGGGTAAAGCTCGTTTACCTTGATTTCTGCAGATAGGTAGCTGTTTTTCAAACAGGACACAGAATTGCCATAGGATGCTAAAGCAGTTTATGCATGCAGACCCTGAGATGAGGACTTGAGTTCAGAATAGTTTATCTGAGAGACAACCTCAAGAAGCACAAGTGAGAGAATGGAGAAAATGACACAGGAGAGGGAAGAAAGCCCATTAAGAGGTGAGTTAATGAGCAGGTTACCACGGTGGGCAGCTGAGGCTTGGCTCTGCTGGCATTATATAGACTGCACATTAGGATTGTCCACCAAGCAGTGGAGAAAGTGGGGTCTTTATCCACCATTTCCCTAGGGATATTAAATCTTCAGTACTTTAGGGCTGCTAAGATTAGCCTGAGCAAGCTCCAGAGACACCAAAGAAAGCTCTTGAGCAGAGAAGCAGAGAGGCAGAGCCAGGTGGAAGTGGGAAACTGTCAGTGTATTTGGAGACTGTCGATACAGCTATAGCTGAACTCAGAAGTGGACATGGGACCCCTGTTTAACACAGCACAGAGGTATCATAAAGAATTTTTAACAGATAATAATTGGTTTGATGGCAGTTATTTTAATTTAGGGATTTTAATGTATTGTGACAACTGCCTGCAGTTCTGTTCACTCACAAGCCAACTATTGGCCACCCTCAGTTATCTGAGGTGCAGAGTACTATATATGCTCATGTGTAAGATACGCTCTGTTATAGGGTGGCCCTCAGTTTTCCAACAAGAGCGTTTATAAAAAGACTTTATGTCAACTTGAATATGCATATTCTAGGAATATAGGCAAAGAGTGAAGTATCTACTTATGTTTAATTTATTAGTTTACTTTCATATAATTGAAGTCACATTATATAAAATTATTAATTTAGAAATATGACATCCTTCCATTCTCACATTTTATGAAATCATTTATTCAAATACTTCACATACTTTTTTGACTTTAGAGTCTTTGTCATGATTAGGCCACTTTTGTCATGTTCATTTCTATCTAACTTTTTTGAGATATAGTACTTCTTGAGTTTCTGTATGATGCTACCACCACAAACTTTATTCCAAACCCTGTGTGCTCATTCACTTAATGTAAGAACGTTTGTTTTATCCTTTCTTCCTAAAGGAGTATATTTATGATCTCTGCAACCCAGCACTTCTGTATGTCTTGTGTAAAGACATCCAAGACAAGCAATTGTAAAGCTCCTTCCCAGGAATATTTACTTCAATTGGTGTTAAAATCATGGCCTCCTTTACTCTGTATTCATTCAGTCATTTATCTTCTTTCAATTGCATAGCCTTCAGAAGTATCCCTATCTTGTGTTGATTGAGTTTATTTCCGGCTATCTTCTCCAAATAGTTCTTAAGTAACCTCTGAAACACACAACTCCTTTTCATGAAATCTGCAGTCTTACCAGGTAATATGTTTTTTCATGGTTTCTCTCTTTAAAATCAGTTGCCGTCACATCCAGCATTAGTGAATTACATGGCTTTCAATTTCTGTTATCTTGGAGGTAACAGGGTTTTTGGCATTCAGAAGAAGGTAATTAAGAGAATACCCCACAATATGGGAGACTTTGTAAGCATTTATACATAAGGCAACTTTCTCTTTTCTGAAATACACATTTTGGAGGACAGAATCTCATCTTTTTGTATATGTAAAGTGATCACAGGAGGTTGTCAAGGTATGGTGGCAAAACCAATCCCTACACACTAAGTTTCCTTTTCAGCCTCCTCTTCTGTTCCATGTGGATTAATTAGCATACAATTTGTATGAAAAATACAGCAAATACAGCAATGATTTATTTCCTAATGGAATTAATTGGCCACCATTCCAAATAATGTAATCGTTATGTTTCTGACTATTGATAAATTTTGTATCTCGAGATCAATTCTGCATTTATTAACAGGCACACTTTATTTTAAAGAAGGATAATTGCCAAAGTATGTATAAATTCCTTTTTCTTGTAAATTGTAGCATATTTTAAAAGCAGAGGACGAGCTTAGAGTCATTTAAGGAAATTCCACTTAACAAGAATAATTACCCCCTACATTGGCTATTCAGTGAATTTGGACTTTTATACTGGACTTTACTAAAGTGGGTTGCATTCTGTTGCAGTGGCTTTTACACACTTTTGGCCATGATTCCTGGTGAGAACACAATTTAGATGATAGGCTAGCAACATAGATGAATGTGTGTAAACACATATACACACACACATACATCACTGAAACAAGTTTCACTCAACAATACTTGTCCTTTATTATGTGTAATCCACCCTGATGCTTCCTATCCTATTCTCTTCTGTTCTGTATGTTTGCCAACCCACTGAAGTAATCTCTGCATTGGTGAACCCTAATATGCAGTTTAGAAAACACTGCTGTATTGTATTACATTTATCAGAAGAGTGTTTATTTTCTTATAGTATGAAATAATTTCATGTCAAAAGTTGTTTTTTCGTTTTTTGAATTGTTAGCATATTTGGATATTTGGTGGTATGGACAAATGATGCAGTAATCACAGAGAGAAACTTTATTTTTGAGTAGACATTTTGTTTCCAAAAGAAGAAATTACATTAGTGTGGAAAAGGGAAAGTGGAGTAAGAAGAATAGATTTGTTCTTAGATCTGTGGCTTTCTTGGGTTGTGGGGACCGTGTCAAGTCACTGGGCCACAACCTCCTTGCTGAGCTGGTTCCTCACGATTCTTTCCTGTCCTTCACTCTTCCTGCCCCTCTTCCTAGCTGCTGTCTCTTAGCCTCTAGAGTTCTGGATGTTTAGTTAAATTACTTAATTCTAAATTTTAACCTAATATTATTTCTTCCCAGATGTGAAAATAGTTTCTACGCCCACTTCCCTTCCAAATAACTTGAAAATATAAGAATCATTTTTCCCTGAGCTAGTACCTGGAAGAGTTCTCTCCTAAAGGAGCTAGAATTTGTTCTACAGATGAAATGTTTCCATAGTATTAGGTCATATGAAAGCTTAACCTAATCTTATGTTCAGGTATGATTGTGTTCTTTATGGCAGGCTAGCTATCAAAGTACACATAAATTCCTTTTTTAAAAGCTCAGCAGATTCCCCATCCAGTGACTAAAAACAAGTTACAAAGTGTCAGGCATTGCGCTAAGTACTGTACACAGCTAACTCATTTACTTCTCATAATGACCTAATTTACTCTTCATAACCACATCAGGAGAGAACTTATATTGCAGATTGGACTTTGAGGTTCTCAGAGGTTCCTCAGTGGCTACAAAACAGGACAAAGGGGATTTGCCTCAGGTCTAGGCACAGGAATGGGCCCAGACAGTTGCTGGTCCTGGAGTCTATTCTGTCCTCTGGGCCCAGCAGTAGCTTCCCATCCCCACTGCCCCATCTTGACTCTCTTGTTTATGATGCCTTCATCCTACTTGGGATGTCTGTGTGTGTGTGTGTGTGTGTGTGTGTGTGTGTGTTACTGTTTGTCTTAGTCCATTCAGTGTTGCTATAACAGAGTACCTGAGGCTGGGTAACTTACAAAGAAAAGAAGTTTATTTGGCTCACAATTCTGGTGGCTGGAGAGTTTAAGACCAGGCAGCTGCATCTGGTAAGGGTCTCATGCTGCTTCCACTCATAGTGGAAAGTGGAAAGACAGCGAGTGTGTGCGAAGAGATAACATGGTGAAAGAGGAAAGGAGAGAAAAACCAAGGAAGCCAGATTCTTTTTAACAATCCACTGTCTAGGAAACTATTCCATCCTTGCAAGAGTGAGAACTCATTCATCACTGCAGGAGGACATTCATCTGTTCATAAGAGATTCACCCCCCATGACCCATGCACCTCCCAATACTGCCACATTGGGGATTAAATGTCAACATGAATTTTGTGGGGATGAACCACATTCAGACCATAGTACTGTTGCACCGACATCTCTCCATTCTTGGCCCTGTGGGGTGGCAAGGACTCAGAATGAGCTGGAATACAGTGCTGCCATAATTAGCCATCAACAGTGAACAAGTCTCCAGGTTGGTCTGAGCCTCAGCTTCTCCAGCTACAAAAGGGGAAATGATGAAACCTGCCCTTCCCATCTCTTCCTGCACAGGGCCGCTGGGGTCAAATAAAATATGAAAGGGTACAGAAAAGTAAGGTAGATGTCTCACTTCCTTCATCATGACATTGAACGAAAGTGACTCCCTACCTAGTTCTAATAGCTAGTGTCTCTTTCCTCTAAACCAGAAGTTGACAAACTTTCTCTGTTTAGGGCTAGTAGTAAATAGGTTTTGTGGGCCATATGGTCTCTGCCACAACTCCTCCACTCTGCCCTTGTAGTGCAAAAGCAACTGTACACAATATGTAAACCTATTAGTGTGACTGTATTTCAACCAAAGTTTGTTTATGGATGCTAAAATTCAAATTTCATATCATTTTTGCTTCACAAAATGTTGATTTCTCATTTAACTTTTTGCAACCATCTAAAAACATAAAAAACATTCTCAGCTCCAAGGCAGTACACAAACAGGCAGTGGGATGGATTTGTCCCACGGACCTCAGTTTACTGACCCCTGATCTAAACTCTCACAGTGCTTTGTACCACTCTGGATTCCAGCAGCTCATGCTCATCTTTTCCATCTCTCTTGTCCTTTCAAAATATGCACCCACCCACACACTCATTTTTTCATCTCCCTTAACACTGAGAAAGATAATAGCATATGTATAGTATGCCCCCCACATGTATATTCTATATGCCCAAGAAATATTTATTGAGTAAATCAGGATTAAAAATCTGTTGCTTTTGTATGTTTCCTGTTTTTTCATCTTTAAAGGAAATTCCACCTATTCTCTAGTAAAGCTTTGGGAATGATTGAGTTAAGATTTTGTGATTAAATATAAGGCTTTGAGATTCTTGCCTTAAAGTATTTCCCCCCTCTGTTATTAACCATAAAAGGAAAAGAATGTCAGGGAGGACAGAGAGGAAAAGCAAACAGACAAACAAAACCAACATTTCAGCATGAAAAGCGCTTGTTAGATGATAACTAAAGTGGCCAGATGTTTAGCTTTGCTCCCTTGGGTATCCTGCCACTATAGGGAACTCTGAACCGGCTGAAGTGTTTCATGCCTCAGCTGCCAGCAGCCCTTGGTGATATGCTTTCCCCAAAATTTAACATGGGGGCCAGAACTCCATGCATTTGACTATAAATAAAGAGGACCTCATAGAATGTACTTTATCTTTGTATTTCCCTACCATGTATTGAGGAATCATGCACATCTCTCTAAGAGCAAAGCCTTGAACATACCTCCTGTTTTTCTTCTTAATAAGTATAGACTTGGAAGTGGAATTATTATAACATATGTAAATTGACATTTCTTCTCAAAATGGACAGAAACTGTATGCTGGAATTATGGCAGGGCTGTTTGTGGTATTCCACATAGTCTATGATCAATATGTTACTCTATAATAAGGATTGTGTGTAAGTGTGTGCACGTGGGTATGTAGTTAAGGGGTGGGAAGAAATAAATATATTAAAAGCTTGGGACCAAAATCACTAACAGTATCTACTCCTTATTAAAATTTGTTAAGGAAAGGAACAATTAAGTCAGCTTTCTGTTGAGTGCTTAAGTATTTTAGCCTGCCAAAATATATTAATTTTCCATAACCTGGAAGAGAGATCCATGACACATGTAAAATAAATTATAAAGTATACTTTGACTTGACATAAATTGTTACTGCTATGGTAGATGATGTCTAGTCCTAAAGACAGAATTTTAAGCCAGTGTTAAAAGTGCATATCATTATACATTTAAGTCATGTGAGGTATTTGAAACCTGCTTGGGGAAGAGTGGAGGATGAGAGGCTCAGGATTTTGTTTGCTATTATGTCTAAGCTGCTCCCTGTGAAACACAACATGGTACTTACTGGCAGTGCAAAGACTGTTTTCAAAATTACCTTTAGTGGATGGATGCAGAGGCGATGGGGTGATGTGGAGAGGGCAGGCTTAGAGAGGACTGCATGGTGATGTGATGGGTAGGCAATTATCAACCCGTCTGCAGCTTCTCATGTGGAATGTGGCTCCCCTTGATGAAGTAGAGAGAATGTGCATATGAAAGTGGATGATTCAGGTGTCATTTATTATGATATCTGTACAGTGAATCTTTTACTCTTTCTGAGTTTAATTTTTCCCTCTCCTATCACATCTCCTGCTTCTCCCACTTGGGGAATTACAGTGTTTACATCTTTTTGTTTATGTTGATCACTCCCTTCCCTGCTGGAGGTTTTTAGCACAGTCTGCTTATCGTTGATTGTCTTTTCATATGTAGGACTGTGACACTGAAGCTGGCCAGAAGGTCTGTATAAGTTGGTGTGCTTTGCAGATGTCTTAGGTCAGAATCCTCAGAAGCAGACACCAAGAAGAGGGTTTGTGTGTATATGTGCTGCTCTATTAAGGAGATGCTCCTAGGAAAAACTGGGAAGGGAAGGGGAAGAAGTCAAGTAAGGGTATGCTCTCATTCAAACAAAATACTGCAAAGAGGGGCTTCAGCCTGATCCTGTGTGGGGTGGGGGAGCTCTGGAGTGTAAGTCAGCCTCAGAGTTGTCCCTGCCTGAATCTATGGGGTTGGTGTTTCATACTCCATACCTGTCAGTCTTCAGTTAAGAGAGGGGGTCTGTTGGGTGGGGACATAAATTCTCAGGTATTTCTGGCTCTTGACATGAAAGGGTGAAGCAAGTGCAGCCCTCCCAAAAAGAGCCATAGGTGCTGGCTGTTGGGTGGGAAAGCACATTGAAAGTAGGGACTTGAGGACAGGTGCAGTGGCTCATGCCTGTAATCCTAGCATTTTAGGAGGCCAAGGCAGGTGGATCACCTGAGGTCAGGAGTTTGAGACCAACTTGGCCAACATGGTGAAACCCTGTCTTAACTGAAAAAAAAAAAAAATTAGCTGGGCATGGTGGTGCACGCCTGTAATCCCAGCTACTCAGGAGGCTGAGGTAGGAGAATTGCTTGAACCCAGGAGGTGGAGGTTGCAGTGAGCCAAGATCGTGGCAGCCTGGGTGACAAAGCAAGTCTCTGTCTCAAAAAGGAAAGAAAGAAAGAAAGAGAGAGGGAAAGAGAGAAAGAAAGAGAGAAAGAGAGACAGAGAAACACAGAAAGAAAGAAAGAAAGAAAGAAAGAAAGAAAGAAAGAAAGAAAGAAAGAAAGAGAGAGAGAGAAAGAGAGAGAGAAAGAAAGAAAGAAAGAAAGAAAGAAAGAAAGAAAGAAAGAAAGAAAGAAAGAAAGAAAGAGAGAAAGGACTTGAGTAGGACAACATTGTCCATCAGCAGGCCTCTCTACAGGGTAACCAAGGGAGCTATTAGGTTGTTCCACTGGGAATCTCCACATTCCAGTCTTTTTCCTGAGAAGTAGCTGCTGGCTCCTAGTGATACATGTGTGTGGTGTGGAGCAGAGGGCTGGGGATCCTGCTGTTCTGGATCAGTGAACCTCCTGTTTCCAGAGCCTTCTCCACCCCATCCTTTGGTAGGCCTGCATCCCTGGGGTTCTACAGTTCAGTCATCTCAAAGAAAAATGTGTTGTAATCTTTTGTTTGTGAATATTCTCTCTTCCATTCTCTGTGGATTTATACCTGATGTATACCTTTATACTCTTTAAGAGGAAAAGAAGAGGAAAAGATTAAAAATATATAATTGATGGTATTAAGGTGGTAAATTTGTCACGTTAAACCAGGAGTCACCCAAAATAAAAGCTAGAGTAGAATCTAAAGTAAAGCTAAAGTAGTAAAATGTTTAAATATATATGTATACACACATATGCATATATATGTAAGTATATTCCTATAACTTCATAAAAAATAGGCTTAATAGTTGGTAATTAGCCAATCTAAGTATTATCTAGCAAAGTGCTATGTTAGTCAGAATGAATAGTTACAGTCTGTTGTAATCATTAGTTGGATAATGTCAGCCAGTGGCTAATGTTGATCTCATTGGGCTAAGCAGGGGGACTTCTGTCTTTCACAATGTTTTTGGATATTAACACTAGACACAGGTCAATAAACTGCTGATGTCAGTGTGAACCATGGTTCCCATGTCATCACATCAGAGTTAATCTTTGGAACTGAATAGTAAACAGAAACCTAAGTAATAACTGGCAGGCTCAGAAAACACTATTTGTTGTTCAAGGAATCTCAAGCAAAATCCACTGCCTTCTATATATAACACATTTATTGAATGGGCTGGACTCAATGGGATGCAAATAGCCATCATCTCTTGTTCTTCTCTTACAGCTTCTTTCTACCCACTTAACAGACTTGTCTTCTCTTCCCCATGGGAATAAAATTTTAGGCAGGTCTCTTAGATCTCCCGGTTAGGCCGGGCGCGGTGGCTCACGCCTGTAATCCCAGCACCTTGGGAGGCCGAGGCGGGTGGATCATGAGGTCAGGAGATCGAGACCATCCTGGCTAACACGGTGAAACCCCGTCTCTACTAAAAATACAAAAAATTAGCCGGGCGCGGTGGCGGGCGCCTGTAGTCCCAGCTACTCGGGAGGCTGAGGCAGGAGAATGGCGTGAACCCGGGAAGCGGAGCTTGCAGTGAGCCAAGACAGCGCCACTGCAGTCCGCAGTCCGGCCTGGGCGACAGAGCGAGACTCCGTCTCAAAAAAAAAAAAAAAAAGATCTCCCGGTTATTCTTAAGTGGTGAAAAGTTTGACTACTAGTCACATAATACATCCAATGTGATAATAAATAACTCAAATTCTCATCTAATATTTGATGTTTTTAAATTGCGATGTAACTTGAATAGTGAAGAAACAGAAATATCAAGCGTAGAGCTTGCTAAATTTTCACATATCTGAAAAACTATATAACTAGCACTTGAATCAAGACATAGAACATTTTCTGGCCCCTGGGAGGCTCCCTCATATGCCTTCTCAGTCAGTCAATATCAACCACTTTCAGAAAGGTAACCACTACTCTGACCTCTGTCACCATAGAGCAGTTTTGCCTGTTCTTAACTTCATCTGCGTGGAATCATATAGTATGTAGCCTTTTGCATCTGACTTCTTGTTTAATATTGTAGAGATTAATTCATGATTCATTCCTTTTTTGCTGTTTAATCCATTGTGTGAATATACTGAGTTTATCAATTCTTTTGTTGAAGGACATTAGGGTTGTTTTACTGTGAATATTATTATATGTTTATTTTGGTTTACATATACACTGATTTCTGTAGGGTATATACTCAGGAATGGAATTGTGGGGTCATAGAACAGGTATACATTTAGCTTTAGAGATATTGCCGGTTTTCCAAAGTGGGGACTACTTTGTCCAATTTATACTCCCAACAGCAGTTTATGAGAATCGTAGTTGGTTCCACGTTGGTGATAGCACCTGGTTTCCTACCATTTGTTTAGCTTGAGGTATTCTGCTAAGTGTGTAGTAGTGTTAAAGTTGTGTTATTTTTATTAATGTTGTTAAAATTGACACATAAAAATTGTACATGTATGGGATACAGTGTGAGGCTTTAATACATGTGCACATTGTATAATCATCAAATCAGAGTAGTTAGCATGTCAGTCACTGAAACTTTTATGATTTCTTTGTGGCGATAACTTTCAAGATCCTCTTTTCTACTTATCTTAAAATATATAATACCTTGCTATTAGCTGTAATCACCCTGCTAATGTAACAGAACTTATTCCTCCTATCTAACTGTAATTTTGTTCTAGCTTAGTTCTTTTTCTCAAGATCGCTTTGGTTACTTGGAGTCTTTTGTGGTTCCATATGAATTTTAGGATTGTTTTTCTATTTCTGTGAAGAATGCCATGGGTGTTTCTATAGGGATTGTGTTGGATCTGTAGATACAGTCATTTTAATGATATTAATTCTTCCAATTTATGAACATGAGATATCTTTTCATTCATTTGTGTCTTCTATTTCTTTCATCAGTGTTTTATAGTTTTCATTGTAGAGATCTTTTACATCCTTGCTAAAATTTAGACCTAGGTAATTTATTATTTTGTAGCTATTGTAAATGGATTTGCTTTCTTGATTTTTTTTCGAATAGTTTGTTATTGGTATATAGAAATGCTACTAATTTTCCATGTTGATTTTGTATACTACAACTTTCCTGAATTTACTTACTCATTCTAATAGTTTTTGGGGAGATCTTTGAGAATATACATATATATATACACACATACATATGTGTATATATGTGTATATATATTCATATCTGCCAGTAGG
Organism: Homo sapiens; assembly: GCF_000001405.40. Lineage (NCBI taxonomy): Eukaryota > Metazoa > Chordata > Mammalia > Primates > Hominidae > Homo > Homo sapiens. Next base: position 69,655,268 of record NC_000009.12, on the reverse strand, counting down.
GGCAATATGACTTCTTCCTTCCCAATGTGGATGCCCTTTATTTCTTTGACTAATTGCTCTAGCTAGGACTTCCAGCATGATGTTGAATAAGAGTGGTGAAAATGGACTTTCTTATATTTTTCCAGATCTTAGAGGAGAAGCTTTAAACATTTTCCCATTCAGCATGATGTTAGCTGTGGGTTTGTCATACGTGGCCTTTGTCATGTTGTGTTGAAATATATTCCTTCTGTACCTAATTTGTTGAGCATTTTTATCATCAAGGATGTTACATTTTATCAAACACTTCTTCTGTATCTATTAAAATGATCATACGGTTTTTACCCTTGATTCTGTTAATGTGACGTATCATGTTAATTGATTTGCCTATATTGAACCATCCTTTCACCCCTGGGATGAATCCCACTTGATCATGATGAATGAACTTTTTAATGTGTTTTTGGATTTGGTTTACTAGTGTTCGGTTGAAGATTATTGCATCTATATTCATTAGGAATATTGGCCTGTAGTTTTCTTTTTGGTCGTTGTATCCTTGTGTGGTTTTAGTATTAAGGTAATACTGGCCTTGTAGAATGATTTTGGAAGTATTCCCTTCTCTTCAATGTTTTGGAATAGTTTTTGAAGAATCGGTATTAGTTCTTCTTTAAATGTTATGTAGAATTTAGTGGTGGAGCCATCAGTTCCTGGGCTTTTCCTTGATGGGGGACATTTTATTACTGCTTCAATCTCATTACTTATTATTGGTCTATTCAGGTTTTCTATTCTTTTCTTTTCTTTCTTTGCTTTCTTTTGAGACAGGGTCTTGCTCTGTCACCAAGGCTGGAGTGCTCCTAACTGGAGTATTCCTGGAGTGATCCTAGCTCCCTGAAACTTTGAACTCCTGGTCTCAAGCGATCCTCCCACCTCAGCCTCCCAAAGTGTCGGGATTACAGGAATGAGCCACCGCACCTGATCTTCTCTCTCTTTTTCTTAGTAAGTCTAGCTAAGGATTTGTTTATTTCTGCTCAGATATTTGTTATTTCTTTTCTTGTACTAATTTTGGGTTTAGTTCCTATTTTTCTAGTTCCTTGAGGTGGCTTGCTTATTTGAGATCTTTCTACTTTTTTGATATAGACATTTATTACTATAAACTTCCCTCTTTTTTTTTTTTTTTTTTTTTGAGATGGAGTTTCGCTCTCGTTGCCGAGGCTGGAGTGCAATGGTGTGATCTCGGCTCACCGCAACTGCCTCCCAGATTCCAGCATTTCTCCTGCCTCAGCTTCCCATGTAGCCAGGATTACAGGCATGCAGGCATGCGCCCGGCTACACGGGAGATGCCTGGCTTTTACTAGAGACAGGGTTTCTCCATGTTCGTCAGGCTGGTCTCAAACTCCTCACCTCAAGTGATCCACCTGCCTCGGCCTCCCAAAGTGCTGGGATTACAGGTGTGAGCCACCACACCTGGTCTAAACTTCCCTCTTAGAACTGCTTTTGCTGTATCCCGTAGGTTTTGGTATGTTCTATTTCCATTTTCATTTGTCTCAAGGAATTTTTAAGTTTCTATTTACGTTTCTTCATTGACTCATTTATTATTCAGTAGCATGTTGTTTAATTTCCATGATTTTGCATACTTTCCAAAGTTCCTTCTGTTATTGATTTCTAGTTTTGTTCCATTGTGATCAGAAAAGATTATTGATATGACTGATTTTTTAAATTTAAGATTTGTTTTGTGACTTAACATGTGGTCTATCCTGGAAAATACTTCATGTGGTGTTGAGGAAAATGTGTATTCTGTAGCTGTTGGATGGAACGTTCTGTAAATGTTTGTTAGGTCCATTTGGCCTAGAGTGCAGCTTAACTCTGATGTTTCTCTGTTGATTTACTGTCTGGATGATCTGTTCACTGCTGAAAGTGGGGGTGTTGAACTCTTCTGCTATTATTGTATTGTAGTCAACCTCTCCCTTTAGGTCTATGAATATTTGCTTTATATATTTGGGTGCCCTGGTGTTGAGTGCATATATATTTAGAATTGTTATATCCTCTTGCTGTACTGGCCACTTTATCATTATATAATGGCCTTTTTTTTGTCTTTAAGCCATTCTTAACTTTAAAATAATCTACTTTCTCTAACATAGGTATAACTACTCCTGCTCTTTTTTAGTTTCCATTTGCATGGAATATATTTTTCCATTCCTTCACTTTCAGTCTATGCATGTCTTTATAGGTGAAGTGAGTTTCTTGTAGCCAACACAGAGTCTTGTTTTTTTGTTTTTTTTTTGCTTGTTTTTGTTTTCCTGAGTTGGAGTCTCACTCTGTCACCCAGGCTGGAGTGTAGCGGTGCAATCTCAGCTCACTGCAACCTTCATCTCCCGGGTTCTAGCAATTCTCCTCCCTCAGCCTCCCAAGTAGCTAGGACTACAGGCGCGCATACCACCACACCCAGCTAATTTTTTGTATTTTTAGTAGAGACAGGGTTTCATTTCACTGTGTTAGCCAGAATGGTCTCCATCTCCTGACCTTATGATCCACCCGCCTTGGCCTCCCAAAATGCTGGGATCACAGGCATGAGCCACTGCGCCCAGCCAGGGTCTTGTTTTTGAAATCCATTCAGCCACTCTATGTCTTTTAATTGGAAAATTTAATTAATTTATATTCAAGGTTATTATTGACAGATAAGGATTTACTACTGCCCTTTGGTTACTTATTTTCTGGTTGTTTTGCAGATCCTTTCTTCTTTTATTTCTTTTTTACTGTCTTTGTGGCTAAGTGACAGTTGTCTCATTTTAAACTTCACTTCCTCCAGCTTAGACAGGCTGCTTCTGTGCAGCCACATTGTGACCAGAGGAAACACACACACACTTATTTGGTTGGCAGTAGACATGCCTTTTGCTCCCAACATATCCCCCTCCCTGTACCCCTATTTTGCCCTGCTCACTCTGACTAGCCCTTAGATTTCTCCCAGCGAGAGTCAGATATCAACACCTGGGTTCCATAAAAACCAGAGGGCCTGTGTCTAGTTCCTGAAGTTTCTCTTGGAGCTTTCTTTACCTGGTATATTAGTCTGTTGAGGCTGCCATAACAAATACCATAGACTGGGTGGCTTAAACAACAGACGTTTATTTTCTCCCAGTTCTGGTGGCTAGAAGTCCAAGATCAAGGTGTTAGCAGGTCTGGTTTCTCCTGAAGCCTTTCTCTTTGGCTGGCAGGTGGCTGCCCTCTTGCTGTGTCCTCACGTGGCCTTTTCTCTGTGTGTACATCCCTGGTGTCTCTTCTTCTAAAAAGAACACCAGTCATGTTGGATTAGGGCCCCATCCATATGAGTTCATGTAACCTTAATTACTTCTTTGTAGGCCCTGTCTTCAAATGCAGTCACATTGGGGGTTTGGGCTTCAACATGTGACTTTTGTGGGAGACTTAATATTTGGTTTGGTGTGTATGTGGGTGGAGCACTCTGCCAACTCTTCAACAACACACAAAGTAATCAATTGGCAGTCAATTTTGTTAAAGTACAGTCAGAGACCAGGCGTGGTGGCTCACGCCGGTAATCTCAGCGCTCTGGGAGGCCCAGGCAGGTGGATCACCTGAGGTCAGGAGTTTGAGACCAGCCTGGCCAACATGGCGAAACCCCGTCTCTACTAAAAATACAAAAATTAGCTGGGCATGGTGGTGGGTGCCTGGAATCCCAGCTACTTGGGAGGCTAAGGCAGGAGAATCGCTTGAACCCAGGAGGCGGAGGTTGCAGTGAGCCTAGATCACACCATTACACTCTAGCCTGGGCAACAAGAGTGAAACTCAGTCTCAAGAAAAAAAAAAATACAGTCAGTCATTATTTAAATTACTGGTCGGGAAGATTGTTTTATAATAGAAGTAAAACACATACAGTAAAGTGTATAAACTACACAAATCTTTAAGTGTACAGCTTGATGAATTTTACATCTGTATAAACCTGTGTAACCACCACCCAGATCAAGATCTAGAACATTGCCAGCACTCACTGAGATCCTCTCACGCTCCCTCCCATTCTGTGCCTGTGCTCCCCAGAGGTAACCACGATTGCTGCTTCTGTCATTATTGATCATTTTTGATGATTCTTAAACTTCATATAAAGAGAACCATATATACATTTTTTTTGGTCCAGATTCTTCGACTTTACAAAATATCTGTAAGATACATACATGTTATTACACGTATCAGTAGTTTGTTCATTCTCATTGCTATATGGTATTCAGTTGTATAAACATACAACAATTTGTTTATCCATTCTCCTATTGATAGAAATCTAGGTTATTTTCAGTTTTTGGCTATTATAAACAAAACTACTATGAACAATGTTATATATGTCTTTCTGTCTTTGTATTTCTTCAGTATATATTTAGGAGTGAAACTATTTCGTCATAGGGATGGGCATGTGTTTAGTTGGAGACATTTTAGTCAACTGTTTTTATAATAAGTACCTTTCTGTTTGGTGTAATCTGAGCATATATTCTTCACAATTCAAGGATAGATGTATGTATACATGCTCTGTTTTAATGCAGTGATTTATTTTTGTTAATTTCCTTCTGATTTTGTTGTCCAGCTCAGTTAACTGAATGTGATTTTGTTACTTTATCTATCAAAGGGAAATGAGGCATATGCTTCTGAATTCACTGGATACTGAACAGGTATACTGAATTCAGGTTATTCGTGCATATTTGAGGAAGGTTTTTGTCACACTCTGTTAAGAAGCCAACAACCATTCACTAACAGATATTTTGTTTGTTTTATCTGAGTTCAACAAGGTTAAGCATTCAGACTATTTTCATTAAAAATAGTTTCGTGTATAACAAAACAAGACAGTACACGTTTTAATTTTAACATCTTCATTTTAAACATTGAGTTCCATTCTAACCAAAACATAACACTTTTAGCCAGAATGCTGTTAAACATCTTTAAAACACCAAGTAACAATAACATGGCAAATGTTTGTGTATTGCTTACTATAAGCAGCATAAGACATTGCTCAAAGCACTTAACCTACATTAACTCATTTAATCCTCACAACAACACTATAAGGCATGCTGTTGTTATCCTCATTTTGCAGATGAGGACACTGAAGCAGAGAGGTTAAGTGACTTGCCCAAGATAGCACAGCCAGTAGGTGACAGAGCCAGAATTTGAATGCAGCTAGCCAGAGTCCAGAGTGTGTGCACATATAACCAGTATACCACACTGCCTGTAACTCTGTCTCTCATCTTCCTGTTTATTCATGGGGGAGGAGGCAGTGGGAGAGAGCATTCCTGCTTTCTCATTTCTTAGACATTTTCTCAGTTTGGATTAAAGCTGTAGCAGTTAAAATCTTTATTATTACTTTAATATATTCCATTAATCAGATGTTTAAAGGATGCCAACCGGCTGTCACTATCTTTAAAAACCACATTAACAGAATACTTTCCCCACCCTACCCCCACTTTTAAGCCCAGACATCATACTGGGGAGATTTGTTAAGGGGAGAGATGAGTTATTCCTCCAGACCCTCTGAGGCCCTGAAAAACTGACTCTTGTTTGGCAAGAGGATGATGCTGTCCGAGTTGGGCCTTACTCACTGTGATGTGAGTGCTGTGCATTCTACATGTGTTCGCACTGTATCAACTGTGTGTCAGCCCCATGCAAGGCCCCGGGGGTGGATGGGAGCAGAGCACATGGAGCCCTTCTCTTCAGGGGGCTTTAGAGTTAAGCACAGGAGACAGGCACTTGCACAAAACCACACATGTGTCATCACCCACCGATAAGTGCCATGGAGAAGTGAGGGTACTAGCATGTGGCAGGAAGACCTGGTCCTGTGGGGCCAGTGGGAAAGTGACTCTAGGGGGTAAGTGACTCTGGGCAGAAGGGAGAGGGTGTGTCTGAAGCAGACAGTGTGGGTTAGCTGGCTGGAGACTGAGCCAGGGTCTGGTCAGGCAGGAGCTCCAGGCTGCCTTAGGGATTTGTTCTTTATTCTGAGAATAATGGGATGCCATTTTTGCATTTCAAGTAAAGGAAAGACATGATCAGATTTGTGCTTTTCTAGGATCTTTGATTGGAAAAGGGGCAAAAGAGAAGACACTCTTACGTGCATTTTACAAGATGGAAAGTGATAGCCACTAAGAAGCTATTATAGAGCTTCAAGAGGGAGGTGATGGTTTGGAATGTTGCTGGCAGAAGGCTGGAGAGAAATGGACAGACTGGAAAGATATTCAGCAGGTAAAGTCATCAGGACTTGGGGATAGGTTGGATATGGGAGGTGAGGAAATAGCAAGAATCAAGGATGACTCCCAGGTTCTGTTTTGTGCTTCTGGAGGGATGGAGTTCCAGTTACTGAAATAAGGAGTGGAAGATGAACAATGACTCGTTTGGGAGCGTGAAAGGGAAACAGATAAGACATTGACTTTAAGGTGTCTGTGAGACCTGCAGGGAGGAATGGAGGTGGGCCCTTAGATATAGGATCTCAAATTCAAAGGGGAGTTCTGGATGAGAGATTATGCTAACCAAGCATAGATTTGGAAATGAGATTCACTAATCCATATGGATGCTTAAAAAAGGTGGCATGGATGAGGGATAGAGCAGGGAACCAGGAGTTAGAGTGCTTGGATTTGCCCTTGTTCAAAGGTTCAGACCATCCCTGAACTGCATCTGGGACTCACCTTCGAGGGCTAAACTATAGAGCTCTATAATAGCTGGGTGGTCTGTGCTCTTAAATTGGAAACCTTTAAAAATAATGATTTTTGCCCACTGGTGAAATGAACAACTAGGTTGAAAAGAGAATTGGCTCTATGGCTTACCAAAGTATAAGTATTTTATCAATTTTTGTCTTTAATATATAACTGAGTAGTGTGTGTAAAATGTTCATAAATGTAAACTTGGCTAATAGTAAGGTTTATGGGATCAACTCCTGATTCAATGGGAAAGTTACTTCTGTGCCCAGTGCTTTCCGTGTATCAGGGTGGCTTATTCAAGTGCACCTTGTCACTTTATTGCGAAGTTAAACCCATTATGTATTCTGACCTGGTCTCTAGGAGAGAGTTTTATTCCTAACCCCTTTCTCATCCCTGTTTAGTTTTTCCCCAAGGACACTGCTCTTGGTGAGAAATGTTGTAGCCAAGAGTCTAGTAGCTGGTGACTGTGACAACCTAGCATAGAGGACTCTTAACCACGCTCTTCACTTCCTGACAGGTAACCAGCCCTTCATCTGTCCAATGCTATAAGCAAAGATATCGAGGTACCTTCCAGTTCTGATCCAGAGAGTGCAGTGGTGGGGGCGGCTGCAGCATGGCCCAACCTAGGCAGCAACAGCCAAAGCTTGCCAGTCATGCAGTCCTGCCTTTAAGGCCTGTCTTTATCAACCCCATGTTCCTATCCCCCACAGACCACCCACCAAAACCCCAGTCAACAGTCTGCCTATTTTATTAAAAAGGACTTATCACAGTTTCACTGTTCATTAAGCACCTTTTGTTTGATTTCCTAGAAAACAGTGCTGTTGAAAACATTTTAGCTGAAGACTTTTAAATACTCAATAGTATTATTCTGTCTTTGTGTGCTCATGTCTTTATATTTCTATAGCATACATTCTGGCGCACTAAGGAAGCAACTTTTAAGAGTTATGTGTTTGATGAGGTTTGCTTTCTGTTTAATGGCATGCATATCCTAAGCTGTTGTTTTGTGACCTTGAATAATAACTTAATAAGTTAGAGGAAAATATAGTCAGGAAACTTGACTTTGGTTGTTGTCTACCCTGAAAGCTGTCAGATAGCAATTATGTGTAAGATTTGGAAGTCGGCTTGCACTTTACTGTGGCTTTTAAAGTACTTGCTGTATCCAGCTACTTTGCAAAATGCTGATAAACTCTTAGGAAGATGGGTGTGTTTTTATGGCTTGAATTTAAGAGTAATGACTTCTGAGACTTAGATACTTTATCTGAAGGAGGTAAGGAATAATAAAATAGCAGAGGTAGAACTGCAGATTTGAGAGTCCATGATTTGCTTTCTTTTCATATATTTTGTGAAGGAAAAGGTTAACATCAATGAATAAGCTTTCCAGGCTTGAACAGTGTCTGCTTTCTGAACAACAACAACAAAAAGCTATAATCCCAATAAAATGTCTTGCCACTAATGAAACCTCAGGGTCCAGTCTGGGATATTTTATTAGATAATCGAGGTTTTATATTGCTGTTATTAAGGCACTGAATCCTGGTAGGGAGTTCCTGAATATTAAGCAATGATGCACTTCCCAACAAGGCAGTGAAAAGGGAAAATGCAGGCAGTATTGGCAGCATACTGGGGCTTGAGCGTTTTCTCCCCAGGGTTATAGGCAATTGAAAATCCATTCAGCAGCCTGCGTTCCCCTGTGTCTCAGGACTTATTCATGGAGGGCACTGAGAGGCCTAAGAAAATAGTGTTAATCACAGTTCCTTTGGTGCCTGGGTGTGTCTATATTACCTTCTTCAATTCCCCTCCCATTTTAGGAACCAAATGAGAAATAAAATGCAAGAGACAAATGGAGCTCTGTTATTAATAAAGCCAGTTGGAAACTGTGGCTTAGATGTGTGGCCACTAAAGACTGCCTGGAATTAGTGTCACTCATGCTCTCAGCCCTGGTGCAGGGGGACAGTTCTTGCCTGGTAACTTACCTGCAGGAGAGCAGACCAGAATGCCCCCTTCTGTGGGCAGACAGAGGTGAAAAAGAGCAAGGAAGGCTTGAAGCCAGGCTTGTCTAGGACTTCCTCCGAAGCTCTCCAGAAGGGGTGGATGTTGAGGAGTAGGGTGGGAGTGGGGTGGGAGTAGAGAAACCTGGAGTGTTACTCTCTGCAAATCCCTTCTGAGAACATCAGACCAAGGCAAGGAAGTTGCTCCTAAAATGCTCCAACAGAGATGAAAAGTAACGATCAGCACAATTACAGAAGAAAACAGACCTGTTTTCTATATGTTTTAAAAATATTTTATCATACAAGAATGACACATGCATGGCAGAAAATTTTTGAACTGTATATGAGCAGAATGGAGGAAATCAGTAATTCCTCATTACCCACTACCCCAAGATAATGGCTGTTAACATTTGGGCATATTCTTTTCTTGTGGGTGCAACAAATACAGCATATTTACTATTTTGTAGCCTGCCTCTATAAAAAAACTTGATATTATAAATGAGTTTTAATAAATCTAGAAAATGACTCCTGGGTGCTTATCAAAATAAAACTTTTCCTATTTTCATTTTGCTTATATGTCACAGGACTTACTTTCAACTGGTGTTAAGATTGGTGAGTATGTCTATCCATGTGATATTTAAAGTAAAACAAAACATTTATGGTTTTAAGGTGTATCAGTCAGAGTTCTTAGACACTAGCAACAGAAAATGACTCTGGCTAAGCAGAGACGTGATTGGGCAGCTGGAGAATTGGGAGAACTGGAGAGTCTGAATGAAGGCTGAGCTTCCTGGAGCAGCACCCAACACCAAACCCCAGAACTGGTCTGACGAGAAAGTGCCACCTCTAGGGAGCTCTCGATGCCACGTGACCTGTCTGCCAGGACCTTAATCGCAGCTGCTGGCCCTGCCATCCTCAAAGCTACCTCTGTGTCGAGTGTGCAGCTACAAGGCCACCCTTCTCCTGCCACTGCTGAAGAGAGCACGAGCTCCCCCCTCCCTTTCATAATGTAAGCTCCCAGTCCGCCTCCGTGCAGGCTGCCTGGTTGGCAGAGCTCACTTCTCCCTCAGCCTTTTCTCTAGCTGCAAGGGAAACTGGGCAAGCAAGTCTCTAGCTTTTTTTCTCTCACTTCAGGTAGACGATCTTGCCTCGCCCAACCTGGACTCACAAAGTGGTGAACTTGCCAAACACATAACTCGGTTCAGGCAGTGAGTGGCCAAATGAAAGAAAAATGTTTTGCTTGTGTCATGTTGTTATGAGATCTTGCCTTAACTGATGTTTTCAAATAACTAAACAGCTTCCTGTTCAATCATGTTAGAGAAATTGACCTCAATTCTGTTGGCCTCTGTGGCTTGGACAAAGTTACAGCCTTTCTTACTTACCTATCCCATGAGCCAGTAAGGATCAAGTAAGATGAAAATGCTTTGGAGGTAATAAAAAACATACAAGTTATACTTATTCAACCCCTCGACTAATTTCTCAGTATCTCCTTTCCCTTCCAACATCGATCTTAAACTGTCATCTTGAGGATTATCGTGGATATCCTAATAAACTATCCAGTGACTTCTGGCTTGACACCTTGGCAGCATCTGACACCTCTCCCACCCCCAGTCCCCCACTCCCATCCCCACACATACTTCTACTCACTTTCCAAATTCTATAGATTCTTCCCACCATGTTTTTTTCTGCAGCAGTCTCTGTTTCCAGAGCCCTATCTAGGCCATAATCATCTTCTACCCTGAATAATCACAGGTCACTATCATTCTACCCATTGCTACCAGACATCTTCTTGAAGCACATCTTTTATTACCTACTCCTGCTGAGAAACCATCAGTGGCCCCCCACTACTCACAGAATAAAGTCTGCTTCCAAGGGGTGTCACCATTAGGACCCTGGCTTTCCATCCAGCATGAGTTCACAGTTTTCCACAGACATCCCCAACTCCCTCTACTCAAACCAGTTATTTGTGGGTGAGTTCAAAGAAGCTTAAGCTCTTGGGGTCCCATCTGAGACATGGCCAAGTTGGAAAGAGAAGAACAGGTTTGCTGGGACTCTGTAGGGCTTCTTACAAATGGGACTCTGTAATGAGAGCATTTAGGTTTTTTGAATGGGGAAAGCCATTCATGGAGCTGCCAGAATGTGAATGGGCTAAAGAGGAATTTAATTAAATCACTTATTGAGAACTAACAGAAGAATTTTGGGGGATGAGAAAAATAGTGTCAACATTGAAAGAGTACAAAATACTGGCATGAACATGGTAGGAAATGCCCCTCCATGGGACATTATCAGTGGAGATATATGGACTGTGGTGGTGGTCATTCAATTAGTAGACATGTAAAACAGGCATGTAAAATTAATACTCTATCCAACAAACATTTATGGAACATCTATTCTGTACCTGATACTAAGAGTTCTGGTGATACAGTAGAGAAGATAGCAGTTCTTATTCTCATGAATTTTACATTCTAGTGGGAAAGACAGATAGCAAGCAGATTAATAAGTAAATATACATGATCATGTCATGTTTTTACAATGTTCTGAGGAAAAATAAAGCAGAGTAATGGCAAAGAGTGTGACATCGGGTTGTAGTGGTCAAGGAAGGCCTGGCCATTTGAACCAAGGCCTGATGAAGTGAGGGAACAAGCCCTGCATATATTTGTGGGAAGAGCCTTCTAGGCAAAAGGAACAGCAAACACAAAAACAGACCTTGAGGCAAGAGCATGCTTGGAGTCCTTGGATAATAGCAAGAAGCTGAGAGACAGTGGGTACTACAATGGTATTAAGGATGGCAGTCAGGGATCAGCCCAGGTAGGGTCTTGTAGGCCAGGAGACTGATCATTTCTTCTCTGCTCCATATTCCTTTCCCATAGAGTTGTCTCCTAAGCTAGTCCTGCACTGGGCTTTGGGATATCAGCTCTGAAGCCATAGCCAATGGACCTCAAGACGAATCCGTCGGATTCTTTATCCTGAGAATTTGAATGTGAAGCTTTATAAAGTGATAGAGTCCAGGCAGGGCTGGGCTGCATGGGCCGTGTTTGGCTCATGTGCATAGAGAAGTATCCTGAAACAAGAAGGAGGGAGAGGAATGAGGCAGACATAGAGGAAAAGAAACATAAATGAGAGCCCATGGGTCCATGAGGAGGAGAGATGTGCCAGTCTTGGTCCCAAAGCTTCCTGAGGCCCAGCTACACTTCATGCTCTTGAATTCTATATATTATCCATGTCCTTGTTAGCAAATTCACATATACTTAAGCCTAAGTGACTTCTATTTCTTTCAACCAAATTGTCACTGACTCTGACCCCATTGTATGCCAGGAGAGAGGTGTGGAAAAGAGGTTATTGACCTTGAGGACAGCAAAGTTACTGAGACTCGGCAGGTGAAGAAAGTCTTCATGGGGAGCTTGTGTAGACATATATTTGTTTTGTCTACACAAACAATTTTGGGTTGTAGGGGGTAAACACTTATGAGTAGGATTGCTGGATCAAATGTAAGTGCAGAGTATTTGTTTAATTTGATTTAAAAACTGCCTATATTAGTAGTCAGAGTTCTCCAGAGAAACAGAACCAACAGGCTGTGTGTGGAGGGGGGAGGAGGGGTGTGTGTGTGTGTGTGTGTGTGTTTGTGGCGGGGGTGTGTGTGTATACACATATATGTATATATAGAGATCAGCTGGTTGATTTAGCTGAAGGAATTGGTTCGTGTGATTGTGGAGGTTTGGTAAGTCCAAAATCCACAGAGCAAGCTGGAAGGCTGGAGACCCAGGGAAGAGTTGCAGTTCAAATTCAAAGGCAGTCTGCTGGGAGAATTCCTTCTTGTTCAGGCGGTAGTCAGTCTGTTCTCGTAATGCCTTCAACTGATTGTATGAAGCCCACTTATATTATAGTGGGCAATCTGCTTTACTCAAAGTCTACCATTTAAATGTTAATCTCCTCAAAAAAAAACCTTCATCTGCAAATGAAGAAACCAACTTTATTTCTCTCTATCTCTCTCTATCTCTCTCTCTCTCTTTCACAAAAACATATAGAATGATATTTGACCAAGTATCTGGGCACTGTGGCTCTGCCAATTTAATTCATAAAATTAACCACTAGATTGCCAAACTGTTTTCCAAAGTGGTTCTTCCATTTTGATTTCCCACCAGCAACTTATGAGATTTCCAGTTGTTCTGCATCCTTGTCAACACTTGGAATTTTCAGGCTTTTTAGTTTTAGGTATTCTAGTTAAGTGGTAGAGATAATGCATTGCATTTCCCTGATGACTAATGATGTTGAGTGTCTTTTTATGGGCTTATTGTCCAATCATATCTTTTCTGTACTAAAGCATCTGTTTAAATCTTTTGGTTATATTTTCAGTGGCTTGTTTGTCATCTTATTGAGTTGTAAGGGTTGTTTATGTATTCCAGGTATAAGTCTTTTATCACATAGGTGTTTTGCAAATATTATCTCTAGTCAATGACTCATCTTATTTTCCTAACACTGTCTTTCAAAGGATGGAAGCTTTTAATTTTGGTGATGTGCAAATTATTAACTTCTGCTTTTATAGTTTGTACATTTTTTGTGTCCTGTTTAAGAAGTCTTCATGCCTGGGCAACATGGTGAAACCCCATCTCTACTAAAATACAAAAAATTAGCCAGGTGTGGTGGCGTGTGCCTGTAGTCCCAACTACTTGGGAGGCTGAAGCAGGAGAATCGGTTGAATCCGGGAGGCGGAAGTTGCAGTGAGCCGAGATCACGCCACGGCACTCCAGCCTGGATGACAGAGCGAGAGACTCTGTCAAAAAATAAATAAATAAAAAATAAAAGGAAATCTTCACCTAGCCCAAAGTTACAAAGATTTTTCTGCTATGTTTTCTTCTGGAACTTTTATAGCTTTAGCTCTTAAATTTAAGTCTCTGGCCCATTTTAAGTTAATTTTTGTGAATAGTGAGAGAGAACGATTGATTTTTTTCACATATGAATATTCAGTTCTAATACCCCTTTTTTGAAAAGATTATCATTTCCATATTGAATTACCTTAACAGTTTTGTTGAAAATCATCTTACCATATATGGTGGGTCTGTTTCTGGACTTCATTTTGTTTCTTTGATTTATATGTCTATCCTGTGTTAATATCACACTGTCTTGATTACTGTAGCTTTATACTAAGTTTTGTAATCAGGTAGTATGAGTCCTCCAACTTTGCATTTTCTTGTAGATTTTAGAATCAGATTTTAGCATTTCCATATAACTTTTATAATCTACTTGTCAGTTTCTACAGAGAAGTCTGCTGGGATTTTGATTGGTATTATGTTGAATCTATGGATCATTTGGGGCATAATTGATGCCTTAATAATACTGAATTTTCCAACCCATGAACATGGTATATCTTTCCATTTCTTTAGATCTTCCTTAATTTCTCTCAGCAATGTTTTTTTTCCTAAGTATGTCACGTTTTTAGTATTTTCTTTTTAATTTCAACTTCCAGCTGTTCATTGCTAGTATATTAAAATGTCATTGCATTTCATATATTGACGTTGTATCTTGTGACCTTGTTAAACTCAGTTATTAGTTTTATCACTTTGGTATATTCCTCGGTATTTTCTACATAGATTATGTCATCTGCAGATTATGTCATCTGCAAATGAAGAAACCAACTTTATTTCTCTCTCTCTTTCTCTTTCTTTCTTTCTCTCTCTCTCTCTTTCTCTTTCTCCCTCTCCTTTCCCCTCTCCCCTCTCCCCTCTCCCCTCTCCTCTTTCCTTATTACATGGGCTAGGACCACCAATATTGAATTGAAATAATTGAAATGATGAGAGAAGTGGTCTTTCACCATTAAGTGCGGTGTTAGCTACAGGTTTTTTGCAGATGCTCTTCATCAACTTTCCTTCTATTTCTAGTTTGTTGAGAGTTTTTATTATGAATGGGAGTTGAGTTTTGTGAAATGCTTTTTCTGAACGTATTGAGATGGTGAGTGTATATGTTTATTTTTACTAGCTATATAGCCTTGGAAAGGTCAGTTTCTGTCTTCTGAGAAATAGGGATACTAATACCTTTTCCTGTGGCTGTTATGTAATATATATAACATTCAGCATAGGCTCTGGTGGTTGGTTGACTCTGTAATATTATTATATGGATAATTATTAATATTACAGAGTCAAAATGTTGACTCTGTAATATTATTATATACATTAATTTTTTTAATTTTCCAAATGTGAACGTATTATTAACCAAGCTTTTGCAAATTATATGACTCCCAGCAATTCTAAACTTCTCCCAAGGAATACTTGTGCCCCAGATGAGCATTCGTGTCCTAAGCTTTCCAGATTTGCTTTATTTCCCGGGAGTGAGGGCTCACACTATTTTATAGTTTCCTAATCATAAGACACTGTATTCTAAAACTGTCATTGTTTCCTAGTAAGTTTTAAAGCAACATTTTTTGTTTAAATATGCACATATAATGTGTGAGTGTGTGTGTAAGTAATGGCTTTAGGAGTTGTACATATGCAAAATAGATGGGCATTACACCTGGATAACGCTTATTTTATTAATCTTTTCTGTTATCTGTCTTTTCCCTTAGTAATTTATTTGTTGAGGAAAAAATGGTTGATTTTTCCTGTAGGATGTTCTTTATCCCTAAAGTTTAGTCTGGGTTTTGCTGATTGTCCCCTGTACTGTCATTTCATATGCTCTCTGTTCTCTGTGTTTTATATAAATTAGTAGACAGATGTAGAAGCTTCAATGGACTCCATTTAGATGATTTTTGGCAATATTATTTCATAAGTGCTTTTTCTAAGTGTATTAATTTATTGGGATTTAAAAATGATGACATTCAGATTTTACTATTCCCTCATTTATTAGCTGGACTTCTATAAGGAGAAACACTTGTCAACTCTCTGGTTACTTGACATATAATTTATACTAGCAAGGCAGAGTAAATGTTTGATTCTTTCTTTTTATTTACCAGTTTTCAAAATAAGGAGTTGGTTTGCTCACACCCTCCAGGGGGTAACCAGTGAGAAAGGCAAGTTTTATTGTTACTATTGACTTTAGTACTGTGAATTTAAGCACATTTGATATATTTTAATCCATTTCATTTTGGACAGTAGGAGCCTATTAAAGGTGGCCCTGATTCCTTTTGACATACTCCTTGTGCTCTTTGATAGCTCCTTTGCTTCTGGTGTGATGAGATGTTCCAGGTTCATCCTTTATATTTTCTACTTTTGACCTGGAATCAGCTACTTCCCCTGAGAGGTTCTCTTAGTTTCTTTAAGTGAGAAATGGTATTTAATGACCTCAATCTATTGGGACTACTAGGTTGCTCATTATTTCTAGGCCAATTTAATGGGCAGAGTAAGATAAAATGCTTCACAAGTTCATATTGATCCTTCCCATTCAAATTCAGTACAACAGGATTACAACTCCCTTTTAAAAGAGAAAAATTCACATAGACTAATACAACTTCAGTGAGCCACAGAACTCAGTTGAGAATAGATGGATGAAAATAATGCCGAAAAAATGTCTTTTAACTGTAAACTATCTCTGTAAAATAGAAGTTTTTCTATTTCTAAATAATAATTTAGTGAACATGATGGGAGCTGAGGATTAGGTTATCATAAAAATCAAAACCTATATAAATTCTCTTATAGTTTTAGGGACCCTGAGAATGGGGCATGGACCCTGTTTTTTGAGAAGCTCTGTCCCTGTCTATATATTTCTGTTATTTTCATGTGACTTCATGGATTTATATTTTTTAATTTTTAGTTTTCAAAATTTAACTTTGAAATTTTAATCTTCAAAAATTTGATTTTCAAAATTCAAAATTTCAAAAACATACACCTCATATGTTTTTTCCATCAATCTTCTGAATGGGCACTGAGGCATCTGAAAGAAAAAGATTTTGCATATACTTGCCTAGACAGACACCAACTTTATCTTGTCTTAGTAAAAATTTTATGTGATTTTTAATCACTTCTGATTCATTTGCTGACTTGATACCTGAGTGGTTCTTTAAACTATTTAAACATGCACATGCCTGCATGCAAACACAAACCATCTGTTTAATCTTGTACACATAAATGAAGAGAGGGTCAGGGCAAGGGCTGTATTATTCACTTTATAAAGTATGCACTTGATGGCTCACACCTGTAATCCCAGCACTTTGGGAGGTCGAGGTGGACAGATCACCTGAGGTCTGGAGTTCGAGATCAGCCTGGCCAACATGGTGAAACCCCGTCTCTACTAAAAATACAAAAATTAGCTGGGCATGGTGGCGCATGCCTGTAATCCCAGCTACTTGGGAAGCTGAGGTAGGAGAATTGCTTGAACCCAGGAGGCGGATGTTGCGGTGAGCTGAGGTTTTGCCACTGCAATCCAGCCTGGATGACAGAGTAAAACTCCATCTCAAAACAAAAACAAAAACAAAAACAAAAACAAAATATGCACTTGAGCATTTCATTCATAAAGCTAGACACCCTAGTGCATTTAAAATATGTTACCTGTACAAAAATCTGTATACAGCTCTTTAGCAACATATCTCTTGAGTAAATAAAATTACTGTTCATCAGATGTGTTGTCTTTTGAAAGAAAGAAACAACACCATATTCAGAGGTTGCCAATGCTGCTCAGTTGTGAATTCTGCAAGAAGGCATTCATGGTAATGTCATGACTCATGAATTATGTGCTATATTTGAGCAGTGAGGTCAGCTGTTGTAGCACATAATTCATTATCTCACATTCATGATTTTTCTTCCTTTCTCTATTTCATATGTCCTGCCTTCCTTTTTTCTATGTAGAATTTCTCCTGTCTGGCCCAGTGTTGGGCATGATCCAGCTTTCCTATTAAAATGTAACTTCAACATTTATTTTTCATAATTGTCATTTTAAAAAGTATGACAGTTTTGAAGATATTATTTTATAGCACTTTTATGTGTTTTAGGTCCACATTAAACTGGCAGAAACTGTTATACAAGACAAGTACATCTTCTCTGCATTAGAAGTTGTGCTTGTTATTCAAACTGCTTCTCAGCCTGTGTCTGCTGTGCCACGGTATGGAAGCGTATTTCATCTGTTTTACCTATTTGAGCCAATGGTTTATCCCTAAAGCAGCCTACAAGGATTTATATTTTTTAATTTTTAATTTTCAATTTTTATGGGTACATAGTGGTATAAATATTTATGGGGTACATGAGATATTTTGATACAGCCATACAATGAGTCATAATTACATCACAGTAAATGGGCTATCCATCACCTCAGGCATGTATCTTTTCTTTCTGTTACAAACAATCCAATTATAGTGTCTTTGTTACTTTAAAAGGCATAATAAATTATTGTTGACTGTAGTCACCCTGTTGTACTATCAAACACTAGATCTTATTTATTCTATCTAACTATATTTTTGTGTCCATTAATCATCCCTACTTCATCCTCCCCAACCCTTCCCAGCCTCTTGCAGCTTTCATTCTATTCTCTATCTCTATGAATTCCATGGTTTTAATTTTTATCTCCCAGAAAAAAGTGAGAACATGTGAAGTTTATCTTTCTGTGTCTGGCTTATTTCACTTAACGTAAATACCTCCAGTGCCATCCCTGCTGTTGCAGATGACAGGATTTCATTTAGGATCTCATTCTTTTATATGGCTGAATAGTACTCCACTGTGTATATGTATCACATTTTTCTTTCTTTCTTTCTTTCTTTCTTTCTTTCTTTCTTTCTTTCTTTCTTTCTTTCTTTCTTTCCTTCCTTCCTTCCTTCCTTCCTTCCTTCCTTCTTTCCTTCCTTCTTTCTTTCTCTCTCCCTCCCTCCCTCCCTCCCTCCCTCCCTCCCTCCCTCTCTCTCTCTCTCTCTCTCTCTCTCTTCTTTTTTTGAGACAGGCTCTCACTCTGTCACCCAGGCTTGGGTGCAGTGGTGCCATCATGGCTCATTGCAGCCTCAACTTCTCCAGGCTCAGGTGATCCTCCCACCTAAGCCTCCCAGGTAGTTGGGACTACAGACACATGCCACCATGTCCAGGATTTTTGTACTTTTTGTAGAGATGGGGTTTCACTGTGTTGCCCAGGCTGGTCTCAAATTCCTGGGCTCCAGTGATCAGCTCGCCTCAGCCTCCCAAAGTGCTGTGATTACAGAATGTATTTTCTTTATCCATTCATCTGTTGATGGACATGTAAGTTGCTTCCAGATCTTGACTATTGTGAATGGTGCTGCAACAAACATGGGAGTGCAGATAGCTCTTTGATATGCCAATTTCCTTTTTGGGAGTATATACCTAGCAGTGGAATTGCTGAATCATATGGTAAGTATATTTTTAGTTTTTTGAGGAACCTCCAAACTGTTCTCCATAGTGGCTGTATTAATTTACAGTCCCCTCAACAGGACATAAGGGTTCCCATTTGTCCACATCCTCAGCAGCATTTGCTATTGCCTGTCTTTTGGATAAAAGTCATTTTAACTGGGGTGGGATGCTACCTCATTGTAGTTTTCACTTACATTTATCTGATAATCAGTGATGTTGAGCATCTTTTCATAAACCTGTTTGCCATTTGTATGTCTTCTTTTGAGAAATGTCAGATCCTTTGCCTGTTTTTAAACCAGATTATTAGATATTTTTCCTATAGAGTTGTTTTAGCTCTGGTTATTTATCTGCCATCATATGGGTAGTTTGCAAATATTTTCCCTCATTCTGTGGCTTGTCTCCTCACTTTGTTGATTGTTGCCTTTGCTGTACAGAAGCTTTTTAACTTGATGTGATCACATTTGTCCATTTTTGCTTTGGTTTCCTGTGCTTGTGGAATATTACTCAAGAAGTTTTTGCCTAGCCAATGTCTCAGAGAGTTTTCAGTGTTGGGTGCATATATATTTACAGTTGTTATATTGTCTTGCTGAATTGACCCCTTTATCATTATATAGTGACCTTTGTTTCCTCTTACAGTTTTTGTCTTGAAATATATGTTGTCTCATGTAAGTATAGCTACTCCTGCTTTTTTTTGGTTTCCATTTACATGGAGTATCTTTTTCCATTCCTTTATTTTCAGTCTGTGTGTGTTTTTATAGGTGAAGTGTATTTCTTTTAGGCAACAGATCATTGGGTCTTGTTTTTTTCATCCATTCAGCCATTCTAAGTTTTTTTATTGAATTGTGTCCATTTACATTAAATGTTATTATTGATAAGTAAGAACTCACTCCTACCATTTTGTTGTTTTTTTCTGGCTGTATTGTGGTCTTTCCTTCCTATCTTCCTTTTAGTGAAGGTTATTTTTATCTGGTGGTGTGTTTTAATTTCTTGCTTTTTTTGTGTGTATATGTTTTATGTTTTTTGATTTGGGGTTACCATGAGGCTTGTAGATAATACACTCATTATTTTAAACTGATCACAACTTAACACCAATTGCATAAACAAACAAGTAAAGAGAAAAGTAATAACAACTGTATGCTTTAACTTCATCCCCTGATTTTAAACTTTTTCTTTTCTGTTTATATCTTATTGTACTATGTCTTGAAAAGTTGTTATAGTTTTTTTGACTAGTTTATCTTTTAGTCTTTCTACTCAAGATATACTTATACACCACAATTATAATGTTATAATATTCTGTGTTTTTCTGTGCACTTACTATCACTAGTGAGTTTTGTGCCTTCAGATGATTTCTTATTGTTCATTAGCATACTTTTCTTTCAGACTGAAGTACTTTCTTTATCATTTCTTATAGGATAGGCCTGGTGCTGATGAAATCCCTTAGCTTTTGTTTGTCTAGGAACATCTTTATTTCTCCCTCATGTTTGAAGGATATTTTCACCAGATATGCTATTCTAGAATAATTTTTTTTCCTTCTGCACTTTAAATATGTTATGCCACTCTCTCCTGGCCTGTGAGGTTTCCACTGAAAAGTCTGCTGCCAGATGTATTAGAGTTCCATTGTATGTTGTTTGTTTCTTTTATCGTGCTGCTTTTAGGATCCTTTCTTTATTCTTGACCTTTGGGAGTTTGATTATTATATGTCTTGAGATAGTCTTATTTGGGTTAAGTCTCCTTGGTGTTTTTTACCTTCTTATACTTGAATATTGATATCTTTCTCTAGGTTTGGGAAGTTCTCTGTTATTATCCCTTTGAATAAACTTTCTACCTCTATCTCTCTCTCTACCTCCTATTTTAAGCCAATTACTCTTAGATTTGCCTTTCTGAGCTTGTTTTCCAGATATTATAGGCATGTTTCATTCCTTCAAGTTTATTTAGGACCTCAGAACACTTTAATCCGCAGTGGCAAGACTTGCAGGAACTCAAGTTGCAACGACCAGAATGGGCAATTCCCCTCTGGCTAGGGCTGGTCTAAATGCTCCCTCCATGGGTGCCACCTGAGTTCTGCCTGGTATTGCTTTCTGCTGCAACAAGGCAGCACTGAGTTTCAATGCAAAGTTCTTCAGTCACTGTGTTCTCCCTCTCCTAAGCTCAGATTCTCTCTCCACACCACATGGTCGTTGCCAGGGGATGGAGGAGGGGTGGTGTTGGCAATTCAAGACTGTCTTTCCTACCCTCTTCAGTGCCTCTTTCACTGATATGAAGTTATAACCAGATATTTTGATTGCTCGTCTGATTTTTGGTTCTTATGAAGGTGCTTTATTGTGTGGATAGTTGTTCAATTTGGTGTTCCTGCAGGGAGGATGATCAGTGAAGGCTTCTATTCAGCCATCTTGCTCTGCTTCCTCTTCTCATTTACTGAATAACTTTCTTACAGAGTTTGACCTAAAGATGCAATTAATGATTAGTTCAGATTGTGAAGCTGAAAGCTGATGCTGGTGTCACCTTCTAAAATTAAGCTTCTGGTTATAATTAAGAGCTGCAGCCTTGGAGCATTGAGTATTATCTGTGGCTTGGTTGCTAACAGGGAGAACTTCAGGATGCTCCTTTTAACTCTGGTTCTGCTAGACCAGCTTAGAAAAGGAGCAGTAGTATTAGAGAAACTTGTATTTGAACTTGTTCTCAAGGGCATGGTAGCAAATATCTCAGTGGATTGAATGCAGATGGAGAGGAAACTTTGATCATTTGAGAGATGGAGTACCAGCAAGTCCTCTCATCCTTCAAGTTGTCAGAGGAAATAACATTTACCTGAATGAAAGGTCAGTTGGGATGGCAAATACTGAGAAGATTAGAGTCCCTCACTTTGCCCTCCATGTGAGCTACCCAGCTCCAATGACAAAAGAGTTTGAAGTGGAGTGCTTTGGGAGAGAGTCTCAGCCTTCTGGCTCAACTGCTGCTTTCTGCTTATAGAAAGTATTCCAGGTGCTACCTTTCCTTCATGTTTTGCACGGCTGTATGTTGAAAAGCATGACCTATGTGTCAGTCTGGGTTCCAGCAGGAAAGAATCAGGTAATTTAGAAGAGTTTAATGAAGCGACTCTTTAAAAAGATATGTTCAGGACTACATAAAACAACAAGAGATTGTGAGACATCCTGAGGTTTGCAACAGTGGGGAGCTTTAACCCTATGTAGGCCTGAAGGGGCCAAGAGATTTAAAAAAATAATAAAAAAATAAAAATAAAATAAAATAAAATAAAAGACACAGTTACTGGTGGAAAAAAAAAAAAGGAGGGAAGATTCTCAAACCCTGCACAGAGTAGCTATAGCTGTTAGGGAGGGCAGCCTGGCAGGAGCTGTGGCCTGTAGGAGAGGCTGATGACCATCATGACCCAGCAGGGGGGGAGCTAGAGGAATCGATACTCTGACCTCACTTTCCTGCCTCTCTCCTATCTCCTGCCAATGTGTCCCATTGGCTTAACCCAACCAGAAGTGAAAGGACGAGGAAGCCCAATGATACAGAATATCATTCGTTTGGATCACAGAATTGAGAGGCAGTAGATCCAGAGAGGCAAATGGAAAGAAAATACCCAAAAACATCTATTTCCTTTAAAATATGGATTGTTCTATACAGCAAAATGATAAGTATGAACAAGTGACTTCATGTATCTGATTCCAAATCACTGAATGGGTGTGAAGTGAGAACCCCAAGGGTAGTTGAACTAATAATAGTAGTGGTCATTATTGTTGTGATCTTCATCTTTGTTGAGAGCTTACATTGTACCAGGAACTGTTGTAAACACTACATCTATATTAAGTCGTTTAGTTTCTAAAACAATCCCATAAGTACTATAATTAGTCTCATATTATATAGTTGAGGAAACTGCAGCACAGGAAGCTTAGGTCCTCCATACACAGTCTCGAAGCTCAGAAGCAGAAGAGGCAGGATTTAAATCCAGGCTGTAGGAATACACTCCTACCCTGTACTGACTCTCTCTCAATAAAGGAAAAAGTAAATAAGACACCTTTGGGGGAGGGAAGTTGGAGCATTCAGTAATGATTAATATTTGCTTCCTGTTGATAATTAGATATTTGAAGAGATTTAATGTGTTTGAAATCTCTTTCCAACTGAAGAATTTTGGGTTTATAAGGCAAAGAAAGTTAATTTGTTTGTGGGTCATTAACAGTGACTCCACCCAGAACAGTTTAATGATAGCTTTTCTTTCTCTTCCCTTTAATATTATTTTTCTTTCCTGTGTTATTCAGAGAAAAGGTGCTTTTTCTTTTTTCTATTTTTTTATTGTATTTATTTTTTATTTTTATTTTTTATTATACTTTAAGTTCTAGGGTACATGTGCACAACATGCAGGTTTGTTACATATGTATACATGTGCCATGTTGGTTTGCTGCACCCGTTAACTCATCATTTACATTAGGTATATCTCCTAATACTATCCCTCCCCAACCCCACGACAGGTCCCAGTGTGTGATGTTCCCCACCCTGTGTCCAAGTGTTCTCATTGTTCAATTCCCATCTATGAGTGAGAACATGCGGCATTTGGTTTTCTGTCCTTGAGATAGTTTGCTGAGAATGATGGTTTCCAGCTTCATCCATGTTCCTACAAAGGACATGAACTCATCCTTTTTTGTGGCTGCATAGTATTCCATGGTGCATATGTGTCACATTTTCTTAATCCAGTCTATCATTGATGGACATTTGGATTGGTTCCAAGTCTTTGCTATTGTGAATAGTGCCGCAATAAACATGCGTATGCATGTGTCTTTATAGCAGCATGATTTATAATCCTTTGGATATACACCCAGTAATGGGATGGCTGGGTCAAATGGTATTTCTAGTCCTAGATCCTTGAGGAATCGCCACACTGTCTTCCAGAATGGTTGAACTAGTTTACAGTCCCACCAACAGTGTAAAAGTGTTCGTATTTCTCCACATCCTCTCTAGCACCTGTTGTTTCCTGACTTTGTAATGATTGCCATTCTAACTGGTGTGAGATGGTATCTCATTGTGGTTTTGATTTGCATTTCTCTGATGGCCAGTGATGATGAGCATTTTTTCATGTGTCTGTTGGCTGCATAAATGTCTTCTTTTGAGAAGTGTCTGTTCATATCCTTTGCCCACTTTTTGATGGGGTTGTTTGATTTTTTCTTGTAAATTTGTTTAAGTTCTTTGTAGATTCTGGATATCAGCCAAAAGGTGCTTTTTCTGAGCTTCAGGAGGACACTAACAGCAGAGTAGCATCTACCAAGTACCAGGCATTGGCCAGAGAACTTGGGAAGGATAAATCGTTTAATCTTAATAATAGTCTTGCAAGGCTGCTGTTAAAAATCCCTATTTTACAGGTGAGAAGACTGAGTCCTGGAGATATGTGTCTTGCTCAAGGTCATTCAGTTAAAAAGCATAAGCCCTGACAGGTCTCACTTGTTCTGAGGCTCTATCTTCTTTACTGACTGTAGTGTCCCCTGGAGACTAAGTGATTTGCCCTGGGCCAAGGCCATCAGGGCTGATGAATGAGCTTTCAGTTAACCAAAGCCTTCACGTATTTTTTTCACATGAACACCTATGTTTATTTATGGGTTACTCCTAAGAAGAGAAGCTGAAGAAAGGCCACAGATACAGGAGAAAATGAGGATGGTGGTATTGTCATGGAGAGAGGGGAGTGTTTCTAGAAAGAGAGCCGTGTGCCAGAGGAGCAGAGAGCCTGATAAGTTAAGGACAAGTGTCCTTTGCATTTGGACATGTGGAGATCATTGGTGACCTTCAAGAGAAGTGTTGGGGAGTGATCCAATTGGAGTAAACTTCAGGGTAAATAGGAGGGCCAGGAGGTAGAGGCAGCACATCTGGACCCTTCCTTGGAGAAATGTAGCTGAGAAGGAAGGTAGATATTCAGTGGCGACCAGGAGGGTGGAATGGTTTTCTAAAGACAGAAGATATTAGAATGTGTTTGAAACTGATGAGCAGAGTCCATAGACAGGAAGAGGATAACAATGTAGCAGAGAGGGGGAGCAATTAGGGATCAAAGTTGGCCTGTTGACTCAATTCTGTGCGATCTGGTCCCTGCCCATGTTGCTGGCCCCGTCCCCTGATCGTTATGCCCAGTCATTCTTCTTTCTGTTCCTCCATGCTGAACTCAGTCTTGCTTTAGCACCTTTGCATTTTTGGTTCCCTCCTTCAAGTCTGCTCTGATGTCACTTGCTTACTGGTGCCTACCCTGACTGCCCCATTTTGAATTGTGACCCACTGCCCCTTCACATACATACTTCCACTCGCCTTTTTCCTGCTTTTTTTTTTTAATATAGCACATATTACCTTTTTTACATGGTATATAAGTTAATACTTATTATGACTTGTGATATTATCTCTTTTCCCTAGTAGAATGTGATCTCCATGATGTTGGGAATCTATATCTGCTTTGTTCGCTAATGTATTTCAAGCACCTGGACACTGTGTGGCCGGGAGTAGGACCTCACTAATATGTTCGTTTGAATTGACTTAACTCTCCACTATCTGAAATTACCTTAATCAGTTGTTTGCTTGCTTATTAATTATTTGTCCCCTAAACAGAATGCGAGCAGGGAAAGCAGGGACCCTGATAGTCTCATTTACTGGGGTAACCCCAGCACTAGAACTGGGTCAATACATAGCAGTGCTCAATGAATATGTAATATGTTGAGTGACTGATGGTTATATCCCCTAACTCGACTGAACTCCCAGGCTCTAGACCTTTGGCTTGCCTGAAGCACAGCTGACTGTCAATCTGGACTGTCAGTTTCCAGACCTTTGCCATGCTTTGTCCCTCTGGAAATTTCTGGAACTTCAATATTTTACCATAACACAGAATGTGGATTCTGACTTCATCTTATGCAACTTGTTGTCATCATTTCATAGATATTATGCCTGTTTTTACTTCATGTGAATTCTTAATGCCTGTAGATATTTAATAAATATTGCTCAGAAATGAGGTTAATCATGAACTATTAGTGCTAAAAGGAAGTTTAGATAGTATTTAAACCTGTAGCATATATAATGGTTAATATCAGGCATGAGTTAACATTAACATCAGCTGTCTAATCATAATGTGAAGTTAAAATTTGAGAATTAAATATTCTAAATATTAATCTTGTCATTAATTAAATACTTGATGCTGGCATTGGATAAATTAAGGAGAAGATTGATGGAATCCTGAACATTTATTGGATATGTTTAAAAGTTATAATTGGTTTCAATTCAGACTTTAGCTCCCTTATTATAGGGGTCACATATTCTGAAGTTACCTTTTGTATAGTTTTCTACAAGGAATCTTACGTGGTTAATTTTTGAAATTGTCATTCTATAAAAAGATATGAAGAAATCGTTAAAAGCCTAAAAAATATAATTGTGGGTTAATATAAGAGGAGATTAACACATGAAATATCACAGCCCTGTAACAATGCCTTTAAGAAGGTCATATTAGGCATTCTTTCTTTTTAACTCACTTTTACTCCAGAACTATTACATGAGTTCACAGGTATGGAGATTTAATAGAAACTTATTTGCAAAAACATGATTTATAGGAAGATGAAGACAAATTGATTGTCTCTCACTGTTCTGCACTCCTAGGAATTTTAAGTCAAGCTACTTAGAAGTTTCCTGTATAGTATAATAAGATTTTAGAACATGTCACTATGCCCATTATTTTTCATTATCTGCTTAAGAAGTTCTTCTGGTTAATAAGCTTTTCATCGCAGAACCTAGATCCTCTAGAAAGCTAATAGATATTCTTTGGAATGGTTGCCATGGCACTCAGGTGACTCTGCCTGTCACTGTCTGAATATTTCTTCCCGTGATTATTTTCAGAGCGGGGTTAGCCCAGAACTCTCCAGCCAGACATAGACTGGCTCCAATTCACTTTAAGGATGGGCAGTTTAAATTAGACTTTTGACCTTTATTTCTTCTCATAGTGTATTAGTCTTCTATTTCTGCATAACACATCACCACAAATTTAGCAGCTTAAAACAATACACATTCTTTATCTCACAGTTTCCATGGGGCAAGAGTCTGGGCACAGGTCAGGGTCACAATCAAGGTGTCTGCCCTGGGCTGCATTCTCATCTTGAGGCTTGGCTGGGGAAGAAGCTACTTGCATGCTCATTAGTTTGTTGGTAGAAATTATATTTTTTGTGGCTGTATGACTGAGGACTTAGCTTTCTGCTAACTGTAGACAGGAGTCTACCTACAGCTCTTTGCTGTGTGGCTGCTTACCTCATCAAGCCAGCAAGAAGATCCTCTCACTCCAACCCACCAAACCATGTCTTATATGGTAGTTATGGGGGTGACTTCCCATCATCTTTGTTCTATTCTATTGATTAGAAACAAGTCACAGGTCACACCTGCCATCAAAGGAAGGGGATTACACAAAAGCATACACAGGAGGAGGGAGGGTCACTGGGTCACCTTAGGGTGTGTCTACCATGTTCAGGTATCTCATTCCCCCACCAGTGCCTGTTAGCCGTTGCATCACACCTTTTAATATAGTTAATGGTGACTACAAAGGGAGGAATTTCAGACTTATTTTTTCTAGTTGTGGGACCAATTTGTGTTTCATTCTCAAGCTTCTTTCTGTGTTCTGGGATCTCTCTTGGTTACTTTAGGTGTGGGAGAGAGTCCCTGAGGATAATGGAGTTAAACAGAGAATTTGGTCTTGAGAAAGGGAAAGTTCGATTCTAGAGTTTTTGAGTAGCCATCGTATTTGTTTCATGGCATTAACACTATTTCCACTTGGTTTCTTGTTATGTCACCCAGGAAAGTCGTTTAGGTTATCACAACAAATTGACACCCAGATGGCACACACACACCATCAGAGGAGTCCTACAGTCAGGGTGGGAACTGGTCCAGATGAACTCAGTGAGCATGTCCTACCCACAAATTATCCTTTTTTGCTATAAAATTAGAAAGTCTGCCTTCCCATGCAAGCCAGCTGGGGGAGGATATATTCTCTAGAGATCTAGTTAATGGAAGAACTATTTTTCACCATCTGACTGAGAGAGAGAAGGAGAAATAAAAACCCTAGGGTGAATCTTACTGCATTGAACTATAATGAACCTCAAGACAATCAAATAAGATGACAACAACAACAAAAAGGCAACCCTTCACAGTTGAAAAAACAGTGTAATTTTTTGGGTATTTAAAAACTTCTCTCTCACATTTAGAGTGCCCATATTCTTGGAAATTATTATGTAGCATGTTTCTGTTTATATTCTTTCTAATGACCTGCTTTTGAAGTGCCTTAAGAAATGCCCACAGAGTGCATTAGTTTCAGAATAAAGAGTAGGTCAGCATTGTATGAGGTTTTTGAATAGTGACTGGAAGGCACTTTTAAGCATTGACAGCCAAAATTACTGAGGTAGAAATCTGCAAAAGTAAAGGTATTATTTAAAATAATAACTCGGAAATTGTCCAAGTTTTTTTTTTTTTTCTGTAGGTGCTACTCTTCTCCCACTGGCCTCAGGATTATAAGTTTGAGGGCTTACTGGCTGACATTAGTAGGTAAATAAATATGGGCCAAGATGCCATTGGCTTTTGTGGATAGCAATGTGCCTTAGGACATGAACATAAAATCATAATAGTTCTTTCTTTTCTTAGGGTTTGAAAGCTTATGTTTCCATTTCATTCTCTCCAAGAGATTTGGCCAAGTCTTAAAGAGTAAATTTATATAAATGGACAAAAGTGCCAGGTGCTTCTCAGAAATTCATTGACAGATAAAGGGGGCAGCATGTTTTGTTTTTTTCTATTCCATATTTTTCAGGAGATGTTTGTTTATGCAGTTTAGCTTACAGTTCTTTCTTATTCTTGTATATTGCGATACACACGATGAGTATGTGACTCTTCATTTTTAATGGGAAGAGTGATTACATTAAAATGGAGAATACTGACTTGAATTTTATTTAATGGATTCCCCCGTTGGCTTTTATATCATCCTTTAAAAGTACTAACAGTTCCTAATGTACATTTGTGGGGAAAAAAAAGCCAAAAACAAACAAACAAACAAACAAACAACAATAACAACAACAAGACAGTTTATTTCCATGCAATAGAAAGACCCCTGTGGCCAAAATCTGAGGCACTGCTGTTTACTTTTTGGTCCATGCTTGTGGCTGAAGCTCAGTTTGTCTTCAGCATAGCCACATCTATCACCAATATGCTTGCTGCTCTTCACTGACCTTATAAGCTTGTGAACCACATTTAGAATCTAGCAGCTGATTCTAGAAAAATAGTAACCTCATCTAAAGGCTTGAACAAAAATTTGACATGACCTGTACTTAACAAATTGCTTTTTCCTAAACCTAGAATGACATTTAAATGGTAGTTAATGTTTGAGTCTCCCCCAGTATCCAAGTTAATCCCCTTATCAAGTAACTCAGATAAAGCCTTTTTGGACCATCAGGGTAGCACTGGATATACTGCCCAAAGAATGTGCTTAAGAATTAATCTGCTGAATTTATTAACAGAGAGTAATTTAGGCAGTGATGAACTCAAGCCCAGTGACATATGTTGCTCTCTTGTATATTCAAGTTGATGGTTGTGCATTGAGTCAAAACCTCTTAAAGTCGTTGGAATATGTTTCAAATTTTAGTAATGCTTTTCTAATAATATGCTTAATATTAAATTTTACAAAGAACAAATGAAAAGCTTGAGATATATTTTAACTAAATTAGCCCAGCAGAGGACAGTGATTTAAACTAATTGAGTCTGTGAGTGGCATATCTCTAAGCCTAATTAATGCTTGAACCCTAAGATTTCTTCAAGATTGAACATTAATCAGGCAACCTCAGTGTTCTCCATATTCACCGAGCCAGCAAATCTTTTTGGGCCTCCTATGTGCTAGGAACAGTTCTAGGGACAAGGGATGCTGCAATGCTCAGTTCAGACAAGATCCCTCTTCCTGTGAAGCTTGTATTTCATTTGAGGAAGAAAATAATGAGCAAAAATGTAAATGTTCAATAAAACTATCAGCTGCAGTTAAATCCTATGCAGAGAATTAATTAGGGCATCATGACAAAGAGTGATCATACAGCTACATTAAACTGGGTGGGACAAGAAGGTCTCAGTGAAATATACAGACTTTGAACAAAGATCCCATTGTCAAAAAGGAGCAGTCCTGGGAAAACATTCCAGAAGGAACAGTGGTGCAAGCTCGATGTGTTTGAAGACAGGTACAGGCTTTTGTGGCCAATGTACTAGGAATGGGGAAAGTGGTCCCAAATAAAGACCATGTTGTGCAGAGCCCTATAAGACAGAGGAAGGAATTTGAATTTATCTTAAGCACAGATAAAATCCAAAGATCTCTGGAATGTGAGCTCCATGAAGGAACTATGGAGGCAAGAAACCTATTAGCAGGCTGTTGCTGTGGGTTGGTTGTTAGCAATTAAATATCTGTAACAAAGGCTGGTCATGCCCTATTTTTCCTTTTCAATAGGAATAAAAACCAGGAAAAACATGTCTCAGTTTGACAGTGGAGAAAGAGAATTTGATGCACTTTTAATTTATTGTTGATGTCTATCTAAACTCACCTTTGCACCTGGGTTTCTCTGCATTTGTGAGAACTTGAACTGTAAATCATCATGCTTTGTTTTAAAACCCTTGCTCAAGA
Organism: Homo sapiens; assembly: GCF_000001405.40. Taxonomy (NCBI): domain Eukaryota; kingdom Metazoa; phylum Chordata; class Mammalia; order Primates; family Hominidae; genus Homo; species Homo sapiens. Next base: position 69,624,727 of record NC_000009.12, on the reverse strand, counting down.
ACCAAGTTTTGGTCATGCCATTGTAAATTTGTTGCAAAGACTGATGTAATTTCTTGGAAACTTGACTTCAATGGATTGCCCTCTAAAATTAGGACATATTTGAATGTCTTCAAATGAGGCAGGTCTAATTCAGGTGAGAGTGAGAAACCAGTCATTTTGACCTGCTGGGCACCTCACCCAAGCTCTGTGGAGTCATGGTGGAGGTGACTATATTCAATACCTAGTGAGGATACCAGCAGGGACTGAGCATAGCCCCTCATGCTTTCAAAGAAAAATGCTGTTTTGTGGGCACTTTCTTTAATAATTAATAATAGAAGAAAATTAAATTTTTGTAACTATAAAATTTGTTTCAAAATTGAATGTGTTTTTCATTTGGGATCTTGCTTGGGTCTGAGCAAACTGCCTGGCACAGTAAGAATGAACATTACTTGCTCTGTAAGTGTGTAGGATGTTTTAATCTTAGGCATATTTCTGCCCATCCTTATGTTGGTCTTATGCAGTGTGGCTGCCTATTTAAAACTCACTGTATTGTAAATTCGTGCTGCTCTTTATTATATTTAGAGACTGTTTGATTTTCACTGAAAGCTGTCCCAAACTGCACAGTATCATAATCTGAACCTCTGGGAACTTTTTATTTCATATTCGGAATCCTCAGAAGCAATTTGCCAGCATGTTCTAAAGATAGGTTAAAAATGAATGAAAATGGAAAAAAATGGATTATGATGATTTATGTTTTAAATTTTATGTTGCTTTTACATTTCTAAAAATACACTTATACCTACCTCATGTATATCCATGTCAGAGAGGTATTACAGCAAGATAAGAGAGGTATTACAACACACAAAGGGAGAATTAGACGTTAAGATGACCTACTCAAGGTCATAAAGCTAAAAGCAACAAGCAATCCACCAGTTTTGTTTTGAACATCCTCAAGAGTGTCAACTGTGTTCTCCAGTGTTGGGGTCAAATATGTGCATCCACATGGCCAGGGAGCCTGTTAGAATGTGGGTTCCTGGACTCCACCCCAAGCCTCCCAAACCAGACTCCCAAAGTTTGGAGTTTAGGAATCTGCATTTTTACACACCCTCCCGAGCTGGTTTTTATATGCATTAAAATTGAGAACAATTGGTGTAAAGAACAATTAGATCTAGTCAGGGCCAGCTCTTGCAAAATTGTGAGGTTGGGGAGCATTTTCTTTGACCCATCCACTTCCTGCTTTAAATCGTCTTCTTCCCTCTGTGACTTCAAGCTTGTCCCCAGCTGTCTTCTATCAAACCCTCTTTGAGAAGAGGATATGCAAAAGCTAAAAGTACCACTCGTCCATAAGTTTTCTGCTTTTTAACAGAGAGCAAGTCTTTAAAAAAAAAAAGAAAAAAAAGAAAATCTATAGGAGAAGTGGAGGAGGCACCATTTGGGAATAAAGGAAAATGAGGCTCTCCTTGAACCTGCAGAATCACCCTTATCTATTTCATTGCAGCCTCAGGTCAGTAAACCAGAGTAAATGAAAGCGCAGTAGACTCCCAGCACTCTCCCCCAAGATCCATGTTTCAAAACAACTGTAGATTGATAATGTAGGTTTTTGGGTGGGGTGCCTATGAGCTGCTCTTAAACTTGCTGTTTTCCAGAGTTTTCAAGTACAATTTTGCCATTTGAGCCAAAGATCATGTCAGATCTTTCTAGTGGGACCCCTGGACAGTCTTTGGAGAGGACCCCTAGCTCTGCCAAGAGTGTGGACACTTGAATTATGAAGTCATTCTTGCAGATTCTGTTGCTGCCTGTGCTAATCATGAAGACAATGCATGCTGTTTCTATGTGCTGTGATTGCCAAAACCACAGCTGATAATGAGCTGCTTTCCAAACATCAGAAGGGTTTGTCATGAGAAGTTGGGAAATTATACCAATCATCCCTACCAAAATTTCCAGGGAAAAATCTTTAGCTTGACAGGAATTTAGTTCACAGGCTCTGAATAAGTTGTTCTTGGACGTACAGAAGTACAGACACATTGCAAGGCCCGAGGCTGCAATGACATAGATGACGTGAGGGTGACTCTGTAGGTTCAAATAAGGCCTTATTTCCCTTTATTCCCAAATGCCTCCTTTACTTCTCCAATAGATTTTCTTTTCTTTCTTTGTTTCTTTTTTTTTTCTTATGACTTGGTCTCTATTAAAAAGCCACTTGGAATAAAAAGGTATAAAAACAGACTTTGATTTAATTTGCACTGGCCTTAGATGCTCTTGTTACTGAATGACTTCAAAGACCAGGAACATTTTCCAACAGCACTTCCCTCTGCTAATGGAAGAACCCATGAAACCTAGCCAGACCTACCTGCTCCTATAAGGAACTAGACACAGACATGCTCATATTTAATCACCTTTGGAGATTAAGCCCTTGGTGTAGGATTCATTTCTTTGTTTCACTTTCTAGAGATGATTTTGCTGGAGGAGATGTGTGGCACACCTGAGCTTTGCTCTGCCTCTTACACACTGTGAGTCATAGGGCAAGTGGGCTTATTCTGCTGGTTCTTATTTTTATCATCTTTGACAGGAGGAGAATGGATTTAATCCATAGATCTCACATATGGGTGACATCCCCAGATTCCTGGGGCCCATCCCAGACCAATTGAGATAATTTCAGAGTCTGGGCTTAAGGAGTCTGTGTTTTTTGGAAAGCTCCCCAGTTGATTTTGATGCTCCTCAGGTTTGGTGGCCACTATCAGGTGATCTTTAAGATCCTTCTGGCTCTGATGGACTGGGAGGCAACATCTATGCTATTTATCAGTTTGCCATCTGGGACGGGAGAACATGGTTTGTTGCTAATCATAGCCAACACTGCGTTCCAATTAACTGCTTTATTTCTGCCAAATGCTATGGTTTATTCACTAGTAGGAAGCAGATTAAAGATCACAAAACATTTGCCTTAGGAGGCTTCTGAGCCTGACTCGCTTGTATTTTTCTGTTATATTCATAAAGAAGAGTTGTAATGATGGCCAATACCCACTTAGTGCCTTGTGCCAGGAACTGTTCTATTAATAAGTACTTGATATATATATGAATTTATTTGATCCCACAACTGCTGTTGTGAATATTGTGAAGCTGTTATTGTACATGTTTTACAGATGTGGAAACTGAGGCACAAAGAGAATAAATAACTTGCTCATAGACCCACAGTTAATAAGTGATGGGCCAGGACTTGAACCGGAGCAGTCTGACTCAAGAGCCATGCACTCAGCCACTGCACCATACAGTTTCTCCATGGATAAGAAGTTGTCATTGGCTTTTATGCTTTTACTCTGGATTTCTAGGCTGGTTGACTGGAAAGGTGGTTGGACATCACTCAACATAGGGCCACAGAGAGGCCACAGGTTTGGCAGGAATTTCAGTGGTGTTGAAGTACCAGAAAACAAGGTAATGAAGTCATTATTGTGCTACATTTAATATAATTCACGTAATCTTACATGAAGTGATACCTGTGGAGCTAGCACTTTAAGAAATCCCACTGGCATCAAGATGACTAGATGGCCAGGCAGCCAGCACCTTTAGGTTTCCGTATTTTTAGTTAAATTCCCTTCACTGGTGATAATAACAGCTACCATTTTATGAATGCTTACTTTGTGCCAATCTCTGATTTTTACCAAAAGTCCTATCCAACTCCATTTTACAGATCAGGAAACTGAAGCACTGAGAGGTTGTGTAACTTGCCCACCATGCTACAGTTAATATAAGGCAGAGCCCAGGTTCAGTCTCAGCTCCCGGGCCTTTGGATTTAAGCCCACATGCAGGACCGCCGCATGCTGCTACCCAAGCCTTGCTGCTGCTGCTTCATTTCTGGAGCTTCACTGTCGTCCAACTGTGCAGCTCCTTCGTGTGACCGCACCAGCCCGAGCCTGCACACTGTAACACCTCCCTCCATGGCATCTCCATGCAGAGATGGAGTGAATTTAAATGACTGGGAAAGGACCCTGCAGCCACTTTCGGACCCCTTGGGTTTCTCCTTGCTATCTGTAGAAGGAAGAGGTGGCACTCTGTCTCTCAGTTTTGTTTTGTTTTTTTTGAGATGGAGTCTCGCTCTGTCGCCCAGGCTGGAGTGCAGTGGTACGATCTCGGCTCACTGCAACCTCCGCCTCCCGGGTTCAAGCAATTCTCCTGCCTCAGCCTCCCAAGTAGCTAGGACTACAGGCACATGCCACCATGCCCAGCTAATTTTTGTATTTTAGTAGAGACAGGGTTTCACCATGCTGGCTAGGCTGGTCTTGAACTCCTGACCTCAGATCTGCCTGCCTCGGCCTCCCAAAGTGCTGGGATTACAGGTGTGAGCCACCATGCCTGGCCGGCACTCTGTCTCTCTGACCATCAGTCTCTAGGGATAAGCTCAACCTCACTGGCATGCTGGCCACAACCCATTTTCCTAGCTTAGTGTGTACCTTATATCCTCTCATTTTCTTGCTGAAGACTGGTAATACCAATTTGCAGGGGGAAAATGCGGCTAGAATTTATTTCAGACTTTGCCCTGGCTTTGAGAATTAAAAAAAGAAAACGACTAGACCGTCCTCAGGAGAAATTGGAAGCTACCAGTACTAACTGCCAGATCTAACGTGGTGAGGGAGGAAGAGGCAATGCTGGGAGCAAGGACCTAGTTTTCCAGAAGACAGACAGGGCTTTGAGACCAAGATGTTAAGGGAAGACTGTTTTCAGTTCAGTATTTAATTGCTTGTTTTGGGTATTGGGAATCTTTTGTTCCCTCATGTTCTAGAGATTTCAGGTAACTTTTCACGTAGAAACCGAGAATACAAATTTTTATTTTTATCAGAAAATGCTGGCTGTGCGAACATGGAATGGAAAAGTTGCAGTTTATGTCATTCAGCAGAACATAATGTGTGTGTATGTGCATCTCTGTTACATATGTGGGGGCAGTCTGACTGCCTCTGTCAATGCGAATAATTAATTTAGACCACATGCATGAAACTCCAGAATTTAAGACATGACTCTGTGTTATGCTCAAACTTTCTCATAAGGCAGGTTTTATTGTTTAAGCAGGGAAAAATTCAACTTGGCTTCTCTGTTTTTCCCAATCCAAGCACAAGTGAGTTGGGGAGGGAGCCTGTGTCTGAATAACTGATTTTTTGTGTGCTCTTTGAGACAATGGTAATAATGATGCCCTGCCTTTGTATGGCTCTTGATAGTTGGCAGAGCCCATCTGCATACTTTGAGTTTTAAAACACCCATGTGAGATAAGCAGGAGAGAGATTCATTTGTTCTTTATGGCTGAGGGAATAGAGATTCAGAGAGGTTAAGCAGTTTGCACAAGGTCACACAGCTAGTAAATAGTAGGGCCGAAATAGCAAATGTGTTTATAGTATTTATGTGTCTCATATTTCCTTCCCTAATTTACAAAGACCTTTCCAGTTGCTTCTATAGTTCTGTCAGTCTTCATGAATGACTCAGAGTGTGTTTTCAAAGTAATCTGTATATTATGGGGTCATTTTCATGAATGTAATTTCTTTTATTATGGCTTTTTAAGATATCTGTTTCCTTCTCTCCACTCCTAGATAACTTCCTTGAGAGTGGGGACTTAAATTTCCTTTCAATTGCCTCAAAATAACAAATACTCTGTTTCATTAAACAGAGTTGACTGATGTGGTTTTGTAGTCCACAATGCTACTTAGAACCCCCTTAAATGAAAAGAACCAAAATATGTTAGGTACCTGCCATATGCCAAATACTTCACTAGCTGCTCTGCAGACTGCATCTCCATTAACTTTTCACACAGCCCATGGGGTAGATATTGTCCTTATTTTGAAGATAAGAGGTTTGGAAAAGTTGAGAGACTTAGACCTAAGATACCCCAGCTAGTAGGGGGCAGGGTTACGATGTAAATCCATTTCTTCTGCCTCTAACAAGTTTTTACCCTTTTCCTCTATGTAATGTATCTTTAAAAACAAAGGCTGAAAATATATTGCTAAGAATTTCTTATGACAAATCTTGAGCCCTCACCTCTCTTTGTTTCAGTGAATTCACTCTCAGGCTGGGTTCTTTTCTGGCCTGAGCCATGATGGCTCCTTGTCTCTATCTGGTTCTGCCCTACCTGGTGCCCTTGTCTGATTCTACTTGTCATAACCGTCTGATTTTTCATAGCCACATCAGCCTTGGTTGAGTATGACTGGCCGCCATCTTGATTTACTTCATACCTCCGTTTCATTGGTCTCTTTCCATGGAAAGTATCATATCCTTCCTCATAGAACAATTATTCAAGTACTTGCCTTCATTAGCATCCTTCCATATTGTGAGCTTTGAGTTGGTTGGAAATTATTCTACTTACACTTTAATCATTCCAGCATCTAGAACAGTGTCTCTTGTGCATCGCGCAAACACACTAAATGTTGAGTGAATTAAATTGAGTCAAGAGAAGCTGAGTGGTTCCTAGAAAAGTCACTGGTGTCAATGCATGGCTTCTGTAGGGAGCCAATGAAGAGTCTGAGAAGACCTGGGGATGTTCCACCAAGTTAGTGTCTATTGTGTGTGTTTACCAGAGTGCCTGAGCTGTGTTCAATTTCTATGGACCTGTACTAAAATGACTAGCTCGGAAATGATAAATATGCAACTTGCATGGCGCCATTATCCCATCCCACACCTGAGGCAAACAACACTATTCAGTCATGGTACTGTTCCTACACAGTATTCCAGGCATACATTACCAAGCAATTAAAGTTGAGATTTAAGAAAATGTATTTGCTGCTCTTAGGTTAGTCTACCTAGGAGGGCTGTGTGTGTGTGTTTAAGCTTGATGATGAAGCATGGGGAGGCCAGAACTTTAGCACTGCTAGCTTTATGTCCATAAACACCCAAACTTGATCTTCTGATTGGCAAGAAAGTAAGATTTAAAAGGAGGGAAAGTCGCACAACAGTGTGAGTGTACATAATGCCATTGTATATCTAAATATGGTTAAATCGGTAAATTTCATATTATATATTACCACAATTTTTAAAAAATGAGATATAAATCTCAAAAATTTGGTGTTGACAGTTGTCTGGCTGAACAGTAGGAATGAGTAGAGATCTGGGGAGAATGAAGGTGTAGTTCCCGTTTTTTTTCCCCATGACATTCCCATATTCTCAACAATTTCCTAAGCCTACAGCAAATCTGTATCATGATCTGGGGTGAATTTATTAAACTGAATTTCTGGCTCTTAAGGTGGAGGTGTACAGGGAATAGTCAATAAATATTTGTTGGTGTTGGTAATGGTCAAATCTAGGCTGGATACACACATTCTACTAGATTTGCCATTATTGATTATCCAGGATAAATATAGTTGCCTAGTTTCTACACTATGCCATGTTGGTAGTATATATTTTCTCCTCCATGTGATATTCAGCTTATGGAAGTCACCACTACAATATTAATCTTGTCAACCTAAAGAGCAAGCAGAGAGGTATACTCTCTAAAAGAAAATGATATTTATTTGGTAATAGGCATTGCAGTGGGAACACACATGCCATAGTAAGCTATGTGCATATTCAGGGAAGTGAAGGAAGACAAAGATTCTTAAAGGAAAAGTGAGGAGGGTTATATAGTTGTTTTGAGATGATTATCCTTGGCTACAAGAATCAACAACAAGGATGGCACCAGTCTGAGGTTGGACAGGCAGTTGCTGGGCAGATGTCCTCACAGAAGTCTTTTTATGTGTATATGTGTGTGTGTGTGTAAGGTTACAATGGCCCTTGTGCAAGGTTGCATTGTTTTCAGATTCTTTTGTGATAGTTCTTGTTATCAGGCATTTGTGCATGTCCCTCCCTTCATGGCCTTCCCCAGCTCCACTTGTCAGGGTCTTAAACATCTTAAAATATGACTCCATTTTGATTCTGATAACTTTCACATTCCCCCCTTTTGACCAAGATCTTTCTCCAGAAGCATTGCTGATCAGTCATCCTTGGGTTTTGATTTTCCCTCAGTGCTGCAATGGACCTGTCCTGGTGTGGTCTAATCTGGTCCCACATCAGAAGGAAGTGATTGGTGACTAGTAGTCAGTGTCAAGATCCTTTTAGCTACATTTGAGCAACAAGGGAGGTTTGGAGGGAGTGTTTTTCAGGATAGGTCTACCTGGAGTTCATTGTTAAGTTCAATTTTATCTGTTCTGTAGGCATTAGCTCTCATTTCAAAGTGCTGGGTCAGTATCATCCTGTTAGAAGTTGTACTTCTGAAGACACTTAACAGGTAACAGGTACAAAGTTTAAAAAGGAAAATACAAAGTAAAATTAATAGTACTATGACAATCCCAGTTCGCATGGTTTTGAGCCGTGAACCTAGGCTTAAAGGTATTGCATCAATCAAATGACCATGGGCAATTAGATGAGACATGTTGTAACCCTGTGGCCTGTTTTCTTATTTTGTATATATGGATCTCAACTTTCCCAGAAGAATTTATCCAGTTACAGCATATGGTATTAGCAATAGCACAGGTGTTTTCTTATTTAACCAATAATATAGAGCAACAAGAAATATAGAGTGATTTTTTTCCATCTGGTATTCTATGATTGGGTTGAATTAAAGCAGAGAGTAATCAACAGTTGCCTTAGGGTTGTTGCTACAGTCACTCACTGCGTGGACTAAAAGATCTCCTAGATCAGGTGGTTAAGTTACCAGGGGAAGCTACTGGTTGTGAAACTGCAATTACGTCATTATCCTGCTAAGTGAAAAAGGTAGCATTAAGGGGGGAAAGAGTCTCATTATTATATTGGGTCTTGTTCTGACATCTAGGGAAAAGCTGCCCACAGCATAAAGTTATCAATTTCTTGTCCTGGTTTGCAGTCCGAATGTCTCTGTTTATGGTATTGAGCAGTTTGATGAATGCTTGCTGTGGCCCATACATCAGGCATGAGATTTGTCCCTTAAAATTTATTTAGTTTCAGCTTATAGGACTTCAGGAACAGAGCAGCTTCTGTTTTTAATAATTCTATGGAAGAGTTAGATTGGAGGATTCTAGAAGAATTCAGGATCTAGTCTAATCTATAGGTGGAGAATAAGAACTTGAAAACAATGCACAGGACTGTATTCTAATAACAGGTGTATTATAGCATTTCCTTGGAAATATAACCTTTTATCTTTACATTGATGACATAGGAAGCTCAGATTTAAAATCTATTGAGGCTAGGAAGCCAGATCAAGGCATACTTCAGATTTTACCTATGGTTTCTATCATGAAATGGCATTTTTACTCACTCACTCTAAGGCTGGGAACCCTTGAAGCCAGGCATTTTAAGCACGTTCTCAAATATGATATTCCAGTCAAAGCCTTGGTAGTATAACCAATGTTTCCAATTGTATCCTGTTATAAAGACAGAGAAAATTCTTTTTGAACTTATGGAAATAACTGCATTGTCATAAGAACACTCACAGATAGCTTCTGAATTTTGGAAGGAATTAGTAGGGCAAAAAAGCAAATGCTTCCATATTTGTTTACAAAAATATACTTTATAAAATTGCTGTAAACTATAGAAGGCTTAAGAGAAAAATTGTCTCTTATTTTATTTTTTGAGCCAGGGTCTCACTCTGTCGCCCAGGCCGGAACGCAGTGGCGTGATCTCGGCTCACTGCAACCACTGCTTTCTGGGTTCACGCAATTCTCCCATCTCAGCCTCCCGAGTAGCTGGGACTACAGGTGTACACCACCACGCCCAGCTAATTTTTGTATTTTTTGATAGAGAAGGGGTTTCACCATGTTGGCCAGGCTGGTTTTGAATTCCTGACCTCAAGCGATCTGCCAGCCTCAGCCCTCCAACGTGCTGGGATTACAAGTGTGAACCAACAAGCCCAGCCTTCCTTAAAAGAGAAAATTTTCTTAAATCTGGAAAACAAAACATTTAAAGAACTAACAATATTTCAAATAAAAGTCATGCAAACATTACCTTTATCAGTTACTTAATTTCATGTAATTAATTTTGTTCTGCTTCATCTTGATTAGTAGTTTCATGAATTCATCAGTTTCTTCATTAGAGCTCTGAAACATTTTCATTTAGTCCATCGACCTTAAAGTTATTTAAACCTATATTTAAGAATATTTGTTAGTCTTTTCCATGAATCTGATTGCAAATGCTTTTAGAAAAGTATCATAATGGTGGATGACAGAGACTTAGAATATCTATAGTTAAAAATCTGATGGAAGTTTATTATAATTTGCAATTGACAAGGAATTTGGTTATTTCTGTAGCATATAAGATTTTAACATAATAACCAAAATTATGACTGATACCATATTAGACTTCTATGAATTTACATACTTTTTAACATTTGTATATATAACATACCCATAAATGTAATTTAAGGAAGGTCTAGCATCACTTATCATTTGACAATGTTTCTCATACAATTTACCATAGAGCTTAATCATTTAATATCTCCACAAGATGAGAGAAGCATCCGTTGATACTCTCCACGGGCCTGACTAGAAAGTCTCAAAGTTAATTCTAGGTCAAAAAAGACTTAATTTAGAATTTTGATGCTGGGGAAGCCCATCAAAGATGCCAAAAGGTTTAGAATACCTGATAAAAGCAGGGTCACAGGTCACCATGAAATAATAGTTATTCGTTTAACTACAGTGATAATCAAAAACTTCAAAAGCTATACAGAAAGTTACATGGATGTAAAAAGCAAACAAACAAAAACCTTAACCCTTTCAAAGCTCACTTTAAGAATCAAAAACCTAATAAAGACTACAAAGGAAATTATTTTGATAAAACTCAAAATCTTTACGTCTTAGGTCAGTTAACAAAAAGGTAAAAAAAAATATTTTGCAATGTGATTGCTTCTCCTTACGGGAAGACAGTTTAAATAACCTGGAAGTCAAACCTGATGAAAAATACTTGAATTTAATCAGACACAGGAAGAGTGTGTGTCCAAAGATTATGAATGTATACCGTATTATAGAGAAATGTAAACAAGAAAACTATATCTTGAGCAGGGGAATATGTGGTTATTAGTAAAATCATGGGAAGTTTCCTGGTTACATGGAGCAATTCAGACCCATGTAGAAATCACATTATGTTGGAGGGTAACTGCCTTTCTAGGCCTTCAAGGAGGAACATCCCAGTGTCAGGCCATGTCAACAGAGTTAGAGCTAGATAAAAAAATTACAGGAGCTGGTTAAAAAGTTGAAAGAGTTATCACCTCAGCCAAGCAAAAGATATATCCTCTCAAGGGGAAAAAGCTTAAGGCAATGATGTATAACCTATAAATCTCGTGCAGCAAGATACAGCAAAAGTGGAACTTCCGAGACAAGAACCTGAAAAGCTTCAAGAGGAAAGCTGTACCTGGAGAAATTTAAATGAAGAAGATAGCATTTCCGGCCTTAAACCAGGGAAATTAAATGGCTTAGGAAAAAAAATGTGGCAGGAATAGAAACTATTAAACAGGAATAAGTTGCAGCTTAGAAGATGGCTGTTAAACAGATTTCAGAATTAAAAATCAAAACCTCTTACAATTTTACTAAGAGCAGATCAGTACTTCAGGAAAACTTTGTTGTTCTAACAGGGAGATCAAAGTTTTAGTTATGTAGCAGTGTATTTTTAATATCAAAGCTCAATATTTAGAAAGACATAAATAATTTCCTTCTAATTATAACCAACTTGATCACACACACAAATTTTTTTCATAAATTCATCCTTCACAAACCTTTCATGACTTACACAGATGTTCGACAACAGGCTAGACTTTTAGTTTTATCCTATACATTTTCTTTCTTAAATAACCAGTCATTTTACGTTAGGACAAAAATCTACCACACAACATTTTCTTATACAAAATTATTCACTTTTCTTTTTAACCTGCTTTACCACAAATACATCTTAATACTTATAACTTTCTTCACGTATCTCCTGCTTACTGGTTCATTTCTATCCTCTTTCTTCTTCCTTCCTAAATCCATATTTTGAAGTAACCTTTAATGACCTCTGAATTTAGACAAAATTATTCTTTTTTTCTCAATAAAGAACATAGTTTTTCTTACAATTTTTCTCACCAAAACACATCTTTTTGGTACATTTTGTATACATAATTTTATGTTAATTAGAATTTTAAACTCTTAGTAACCTGAATTTCTAGTGAAAACCTAGGAAGCAAAACGTTTTGAACTGTCACCTCATCAATATTTTAAAGATGAGAGCAATTTCATAATTTTTAGCAACATTTCCTATAACATAATTTTTATGTTTAATACACCCAATATATTTAGTCTTTGTATAAAATTTGAGAATCCAAGAACAATCCTGAATTTATGTTCAGCAATTTATGTTTTAGTATTTTATTAGGAATTTACCCAGACATTTAATGAGTATCTATCACTTAGTTTAACATAACTTTAAGATTTCAGATCACAGGAAAAGTTCATTTTTAAATGTTTATCCCACTTACATTTCCCTAATTTATTTTTAAAAATTATACCTAGATTACTTATAAAAACTGAGATATTATACAAAACTAGTCATCATTTTAAGTTATATCCCTGTTAACCATTTTTATAGTCTGTGAATATCTGGAGTTCACCTATATAAGAACCTTAAATATATGGGTATTTTGTGGGTAAATCAGATGATAAAGATGTTTTCATTAAACTAACAATATTAGTCTTACTTATCAAAGAATTACACAAAAATTGTTCTGTTTTTAGGTTGGATTTATAGTTGTATGACCTTAAAATATATAGAGACACAAATATAATCCCATCTGATTAGCAAAACCAGACAAAAGTGGATGCCAACAATTCTGAAGACATTTTAATTTTTATTTTATCAACAAATTTAAAACTAGCTTATTTGTTAATTATTTACTTAACTAATGTGAACTAAACAGCATTTGAGTTCATTACTATATAGTTAATATAGCACTCATTAAGCCAATCTGAATAGAATTACTTAAGTGATTTATGGCCAACTATGCCAGGTTTTACCATGTAGACACAACATGTGTGAACACACAATGCACATACCCACACACAAATAAATACCTTATAGCTTTCCTTTTAGAATTTTAGTCATGAGGAAGTAAAACATAGCAATAGAAACTGATTAGTTGATAAGACAGTTGGATCCAAATTATATTTCTGACAAAATGGAACGTGTTCCCATGGCTAAATTTTATTTGTTCCAATGGGTAATCTAATGAAGAGTGCGGACCAAAATTTTGAATAAACCAGTTTGGTTTTTAAAAAATCTTTTAACTTCCCACCACCCCCTTTTTTCAGTTTCAAATGAGTTTAAGGTTAGATATTCAAATATTTGTGTTTTAGCTAGGACTGGCTGAATTGCATCAGAAAAACAGTCTCCCAGTGGGTTTGAATATTTTAGTAACAACACTATATTTTGTTTGTTGATCTGGTTTGCCTGACTAGTCAGTGTGAGCAGGGAAGCATTTTAGCCGGTTTGGGTTTTTTTTTTGTTTTTTTTTTTTTTTTTTTCCTTTTCTGGTCCCTGCATGTCAGACAGAGCAATTTTTATCCCGGACAGAGATACCTTATATTACTGCTCTGAGCTCAAGATTTTGACCTGTTTGATATGAAAGTCTAAGCAGTTGTTAGACAAACCTGAATTTACACTTCCAAAAGGTGTCTACATTGTTGGTTGCCATGAAGCTGTTGTGATTTGTAAAGCCATTAATTTGAAAGCCCTTCCAGACTTAAAACAACAACAACAAAAAACTTCAACTGGCATCCCATAAGCAGTGAGTTTACCTCAACACCAGCAGAAAAGTCAGCAGATTCAAAGTAGAAAGAAAAAAAAAAAGAACTTAGAAGGCTCTACCTTTAACTGTATAGTTGATTGCATTTTTTAATTCAGTTCTAAGAAAAAACAAGCTTGGGGAGTTTGAATGATCCACATTATGACCATTGATTTTAAAATGTGCCTGAGGAAAAGCCTTGTAGCTGGCAGGAGTCCTGGAGAACCTGGCATGCCTTAATGTTTGAGAATCTCATTCTGTTTCTTATTAATCTCTTGAGAGCAAAGAAAATCTGATAATTTCTATTAGGGAGTTTGGACCAGTGTTTTAGATGATGGTGACTGCCTTAGTAGTTTTTCATTGGCCATGTAGCACCCACCATTTGTAATGTTTATTTTTTGCTCTCAAGAGATGTTCAGAAAAAAGCAAAGGAAAAATGAGTCAGATCATTGACAGACATGTAACAAAACCAAAACAAAACCAAAATCAGAGTGCCCATAAAAATTTTAACTCAGGTGTGAAGATCAAGCAAAATATTAAACTAGGCATACAGAACCTGACAAAATGTAAATTCTGTGGAACCTAGAATACTCAAACCAGAAGGACATTGTTCGTATACCAGAAAGGGCTTACTCCCCAACAACAACAACAAAAATACTTTTATAGTCCCAAGAAGGATACAATGTACTTTATTTATTTATTTTTAGAGACAGAGTGTTACTCTGTCACCCAGGCTGGACTGCAGTAACAGGATCCTAGCCCACTGTAGACTCAAACTCCTAGGCTCAAGTAATCCTCCAGCCTCAGCCTCAAAAGCAGCTAGGACTATAGGCATGGACCACCACACTTAGCTAATTAAAAAAATTTTTTTGTGGAGACAGAGTCTCACTATGTTTCTCATGCTGATCTTGAACTCCTGGCCTCAAGTGATCCTCTTGCTTTGGCCTCCCAAAGTGCTGGAATTACATGCATCAGCCACTGCACCTGGCCCCAAGGTTCTTTATTTAAGGTGGCCTTATAATCAGATCGGATCCCAAGTTAAGTCAATAAGGACTCACCAAAGGTCCAATGTGGTGGCTCATACCTGTAATCTCAGCACTTTAGGAGACCAGGGCGGGAGAATCACTTGAGCCCGGGAATTTGAGGTTGCAGTGAGTTATGACTGTGCCGCTGCACGCCAGCCTGGGTGACAGAGGGAGACCCTGTCTCAAACAACAACAACAACAACAACAAACTCACCAAAGGGAAGGAGACCAAGAATCTGAAAGGAGACTCAGCAGGGCAGAAAAGGTGACTCACAGAAATGGACATTGCAAAGGGCTTAGCTGGTGGTACTGCACTCAATTCTAGGGGCTGCACATTTGTCTGAAGTGAGCTCACTTTGATCCCATTTCTGATATCATTTTCATCAATCTAAATAGCAGAGAGGTGGACTCTAAAAGAAAATGTTTATTTGGTATTAGGCATTGCAATGGGAATACATGTGCCATAGTAAACCATGTGCATATTCATGGAGGTAAAGGAAAATAAAGGTTTTTAAAGGAAATGTAAGAGAATTACATAATTGTTTTGAGATAACTATTCTTGGCTACAAGGATCAGTAACAAAGGTAGCACCAGTCCAAGGCTGATGGGAAGTTGCTGGGCAGATGTCCTTGCAGAAGGATTTTGTGTATGGCCTTTGTGCAAAGTTGTGTTTTTTCAGGGTCTTTTATGATAGCTCTTTTTATTAGGCATTTGCACATGAAAACCCTCCCTTCATGTCCTCCCCTGGCTCTATTTGTCAGGTTCTTAAACATAAGTGACTCCATTTTGATCCTGAAAAGTTTCACAATCTTATGATTCTTTTATTTAGCATCTTCTCCCCACCCCATTCCCAAGTACAATGCCCAGAAGGAATCAGTGTGAGCATTTAAAAATCGTGTTAATGAATAAGTAGAATTGACATCTAATTTGGTTTTGTAGTCATTATAGTGCCTAGCCCAGTCTGTCACATATACAGCACACAGTTATTGGTTAAACTGATGTTTTAGGTTAAAAGCAGATTATGTACCATGTTAGATATCACCTACTTACACATAATATGAGATAATTAAATACCAGTGATGGTTATTAGATTATGTCTAGAAAATATTAAAGCTAACAAGACGGCACAGGGTGGAAAAAAGCCACACCTACTACAGAGGAGGGACAGAGGTTGATGGAAACATCAGAAAATTAGGGCTCAAAGTTGGGAAAGTGTACTTGATAGGAATGTGACCAAAACCAACTTCTCAGTATGGGTGCCCTTTAATTCAGTTTGCTTTAGATAATTGCATATAATTACCCTCTAAGACTTTATCACCACTTCGAGGGAGAAGGGGACTCAAAGGGGGGCCTCTTAAAGGCAACAGTATTTACAGATGTTCCTTTGTGCCCTCTTTTATGTTGAAGTAGCATGTCATAAATACTGTTTTTTTGGGAGCAAGTGCCTTCAATAAGGCTTATCCAAGCAGTGGTCCCTCTTCCCTCCTCAGTCTACCATCATTCTTGTCTTTGAATTTTCCTTTTAGGCCTTTTCATATCTGGGTAACAACAGTGAATATTCGTTATAGGTCTGCTGCTTCACCTACTCCCCCTTTCCTTTTGAGTAATTTGATGATGGTATAGACTCAAAAATTCCTTTCAATCAAATAAATAGTAAACCAGATGGATTAAGATGTACCTAATCTGGTACGGGTGCATTAGTTTATCACTGTGGCCATTTCCACCTTAGTAAACACTTCTATATGTTATGACTGAGTTTGCAGTCAACAGTGTTCATCATTGTAATTAAGAAGATTCTGTGATTTCTTTGCCAAATATGGGACTAAGTGTTCTTGGGGGAATACCACTGCATATAAAAAGAATTAGCTGTAGGATATTTTACAGTATCATGCACTTCCAATTAAGTAAACGTGATAATCTATTGTGATCAGAGTAGTGTAAAAATAGTAGATGTGGCTTGTTTCCATCCTGTGCCACCTTGTTAGCGCTAATATTTTCTAGGCATAATCTAATAATAATAACTGGCATTTATTTTGCTGTTATTATGTGACAGGCACTGAGCTAAGTGCTTTACATGCATGATTTCACAAAGACCCTCTGAGAGAGGTACTGGTAATATCTCCCATTTTATAGATAAGGAAACTAAGGCTTAACCAACCTAAGAAACCTATCAAACAGCCAGTAAGACAACCCTGAGATTCCAGCCCAAGTAATCTGACTCTGGAGCCACAGCTGGATCTAAACACTAGTTAGTCTTACCTCCCATCAGCCATTTATTGGCCCAAACGGACTGGTTTTTGCCCATTAATATTTTACTTTAGTAAGTCAAAAGTTAATACAAAGTATTTGGGAAAAATGTAAGAAAATATGTGGTTTTATTTATGAATGAGTACTACAGCGTGTTATTCAAAGTGCATAGGGTAAAGCTTAGCTTTGAAAGTTAGAGGAAGCTTGAATTAAAAAAACTGTAAATGTGCTAATCTGCCAGTCCTAGCAGTAATGGTAGATGCTGCTTGATATGGTTTGTCTGTGTCCCCGCCCAAATCTCGTATTGAATTGTAGTTCGCATAATTCCCATGTGTCATGGGAGGGACCTGGTGGGAGGTAATTGAATCATGGGGGCGGGTCCTTCCCATGCTGTTCTCATGATAGTGAATAAGTCTCACAAGATCTGACGGTTTGATAAAAGGGAGTTTCCCTGCACAAGCTCTCTTGCCTGCCACCATGTAAGACATCCCTTTGCTCTTCCTTCATCTTCTGCCATGACCGTGAGGCCTTCTCAGCCATGTGAGCTGAGAGTCAATTAAACCTCTTTCCTTTATATATTACCCAGTCTTGGGTATGTCTTTATTGGCAGTGTGAGAACAAACGAATACACTGCTGCTTCTCTTCTTTCAACCCAAAGAGATAATAACAGACAAACTAAAGGCTGAACTTCTCATTTGTGAAGCAAATACAATTCTGGCCAGAATTATGGGGGTTTCTTTAAAAGAACTTCTGCTGTATCTCTTAGAAATAAATGGGACAATATGATTGTATTTTTTAATGTATCCAGTTACCTGCAGGACAGGAAATGTCTTCATCTGCCTTTTTATTACCTGCTTTCTTGCCCTCTTATTGCCATGTGTCACTTCTTTTAGGAAGCAGCATGGCCTGAGAATAGTATACAGACTTTAACTGGAGAGGGCAAGGTTAAAAAGCCAGCTCCCGGCCAGGCACGGTGGCTCAAGCCTGTAATCCCAGCACTTTGGGAGGCCGAGGCGTGCGCATCACGAGGTCAGGAGGTTGAGACCATCCTGGCTAACACGGTGAAACCCTGTCTCTACTAAAAATACAAAAAAATTAGCCGGGCGTGGTGGTGGGCGCCTGTAGTCCCAGCTACTCGGGAGGCTGAGGCAGGAGAATGGTGTGAACCTGGGAGGCAGAGCTTGCAGTGAGCCGAGATCGTGCCACTGCACTCCAGCCTGGGCGACAGAGCGAGACTCCATTTCAAAAAAAAAAAAAAAAAAAAAAAAAAAAAAGCTAGCTCCCTCACTCACTGTGTCAACCTTGTTTAACTTCTCTGAGCATCAGTTTCTTTCTCTGTAAAAAAGTAGGCGATACAATAAAGCCTACCTCGTAAAGTTCTTGTGAAGTTCAAACTAGGCAGCAGATATCAAGTTCCTATCACCACGCCTGCTGGCCTGCAGTAGGTGCTAATGTCACATATTCTAGTTCCCTTCTTGCCCCTCTACCTTCTCTGTTGCTCCATTGCACCGCCATTTGCCATAGTTGGGTTTCGTTATCAAAAGCAATTCTCTGCTAATGGACAGAGGGCAAGGAGCCCTCTTTGGCTGCACTGATATTCTTGAGGAAGAACAGTATTTGCTTGCATACTAGTGCTCTTTTCAGAGTGATTTGGGTATAAAATCTAGTGAGTATGAGAGTGGATTCTTTTTGTGTGTATATTCACTTGTTAAGCCTGTTGGCAGGACTCTGCCTATATTCTTCCTTCAGGTTCTAGGAGACTGGGGACCAGGGATGTGTTTCTTATGTTTACATGAGTTTTCTTTGAGAATTTTCCATGCATTAATTCAATCATTAATTCATTGGATAAATACATGTTGATTGCTTACTATTTACAGGTACTCTGCTAAGTGCTGGGAATACCACAGTCAATAAAACAAACCCACATCTGTGACCTCATGGAACTTGTAACTAGTGAAATTCAGTTTGATGATTTAAAAATAAATTTAATGTAAGCGTGTTCTGGACTCTCTGGGTGACCACAAATGCTGCTGTGAGGTTTCAGTGTCTACAGTGACATGTGGCTGTTAGTGCCTGGCATCAAATGGCTTTCCCTTAATAGTCAGCAGCTCAAAGGGCACAGGTGAATCTAATTATAAATGATGCCTTACAGCCAAGACCAAATGACAACGTAAGCTAACATTTGTGACAATAAAAGCTGCACGTAGAGTTTGAATAGAAGAGAGTGGCTGGAGCATTGAGTCATCACACGATATGCCATAGACTAGGGAGGCCACTCTTGGAAGAACCAGGCTATGGTGTGAAAAGCTAATTTCAACAATATGTTGCATGGCAGATTATTGGCTTTGTAGGTTTGTTGGTATTATCAGTTATAAATTTATATTGATTTTATAGCTGTATAAGAGCTTGAAACAAGGTATTTATAATCTTATGCATAATTTCTTTTTAGTTTGCTCTGGGGAGGCCTGAGATAATTTTTTTTTTTACTGTAAAGGAGGTTAGTACCATCGTTCAAGTGCAGAAACATTGTTCCAGAGAAAAATTCTCTACAGGGGTAAAATTCTATATAAATATGAGCTGTTTGGCAAAAACTAGTTATGGCTTTGATTTATTGAAAATATTTTTAAAGGGCAGGAGAAAGGTTATAACTCTTGTTTTTACCCCCCAAATCATTCTGTTTTATGTTTTGTAGTCGTGAGCTATTGTTTTTGTGTGAGTCATAACCGAATTGGCATGTTTAAGAATTTCTCATTAATTCTTGTAAAAGAATGAAATTATTCCAACCTCTTCCTTCCTTGTCATGCCTCTCCACTTACCCTCACGTGTGTGCATGTGTGCCCATACCCGTGTGCCTCTCCTCTTACCCTCATGTGCGTACATGTGTGCCCATGCTCATATGCCTCTCCTCTTACCCTCATGTGTGCATGTGTGCCCACACTCATGTGCCTCTCCACTTACCCTCATGTGTGTGCCCACACCCATGTGCTTCTCCGCTTACCCTCATGTGTGTGCATGTGTGCCCACACTCGTGTGCCTCTCCACTTACCCTCATGTGCGTGCATGTGTGCCCATGCTCATATGCCTCTCCTCTTACCCTCATGTGTGCATGTGTGCCCGCACTCATGTGCCTCTCCACTTACCCTCATGTGTGTGCCCACACCCGTGTGCCTCTCCACTTATCCTCATGTGTGTGCATGTGTGCCCACACTCGTGTGCCTCTCCTGTTACCCTCATGTGTGCATGTGCCCACACTCATGTGCCTCTCCACTTACCCTCATGTGTGTGCATGTGTGCCCGCACTCATTTGCCTCTCCACTTACTCTCATATATGTGTGCCCACACTCATGTGCCTCTCCACTTACCCTCAAGTGTGTGCATGTGTGCCCACACTCATGTGCCTCTCCACTTACCCTCATGTGTGTGCATGTGTGCCCACACTCATGTGCCTCTCCACTTACCCTCATGTGTGTGCATGCGTGCCCACACCCGTGTGCCTCTCCACTTACCCTCATATGCGTGCCCACACTCATGTGCCTCTCCACTTACCCTCAAGTGTGTGCATGCGTGCCCACACTCATGTGCACACCCCCCCACAAACGCTGTCTAACAACTTCTTTTGACCTATTATACTCACACTTACTGATTTGAGACTTGTCCTCACTATACACTGCTTTGTACAGCGTTTCCAGATTTGTTTTTAAAAAGCTTTTAGAATTCAAGCTTACTTGAGCTTACCCGGGGAATATTAAACAACAATCATAAGTGATTCTCTTTTTGTAATAGTTAGCATTTTCTACTGTGTAATATTGCAGTATCTGATCTCTCCTCTAGACTCTAGAATCTGGGGCAGACTGAAGAGGCCGTTCTCTGTTAGAGAGGGCATGATGTTCGTTCATAGGGTGACCGTCCGTCTATTCCCATTTGTCTGGCACTGTCCAGGTTTATGTCTGCTCTCTCAGCATAATTGTTAATGATGCCTGCTTTCACTCTCAAGAGTATTTCATTTGGATGATAAATTATAAGGTTATTCTAGTTACCCAAAACACTTTGGCCTTATGGCCTACTAGAGCCAAACAAAGAAGCTGTTTCACAGATTCACTTTAATCACTAATTCTCTTTCTTCATTTACTTTTAGCTGTAGACCTATGTTTGAATTTATAAAATTGGGAAGTATTTATGTATAAAGATATGGCAATATCCATGTACTTTTTGTACTATCTCTCTTAGGGATTATAGCAAGTTTATAACAGAAAAAGCAGGGATTGGTCACTTTGGAGCAGTGATTGTCTGAGCTTCAGCAAAAATTTTGAAGTGTGAGCTGATCAGGATATTTCACATCCAAGAGGTCAAAGCCTGCAAAGCCTGTTACAGTGAGCTTCTAAGATTTACACACATTCTTTCTTCCAAAAATTCAAAGCGAAATTGCATTATCCTGTTCTGCCTAAAATAAAGGTATCATTGACTGGGGCTCAGAAGTTTTGGTTGTAACCTGCCATTTTGGATGACGGTTTTGCCTTTGTCAGAAATTTATTATTTTGGTTTTAAATCTGAGGTCTTCAGCCAGTGATTGGGCTCAGATGGTGGTTTGTGGCATAAGGCATGTGAATGCAAGATGAGAAGACACCTTTTGATTCTTCTGGAGCTAACTGTCCCGTTTGCCCCTGGTTCCAGCCATGCATCACTTGTCTTTTTCTCTTTAGCTATTTAGTTTCATCCTTACTACCCTCCCAGAGGACCAGGAGAAGGAAAGAAAGGGGAAAATTCCACATGTTGATTTGCTGCCAAAAGTCTTTTGATAAGAAAGATGATTGACTCTGTTTTGCATATTTTCATGGTCATGTGTGTGTATGTATTTTTTTGTTTGCCAGATTAAGCATATTCTTTTTCTTGCATGTATTTCTATATTTCTAAATATGTAATGTTTTTCATTTTGTGAAATGTAGGCAGTCACTAGAATAAAAACTCCACTGGGGAGACTCATAGCCTATTTTGTTTCCCAATCTCTCCCCCAGGGCCTAAAGTGGTGCCTGGTGCCAAGTAGGTGCTCAAAAATAACAAGAATGAAGAATGCTATAGAGACAGAAAGTAGATTAGTTTTTGCTGGGGTGGAAGATAGAAGAATGAGAGTGACTGCTAATAGGTCTGTGATTTCTTTTTTCTTCTTCTTCTTCTTTTTTTTTAATGAGACAGAGTCTCTCTCCGTCACCCAGGCTGGAATGCAGTGGCGCGATCTTGGCAAACTGCACGCTCCACCTCCCAGGTTCATGCCATTCTCCTGCCTCAGCCTCCCAAGTAGCTGGGACTATAGGCGGCTGCCACCATGCCCAGCTAATTGTTTGTATTTTTAGTAGAGACGGGGTTTCACCATGTTAGGCAGGATGGTCTTGATCTCCTGACCTCATGATCCGCCCGCCTCGTCCTCCCAAAGTGCTGGGATTACAGGCTTGAGCAACCGCGCCCCGCCAGGTATGTGTTTTCTTTTGGAGGTGATGAAGATGTGCTGGATTGAGTTAGTGGTGATGGTTGCAAAACCATGTGATCATACTAAAAACCACTGAATTATACATTTTAAAAGGTTTAATCTGATGGAATGTTAATTATATCTCACTTTTTTAAATTGCAAAAAGAGAATACATGAAAAAAGAAGGGATTAATAAATTATATGCCTTATCCATTGTCATAGTTGGTGCTTAAAAAATATATCTTTTGAATGTATGAATGGTTGTTTTTCTATACCAAATCATCTGAGTAAATGTTTCTCTCAAAGCATGGTCTGTGTGTCACTCATTGTGTGGCTTGGTAGTTATCTGGTTAAAAATCTTTGAGTTTAGGAAGTTGAGGTTGCCCATGGAGCCTGAGCATTGTTTGGTATTAGAAGGGGTTGGAATACAGGGGAAAATGTAGTAGACTCTCTTCGGGAAAGTAGTTTTGTTTCTGAGTCAGAAATAAAAGTAAGTTCCTGTCTATTGAGATTGTTTGATTCAAGCACTGCCAAAGGAGACTGCAATGTGATGCTTTTTGAACATTTTTTTAAATATGGAGGAGATACCTCTGTCACAGGCAGTCTCGGTTCCAATCTTTCCAACTCTTTCATTCTATGCTCTTGTTAAATCAGTTTAAAGTCCCTATGAATCTGTTACTCTGCAGAGAGCAAACTTTGTCAAAACAGATTAATGCCATCTCTTGAAACATTTAGCTACACTATGACAACTAATCTGCAAGGATTTGTCAGAATTCATGTAATTTACCCACTTAATAGTTGCCAACAAGTAGTTTTATGGTCCTTCAAGTCAGCAAAGGCAGGTTATGGTGGTGGGAATGGTTTTACATCCTCTTTAGCACAAGTTCATGTAGACTTCTAAAAATATATCTTCCTATATTTCAGGCAATTTTCTTGTATTTTCTCTCAAATGATAGATATGAAATTAGTTTGAAAAGAGTGTTTACTATTACATGAATACTAATTAATATTATCTTTATTGTATCTCAACTATGTTGAGAGAAATAAAAAACTGACCTCCTGATCAAAAAGGGAGTTTAAGGCTCTTTCGGCTTTGGAATAGATTAACTTCTTGTGTTTGAAACTTTTCCTGGAAAGTAATTATTCTATCTTGTTCACAATAAACAAATGATCTCAATAGCCTGCATCTTGTTTGTTATTAAAATATGTGAATCTGCTGCACATACTCTTGTATTATCAACTTTTCTTTTTGTATTCTAAAATTATACTAGGGATACCTGATAGTTATATAGCTATAAGCTTTATTACTACTACCATTAAACATTTGTGAATTTTTTATTGTGTGTTAGCAAGTATGTTATGCTGTTTATTTATATTATCTCATTTAAGCCTCCCAGGTGGAGGATGAGTTAACATCCCTATTTTATTTTTATATTTTATTTATTTTTTATTTTATTTTATTTATTTATTTATTTATTTATTTATTATTATTTTTTGAGACGAAGTCTTCTCTGTTGCCCAGGCGGGAGTGCAGTGACACATCTTGGCTCACTGCAACCTCCACCTCCCAGGTCCAAACGATTCTCCTGCCTCAGCCCCCCGAGTAGCTGGGATTACAGGTGTGTACCTCCACACTCAGCTAATTTTTCTATTTTTAGTAGAGACAGGGTTTCACCATGTTGGCCAGGCTGATCTCAAACTCCTGACCTCAGGTGATCCACCCACCTCCCTCCCAAAGCTGAGGTTACAGATGTGAGCCACCACACCCAGCCAACATCCCTATTTTAAAAACGAAGAGACTCGCCTAAAGTTACACATAGCTGATAAGTGGTTGAGCTAGACTTGGGCTGTCACCATGGGGCTGCTTTCTCATAAAGAGCTTCTGCTTACATCTTTTCAAACTCTCACAAAAACCATACCACTCCCATTTTACAGATGAGGAAGCAAAGGTTCGGGGTCACACAGCTACTAAGAGACAGAAGCTGGACTTGAAGTAAGGTCATCTGGTCCTAAACCATGGTGCTGTTTCTGCAGAATCGCCATCACCATAGTCAGCGGAAATTGTTTTTGGCCACAGCCTATGCTCTCCCTGCCTTCTTTGCATTTCCTTGAAGGCAGAGAGAGGGGAGTTAACAGGAGTCCCAATTTTTATGGGAGGCACAGTTTTGAAATAGCCTCTCTTCCTGGTCATTACCAGGGAGGCAACAGATTAGAAAGAAGGGAGTATAGCAGCTGCTCCCCTTAGACAAAACAGCAAGTTAGTGTGGGCAGCTTTGGTCATGTTTCTGGGTGTGAGATGAGGGCTGTATTCAGATCAGATATTTGCAGAAACGCTACCGGGCAAAGTGAACCTTTGACTTGTTTTGAATCAGTCTTGTAAAAACGCATGAAGCCCCAGAAAGAAACTTACTTTGGCCTCCTGATCGTCCTCTCCCTTCGAGCGAATGTGCTGGTTCTTAACATTTGGCAGCCATAGACTCCTTAGAGTAGTGGTTCTCACACTTTAGTCTGCATCGGAATCCTCTAGAAGACTTGGGAAAACACAGACCTCTGGCTGTGATTCAGGAGGTCTGCATAGTGTCTGAGAATTCACACTTTCAACACATTCCTGGGTACTGCTGGTGCTACTGGTCCAGGGGCCACACTTTGAGAACCACTGTTTCAGAGAATTTTGGTGAAAGTTCTATAATCCCTACTTCAGTAGATACTAGGTTGATGAATTACTAATTTTTGAATTATCAAACTTTGGCAAGCTTGTTTAAATGTGCTGGTGAGTGGTTTGGCATTGGAGGGAGTATGTGAGAGTGTTTTACCGAACAATTTGAAATTGGTTTGGTGAGTCAGTTAGGAACAGCACCTAGAACATTGTGGGAACTCCTCAGTCCCATTGAGGACCCAGAGGGAACACTGACTATTGTGAATGAGTAATAAGAAATGCTTAAAACCACTTCTAGTATTTGCAAAGTTGTTAAAGGCAATGACTAAAACACTTTTTCAAATATTGACAGTTGGAATGAAATGCAGTTCTCTAATATATGCAATTAAAATTTAGACTAGTTTTTAAAATTGCGGTAAATATATGTAATATAAAATTTACCATTTTAGCCATTATTAAGTGCACAGCTCACATTGTCGTGCAGCCATCTGCACTATCTGACCTTAGAGCTCTTCATCTTGTAACCTTGAGACTCCAAACTCGTTAAACAACTTCCCCTTTCCCTCTCTTCCCAGCCCCTGGCTACCACCAATTCTACTTTTTGCTCTATGAATTTGACTACTCTAGCTTCCTCATATAGGTGGAATCATACAATATTTGTCCTTTTGTGACTGGCTTAGACTAATTTTTGAAGATACTTTGAGACAGTTATAAAATGCAGTAAAAATACCCTAACAATGAATGAAATATAAACTAAAAAAAGCACTTGAAAACAAAATCAAGTTAGAAAGCTTGATCCTTGGACTTTCAAGAATCTTCCTTCATGGCGGACTATAACTTGAAACCCATTTCCTGGTGTATTCCAGGCCCAAGGCTAGTCTGGATACCTTTTCCATCTCCCCACAGGTGGATCTTGCTTCCTATTCCTACAAGAACCTTGTCCTCTTGTAGGCCCTTAGGCAGAGCTGGATCTTGAGCCCCCAACCTTGTCTATTTATTCATTCAGTAGATACAGGTTCTGTTCAAGATGCAGGGACCTAGAGGAGAGCCACCTTCCCTCTGCTTCCTATCACCACCACCCCCACCTTAAAGAGTCTACTGGGGACCCAGAAGGACCACACCTGTCATTACCTGCCCACCTGGAGTGAGGTGTGCTGTGTCAAGTAGATTTCTCTTTTTTTTTTTTAATTTTTTTACTTTTTAATTATACTTTAAGTTTTAGGGTACATGTGCACATTGTGCAGGTTAGTTACATATGTATACATGTGCCATGCTGGTGCGCTGCACCCACTAACTCGTCACCTAGCATTAGGTATATCTCCCAATGCTATCCCTCCCCCGTGCCCCCACCCCACCACAGTCCCCAGAGTGTGATATTCCCCTTCCTGTGTCCATGTGATCTCATTGTTCAATTCCCACCTATGAGTGAGAATTTGCAGTGTTTGGTTTTTGTTCTTGTGATAGCTTACTGAGAATGGTGATTTCCAATTTCATCCATGTCCCTACAAAGGACATGAACTCATCATTTTTTATGGCTGCATAGTATTCCATGGTGTATATGTGCCACATTTTCTTAATCCAGTCTATCATTGTTGGACATTTGGGTTGGTTCCAAGTCTTTGCTATTGTGAATAATGCCGCAATAAACATACGTGTGCATGTGTCTTTATAGCAGCATGATTTATAGTCCTTTGGGTATATACCCAGTAATGGGATGGCTGGGCCAAATGGTATTTCTAGTTCTAGATCCCTGAGGAATCGCCACACTGACTTCCACAAGGGTTGAACTAGTTTACAGTCCCACCAACAGTGTAAAAGTGTTCCTATCTTCGACAAACCTGAGAAAAACAAGCAATGCGGAAAGGATTCCCTATTTAATAAATGGTGCTGGGAAAACTGGCTAGCCATATGTAGAAAGCTGAAACTGGATCCCTTCCTTACAACTTATACAAAAATCAATTCAAGATGGATTAAAGACTTAAACGTTAGACCTAAAACCATAAAAACCCTAGAAGAAAACCTAGGCATTACCATTCAAGACATAGGCATGGGCAAGGACTTCATGTCTAAAACACCAAAAGCAATGGCAGCAAAAGCCAAAATTGACAAATGGGATCTAATTAAACTAAAGAGCTTCTGCACAGCAAAAGAAACTACCATCAGAGTGAACAGGCAACCTACAAAATGGGAGACAATTTTCGCAACCTACCCATCTGACAAAGGGCTAATATCCAGAATCTACAATGAACTCAAACAAATTTACAAGAAAAAAACAACCCCATCAAAAAGTGGGAGAAGGACATGAACAGACACTTCTCAAAAGAAGACATTTATGCAGCCAAAAGACACGTGAAAACATGCTTATCATCACTGGCCATCAGAGAAATGCAAATCAAAACCACAATGAGATACTATCTCACACCAGTTAGAATGGCAATCATTAAAAAGTCAGGAAACAACAGGTGCTGGAGAGGATGTGGAGAAATAAGTAGATTTCTCAGTTGATAAAGCATGCAACTTTAAATGTCTTTTAAAACTTTTACCCATGTCAATGGGAATCTTTCTGTAATGTATTAGTCCCTTCAGCCTCAAGCAGAATGTGCCAAACATAATTTAACCTTTCCTCCATAACCAAGGTCAGTGTTGCACTGTAAATATTGATTTGCACCCCCACTAAATGGCTGGGAGCTGCTGCATGTAATTCAGTAGCCACTACCATTTCAGCTGTCACTTTTCAAGGTGTCTTCACATCCACTTCTAATCTGCTAGTTTTAGGAAGACCTATGCAGAAAATCAGATAATCCAAGCCTTCAACCAGTTGACTGGGCTGAAGATAGACTGCAACAGAAGATAGATCGTGTCCTTTAGTATCTGCCCTCTGCTTCTAGATGTATAGAATTCCCAATATTTAGTTGGATATGTGGCACCAGAATAGGGAAGATTGCCTAAGTACTAGTCAATGAAATGTAAACAGAATGCAACATCTGTGGAGGAGAGGGGGTGTCTTCTTAAAGGATGATGTGCACCCTTCTTTCTATTAATAACATGCTCGGAACATGGGTGTGATGGCTGCAGCTCCAGCTTGGATGCAAGGATAAGCTGTCTGCTCTCATATAGCTGGCACTATTATGCTAGCCATAATCTGGATTTTTATATAAAAGAGAAACAAACATATATCTTGTTCATTCGCCATGAGCCTGTGTCTTGGTTACTTGTAGCTAAATCTCATCATAATGAATACACAGATAAATCAGATGAAAGGATTTAGATGCCTGGAAAGAATAAAAGTTCCATATCAGTGGGTAAAAGAAAAATATCAGCAGAATCCCAACATATAAATAGATAAAAAGTGCCAGGCACAGTGGCTCACACCTATAATCTCAGGGGTTTGGGAGACCAAGGCAGGAGGATTACTTGAGCCCAGGAGTTCAATGCCAGCATGGGCAACATACCGAGACTGTCTCTACAGAAAAATTTAAAAATTAGCAGGGTGTGGCTCTGCATGCCTGTAGTACTAGCTACTTGGGAGGCTGAAATGGGAAGATCCCTTGAGCCAAAGAGTTAAAGATTACAGTGAGCTATGATCACACCACTGCACACCAGCCTGGATGACAGAACTAGACCTTGTCTCCCAAAAGGGGTGGGGGGGATGCAAAAAAACAAAACAATCAATCAATAAAGAAGTTGCTCTGATTGTGTGGGGGTGTCTAGAGTCTCACTGGTTCAGCCTTCCCTCCCCTCTGAAGCATCACTGATCGTGAATTGCTGTAGAACACAGTTTGAAAACCGGTGTGCCTGACCTGAAGGTCTCTTCAGAGCTTAGAGCTTAGATACTGAAAGAGCTACCCTCAGACTGCAATTAGGATAATTGTTGAGTTCCCTCAGGGTGTTTCCTTAGACATCCTGCTACTATCGTTTACTACCATCCCAAGAGATCCAGGGTATTTAGCCTCACTGTGGATATAGCTAGATTGAGCAACTTCGAACATCTGAAAAATCATGTATGAACCCACAAATAAAAAATATTCTATCCTTGAATGCAAAAGGAAACAGTTATCACGAAGATCATACCCTTTTCTGCATGGGAGATGTGGAGCCAGATTGACAATAATGGATATAAAATGGGCTATGAGTTAGAGATCCGCTAGAATATTTCTTGAAGTGTGACATAGTCCGAAGCCATGGAGAGCAGGGGGCACCAGACAATCTCAGAGGTGTGTGCCATTCTATTAACTACAATTCCATTAATAAGCAGGAAGGCACACATTGGGAACTAGGTGGATTTTCTTCAGTATGCTTTTGATGTTGCCCCTAAGCACAGATTCCCATGGAAACTAAACTAGAAGATAAGTCAAAGGAGATTGAAAATATTAAATATCAGGTATTTCTTTGACTTATTGACTGCTTGGTGTTTAGCATTAGGCTTCAGACAGCAATATTACAGATATTACCCAGGCACTCGGGCAGCTTTCATATAAAGTTTATTTGAGCCTCACTTTTTCATCTCCTTGTTGCCAGTATCATCACCTTGAAAGTGAACTGTAACAATACATGTATGTAGAACCTGTATTTTGTTTTTAATAATATTTATAATAGTTTATATGAATTGATGGTTTACTTTGTGCCAATCTTTGTATTAAGTACTTCATACCACATTTCTCATTTAATTCATACCACTACATTGTAGTTGTTAATATCTCATTTGACAGATGAGAAAATTTATGTCCAGAGAGCTTTGGTAACTTGCCTAACACTAGTAACAGTAACAAGAGGATTCTGACCTCTTGTCAGACTCCAAAACATTATTCTTAACCACCACTTCTTCACCAGAAAGTGTTGTATGATTGGCTTGGGTAATGTCTACTCATCAGAAAAGAACTACAAATGTTGGATGGAAAGTAGTTCAGAACTCTTTGGGCAGTCAATCACGTGTGCCTTTTTTGTTAGGGTTTTGTTCATATTCTCACCAAGAATCCTCAATCAGGTTATTTCTATATATTATTATAATCCCCAATCATAATCATATAATCATGTTGTACCCAAGAATATTATATTCACCACAACCTCCCTTCCTCTATAATGTCATCCAAATCTTATGTCATCCTTCCTTTCCCTCACTCCCTGATTCTCTTCACATTCCTTAGTTTACCTTTCTTCTGATCACCTGTTTCATGGGAAATAGTAACCTGGATAGATAAGAAGTCCTGTTTGTCCAAGAGCTGGTTTGACATGTTGGCTCACCAGAGGAGACTGGGGCCCAAGAACTTGATTAAACAACCTGGTTCCTTGTCACTCAAGTGAGCTGTGCAGAACAGCAGCATCAGCGACACTTGGCAGACTCTTGGGCCCCATCCAAACCTACTGCATCATAATCTGCATTTTAAAGACACCCCCTACCCCCGTGATTTTAGGCACATTGAAGTTTGAGCAGCATGGCTCTTGTCTGTTGCTGCAGCCATGATATGACATAGATGGTCCCAGAGCCTGTTTACAAGGGGAAAAGTTGGACAGAACCAGCAGGAAGACCCAGAGCCTGTGGCCCAACTCAGCGATATGATAAGTCAAGAGGAGGAAAGAGCCAAGACTTGTTCCCAGCATAAATAAAGAAGACCTACGGAATCTAACGCCAGAAGATCCAACGCCTCTGCTGTTATGCAAATGTAATAAAAATGCATTCAGTCCAACTTGGAATCTATAGAAAGTTAAGTAAAAGTTGAGTAATCAAGGTCACAAAAGTCATTTAAGGGCAGTCATTTAAGAGAGCTTCACTGAACAAATTTCACAAATAACAAATCTTTCAGGGATGAAAAACGCTAATAAAAGGTTTCCTTTTTGAAAAGTGATTTTGTGTATTTGCTTAATTTTATTTTAATCCTGGACCTCTTATCTACTTTGATTTTCATTGGCATCAATGGGAATGTGAAAGAATTGACCTCATTTGAAACTTCCTTTCAGCAAATGGTCAAAGCTTTGTTTTCTGCTTCATTGTTTTCTAAACTGGTGCATAAAAATAATACTTGTGCTTCAGGCATGTGCTGGCAACTTTAGCCTCCTGTAATTTCCTGAGCCACATATTACATCTGTTTTCTGCTTACAGATGAACCTCAGCTCTCACTCCCTCAGGGTCTTCTTCATGTTCTTTTAGCCCCTTGTTGACGGTTGTTTGGTAATTCTTACGGTTATAATTCTTTGAATATCTTTTCAGTTATGATTGGAGGAGGTCTAAGCAAGTGAAATATGACACATTGCCTTTTTCCTGTCAAAGCAACCCCGTATCATATATGCATGATAGTGTGGTTGCTGCTTTAAAAACCAATTCTAGAAGGAAAAATGTCATGTTTCCTAGAGATTATAAATAACTAGACACAGATAAGCACAAGTGTATTTATATCAGCCTCCAAATATTCTGATAAGAAGAAAGAAATACAGTCTGTTGTTTGACTTTCAAAGGGCAAATTTTAAAAATGTAACAGAAATGCAACTTTTGACTTTGTATTTTAAATGCATTATCTTCGGAAGATATGATAGAATGAGGTATAGACACTGTAAAGCCACTTCTAACAGTGATAATTACTCTGCAGTATTTGAATGACTAGCAAGTTTCTTATATGGCATTTTATAATACTGTTTTGTTGCAGAAGCCTTTATCATTTTACGTCATTTAATTTGGTAAAATGATATAACATTCCTATGTATACAGAAAACCTCAGTTCCTATTAATGTATTGAGTCTTGTTTATAGTTCAGTTTTCAGGTTCAGGACAATTTTATTCCTAATGATATGAAGAAAAGCTCACATAAGAAACTACTTCTTTTTTTGTTTGTTTGTTTTAATAAAGAAAAGAGGTTTAGTTGACTCAGAGTTCCGCATGGCTGGGGAAGCCTCAGGAAACTTACAATCACGGTGGAAGGGGAAGCAAGCATGTCTTACATGGTAGCAGACAAGAGAAGAGTGAGCACGTGAGAGCATAGGAAAGACTGTCATTTATAAAACCATCAGATCTCATCAGAAACCACTATTTATTTCTTTATTTATTTTTAAAGAGATAGGGTCTTGCTCTGTTGCCCAGACTGGAATGTAGTGGCGTGATCATAGCTCACTTTAACTTTGAACTCCTGGCTCAAGGGATCCACCCGTCTCAGCCTCCCAAGTTGCTAGGAATACAGGTGCTCAACACGACAACCTGCTGATTTTTAAATGTTTTGTAGCGACAGCGCCTCACTATGTTACCCAGGCTGGCTTCAAACTCCTGGCCTTCAGCAAGCCTCCTGCCTTGGGCTCCCAAAGCACTGGGATCACAAGCAGAGCCACTGCTTCTGTCTGGTCCAGAAAGCACTTCCTTTGGTACAGAAACCATGAGCTTTGTGATCCATAAGAATGAAGACATCGTAAAATATTATGACTATAAGATATGGAGGGACTTCAATTTCCTGTTCAGCATTCTAATGAGGGTAATTTAGGTAAATGACTTTCTAATTATTGAAAATGATGAATGTATCTGTAGAAAAAATCACTTTTATTATACAAGCAAGAAAACATAATAACCCAGTTAAATGGATTTCAGCAATGATAAGTAAGGAGAGGACCAATCTTTGTGAGTAAAAGCACCCATCCTATCAAAGTCAGCTTAGGAAACGAGCATGTCTTGAAGACCTGGTTTGTTGATGTTGGATAGATATATTTAGGGGAGAAAACAGACTTTTTTTCCCCTTTTTTAAAGTTCTTAGCTGAGACACTTTTCTGAAAACAAAAATCAGATTAACAAAAGAAAAGCATGCAAAAGTTTATTAACATGCACTGTACCTATCACATGGGAAAGGCCTCGGTTCAAAAGCATTTCTCTCTCAAGGCAGTGGCTTAGGGGCCTTGCTTTAAAAGTATTTTAACGGATCTGTAAATCCTACATAGTGACAAGACAAAAGAGAGAACAGTTGCGGTGTTTTAAAAGGCGGGAAAATGAGGGAAGATGCTAAAATCTGTTCCCAGATTCCTCTGGTGCCAGCTTGGTGCCTCCTCTGGGCCGAGAAGTGCCATCTCCAGGAAGGAAGGATTCGTGCCCTGCCATCAGGTGGTTACAGGCTGAGGCAGAGTGTTACCCTGCATTTTCAATGTCTTTAACTTAACAACTGTCTTTGAAGGGAATTTTGGTTCCCTTCATATTGTTGACAAGCTTCTATGTTGAGCATTCAGAAGAAGTGGCAGACATGGTTCTTGGCTTTCAGATGTGTACTTAATCGAAGAGACTGGATATCTTATACATTAAGACATTTAGGAATATTTGTCAACCATCTGTATTTGAAAGTATAAACTACTATTCCACTGGAAGAGCTCTGTATTGATTGTGGATTCAGGAATCCACAGGGGAAGGCTAGATTCAGAAAAGACAGAGAACTAAAGAGAAGGGGAAAAGAGGCACCTGGAGAGAGGGGGAAATGCAGTTAACTGGACATCATCAGGACCTCACATCGGAAGTTCTGCCTTGAAAGCATTTGGAAAAATGGGGCCTCATAGGCAGTGCCTCTCTCCTCCCTCGGCTGCCTTGCCTCTGCTTCAGGAGGGAAGCATCACATGCAGTTTTTCACCTCCTCCCACAGTTTGGGACCATGGTACGGGGGACCTCTTGGAGTCATGGCAACAGTGGGAAAGGATTTTCTTCACGGGTCTATTCAGATTTGCACTTGGCAGAAAACTTTCAGCAGAAAGCCATTAGCTTTCTCTTAGGACTTTGGTTTTCAAGTTGAGTTTGGAACCAGAACTGAAGATTAAAACATGCAGAATATTCTCTATGCCATTTAGCTGTCTGCAGAAACCCACTGTTGCTGGGTACCCAGCCATGTCCCCTGCCCACCCCCACCCTGGCGAAGCTGGGAGTGAGAAGCCAGGGGAAGCACAGTGTATGCACATGGCCAGAAAAAGACTGACACAATTCGTGGGCATTAGAGCACGGTTCTCTTTCTGGAAATTGAGGGTGATTATTTCTCCTTCATTGTGTGCAGCATCCTTTTGAGATCGTTTGGGGAGGGATTTTGTCAGATTGGAGAATTGTGATTAATGGTGAAGGCCTTCGAGAGCCAGCCCATGTGAATGCATTATTCTCAGCTGCTTTCCCATCTGCACACACAGATTGCTCAGTGCCAGTGCTGTGAGGCCTCCAGAGCTGAGCTGGTCCAGCCTCATTATTTTGGCTGATGAACAAATAGACCCAGGGAGGGTAAGGAGCTTACCCTGCAGCACATAAGGAGCCGGCCCAAAGCCAGGACTAGAACCAAAGTCTCCCATGTCCACAGGATACTGTTTCCTCGCCTAACACAATGCCACTCTGTTCACCATTCAATTCAACAGCTATTTATTTGAACCTCGCTGGATCTGCCAGGAACTGGGCTAAGCCCTGGGGTTTCTAAAATAGGTAAAGCATGTTCCCACCCCAAGAGGAACTCATAGTCTAGGAGGGAGGGAGAAACATTGATAGTACATCTTGTTATTTTTAAAAAATGAAGAGAGGAATGAGCACAGGGATAGAAACTCAGAGGAAGAGCATGTGGACCATCCCAGGAGTGCTGAAGCAGGTGTCATTGGAGCTGAGGCTTAAAGGACTGGCAAGGGTGAGTTTTGGGAAGGAGGGTGAAAAGAGCAGCTCAGAGGAGGAGCGGCATGAGCCCCACCTGCTGTGCTTCCACTACCAAACCAAGTCCTCATGCTCCTCCATAGAGAAGCAGGAGGGGCTTCACCTTTAATTCAGTACCATCATTTCTCTTAAAATTGCAGGTAGAATATACAGTGAGTATTTTGGATTTTTCTTTTTCTATTTCATCAAGTAGAAGATGGACCTAAAATGTTTGGCCAGAGAGAAATAGAAAAGCCAATCCCAGTTTAAATTGTTTGAATCTGATTCAATCAGGATCTCAGATCTTCCGGTTCACGATTTCAGCTTGTTTTGAAAGCTAACTGAATTGAGGAGGGGGCAGGGCACAGAATGAGTTTTGGCTTTAATACACTAAAGACTACCCCAATAACCTGAAAGACCCAGTAGAAAACCATGGGCTAAATGAGATACTGAATGAAAGCTGGGTACTGAGACCCCCACCCTTCCTTGTTTCTGGTGATTTCATGCTCCAAATCTTGTCATGATACACTGCACACATCCCTCTGTATAGTGCTTTAAGTGGTTGTGAGAGAGGAAGGGGAGCCCATGGGTCAGAAACCCCTTGTTACATGGAAAGAGCAGAGAAAGAAGAATTAGAGTGGATGCCTTCTCTGTCTGGGCCTAGCATCACGTCATTTGGTCTTTTCCCATGAGCAATGGAATCAAGCAACAGTGATTGATTATCTTCTAAGTACAAAGCATTTTGCTAAGTGCTTTGAGGATATCAAGAATGAGACACACCGGGAGCAGTGGCTCATGCCTATAGTCCCAGCACTTTGGGAGGCCAAGGCAGGTGGATCGCTTGAGCCCAGGAGTTTGAGACCAGCCTGGGCAACATGGTAAAACCCCATCTTTAAAAAAAATTACAAAAATTAGCTGGGCATGGTGGTGTGTGCCTGTAGTTCCAGCTACTCAGGAGGCTGAGGTGGAAGGATGGCTTGATTCTGGGAGGCAGAGGTTGCAGTGAGCTGAGATTGTGCCACTGCATTCCAACCTAGGCAACAGAGCCAGACCCTGTCTCGAAAACAAACAAAAAAGCATGAGAAGATACTATTCTTCCCCTCAAGCCCCTTATAGAGAGCAAGGTCTCATGCTATATAAG
This sequence comes from Homo sapiens, assembly GCF_000001405.40. NCBI lineage: Eukaryota > Metazoa > Chordata > Mammalia > Primates > Hominidae > Homo > Homo sapiens. The sequence continues at coordinate 69,588,891 of NC_000009.12, read as the reverse complement.
GTAGAACTGTACTGCTTATTTACTTAGTAGCCTTGTTAATGTTGGCAAGGAAGTATGAGCTTCAATTTCATCTGTAAATTGGAGGCACTAGTTACAGGGATGTGGTGAGATTAAATGAGATAATCTATGTAAAGCTCCTAGCATAATGCCTGCCATATGATACGTACTCAGTTAATATTAGTTGCCATAATCGTGATCATCATTGTGGTGCAGAGGAACTAAGCTCTGACTTGTAAGCTCTGATGTCTATGTTGACATCTCCACATGGATCTTTAACAAGCAGATCAAACTTAACATGTCCAAAAAATGGAAGTGCTGATTATTTTCCTCTCCAAACTGTTTTTTTTTCTCATCTTCACAACTGATTAAATGGCATCACCATGTTATTGCTAAAACCAAAGACTTGGGGGACATCATTGATTTCCTCCCTTTTTCTTTTCCTTGATTTCCAACCAACAAACAAGTTTTGTCTTTGCTGCTTCTTAAAAAAAAAAATCATGAACTTGCCTATTTCTCTCCCATCTCTGCTGCTACCACTCTGGTCCAAGGCACCATTGTCTGTTGCGTTTCATTTGTAGCTCTTTAATTCTCCCACTGTCAATAAGCTTTTTAATGACATTGCCCCCTTTTCTGTTTCTCCAATATGCCAACCCCTTTCTTACCTGAGGGCCTTTGCACTAGATATTTCATCTAATGGGAACGTTCTTTCTTTCTCCCCAGTAGCTTCATTATTTGCTTGCCTTTGCATATCAGGTATCTGTTCAAATGTCATTCCCACAAAGAGGTCTTCCCTGACACTGCTTCTTTCACCTACCTCACCCACCACCCAGTTTCTTTCTTTTTCTTTCTTTTTTTTTTTTTTTTTTGAGACAGAGTCTTGTTCTGTCACCCAGGCTGCAGTACGATGGCACAATCTCAATTCACTGCAACCTCCACCTCCCGGGTTCAAACGATTCTCCTGCCTCAGCCTCCTGAGTAGCTGAGATTACAGGCACCCAACACCATGCCCAGCTAACTTTTTGTATTTTTGGTAGAGACGGGGTTTCACTATGTTTGTCAAACTGGTCGCAAACTTCTGACCTCAAATGATCCGGCTACCTCAGCCTCCCAAAGTGCTGGGATTACAGGCTTGAGCCACCACGCCGGGCCAATATCACAGTACATTCTTTTATTTTTTCTGGAACATCTCCATGGCTGCTACCAAAGGTGGGTCGTGGGGAAGTACTGGAGAATCTTATTGGATGTTTTTTGGAGAGGGCTTGGAAGTGGTTTACATCACTTCTACTCATAATTCTTAGACAGACTTCAGTCTCATATACCGAACCTACTTGCAAGGGATGCCGAGAAATGTCATTTTCTCATGTGCTCAGGAAGATGAAACAGTGTGGCAAACACATCTTTGACTTCCACAGCTCATGTAACTGAAAGTCCAAGTGTGTGGCTTACAGATACACCAATGACACCAATCTCCAGTTTTTCTCTCTCCAACTCTGGATTCTCTTTCAGTTTGGCCACATTCTCAGATAGGCTGTCCTCTTGCTTACAGTGGCAAATAAACAATGAGGCTCTTTCCTGGAAGCCCCAGTGGAAGTCTTCTAGACTCTGGGGCACCTGCCCATCACAGAACCAATTACTGTGATGAAAGGAATGTGACCCATTGATTACCTTGGACCACTATTGTGTTCTCCATCACTGAATTTGGAGGATGGGGAGGCAATTGAACCATAGTGAGTTGAGACTGGGAATGGATGAAGCTTTAAAAAGCTCTTGTGGGAAGTAGGATGAATGGATGCCAGTGGCAAAAAAAGGACAAAAATGTTCACTACAACAGCATATAAGATTTATCAACCAACAATATACAATTCTAAACACTCTGATCAATGGACCATATTTTCTTCTTGAATTACCTTTAGTGACAATGGTCTCTACCAGAAGCACATACAGCCAAACTATTTTTTAAAGTATATGGAACTCTTGGTTCTTTGCTTCATCATACTTTAGGCTGAATTTTTTTGTTGACTAAGGAGAGAGCTAAGTGGCTTCATTCTAGTAAAAAGTACTTATTTGGGGTTGTTAGTTGTAATGGGCAGCCAGGTCTTCCCTTATATTTCCCACCTCTACAGAGTTCTTAGAAAATGCAGATATAGTTCATTTTTTAGGCAACAAGGAGAGGATGATCTGGAAGCAGCATTGGGAATTAAGGAAGACACCAACTGTTCCTCCTAGTCCAGGAAAACAAGGGCTGTGTAAAGAAACCACCACCATTTGAGACCTTTACAAGGGAAGCAGTGTCCTCATGAGAGCACCAAACTGTGGCTAGAGAAAGAAAATGAAGAATGTTCCACAAAGAGGTTGGCTTTAAAAATCCCCTGCCCAAAAGCCAGGTTATCATGATTTCAGCTCAGGTATGGGCTGAATCAAGGAAAACCTCAGAGGTCAGTCAACTGGAGGCCAGCCGTTGTTGAGTTATGGTCACTCAACAAATATATGTGTTGAGACCGTGATGTGCTAGCCCTCAGGTTCAGCATCAAATACATATCAAAAAAATAGAAACTCTGATAATAAGAGATGTATAAACAATCACAGCATAATATAGGGAGATCTGATTCTGAGCTGCTTGTATACAGTAAGGGGCAAGGAGATGCCAATAGTCAATCTGGACACAACATTCAGCACGTAGAGTTAGTTGCTGTAAAGGCCAAGCCCTAGAAGCATACTGATCTGTTTTTATAGTGGTTATTATGTATGGATGGGTGTTGAGTGATGGCTCTAGCTGCTTGCCCCAGCAGAAATCCTGTTGAGCAGCTGCAGTAAGGGTTCAGGAGTTCTATGACAGCAGAGTAAAATCCATGGGCCAGACAATTGGTCATTGCAACAGGTTCCATCATGAAGTGACGAGGCAAACATATTCATAGGTGGGCAGTCTAGAATAAGGCTCAACTTAAAAATGCCAGGACAGGTTGCCAGCAGGTCGCAGAGCCCACCCCAGGGCCATATGAGAGGCTGGATTTGGGTTTTGGGGATGAGATAAGCAGGAGAAAGGCAGATGGTCCCAAGTCCTAGGAGTACAGGAATGCTCAGCAGGTGAGCAGATGGGCTTTGGTACAGGGAATAAATAGAAATTCCATCACCAGAAATGAGTCACTGCTTAGGATATAAGTCTTATGAACAGGGAGAGAGTCCACTTTTCATACCGTGAGTACAGATCAGAAACAGTCAAGGGGATCTGGACACTGGGCCCTGTATGTTAGACCAGAGCTCCAGAAATCCCACCAGCAGCAGGTCAGGACTGAATTGTGGGGACCTGGGTGGCCTGAGCCTACAGCTGGAGTCAGATGGTACCCCTGGGCCAAGGGAGAGATGCAGAAGCTGGGACTCAAAGCCACAGCTTTGTCTGGCCCATGAGGCATCCCCCTTCTCTCCAGGGCACATTGGGCTAGGCCAGCCTTTGGCCCTGGCAAGAATGAAGGAAGCGGGCACACACCCCTTTCCTTGAGCCTCAGTCTCTTCTTATCATCTCTTCTGTTGTCATTTAGAGGATCCTGGCAGAGGTTTTGGGTCAGTAGCTAAGTTGACTCACCTTACAGATTATTGTGGTTCAGCAACTTTTTTAGTCTTTAAGTCTTTCTCCTCTGCTTTTAGTATTTTAAGGAGCAGATAATTTTTCAAATGCAAATTTCCTAATTAGATATAGCATTCTCACTACCTGACATATTATGTATTTATTTGTTTGCTGTTTATATCACCTAAAAGGATTGTCAGCTCCCCAAGGGCAGGGCCTTTGTTTTGTTCACTACTGGGTTCCCAGTGCCAAGAACAGTGTCTGTCACATAATAGATGCTCAGCATGTTTGTTGAGTGAACAAATGTGAATAAATGAATAAGCAAGTCAACATTCCATTCTTGTGGGCTTGGCTGGCTCTAATCTGTCCACAGACACATTATACCCAAATGAGATAATTCATGGGTTTGTGCTAAGTAATCAGAAGTTTTCTCTGGATATGGTAGGCAAATTATGACTAATTCATCCTGGACATAATGAAATGATCATTCCTTTGTTTTGTTAGTTACTCTAAGAGTAATTTGGATTTTTATGTCATTCAAACTTTGACCCTTCTCATTTTCCTACAAGAATATAAGCTTTGCTTGTTTGTATTTATAATCAGTGGGATGGATTTCACTTCATTGAAAGGGCATTATTTCCCCTTTTAAAATGGACCTATGTTAAAGTTTGCTATAATTTACTGAATGCTTACTCTGTACTTGGCACTGTTCTAAGTGTATCAGCTCATCTTTGTAATAGTTGTACGTGGCATGATTCTTCTTCCCATTTTGCCTGTGGAGAAGTTGGAGCACAGAGAGGTTAAGTAACTTGCCTAAGGTCATACTGCTAATAAGTAAAGGATCTGGGAGCATCCTTAGCCATCAGACTACACAGCCTATAATGGTACATTAGTAAACATCACTTATGTCTTCATTTATTGAGTGAATAGAGGATAGATATGTTGACTGCTTCATAGGCTTAATGTGAGGATAAAATGAGTTAATACAGCCAAAACACTTAAAACATTGAACAAATGTTAACCTTTTTCATCCACTACCACCCTCTAGGAACTCACAGTCTTATAGAGGAGACAGTATGATAAATATACTTTTACACACACACACACACGGAGATGTACACATATGGATGGAAACATACATATCTATCTCATTATATTTTTATTTGGGATTAATCAATATTTTCTTTCACTGGCAGAAGTTGGGAGAGAAAAGCTGGAGCCAGGGACATGAAGTTTATTTTGAAACACACAAGAAGGGAGTGTGGCTCACAGCTGGAGAGATTACTAATCTTAGCCATTCCTCAGTTGCCTGATAGAAAAGCATTTACACATAGAAAACGGCTGGCATTTATTCTGCACTCACTATGTGCTGGACACTGTGCTAAGCACTTTACATGGATTACGCCCTTGAATCCTCATCTCATGCCTTCACATTAGGTACCATTATCCACATTCAAGAGATGAAGAGATAGAAGCCTGGGAGGCTAAGTACTTGCCTGGGGTTCCCCAGCTGGCTCGTGCATGCTACAAAGCCAGAGCTTTTAATGATTCCGCAGTATCACAAGATCCCTAATTGGGGCAGAGGAGGTCAGCCATGAAAACTGCTGCTATCTAAGGCTTCTCATGAAATGCAGGGCATGGTTAGGGTAGAAACTCTGGTAATTTTTAAAATTGTATAATTAGAAATCTCTTTTAAGATGATTTTTAACATTTTAAATCCCATTCATTTGCTGGATAATTTTCTTGAGTTAGCTCTAATAACATCATTTTAGTATAATCATTTGAGATACAGGAGCTTAAGATAGAATTCTTAAGAACAGTGTCTGATTGCTGACAGGTAATTTTGTGGTTCAGTACTAGATTTAAGATAAGTCCCAGTTGTCACAGCTATGAACACTCAGGATTTCTGTACAGGGTTGTGGTGTTGAACCCCTATTAACCTCAATAGGGAAGGCACTAGGTTCAAGGGGCTGAAGAAGAGACCGAGAGCCAGCAAAGGAGACCTGGGGTTTTTTTAGGGGCTCACATAGAGCGGACAGAGTCCAGTGGTGGTGGGCTGGACTAGATAACCAACAGTGGTGGTGGACTGGGTGGGAAAGCCACAACTGCTTGCAAGCAGCATGCAGTCTATATAGCATTTCCACTTAATACCTTCCCCCTAATGACCTCCACCTGGCAATTCATTTAATCCAAATCACAGGGGTCAATCGCCTGTACTGCGCCTGTTCCACAGGACAGCCTGGGGGCTCAGATGTTCCTCATAGACAAAGAACAGATCTCTGGGTTGGCCATACCAGATTCCTTAGCTCAGAACACACATTCAGATACAGCTTCCATACAGGATCATTCTAAGGGTATGCTCAAGTGATTGCTGACAAGTGCATTTACCCTACAAAGCTGGTTGTATTTTTCTTCATTCATTTGTTTCATTCATTCATCCACTCACTCAACAAATACATAGTGAGTCTACACAGGATTTGTTCTATGTGAACATGACAGCTTCCAGCTTGATGGATCTCCTCTCACTTTCATAGCGGAAGGAACTGGGCAAACAAGCTCAGGCAGGAAATGAGCAAGTAATGGGGAAGAATAAGTCCCCATTAGAAGGAGGAGCCACCAGGAGTGGGTGGGGCTGGTGAAGTGGGACCAAAATGGGAACAGCCTGAATGGGAAGATAAAGCCAGTAGGGTAGAAGCAGAGAGGATGCCAAAGGAGCAAGCAGGACAAATCAGTGGTATTTCCCCCATTTTGACAGAGTCAGAAGCAGGTACCAGGCTAGAAGAAACTGGGGAGGTGGAATGGGAAGTAATATTGAGCCAGAGGAAAGAGTAGCAGACAACTTGCCTAAAATCTGCAAGAATACCCAGTTTGCACATTCCTTTGTCTGTGGTTTGGTTTGATAGGCTGTTGCATCACTATCTCATTATCTAATTGTCCAGGGTGGAGAAAGCGACCCGTCCCGCAGTAGAAGCAGGTAGGAAAGTGTGAGATTTCACTTCTTTGTTTGGACTCCTGGAGTGCCTAAAAGGGGAACTTACTTATGAGCGAGCCTCCCACTGTTTGTTTATCTTACTTTGTATCTGATCATTTAAATCAGAAAACAAATTATGACTCACTTTGATGTGTTAAGTGCTCGGTTAGATGCCCAAAGCCACTTAGAATAGGTGTATCTATTGACTGAAAATGTAGCTTCTCTTTTCAGAAGAGAAGTAAATAATTGTAAATTGTGTAAATAAATTTGTGTAAATAACTTGGTAATCACTAAAAAAGGTCTTCAGACCTTTTGGAAGAATCAACACAGCAACACACAGTTTAGCTGCCTGTGAAAAGCTATTGCAGTCCCATGAGGACACTTAACACATTGGCCTTGGATCTGGGACTCTATCAACCCACTAGACCATACTGGGCTGTGGTCACTCTTTTACAGAGTGCCTTCAGCCTCCACAGTGTGCCCTCACAAAATGTCTCAGAGGGAAGCCAGGCCCTTGTCCTTATCCTCAAATTACCCTCAAAGAGACTAAAACTCAGCTCAGCAGCTGAGGTGACTTGACCGGGGTCACATAGCTGGGAGGTAACTGAGGTGGGATTTGAATTCAGATCTGCTCTTCCTCAGTGCAATAGTCCTTCCCCCATGCCCCGCTTATTCCCTAGGGCATTGTCAGTGGGGAATATTCTTCCTGAAGACTCCTTCCTTCACTCATTAGTTATTTAGTGCCTACTGTGTGCCGATACTGTTCTAGGCTAGTCATGTCTCTGCCTTCTTATCCTGAAACCAAAGTTCAAAAGACAAAATATGAGAGTACTTGAAGTGTGAATGATTCACGTAGTCAACTCTCTGCCCCCGCAAACACACCTGAAGGCAGTATATTTCCCTCACAAAATAATTTATCCCCTTGTACTATGTGACTTTTCCAAAGGAGGCAGAACTTCTTTTTTTTTCTACCTTCAGAGAAATGTAGTGAGCTAATATTTCTGAATACACTAAGGTAAATGTCAAGGATGTTTTATCAGTGAATCTCAGGGGCTGCTCTTACTTTTCACTTGCAACAGAAATAATAGTAGTGGCCATGCAAACATATAATCCCAAGGTGAAGAAATTGCAGGGCAGGGTGAGGGGAAAATGCATTTTGACACCCTTGCTTTGACTGATACCATTTAAGTGGCCTATATTGAGCCTGAATTTGATTTAGGTCAGATGTACCAGTAAATTACAATGCCAGAAAAGGGTGTCTGGAGATGACGCCGTTTGTGGGGTGTATCCATGGTATCTCTGATTGGGGCCATCTTTGATCTGTGTCCCCTGCTGCTCAGGAAATGACTGGCTATAAATGATATAAGATATCAGAGGCTCACAGAGGCATGGCAAAGATGGATCCAGGTCAGAATACCCATCAGGGGCCTTCAAAAGCAATTCAGCTATTCAGTTTAGGGATAGCTCTTTAGCTCCTAATGGGTCTTCATTTTAGCTGCTTGAGAACAACCCTGTCAAGCTGCCAAGGTGACATGGAGAGGGATATGCGAAGTTTATGTAGTGGGGAGCTGAAGGTACTTTATATAGCCACAGGATTCTGTAGGCTCAATCAGTATGTGTCATGTGGAACACCGTTCAGTGGAGTGAAAAGCATTTCACGCTTTTGGTTTTTCAAAGGAAGCCTGTCAGCAAGTTTCCTACAGCAAAAAATAACTGTGCTGTGGTTGAACTTCACTAAGAGTCCTAGCCAATCAGATAATGTCATACCACCATGAGGAGATATTTAGGGCTTTGCCAGAATAATAGGGTACTAATCACTGCTAATAGGATTTGTTGACACGGGCCAGGAGGGTTGGTCATGACCATTGGAATATTGATTTTTACCCTTCAGGCAAAGTCCATCTTCCTTTCTCAGTGTCTGTCCTCTGTCCTGAGTTCAGGCAGGGTGAGGAAAAGCTGGTGCAGTGAAGCTCTGCTCAATATGAAGGTTGCTAGGGCTTGATCTGAAGTAAAGGAATTAATATTTAAATACCCACTCAGTGTTAACCCTGAAACCACCCATCCTCTGTGCCCTTGGCAGACACTGCTCATGGACAACAGCACTCACCCATTAAGCCCAGATTCAGGCTCCGAATCCTCGATAGAAGGCTTCTGGCAGCTGCAACCAATCAATAACGTTTGGCAAGCAAAACAGCACCAGTGGGCCATCCAGGTATTTAAAATGATTTCCTCAAGGACACAGACCACAGCTTCCCATCTCCTCACATGTTCTTGGCTGTCTTTGCTGCCCAGTAAACATCTGTTGTTAAATTAGAACTTGCATTTTGAGAACTGTATCCACAGCCAGATGTAGCTACATTTTTTTTAAGGAAGTAGGAAAATATCCATATGGGGCTACAGATAACCGCATCTCTGGGTCAAAGGCTGACTGATACAGTTAGGTGTGTGCACAGCTATAAAAACCACTCCTGTGGCTAAGTGACTTTTGACAAATGGGATAAAATGAGCAAGAATCAAATTAGATCTATTTCCAAATTGGCTTTTCTCTTTTCTGTCCTCTCCTTCCTCTTCCTTGACCCACTTGTTTTCCTCTTTCCATCTTATTTCAATTATAACATATTTACAGGAATCCGGCAACATGCATTATTGTGACCTACCACTTTGTGAGCACCAAGACGGTTTTGGTGAGATGCTTAAGAACATTGGCTTAAAATCCAGACTGCCTGGGTTTGATTCCCCAGCCCCTTCCATTACTAGCTGTGTGACCTTGGCCAAATTACATAATTTCTTATAACCTCAAAGTCCTCAGCAATAAAATGGGGCTGGTAACAGCATCATTTTACTCTCACATAGATGAATATAAAATGTAGCTCCTGCCTTCATTGTAAATGAGGAATTGGACTGGTTAAAAAATGAAACAGAAAAATACAGACATTCCTCCTATAGTTAAAGTCCGCATAAAGCAAATGAATATATGAGAGCCAATACCTTGAGGAACATGTCCTTTATGTAGCCTCTGTTGACAATGACCCCATCTTGCTCGGGGATTAGCAACATTCTTAGGGGGAAAAGAAAAGTGCTGCTCCCGGTGCAGGCCAGGGGCATTCCTCATGTGGCTGTGCACATTGTGACCACAGTGGGGCTGCAGTATGTAGAGTATAGGGTGCTGATGCTGGCTCCATGCAGGAGAGTTAAAGGTTGGGGAGACCCTTCATATTGAGTCACATGTTAACAAGCAGAGGTGCCTCAGTGAGGTATGGGTTTTTTGTTTTAAGCTGTACTCACTTATCTTAAAAAAAAAACTCGTTGAAATTTCTGTAGGAAATAGAACTTGGTTGTTGCTGGAACTGCATTCACTAACCCTCTTTTACTCAGTAAAAGAATGGCTTCCTGTAGTGCAGTTTTTGACAACCCAAGGTTTCTTATCCATCTGTTCAACAACAGTTCAGTGCCTAATATATGCTAACATGGTGCTGGGTACAATGGTGTCCACAAAGGCAGAGTCACTGTCCCTACAATTTGTGAAGTTGTGATAAAATTGCAATTGTTAAAATGCAGACATACTATTGTTGCAGACAGATTTTGTGTGCTAAGCTAGACTGTTAAGACTAGAAGGAGAACAGCAGAGATGGCACCAGTTGGTGGCCAGGGGAGGGGGCTCCCCACTCCTGTAAAATCTGCCACATCTTCCCTGGCCACCCTTCTACATAATGACATTCCCAAAGATAGATCATTTATTTCTCAATCTTTGTAAAGTATGAATAAAATTGTTTTGAGAAACCGTGATTTTTTAATTTAAAGTCTGTAAAACATTGTTTTTAAGTGGCAACCAGATTGCCACCTCAAAGCCCCTTTTATCCAGAAATTCAGGGTGGTATTTAGAGAGGAGAAATGAGTGAAGGTGAGAAGACCCAGAGAACCCCCAGCAGAGGATGTTCTGCAAGTTGAGCCTCAAAAGATGATTGAAATCTTGACCCTAGATGCCCTGGCCTTCCCATACCTATCAGCGCATGCTCACAAAGAAAACCACCATGTGGCCAGCTGTGCTGTGGCTTGGAGAGGCAGGGTCTGTGGGGACATAGAAGCAGCTTTAGCAGTTGGATCCGTGCTCCAGTGTAAAGGGCTGGCTTCCCAGTGAGCACAGAAAAGGCCTGGAGTCTGCTTCTCATGCTGTGTTGGGCTTTGCCAAGGGCTCCCTTGCCACTACAGCTGGGATGTCCTAATTTGGCTTGGTTGATTTAACTTCTCACTTTAGAGGAAGAAAGTAAGATCGATGTTTTCTAATTTGCCTCTAGGCTCCTTTTACACTTACCTTCAACACAGCCAATCTAGGGTCCTTCATTTTAGGTGAGCTGAGAGGTACAGAAGAAAGTGTTTGCAGGGTCCCTTGGGATGATAGGCTTTCTCCAGTTGGGCCAGTGCTGGTGATTGCCTGGGTTGCTGCCACACTGGGAGCATTGTGGTGGTGAAGTCCAGACAGGTGAATTCCAGCTGTGCTACCTTAGATAAGTCCCTTCACCTCTCTGGGCCTTGTTTTTATCATCTAAAATATGAAGCTCTTAAAAAAAGGTTTTCTCAGACTGGTTAGCCAGATGATTTTAAGTGGCTAAAGGATGAGCATTCTTTATATACTAATATATGTATTTATTTTTCATTGTCATATTCCATTTATATGAAGTGATACCAGATTTTTATAGTGATGATTGCATTTCTTTTGAAGTAATTTTATTTGAGTAACATTTCCCTCCTGTGGTTTCTTCACTCACAGCTGACCCACCACAACTCTTTACTTGCCTTGTTCAGATGGTCCTAAATTGTAAACCCTCCAGTCTCCTTTCCAAAGCTTTCTCTCTTGGCCATCTATTCAATGGTGGTCTTGAGGGAAACTGTTCCCCTTGTGTGCTGGTGTACTGGAGTGGGTCGCCAATGGAAAATCAGAAAACCACCTGGGTTTCCCATAATGTGGGGCTGGTCCAGTCCAGAGCTTCCTAGTTTTCCCTCAGTCTCATGTCACCATCACAGCTGTTGCCATGTCTATGCACCCTGTCTACTCATGATGACTCAATATTTTCTTCACATAGACCAAGTTGATTATTTACTCAATAAAATTATTCACAAATTACAGCTAGATAGGGAAGAGTAAATTCTAGTCTTCTATACCATTGTAGGATGACCATAGTTAACAATAATATATAGTTTCCAATAGCTAGAAGGAGGATATTCTGTTTTCCCAACACAAAGAAATGATAAATGTTTGAGATGATGGATATGCTAATTACCCTGATCTGATCACTATACTTTATACATATCAAAACATCACCATGTACCCCATAGATATGTGCAACTATTGTCAATTTTTAGAAAGTGAAATCAAAAAATAAAAATTAAAAGATTTTTATCATCCCTCCAAAAATAAAAAAATTTGAAAATTATTTTTAATAATTAAACAATATTTTATATTTTATAGTAAATTTTATCACACAAATAATGCATAATTTTTTTATTATACTTTAAGTTTTAGGGTACATGTGCACAACGTGCAGGTTTGTTACATATGTATACATGTGCCATGTTGGTGTGCTGCACCCATTAACTTATCATTTAACATTAGGTATATCTCCTAATGCTATCCCTCCCCGCTCCCCCTACCCCACAACAGGCCCCGGTGTGTGATGTTCCCCTTCCTGTGTCCATGTGTTCTCATTGTTCAATTCCTACCTATGAGTGAGAACATGAGGTGTTTGGTTTTTTGTCCTTGCGATAGTTTGCTGAGAATGATGGTTTCCAGCTTCATCCATGTCCCTACAAAAGACATGAACTCATCCTTTATTATGGCTGCATAGTATTCCATGGTGTATATGTGCCACATTTTCTTAATCCAGTCTGTCATTGTTGGACATTTGGGTTGGTTCCAAGTCTTTGCTATTGTGAATAGTGCCGCAATAAACATAAGTGTGCATGTGTCTTTATAGCAGCATGTTTTGTAATCCTTTAGTATATACCCAGTAATGGGATGGCTGGGTCAAATGGTATTTCTAGTTCTAGATCCTGAGGAATCGCCACACTGACTTCCACAATGGTTGAACTAGTTTACAGTCCCACCAACAGTGTAAAAGTGTTCCTATTTCTCCACATCCTCTCCAGCACCTATTGTTTCCTGACATTTTAATGATCACCATTCTAACTGGTGTGAGATGGTATCTCATTGTGGTTTTGATTTGCATTTCTCTGATGGCCAGTGATGATGAGCATTTTTTCATGTGTCTTTTGGCTGCATAAATGTCTTCTTTTGAGAAGTGTCTGTTCATATCCTTCACCCACTTTTTGTTGGGATTGTTTGTTTTTTTCTTGTAAATTTGTTTGAGTTCATTGTAGATTCTGGATATTAGCCCTTTGTCAGATGAGTAGCTTGCAAAAATTTTCTCTTATTCTGTAGGTTGCCTGTTCACTCTGATGGTAATTTCTTTTGCTGTGTAGAAGCTCTTTAGTTTAATTAGATCCCATTTGTCAATTTTGGCTTTTGTTGCCATTGCCTTTGGTGTTTTAGACATGAAGTCCTTGCCCATGCTTATGTCCTGAATGGTATTGCCTAGGTTTTCCTCTAGGGTTTTTATGGTTTTAGGTCTAAGATTTAAGTCTTTAATTCATCTTGAATTGATTTTTGTATAAGGTGTAAGGAAGGGATCCAGTTTCAGCTTTCTACATATGGCTAGCCAATTTTCCCAGCACCATTTATTAAATAGGGAATTCTTTCCCTATTTCTTGTTTTTGTCAGGTTTGTCAAAGATCAGATAGTTGTAGATATGCGGCATTATTTCTGAGGACTCTGTTCTGTTCCATTGGTCTATATCTCTGTTTTGGTACCAGTACCATGCTGTTTTGGTTACTGTAGCCTTGTAGTATAGTTTGAAGTCAGGTAGCGTGACGCCTCCAGCTTTGTTCTGTTGGCTTAGGATTGACTTGGCAATGCAGGCTCTTTTTTGGTTCCATATGAACTTTAAAGTAGTTTTTTCCAATTCTGTGAAGAAAGTCATTGGTAGCTTGATGGGGATGGCATTGAATCTATAAATTACCTTGGGCAGTATGGCCATTTTCACGATATTGATAATATTTTATGCTTAAATAATAATAGTAATAATTGGGCCGGGTGCAGTGGCTCACACCTGTAATCCCAGTACTTTGGGAGGCTGAGGCCAGTGGATTGCTTGAGCCCAGGAGTTTGCAACCAGCCTGGGCAACATGTTGAAACCCTATTGCTACAAAAAAATACAAAAATTAGCCAGGAGAGGTGGTGCACACCTGTAGTCTGAGCTACTTGGGAGGCTGAGGTGGGAGGATCACTTGAGCCCAGGAGGTTGAGGGGCTGCAATGAGCTGAGATTGCACCACTGCACTCCAGCCTAGGCGACAGAATGAAACCCTGTCACAATAATAATAATTGTGTAAAGTTCTATACACTGGACACTCAGAGTAATGAATAGACCGTGGGCATTTCATAGTCTCCCTGTGCTGCTCTACCCTGACTTGGCTTCCCTCCTGTCTCCAGAGGTGACCACTATCCATAATATTGCAAATAGTCTTTTTGGCTTATTATTTATCACGAAGCAGTATTTTTGCTTGTTTTGCTGCTTTTTCACTTTCTATGAAAGAAAATAAATGGATCCATGTTTCAAAAAACTACTTGTAAAGTTTTTGTGAATGCTTTTTATATTACCTAAAATAAGAGCAAAACCAGCACACCAACTACAAAAAATTAGGAGGACCCTTATGCTGTTTAAACATTTGTTCCCTAGAAACCTCACAGGATCTCTTTCTCCAGAGTTCCAAAAAGAGATCAGTACATTCATTTGCTTTATGGGGCAGGCTATGCATATATAGAGAGGATTTTTTTTAATGTGAATTTATTAATCCAAGTCTATTCTGCTGACCAAAATTTTCAGCCTGGAGTGAAGCAAGTAAAGTTGTTTGCGAAGAAAGGTCCACAGAAGGAGGGGAAACTGGTTGGAGAAGCAATCACTGCATTAGAGATAGGACAAAATGAGGCTCTGTCGTAATAGTTCACAAACTTGGGCATGCTCAGAACTATTCTGGGAACTTTTTCAAAATACAGATCCCTGTGCCTGCTCGTCAGGGCGGTATGGACCCAGGTGATTCCTATGCAAGGCCAGGGGGATGCACCATGTTTTGAAGTTCACCATCTTCATGTAAAAGTTTCCTGTCTGTCTTAAATATATCTAGGGGACTTGTTTTATTAATTAGACATTTATCTGAAGATACATAAATATGTATATAAGTACACACACATATACAAACATAAATAAATTACTATTTTTGTAGGACAAAAATGTTTGTGTATCACCAATTTCGTATTACCTAATAAGGCAAAGTTTCAAAGAAGGTGTCATAACTGGGGTTAAAGGAGAGGAAATATCACTGAACAGGAATGTAATGATATCAAAGTGCTGTTTCTAAGTCATCATGCTGAGTTTCAGGAACTCCCATTTCACAGCCAGCTGTCTGGCCTCTGCAGGCAGAATGCCAAGGAAATGGAGCTGAGTCTTCCTTTTCCACAGGACCCCAGCAGAGGCCCCTCCAAGAGTAATATGTGTGCATCACCAGGGACCCAGGCGCTGCAGCTTGGAAATTGTCAGAAACTGCTGAAGCTCTTCGCAAGAATACCGTTTTGCAGGGGAAGACATGAATACTAGCTATTTAGTGGGTTCATTTAGAGTACCGCAGCAGTAAATACAAAAGACTGGGACTAGAATCTAAAGATATCACACCCTACACTTTGGCAATGTAAAATCAAAATCTTAAGATGTTCAAAGTCAACAATTTTGTGAATTGTATTCTGTAAATACAACAATGCTGTAAATTGTATTTTATTTTACTATTTTTGAGACAGGATCATATTCTGTCACCCAGGCTGGAGTGTTGTAGCACAATCATGGCTCATTGCAGCCTTGAACTCCTGGGCTCAGGTGATCCTCCTGCCTCAGTCTCCCAAGTACCTGGGACCACAGGTGCCTGCCACCACACCCAGCTAATTTTTAAATTAGCTTGTTGCCCAGGCTGGTCTCAAACTCTTGGGCTTAAGCAATCCTCCCACCTTGGCCTCCCAAAGTGCTGGGGTTACAAGCAGGAGCCACTGCGCCCAGCCAAATTGTATTCTTCTTCTTCTTCTTTATTTATTTATTTTTTTTGAGATGGTCTTGCTCTGTCGCGAGGCTGGAGTGCAGTGGTGCGATCTCAGCTCATTGCAACCTCTACCTCCTGGGTTCAAGCGATTACCCTGCATCAGCCTCCTGAGCAGCTGGGAGTACAGGTGCACACCACCACACCCAGCTAATTTTTTGTATTCTTAAAAAAGATTTATGTACTGGGATGGTCTCTATAAATACCTCTCCCCACCCCAAAACAAGGGACTGCATAGGAAAGAAAATAGTTAAATCATAAAACCTATAACAGTGAAATATTATGCAACCACCAAAAGTCATATTTTTTGAAGATGAGTAACATGGCAAAAAGCCATCCAGGCACCCAACAGCTTAGTATCTACTGTTTATGAAACCCTGTGGTAAATAAGCATTCAGGATGGAGATCACAGCTCTCATGTGGAGGAGTTTTCAGTTTAGTGGAAGAGAGAGGGAAATAAACAGGCAAACAAAATGTGGCAAATGCTCAGATGGAGGTGTGTACTGGGGGCTCCAGGACTCCCAAAGACAGGCACCTAGCCCAGACAAGAGGTCTAGAAAGATCACAAGAGGATAGGTACTTGAACTGGGTGGGCGTGAGTTGGCCACAGTAGAGATGAAGTGAGAGGGGGTTTCTAGAAAGGGAACAATACACATGAAGGCAGTGATAGCTGCAGGGGCTAGTATTTGGTCAGCTTCAAATAATTCCTTCTGACTGGAGCTTCAGGTGACTGGGGAAGGAGTAGGAGTGAGGGAGATGCAGGGGCATGGATGCAGCTGGAAGCCATTATCCTCAGCAAACTAACGCAGGAACAGAAAACCAAACACTGCATGTTTTCACTTAGAAGTGGGAGCTGAACAATGAGAACACATGGACACACGGAGGGGAAAACACACACTGGGGCCTGTCAGGGGGGACGGCACACGTTGGGAGAGCATCAGGAAAAATAGCTAATGCATTCTGGGCTTAATACCTAGGTGATGGGTTGATAGGTGCAGTAAACCACCATGGCACACGTTTACCTATGTAACAAACCTGCACATCCTATACATGTACCCTAGAATTTAAAAAATAAATCAAATTTTAAAAAGAGATAATAACACTAGCAGCACTATCTTGGACTGCCCTCAATGTGCAGGAGCTCGTTATCCACTGTTGTGTTTTATTTCATGATTGTGCATTGAAGCAGTGGTAAAGCAGGATTCTGATCAGAACATCCCACTCCTATGCCTGTGCCCTTAGCTCTGCCCTGAGATTGCAGCAGTCGGCAGAGGTCAAATCAATGACAGCCTCGTTTTCCACATAAAGCAGTTAGGATGTGGAGACAGGGAGAAGTTCAAAGCATGAGTTATAATAGCCCAAAATGGGAAATGGCCTACATTTCCTTGCAAGAGAGAATTAAGTTAAAAAGTGATGTCCATTTAATGGAATATTGTATGAGCATTAAAATAATAGTTATCAACACTAGAAACAGAAAAAAATTTAATATGATATTTAGAACTTTTTCCATTGTCTAATGATAAATATTTGTTATAGAAATGTCAAAAAATTCAGAAAAGTAATAATTTAAAAAGTAATCCTACCATCCGAAACCACTGTTAATATTTTGGTATATATCTTTCCATCTATGTGTATGTATGTGTGTGTGTGTGCAAATATATACACACTCAAAAATTAGAGTCATATATTATTTAGTTTTGTACTTAGTATTTGTTATTTAACATTATATTGAAAGCATTTCCCTATGCATATTAAATGTTCTCAGAAAACATACATTTTAATGGCTATTTTTATAGAGTAAATAATTATTTAAATGGATAAAAAGGCCAGGATCAAAAATACTGGATAGACTTTTATGATACAGCGGTGTAGAACTGGCACAGGAAACAGATGACTAATGCTGAGGTTATGGGCAATTTCTCCTTTTCTCTAATGTGGTTATTTTTATAATTTAGTTTTTTAAAGATTTTCAACCCTTGTCATGCATTCATTCAACAGGTAACATTTTTTCCTTCATTGTGCAGTGTACAGTGTGAGCAGTTGATAATAAAAGTTGTGTTTCTGCTTGACATCCCACCCTAGGCTTGGGTTTGGAAAACATGCACGTTGGAGAGAAGGAAAGGAGAGCTGGGATTAGAATCCACCATCCACGCCTATCTGAGAGTGGGAGAATTACTTTGTCAATGTAAGAAGTGATAAAAACCGGAATAGACTTGTCTTATTAGGCTGACGTTGTTCTTGTTGATTTATTAACTTGAATTTCTTTCTTCAGAACATAGTCACAAACAAACCAAGAGGGAAAATGGAAGTTCTAATCATAGGCTTTGGTAATCAATCGCCGTGGGGATGAAATGTTATTTAATTTATAGCCTGTTCATGTTTGTATATGGCACTTACCATGTTATATGGGGAGAGAGATACACAATCTAGCCCATAACAGTGAAGATATAATGTGTTTGTTGGGTGAGAGGTAACAAAAAAAAGACAAAGGGGGCTATTCTCTCAAAGTGTCTCCAAAAGTTCCTTGAAAAAGCTGCAAACTGATTAGAAGGTAGGTTTTTTCCTAGTACAAAATAATTTACTTAGTCCCTTTTCAGAGGATCATTCTATCATGTTATATCTGTTTATAAATCTCTAAATATCAGAAAAAGAGATGCTTAAAGAGGATCAAACTATTTTGGGAGAGTCACTTTGAATTCAAGAGAAAGGATATATTACAGTATTACCAGCTGTCTCAAATATGATCCTATATGATCATGAGGATCCAAATAGATCCTTAACTCCCCCAGATTGTGACTTCTTTGTATTTTCTCTGGGAATCTTTGAACACTGGGCAGCTGGCCTCTGCAATCACACTGTCATTCTTTTCTTGCACATGTCTCCATCCTCAGCCACTGGAGGTTGTGTCTCACTCTCATGCATGTCATCACTGCCTGGCACAGAGTCGGCACTCAGTACACTTTATATTAAAGTGAATACTTCCATCGCATAAAGCAAGTGACTGTTATTAAAATGTGTTCAGTAGCCTTTAGGTCCTAAACTCTGGGCAAGTTCTCATTGCTCCAGATGACTCCTGCACCACCTCTCTTTTGCTAGAAGGAGAAGCAATGAGTTAAGTGCCTTCTCAAGCTTCTTAGATCCCTGATTAATATTCTCTGATTCTCTGTCTTGGAATGCATTTAAAATCTCTGCCTCGATTCTGACCTACCTGGCATGGGAACAAGAATTTACAATGTTACTCACCCACAATGAAGATTACATGCCTGGCAATTTGATTTAATTATTTGTGGAGCTTAATTCAGGCTGTTCATATCTGCCTAGGCAGGAAAAAAAAAACTCTAGCAAGTTTTTGGGCCATTTTTGAATCAGTATTATTGCAGAAGAAGGCAAGAAATTTTTTTCCATTTTAAGCCTGGCATTCACCCCTATAACAGAGTTTATTTCACAAGAAGAATGTTAAGTCTTGCAGACAAAGTTTTCTGTTTCTTCATGTTAGTAGAAATGTGTAACGTTGCCTCAGTCACCTTCAACCATATGCATAAGAGAAGTAGATATTTTTTTGAGGGTTTCTCAGTCTCGGCACCATTGGCATTTGGGGCTGGACAATTCTTTGTGTGTGGGACATTGTAGAATGTTTAGTAGCATTCCTGGCTTCTACTCACTAGATGCCAGTAACACACACACACACACACACACACACACACACACACACACACTCACACGTGACAACCAAAAATGTCTCCATATATCAAGGGAAGGGTGCAGGGGAGAGGCAAAATAGCCCTCCTGTACACTAGAATGTATGGAAATAAATACATACAAGACATTCTCACACACTCTCTCAAATAGCTTTGGCAAATTCTGTTTGGCTTTCACTTACGTGAAAATCACTTCTTTTAGAAGACTTTTTCAGTTCAGGGATGTGATGTGGGGTGGGGTGTGTGTGTTGGTGTGTGAAAAACCACACCTGAATGAAAAATGCAGCCTCCCTAGGAAGGTGACCAAGTTAACTTTCCTTTTCAGGGAAGAAGCACCACAGGAGGTCAAACGGAAACCCTAGCGGATGCCTGTTCCATAGCTAAGTGAGCCTTGCAACAAGGAATTGTTCAATATTCATTCTTTCACATTTCACCTCTTTTTGCTTTGAGCATCCTTTTCTGCTGCCAGACTTTGGGGACCTAGCAGCTTGCAAAGACTCAGCTCTTGTGGAAAGTCCAGTTTTTATATCCTGGCTCACGTATACCTCTAAAAAGCTTAGCTGGAAGTAATAGAGCCACTGTTTTTGAGTACTTTCTCATGCCAGTCACTATCCTAAACTTTTTCCCCACATCATTTCTCTTATTCTTTGCAATAATTCTACCATGTAGATACCATTAATGTCACAGTTTGAGACATGAGGACCCAGGCGTAGAACACTGGGTACACACAGTTGTTAAATGGCAGTTCCCTTTCTTGACCACTGTGCTGTGTTACCTTCCATTGAACATGTGGATTTGCTTATCAAGACCCTCAGATGACCACATCATAAATGATTTATATGAATGAGTTTCACACTTTTTATATGATCTCTTCCATTGCTGGTTGAAAATGAGAGGAGCTGGAAGAAGCACGGAAATACTTAAAGTTCCAGTAGAGGCAACCAAAGCCTGGGGGAAGGTTGGTTCTCTTCATGGTGGCGTAAATGTGATATAATGCATGCATTCTGGCTGTATTTTTGTAGTAATTAAATGGAAGATGTAATTAGTTCTCTTCTATTTTGAATAACAGATTAAGTCATAAAATGTAGAATGCCTGGCTAGGTTATTTCTTCTCAAATTTAAATTTTCAAAGGAGAGAATGATGCATCCTAAAGTGAAGAGAAAACTCTGGATCTTTCATGAAGTGCCCCCAACCCTTGCTGTGTTTGTTGAAGTGTGATCACAGGCCAACTCTGGTTAGGAGCTTTGAGAAATGAGAAATTCTACATAGGGCATGGGGGACATTCTCAGGAAGCCCTTGTGGCTTTCTGTTGCTCTTCTCTACGTGGAAAACGTTCCTGTGTCTCCTACCCAGGCAGTTTAGTAGTCCATACTGCAAGGAAGTGTAGACTGACCTTATCCTATGTCATTTCTCATACTTACTGTGTTTGTTAAGCATTTTTGGCAAAAGGTGTGACTCTACTTTTTGGGAGTGGTGATGGGAGTTTTCTGGGGATGAAGTCTGGAACATTCCTGGGATTCTCAACACAAGCCCAAGAGTTTTCATCATTTCTCCCACCTCATCATACCTGTGGGAGGCAGCACTCTCCTACACCCCTGGGGAACGAGCTTGGAGGCAGAGATGCTCAAGGTGGAGGGTGGGTGCTGAGGGGAGGGGAGTCCCCCACAGGATGTCCCGGACCCCAGTGCCATTTGAAGAAGGCCTGCACCTCCTCCTGACAGGCCTGAGCTCTGCTGGAAACCCTGCATTAGTCAGACTGACATGAGAGCGTGAGGCCCAGACCTGGGATTCAAAGTTAATGAGAAATGTAGAAAACTTGAAGTTGAACAATGAGAACATTTGGACACAGGAAGGGGGACATCACACACCGGGGCCTGTTGTGGGGTTGTGGAGGGGGGAGGGATTGCATTAGGAGATATACCTAATGTAAATGACGAGTTAATGGGTGCAGCACACCAACATGGCACATGTATACATATGTAACAAACCTGCACGTTGTGGACATGTACCCTAGAACTTAAAGTATAATACAAAATAATAATAAATAAAAAAATAAAAAAATTCACAGAAAGGAAAAAAAAGAATTCCAGTTACATGAATGACTCTGTGTTGCATGGCGGTGGGGGCGGCAGGAATTTCCTTAGCATTTGAAGAACCTCTCCCATCCTTGGCCATCCCCTTTGTGGGTGCAGTTTTCTCTGTGGGAATCACCCTTCTCTCTCTGGCAGGTGTCTGCCCATCTTTCAGGAGCTCGCTCTAGCATTGTTTCTTCTGTGTGGAAATGATTGATCGCTTCTCTGTGCTCTACGGAATTCAACAAATACTTGTTGAATGAATATATAATGCTATACTAGAATCTACAGGTTTTTGTTATAATAAGTGATCATTGTAAAAAAAAATTCAAACAGTACTGAAGTGTATAGACCATTCAGTTTTGAGTATTTCTCCATTCATTCAAGAAATATTTGTTGCACATCTAATTGGTGCCAGTTGGGATACAGGAAGAAATAACATGAACAGAGTTTCAGCCCTCACAGCCCTGACACACAAGTAGGGTGAGGCCGACTGTGACCAAACAGCAAGTGTATAATGCCAGATAATAACTGAAGAAATATAAAGCCAAGCAGGGGAGTTGTGTGTGATGGTGGGTGGGGTGGGGCAGGTAGGGGACAGCTGAGGAAAGGCCTGCATGTAGCTGGGGAGCCAGCATTGAAGACGCCTCGGGGACAGTGGGTTCATGTGGAGAGGGCCGCAGGTGCAAAGGCTCTGAGGAGAGAATGAGCTTGGAGTGCTTGAGAAAGGAGAGTTTTAGGAGAGCAGATCAGACAGGAAGCCAGGAGCCAAATCATGCAAAGCTTGACTGGCCATGAAAAGGACTTTGAATTTCATTCTGAGATGCGAAATCATTGAGCAGAAAAGTGACATGATCAGATTTATATTTGTAAGAGTCACTATCAGAGCATTTTCATCATCTTTTATTCAAACAGCATTTACCAAGCACCAATAAGCACTAGGCCCCATGCCAGATACCAGGGAGTGGCAGATAAAAGACCCAGTACATGCCTTCAAGAAACTTGCAATCAGGTGTAGAAACCCACCTACAAATAGACACCTACAGCACCCTGGGTTAATGTCATGATGGTCAGCGTGGTGAAGGGCTGCAGACCCAGGACAAAGGGACCCCAGACCAGGGCATGGGAGGCAATCCTCCACATGAGAATGTTGTTGATGATGTCCCTAATCTGTGCTATAAAACAGGAGTGTATGTTGCTATGGGGATATGCAGCACGGAGACCTACCTCAGTTTGGGAGAGTCAAGGGAAGGATCTTTGAGGAAAGGATTTCTAGATTTTTTGGCTGAGTTCTGGAGAATGAGCGGAGGCTGGCCAGGCAAGGGCCCTGCATGTGTGCAGGAGCAGGGCAGGGAGTTCTGAAGCTGGGAATAGGGGTGGGAACGTGGTAAGAGATGAAACTGGGTTGGTCGGTGGGGCCTGAGCAGGCAGGCCTTGAGGCCACGGTCAGGGCTTGCTCCTCACTCTGAGAGCCGTAGACGCCATCAAAGCGTTCTAAACAGAGGAGGGACGTGATTCCATTTGCATTTTAGAAAGATCACTCTGGCTGCAGAGTGCAGAATATTCTGAGAAAAAAGCAAAGACAGGGGAGGAGAACGGTAAGGACTCATGCCAAGGCCTAGCTGAAAGTGGACATTGTGGACATGGAGGGGAGTGGTGGATTGCATGACATGGAGGATGTAGAGCCACAGGACTGGACAATTGACTGGACGCGGAGAATAAGAGGGGAGGATGAACCATTGACAGCTGCCATGGCACTGCTTTTGAAATGGTGGAAATGGGATTTCTTGGGATAAATAATATAATGTGGAAGAGAAATGCGATGGGAGTAGAAGATTATGAACTCATTTGTGGGCAGTGTGGGACTGCCAGTAGGCAGCTGCCTATTGGGGTATGAAGTTCCATGGAGAGGTGTGATGCAGGGACACAGTCGGGAGCACTGGTGCGTAGATGATTAAGGTCATAGGAGCTGATGGGCTCGCTGGAGACTGCTGGCATTTAAGGACTGCCTAAGGCCTCTCACCAGCCGTGTATGTAAATCTCAGGTCCATCACAGTTTTGCTGAGGCACAGCACTGGCTGTGGCATGTGGAGGCTGGGGTCCGCACCTACACCAAGGCTTTTGGGCTCGGACAGGCACCTGGCTAACAGGAGGGTCCTTGGAAAGGTGGCATCCCAGATAACAAATGAGTGCAGGACTCTACCTGACAGCACTTCACATTTTAGATGTTTGGAGGTTTTTGCAGGTGAATAATCTGTCTTGTTTTCTGCCTCTTACTTCAGGACTAGAAAAAGTATTTTAGAACATTTTCTTCTCTTAGCTTTATGCCCTTGCTTATATGAGGAGCAACAAAGAAAGATGTGCCTTCTCTTCTTACATATTGTGCTGCCTCTTTTTCACTAAATTCACATTAGAAATAATTCACACACCTCGAAAGGATTACTGTACTATCATTCAAAATGAGCTTTTCCCATTTG
The DNA here is from genome assembly GCF_000001405.40 of Homo sapiens. NCBI lineage: Eukaryota > Metazoa > Chordata > Mammalia > Primates > Hominidae > Homo > Homo sapiens. Next base: position 69,564,916 of record NC_000009.12, on the reverse strand, counting down.
GGTCGTTTCTACTTTTTGACTGTTGTGAATAATGCTGCTAAGAGCACTGATATACAAGTATCTGCTTGAGTCCCTGCTGTCAACTCTTTTGGGTACATGCTGGAATTACTGGATCACATGGTAATTCTGTGTTGACTTTTTCTGAGAAACAGCCATACAGTCTTCCAAGTGGCTGCATCATTTTACTTTCCTGCCAGCAATGCAGGAAGGGTGCCAATTTCTCCACAGCCTTGCCAACACTTGCTATTTTCTGATTTTTAGATAATAGCCATCCTAATGGGTGTGAAGTGATGTCTCCTACTTCTTTACTCCCCAAAATTCTGGCCCCTTCTGAGCATGTATTGGGTAGTTATTTACTAGATTTATTTAAAAATTGACAGATTGACAGCATGAGTTTCACTTTTGTCAGTTAAGGCATACGGAGGTCATTTTGTGACCTCCCACCCCAAAAGTAAAAGCAATGTCCAGCCTACCTTATTGAAATGCACCTGTGAAAATAACCTGTGAAAATGAGGCGAAAGTGGGCCTTTTATAATTCAGAGATGTTCCAGTTGAAAATGAAGACATACTCTTTGTTTTTAAATATTGCTCTGTGATCACTACATTAATATTCATAAAGCTCTTGAAAGGAGATTGTCATTTGGTATTAAAGCCATTACAGTTGTCACTGGGTTTCAAAGCATTGCTGCAGAGATTAAATTGCCCCTGCTCTTCCAGGGCTCTTCAGATTAACTGCATTTGGGTATGAGTTCCATCAGTCATCTGTAAGCCTGTGATCCTGAAACCGAGAGGTGCTTATTAGAAATACAGAAGTCAGGAGAGAATGCTTTGGAAGGTGCTTCTCGAATTTGGAGTTTGGGGAGTTGCATCTTATGTGCACCTTATGGAGGTAATTATGGTGGTCACTGGGAATAGATCACCACCACCGGAAAAAGGGGTCTCTTGCTGTCAAATGAAGGCCACCAAGCACAATTTACTGAGACTTGACCTTGAGGAGAGACTGCACTGTTTTCAAAGTGGGTAGCTTGTATTTCTTGACACTTTATCCCAGAGACTTTACACTGACAAAAGTCAGTGAGTGCTATGGAAATAATCAGTCTTGGCAAAGGTAAAGACCTCCTGTTCTCTCACGTGTCTTGGAAACATCTGTCTGTCTGAGTGTCAGGAACCATAAAGTGCAAAACAGTTGAGCCAGAAGGGTTGGTTTCTTTAGAGTGATTTGAATCTTGATGGATAGACAAGTCTCTAGCAAATTAAAAAAAAAAAATTAAAACCAAGTAAGCAGTACATTGAGAATAATATGAGCTAATATACTCTCTACCAATACAAGTCAGGTGGAGTAGAAAGATTAATATATGGGTTGTATGGCCACCGTGATTTGGTAGCCATGCAACCCGTGTATTAACCCATAGGCATCTTTTATGCTTTTGAATTCAAAGGAAGGTTTATATTTCAGAGACTAGAAAGTAAACCTTAAATTGGATCTTGATGAAAGTTGTGCTCATACTGGGACAGCTTTTTATTTGTAGTCATTTCGGAAGAGAAGTTTTGAAGATATCTCTGTTGCTGGTAAAAGTAGAGAAATTTAGTAGAAAAATCTTTTTAATTTCAAAGTCCATTTTGCAGGGATGGGGAAAGCAAGTTATTTTTAAAGTGACAAGTTGGTTAGGGATATTCTTTTTCTTAAGTTTATTAATAATGGTATAGCCAAAAAAGTGAAAATATATGATTCAGATTTTAAGTACTTTGCCAAATTTAAGTCACTTTACATTTGTGGGATAAGACAGACTTGAGACTCGTGTGTGGAAGGGATCGAGTTTACCCCAGCCAATGGGCTGCAGAAGCCCAGAGCAAATCTTAGCTGAAGGCTTTTAAGCATCTTGAGATGACTAGATTCTGTTCAAGATTTAGAAAAACAGTCATTTCCAAAGAAGCAAGCTAAATTTTGTAAACCATAGCTTTGGAGTTGATAGTGATAGTGAATGTTGAAATAATTATTTTCTGTAGTTTTCAGGTCTACCAATACTGTTTTGTCAAATTGTTTTTAACTTCCTTATTTTTAAATCAATATTTTAAAAGAGCATTGTATTGTATTGTTAAGCCCAGAGTTAAAATTTTCTATTTGGGCAGATCTTTCTTCTCTTTCCAGCAGGCTAACCATACATAATGTATTGTTGGTTTCTTCTTCTTTTTTTTAATCCTTAAATTAACCTTTAAAAATATTGATTAAAGCAGAAATACAGGCCGGGTACAGTGGCTCACGTCTGTAATCCCAGCACTTTGGGAAGCTGAGGCAGGAGGATCACATGAGGTCAGGAGTTCAAGACCAGCCTGGCCAACATGGCAAAACCCTGTCTCTACTAAAAATACAAAAATTAGCTGGGCTTGGTGGCGTGTGCCTGTAATCCCAGCTACTGGGGAGGCTGAGGCAGGAGAATCAATTGAACCCAGGAGGCAGAGGTTGCAGTGAGCCGAGATCATGCCACTGCACTCCAGCCTGGGCGACAGAGGGAGACTTCATGTCAAAAAAAAAAAAGAAAAGAAAAGAAAGAAAATCTAGGATATATGAAGGTACTAGTAATATTTATACTATAAGGTATAATTCTCTTGTGAATTAAATCTGATGTTTGATTTGGCCTTACTGTAGCAAGCTAATCCCTTTTGTATCTTTTGTTATTGTTGTTGATTATAACTGACACATAATAGTCATACATGTTTGTGGGATACTGTGTAATGCTTTACACGTATACGTTGTATAATGATAAAATCAGGATAATTAAGCTAATTCACTTTGAATGTACATGGAAAATATTATTAGGCCTACTTTGAGAGTACACCAAGTCAGTCCAACTGCTGCTTCTTTGGAAAAATAATGAAAAAATGAATTAAAATGTATCACCTTCCCCCCATCAAAAAAAACTGCTAGCAATCAAATAGTAGAAATGATTATGATGATGGTAATTACAGTCACCTTAAAAAATCCCCTAGACAGCAGGGCGCAGTGGCTCATGCCTGTAATCCCAGTACTTTGGGAAACCGAGATGGGCGGATCACCTGAGGTCAGGAGTTCAAGACCAGCCTGGCCAACGTGACGAAACCCTGTCTCTACTGAAAAATACAAAAATTAGCCAGGCACAGTGCACCTGTAATCCCAGCTACTTGAGAGGCTGAGGCAGGGAGAATTGCTTGAACCTGTAAGGCGGAAGTTGCAGTGAGTCGAGATGGCACCACTGCAGTCCAGCCTGGGCAACACAGTGAGTCTCTGTTTCAGAAAAAAAAAAAAAAATCCTGTAGATAAGGAGTAGGTTTGGCAGATCCATCTATACCCCAAATCAACTACAGTCAGGACTCCAGTGTACTTCTGAACTCTAACAGATGTTGATTGGTTTGTAATGAACTTTCTTTGGTTATGTAGCATGATTTATTTTGTTCTCCACTTGATGTTATTGTTTAACTCAGGCCCCCAGCATCCAAGCTACCTTCCTTCCTACATAACAATGGTATCACTTTTAGGATAGTGCTAAAATGTCCCTAAAGCAGTATCACTCAAAGTGTGTTCCTCCACCCAGTCAGTAAGCTGTTTTTTCCTGATCTACAGTGAATTAAAATGCTTGCACCATCATATAAACCAACTACATTGCTGAACACACTATTTAGTTCATCTTTTTATTACAGCAAGTTTCTGGATGAAAGAAGCACATGCATTGATTTACGTTCTGGGGCAAGCCTTTATCTCATTATTCACTGGCACTTCTCTTGCTTTAATATTTTCTTTCTGACTTTCAAGGATTTTCACCAAACCCTGGAAAATTATGAGAATATGGGATTTTTGTAAAGTGGTATTTGTAAAGAGCAACATTATATATTCCACATGTGTAGAATCTCTATTGTCATATTTAGTTATTATTCAGTTTACTTCCTTCTCATGAAACATATTTTTCTGTGTCTGTGTGGCACCAACTTGTACATAAATCTGATCCCTAGGTAGATGAATTAATAACTTGAATAAAGTTGTTGTGCAATGTTTAATAATACAGGTTGAACATTCCTAATTTTAAATCTGAAATGCTCCAAAATCTAAAACTTTTTGAGGACTGACATGATGCTCAGAGGTCATGCTCAAAGGAAGTGCTCATTGGAGCATTTTAGATTTTGGATTTTTGGATTAGGGATGCTCAACTGTTAAGTATAATGTAAATATTCAAAATCTGAAAAAATTTAAGATCCCAAACACTGCTGGTCTCAAGCATTTCAGATAAGGGTTCTCAGCCCATATGAATTTTATTGATAAGTGCTTAATGAAGTACTGTGCCAAGTACTTTACATGCATTCCCATATTTCATCTTTACAACAATGCTGTGAGGTAAGAATTTTGATCATCCCCTTTTTGGAGATGAAGAAACCAAGGTTCAGAGAAGTTAAATAACCTATCCAGCTTCAAAAAGCTAGCCAGTAGTGAAGCAGTGATTCAAATCCAGGTCTCCATAACTTCAGGGCTCTTGCTCTTAGTTAAGAGCCACTAAGTGTGGTGTGGGCATGGGCATCTGGCAGATAAGGAGTGAAACAAATTTAGATTCTGGAAACATGGTGGACAAAGTCCATGCAGAGTCTCCTTTAACCTCAAATAGAAAAATTGGTTAAAATATACTTTTTAAAAAGTCATAATAAAGATCAAAAGAAAGAAAGAGAAATCACCAAAGTATGAAAAAAGAAGTGGCAGTTCAAAAGAACCAGAGAAGAAAGCTGAAGGCATGGCCTTGGCAGCTGTTTGATTTGGAGAGTCCCTTGTGTTAATGTCCACGCATGCAGGGGCAGTTGATGTGACTAAACCTGGGCAAGCAGGGAGCTAAAACTTAATCCCCATATATTGCTGACCTCCTCAAGGGCTGCCCCTTTCGCAAGAAGGGGACTTGAGAAACTCCACCCATCAAGCTCTTTCCATGTCCTGGTATACTGGTGTGGGGGCCAAAACTACTCTAGTGATGCAGATGCTTGGGGGAGATTGTCTCAATGGAAAGATGTATGTTGGATTGATGAAGCACATTGACTTCTATCAATTCTTTTAGCATTGCTAAAATCAAACCCACACTGTGATATAACCTATGGAAGTATTAGAACACTAAAGATGAATAGAACATTTTTAATAGAACCAAAAATGGGAAAAATAAATAACCAGAGGAAATGGTCAAATTGCTATCAAAGGAATAGCAGTTCAACTGGCAGCATTCTCTGAACAACAGTGAAGCCTAAAACACATTGGAATAACAACTTCAAAATCTGAGAAAAAATAACCGTCGACCCAGAATTCTATGCCCTGTTAAAGTATTATTTTAAGAATGATAATGACATGGAATACACAGTGATAGGAAAGAAAAAAGTGATAACAACAATAGTCTCACAAACATGTTCAGTGAAAGAACCCAGACACAGAGTACCCACCATAGGATTCCATTTATATAAAATTCAAAAAATAGGCTAAATTAATAGGGATAAATGTCTGAATAGTGGAGTGAGTAATGACAAAGAAGGGGCATGAGAGTGTGATGGAAATGTTATCATCTTGATCTGGATGGTATTTGCATGGGTGCTTACATATGCAAGATTCATTGAGCCAAACCCTTTAAATGCATGCACATTATGCACCTCACTGTATGTATTTTAAACCTACCCCCCAGAAAGAATATATTTTTTAAAGATGGAGACTGTAATAAAGACTTTTTAATTTGCTTTTTATTAATACTCACTAAAGAATTGGTCAAGATGTATTTCTGTAAGACTGAGATAGAACTCAGAGGATTGGAGTGGGTTTTAATAATGAACAGTAAGAAAAGAAAGTGGTAAATTAGTGGTTGCATTTAAACAAATATTGACTAATTACAATAATAATGACTTTGAGGAGTGGGGGTTAAAAAGCAAGATGGAATTAAGGTGCTAGATAACAATCATGGAAGGTGGTAGGTGGTAATTGGAGTTAAAGCCTTCTAAGATCCTTTTTTTATTCTGAAAGAGGGTAGAAATATTAACTTTGAGTCAGTTGTAAAAATTTAAAGTAATCTTGCAAACTAATGCAGGAACAGAAAATCAAATACTGTATGTTGCCACTTGTAATTGGGAGCTAAATGATGAGAACTCATGGATGCAAAGAAGGGAACAACAGACACTGGGGTCTGTGAGGGTGGAGGATGGGAGGAGGAAGAGTAACTATTGGGTACTAGGCATAACATCTGGGTGACGAAATAATCTGTACAACGAGCCCCTGTGACATGAATTTACCTGCATAACAAACCTGCACATGTACCCCTGAACCTAAAATAAAAGTTATACATATAATGTGTATATATATATATATATATATGTGTGTGTGTGTGTGTATGTGTGTGTGTATATATATATAATTTAAGATAGTCACAAGAACAATAGAAACAGAATGATGTCTAACTTTCATATCAGTTAATTGGAAAACAAGAATAAGAAGTTATTGAACCTAACAGTAATCAGGAGAGAAGAAAAACAGGAGCATAGAAAAGACATAGTAATTAGAAATTACTAATGGAATAATGGGTGCAATAAAATTAGTAATCACAATATAAGTATAATTTATTAACAGATTTAATGTTTAACATCTGTTAGAAGATGGAGATTCCTCCATGCTATTTATAAGAGACTTTCAAAGCCAAATAACACAAAGCAAAGGGGTAGAAAAAGATAAATCAGGAAGACAGTTTAAAAATTGAGAGCCAATAAAAACCACATTACTGCCATGCAAAATAGACTTTAATGCACAGATAATTTTAAGGAATAATTCATCAGAAAGCCATTAAAGTCTTGAGCTTGAACTCTCAAAGTAAGCAAAATTTAATAGAATGACAAGGAGAAATAGACAAATTCATAATTATAATCAGAGATTCTAACATGTATGCCTCAGAAAATGAAATGATCAAAGTTGTGGAAGATTTGAACAGCACAATTAATGAATGTGACCTTTGTGCTATATAAAGATTCCTGCCACAAGTTAGACAATATACATTTCAAGCACAACATACATACATCATTTATAAGAATGGAATCTATATCTTCAGCCAGAAAAGGAGTATCAGTAAAGGGTAAACCAGGCAAAATAGAAGACAACCGGGAGCACTGAGGCTTGTGGCAAACAGGAGAGAATGCACCTTCTTAAGGCGAAAGCAAAAGGAAACCATTCTGCAGCCTATGGCTTCTGGTTTGAACATTCAAAGTGACTGCATTATCAGAAACCATCCAAGCCAAATGCCTGCTGCTGCCTTTCCATCTTGTTGCCCACTCTCTCACCTTTCGACCACTCATTGATATCTGTGTTCAAAGAAGGGAAAGGTGTTATCAGTCATCTTGGAGTCATAAACATTTCTGATGGCAGGCAACAGGGCAGCAGGAGGGAGCGGGTGAGGAGGAGGAAGAAGCTATTGCCTAAGGCTAGGTTTATGGATTCTGTGATGAATTTTGGGTTATTCATTGTTCTTCATTGCCAGGAGTTCACCTCTAGGTGAAGTTGTGTAAAATCTTGCTTTGAAGATACTGAAAATGGATGAAATAATTTTCTTCCTGGATGAAGATAAGGCTTTATTTATCTACTAGAACCCATTTAATAAGCACCTACACTTTGTCATGGCTGAAGGAGCTATGTGACCCTGAGAAGACTTGGCCATAGATTCTCTTTGTGGAGTTGGGTGAGTTCAGGCTTTATCAGGAAGATTATGGGCATTTTACTTAGATATCAAATTGTCTCACCTCCTTTGTCCATGTTTTATGAATAATAGTATTCATGATCGTGGATACAATATTCTAGATTTGGTGTATAGCCTCCTAATTTGTTCATCTACAGCATTCTTAACCCCTTATAAATGTTTCATGCCAGCCTCTCATTTTGTTAGATTTTAGTGTCTCCTCTTTATCTTTTGCTGACCTAGAAATTCTAGAGGCAGCTCCATTTTTAGGCTGATGAAACGCAGCGATCCCTGAAGCGATCTGGCAGTCTCCCATAGGTAACCTCCTTCAAGCTTGAAATGACTCCATTATTACTATGAGTCCCTGCCCTTGAGAACATTTTAGCTGAATGTTTGCTAATTTCCTTTTCCACGCTGCCTCTGCACATTAGATATCAGTCTGTTTCCTAAAATCTTTCTTAACTTTCCTAAATTAAGGCTTTGATCACCAAATTATGTATCCCATGGGTGCTTTTGGTTGACACAAAAGAAATAAAACAACCTGTCACAGTTAATTTTACAATATAATTAAAGAGCCAAAGCAACTGTTGAGACTGGGCATCATCCCCTATCTCTAAGGAATAAATAATGCAGAGGCTCGTGTTTTTCTAAAAGTGCTAACTATTGGTCCCTTGGCAAAGAATAATAAAGTACAACTGCACTGGGCCACAAACTGGCCCTGGGCATCAGAATTCTCACTGCAGTGGAAGTTGTCTTTGGCTGCAGTTGTGTAAACTCCGACAGGCTGTCCAGCACAAGTGTGACCACAGACTTCCTCCAGTCTAGGTGTGTCCAGGATCTCTCTGCCTTCTTATACTTGTCCCCAAGACTTCAGTCTTTAGTGTGGACTGAACAAAGATGTAAATGCTGTGGCTTGTTCTTGCTGACCAAAGGAAACTTGATTTTGTTTTAGATCCAGATATATTTGAACTGATTCGATATTTTCCACTTGATATAAAGTGGGGAGGCATGTCAATGTGATAGTAACAGATTTCTCTTCATTATGTTTATATCATTGCTGTGCTTTAAGGGTTCCTATGAAAGACTTCATTCACTGAATGTGAGTCCCTTGTTGGAGAATTTCTAAATGCTTTTGTGTTTAAGTAGCTATTTGTTTTGAGCTAGAAATATGAAAGTGGTTTGGTTTTTGTTTTTTTTCTTTGTTGTTGCCACTTAACTGCTTCCTCTTTTGGGGTTGATCAGTTTTAGGTTTAGATTAAAACAGGCACCTGAGTCATAAACAAACTTTAACAGATAAATGGATAATATTCTCATTATATAACTAGCTTATTATAATTCTTATGAATAACACTAAGGCCACAATGGATAAATGAGCAGAGGACATGACAGTTTCCTAAAGAGAAAATCAGATGGCTAGTATGCATCTCAAAAACTGTTCCACTCACTAGTAATAACAGATGTAAATTAAAGCAACCATGAAGTATCCTTTCTCATTGCTAAAATTCTACTTTAGTTACTTATTTCTAGACATTTTAATTTTAAAAAGGCATTAAATATTTTGATGAATCTTGTTAAGTTGATAAAACTTTTTTTATATTTTGCCAAAATGTTTGTTAAATACCAAATATACTACCAAGTATGCCAGTATAGAAGGATAGATGGCTGGTTCTCTGCACCCTTTTCTATATTGAGATGATTCATTCTTTGAATTTTGCCAATGATTAAACAAATTACTGCACAACATATGAGATAATACTTGCAGGCATTAAATTTATATTTATGGATATTTTACATAACACAGAAAATATGCTTATAAAAAGGACAAATGACATTTTATGTAGCCCCAGCCTTCAAAACTCATATAGTCAAATAGAATACAAGGGAGGGTGAAGGGTGTGTGGTATCTAGCACCACCAGCCTGGTTATCCATTCCTTCTATTCCCTCGCCACACAGTCTAAGGAATGTTTTAAATCTGGGTGAAACAGCCCAATGCTATAGCTTGTTTCCTCCCATGCATTGAAAAATGATTGCACAAATGTTATTAAAACTTATCTCTGTGGTTAAATAATCTACTACTCTTTGGAAGAAACCTGGACCGTCTCCAAGCAAAATGACTTTCTGATGTTGCAATGCTCTTGTCTGCCATGCCTCACTTAGTTTTGAATGCCTGAATTATGGGAATGTCGTTTTCTTAGAACACGTGCGGGACGTAGGAATCATCAGTTGTGCTCCAGCTCTCTTAGCTTAGTCTGTCTCCATGCTATCATCTGTTATGTCTGCGATGAATGCTTAAGAAATGGTCTTGTGAAGAGAGCTGATCTTTCTGCAGGTGTTCTTACTACTGAATCAAAATAAATAGAAAAAGCTCTCATAAAAAGACTTATCTTTGGAATCTGAGGACATCACCATGTGTGTTTTTTTTTTACCCTAAAAATATCTGCTGTTCTTTGCTATTTTTAAAGTGTGTGCTTATTTGAGAGGCAGTAGCAAAATCTCTCATTCAAAATAATCTTATTTTTAAGGTAGAAAAAAATTAGAACTGATGAAATGTTTTGACTGGTGTATCATGGAGGCACTGAGGAAAGCTGTTCTTATGAGCACATAGGTCTTTGTTGTATAATATTTAAGCTCCTTGTGTGCCGCTGGAAACTTCTAGAGTTTCTCTGGGTGCTGATCATTTTGGAATGGAGATATTAGAGGTTTGCAGTTCTCATCATCAAAAACCACTAATGGATCACAAGTGAGTTAGTTGTACCTATATCTAACTTCTTCAAGTATAGAATATATGGTGCCTACTAATTGTATAAAGATGTCTTAGTGTAAGGAGAATTGGGTGGGCTTTAGAATGTGACACCCTAGGATCAAGTTCTGGGTCTGTTACTTACTAAGTACATGACCTTAATTTACTCTTAATTTACTTAATGCCCCTGAGTCTGCTTCTTCACCTGAACTGTGGGAAGAACAATACTCACTTGGTAGTGTTGTGAGGATTAAAGATAGTATGTGTCCTATGGAAGAATCAATGTATGCTATTACCATTAATATTTCCGTAGCATTTTATTGACACTGTAAACAGTAGGTATTTGAATATGTTGCTTTTTTCAATGTCTTTACAATTCACCCAAGTTGAACATGATATACTAGGGGCTTAGTTTCTAATCTGGATGAGTTTTTCCAGGTGACACACACTTTCTGTCACCTTTGTGCTCAATTGCATGCCCTGCTGAGATGGCTCAAGGGGGTCTCTGTTGTTTTCTAAGACCTGGAAATGGAGCCCTTTTCACCAGAAAAACCAATAAGACCATATAAGATTCAGTCCACACTTGTGTGTTTATTAGCACCACGCTGAACCAAATATATTTAATTGGATGCTTAATCATTTTGATTCAGATACTTTATAGGGTGTGAGAAAGGTATATTCTATTTGTGGCAGGAACTTGTGATGTAAAGTATGTAGAACAGTCTGTAGAAAAGATCTGTGGCTCCTAAACTTAGAATTCTCAGATCATTTGCTATGTCCATCTATCCCAGTCTTAACCCCCATGGAAATCTGTCAAAAACAGTGTCCGTGCTGGAAGTGACCTAAATGTGCATCAGTAAAATAATGGATGAACAAATTGAAGTATATTCATACCATGCTATACTGCTCAACAGTGAAAAATTCTGAGTTACTGATAGATACAATGACATGGGTGAATTTTAAATCATTATATTGAGTTAATAAAGCCAGACACAAAAGAGTATATACTCTAAGATTAGATTTTTATGAAGTTCAAGAACAGAACAAGTACATCTAATCTCTGATGATATAAGTGAGAATAGCAGTTACCTATAGGGGTAAGGGGAAGTATTGGCTGAGAAGGGGCAAAAAGGAATTTTCTAGGGTGATGGAAATGGTTTATATCTTACAAGGATGTGTATACAAGCGCACACACACATACACACATTCATCAAATTGTACATTTAAGATCTGTGCATTTATGGTATCTAAGTTATACCTCCATTAAAAGAAAAGTGCCAGCTGGGCATGGTGGCTCATGCCAGCACTTTGGGAAGCCGAGGCAGGCAGATCAATTGAGCCCAGGAGTTCAACACTAACGTGGGCAACATGGAGAAACCCTGTCTCTACAAAAACAATACAAAAATTAGCCGAGTGTAGTGGCACATGCCTGTATTCCCAGCTACTCAGGAGGCTTAGGTGGGAGGATTGCTTCAACCCTGGTGGTTGAGGCTGCAATGATCTGAGATTGTGCCACTGCACTTCAGTCTGGACAACAGAGTAAGACCCTATCAAAAAAAAAAAAAAAAGCCCAAGAAAGGGCACCATTTCATTTGCAGAGATGAGCAAGGTGAGGGTAGAAGGAAATTAACTCTGAAAAATATCAGTCTCTCTAGGGTTTACATTTTATAAACTCCATTTCTGTAAAATTGAAGCGACCACTCAACTCTGATTTTAAAACCCAATGAAACCTGTCAGGGTAGCTTCCTGTACATGAATGAATTGGATCTCAACTTTTTTAAGTATAGCTTTTGCTCTGAAACAGAATAAACAGTATAAACAGTACTCACTTTAACAATAAGTTCTAGTCTTGAAATGCTAGACAGCGTATCTGTGTTGAATTTAGAAGTGTCATTGATTTTAAATCTCTCTTTGGATGCATTGATATTTCAATTTGGAGAAAAGAACAAATTGGGTTGTAAATTCATCTTCCCAGCTTGGGTTTGTTAAAATCCTCCATGGGGGTAGTGGGGGAATAAGTTACTTAGAGATGAATGTGAGTGTGCATTTGAACTCAATGTGAATTGATTTTCGTGCAGGACATCTTCATTTTATACATAAATAATGAGCCATTAGCTGATTACTCTCCATTCGCTCTGTGGTACGTGTTTTCTAATACTTGAACAGAAAAACACAATGAATCAAGCAAGGTGGAGGACATATCTAGGCTCAGCCTAAATGTAATAATCACCCAACTTGTGAAGATCATCTTGGAGGCAAACACTGGTGCTATCATTTCATTTTTTCCTTTTTAAAATCCTCATGATGGCTGAAAATTTTGTAAACAGCCTCTTCCATTGTCATATTCAAAGCTTTCAGGATACTTTCTTCTCAGTCTTTCCAGCCATATTCCCAACACTTCTGCAGGAACTGCCACCTCCAAGTTTCTGTCCATAGTGAACTGTGTGATATGTCTTTAAAACTCTGAACAGTTTCATGTTGGCCTCTCAGCACAAGTCAGTTCTTCCCCTCCTGTGTGTCTTTCCATCTCAAACCATAGATGCCATGCCTTCTGCAGAGTAGGCATTAAAGTTTTATGGAATTAAGGGAAGTAGAGAAAGAGAAAGCCTGCAACTGTCTGTACAGCGAAGATTAGAAGAAAAAATGAAATGTTGCAGATTTACCATTTCATGGTACACAGGTTTTGCACTGATAGAGATTTCATGGAACCTTTCAACAGCCTTGTTTCTCCTTGCCTTCAAACTCCATGATACAGAGTAATTAGGATTTTCGTTCCAGCAATAAAAAAGTTCACCCAGACTTCTTTTGTAATAAAATCATGTAATATTGGCAGAAAAAATACAGAAAACAAAGAGATTGGTCCTGAAATTCCATAAGCTAATGTTTACAAAGTAAACAGATTATTTTACTTTTTTTTTTTTTTGAGGCGGAGTCTCACCCTGTCACCCAGGCTGGAGTGCAGTGGCATGATCTCAGCTGACTGCAACCTCCGCCTCCCGGGTTAAAGCGATTCTCTTGCCCCAGCCTCCCGAGTAGCTGGGATTACAGGCGTGTGCCACCACGCCCAGCTAATTTTTTGTATCTTTAGTAGAGACAGGGTTTCACCATGTTGGACAGGCTGGTCTCGAACTCCTGACCTCATGTTCCGCCCACCTCAGCCTCCCAAAGTGCTGGGATTAGAGGCATGAGCCACCGCGCCCAGCCAGATTATTTTACTTTTTAAAATATTGATGTTAAGTTGTGAAGCTACATATGCTGTTACAAGTGACAATGTATAGCAGTGTTAACAAAGCAGCCGTGACCTCATTCCTGGAAATCTGTCACCAAGGCCATCCAAAAAGTATCCATTAAATTACTTTTCCAGATTTTTTCTTGTCCCAAAAATATGTTTAATGAACTTTATCTGAAGGCAGGATATGTCAATACTATTTTTTCTCATAGCTAAGGTTTAACACGCTCCTGATAAGGTTTTAAGATATTCATATAATGTATGTATTTTATGTATATTTACTTATATATTTATACATATATCTATGTTTATACATATCTATGTATGCATATTGATAGACTGTACACATATATCCATGAGATGTCCAATAAATTACTTACACATGGTAGAGGACTGTATGATGCTCCTCTTTGCTCCCACCTCAGGACTTTAGAACTTGCTGTTCACTTTGTATGGAATGCTTTTCCCCAGATAACTACATGCTCACTCTCCCATCTCCTGTATCTTCACCCTTGTTTATTCTCTTTACAGCACTTCTCAGAGCTCACAGGATATGTTTAATTATTTCTATTGTAAACTCCTCAGGGTAAGTTCCATGAGGGCAAAGACCTTGTTCATTTTATTCACTTTATATCCCTCGTGCTTATCACAATGCCATATAATAGAAGCTCACTAAATATTTACAGAATGAATGGATGAATGAGTGACTTAAAGGTAATTTGCTCCAACCCTCTACCATAATACATGATTTCTCTTTGTATTATTTCAAATAAGAACCTACATTAATGAATTAATTGAAGGGCACTTATAAAATAATATGGGAACAAACTGAATACAGAAGAGGTAAAAAAATAAAATAAAGGATGACTGAATTGATTTGAGAAAGAGGATGAGAAAAATTCCAGAGAGCATTTAAAAGGAAAGGAGGAAGAAGAACTCAATCTAACTCATGTTTATATCATGGAAAGAAATTGCATAATTTTCCATCAAGTTTATTATTTTTATCACTGCATCCCTAAGTTAATATGTGCACAACACTTTACAGTTACAAGTACAGTTTATAATAAAACAGCTAAATAAATGAAAGCAAGCTGCATGAGGACTGATGAGAATATATCATGAACCAAAAGATTATAAGGTCCAATACAGAAAACACTGTACATATCTCATCTAATTTAGACCTCATAACAATCATAGAAGTTAAGTGGAACTGGTATTATTCCCATTTTTCAGATGTAGAAACTGAGTCTCAGAAACTTTAAATGATGTGCCTCAAATTTGCACATATTATGTATACCAGACTCCAGATTCTGTGCCATATCTTTAGGATCGAAAGCCTGTACTAAATGATTGGAAAACTCAGTTCCAATTTTTCAGCAATCCTGGGAAATAAGTTAGAAAAATATGAATTAGAAAATTATATCTCCTCTGTCCCAATGTAAGCCTTCTTTCCGTGTTTCTATCCACCTCAAAGTATTCCTTTTTTGAAAAAGTTACGATTTGTTTTAAAGGTCCCCTACTTTTATTTTTTCTTCTTCCTCGGACACTTTATAACTATTGATTGAATTGATATGAATCGAATTTTTCGGATGTAAAAGGTTCTTCACTGTGCAGTTACCCTCTTTTACCACGAGAGGTCACCTACAGGCCAGTGAGGCCGAGGGGTTTTGAGAAGTCGTAGACGAACTTGAGAGTTAAAATTCATGGGCCATGTCATGATTCTGATAGAGTGTGAAGTTGGTGACTCATAGGATCGAAGTGGCAAAAAGTGAAATATGTGGGTTTTGAGACAACTTTGGGTGAAAGTGGGGCAGAGGGCAAGACGACAAAAAGTGCAGAGGCCTCGGCTGGCTGTGTATCCTCTCTACGACATTCTTAAACAGTGTTCTAAGCACCTATAGTGTCCCAGGCATGGGCTTAGTGTTTGGAGAATGACAGTAAGGCTACAGCCTCTCCTCCCCAAAACCCACATCTAGCAGGGTGACTGACAGCCAGCCCACTCTTTACATCCACTAATGTGCCCTGTCCTTTGCTTTAGAGATGAGATTGCAAAGTGAGAGCCTGCAACGGCCTTCCCCTGGATTTGTTTGGCGTTGGCGCTTGTGCTGTTCTGTAACTACTATATATTGCTTTTTCTTCTACCTGGCTTGCTTCACTCATTTGCATCATCTGTGTGGCCCTGTAGACATTTGAGTCTGTCCCTGTGATTTCCCTGCATGCCCATCATGAAGACTAGCCCTACCCGGCCTTTGCTCTTACTCTAAGAGGTCTGGTTCCCACCACCCCGGGCATTTCAGGGCTTCAGCTGTCCTGCTGCCTCAGCAGCTGCTTCTGTAACAAAGTAGATGTCAGCTACTTCAACTCCAGATGAGATCCGAAGTCAAATGAACTTGTTTGCCTCAAAGAGAAGAACAAAGGGGCTTTGTGGGGAGGAGGGGAGCATTGCAACCAGTTAATGAGCAGAGTGTTCAATCTAGAGCATGTCCAACATGGCCAGCCCTGAGGGCATGTGTGACCAAATGGCATTGGTGCAGGCAGCCTCCAACAGCACATAACCATGTTCTTTCTCTTCCAGGGTTTCAGTCCTTCCCCATCTTTTCCTTTTTCTTGCTTACCTCCTGAGCACCCTATTGCCTTTTACCCTTTAATGGCCTCCAGTCCGTTAATTTGTCAGAAACTGTTTCTGTGCAGGTAAGGAGACATTTCATTTATTAGCTTGCTTAAAGCTATGAAGAATATTTCGGAAGAGCTTGCAGCCTCTGCCAACCCACTTATATTAGTTTCCTATTGTTGCTGTAACAAATTACCACAAACGTAGTGACATAAAACAACAAAAACCTATTATCTTAAGGTTCTGTAGATGGGAAGCTGACACAGGTCCCATGGAGCTAAAAGCAAAGCGTCGGCAGGGCTCTGTCCTTTCTGGAGGATCTAAGGGATGATCCATTTTCTTACTCATTCAGGTTGGCAAAATGTAGGTCCCTGAGGTTGTAGGACTGAAGTTTCCATTTCCATGCAGCTGTGGGCTGAGGGTCATTCCCAGCTGCTTGCATTGCTTGGTTTATGTTCCTTTCTCCCGTCTTCCAAGTCAGCAGCAGGAGAGGGGATTGTGCCAAGTCCTCCTCATGTTTTGAATCTTTCCTCTTTCTTTGGTCCCATCTCTCTGACACAGTTGGAAAAGATTCTCCATTTTTAAGGACTCATGATTAGGTTGGGCCACCCAGATGATCCAGGATAATCTCCCCATTTTAAGATTCATCCTCTTAATTAGGTCTACAAAATCCCTTTGTAATGTAAGGTAACATCTGTACAAGTTCTGGGACCCAGGGTGTGGACATCTTTGGAGGCCATTTTCCACTGACCACACCACTGAACCCATCTCTTGGGTTGGTAGGAACCCCAGGTGGTGGTTGTGTTGGAAACCAGACATGGAGTAGACTGCTGAGTAAAGCACTTGACTGAAATGGGGAAAGCTTGGATCTTCTTCCAGCCTTGAAGTCATGGCACTGGCCAAGGCAGTGGGGCTTTGGTTCTTTTAGGGTATCACCAATATGTCTAGCATTAAACTATCTTAAAAATGGACAATTAATACAATTGCCTCAAATTCTAGTAATCAGCATTTTCAGTGGCTAGTGTAAGAGAGACCTATTCAATATGCATTCTTCCTTTCTTCATTACTAAGAGAACCCAGATTTTATTTGGGGTAGCAAGGTGTCCAGCCAAACAACAACCCTGGTTCTAAGTTTTCCTTGCAGCTAGGGGTGGTCAGTGTGACACATTTCTGGTTGAGGAGATATAAATGGAAGTCACTAGATGGGGATTCTAGGGAAGCTCTCTAAAAGAAGCTGACTGCTGAAATGCACCTTCTTTACCTATGCCCTGTCCCTGTTGCCTGCCTGGAATACAGACACGTGGCAGGCACTGAGGCTGCCATCTTGGAAATGTGGGAGTCAAGCTCTAAGGATGGCTGACTGGAGAGCTGGAAAGAGCTGAGTTGTTCCGTAACAGTATTGTAAAACTCCAGTACCATCCTTGGACTGTCCCCCTCTGGATTTCTTTTGTATGAGAGAACAATATTGAGGGCGTGAGAGAAGAGGGGTTGCCCTGTTCTTAAGCAACTGAATTTAATTCCTCACTGGTCTCTGTACTCCGACAATTGATTCTCAATCTAAAGACTTACAAGATTCATAAGTGTCTTCTAGCAACAGGAAATAACCTGTGAAAAAGGAACTTTCTTAATACTAAATTTAGCCCTAATAATTTCAAAACAGAAGTAGTTTTAAATGTATGCGTAACACTTTTAAACTGCCGTAGCTTTTTCACATATGTGATCTCATTTTATCATTGCAGTAACTCTATAAAGTAGGTGGGTCAGAAGGGTGCATATCAGCATTGCCTTCATTGACACTTCAGGAAACTGAGGCACAAAGAGCTTCAGCAGCCTCTTAAAGATCCTAAGTTATTGTTTATATCTTTTAACTCTAAACCATTTGCTCTCTCCTGCTCCTTACTTTAAGATTTATTCCCTAATGTTATATATTATAAGAAACATAGTTTATGATGTTTTTTCTTTTGCCCACCATGTGTATTTAACATGGAAAAATGATAAAATTAATCTTTGCAAAGTATCTCTCCCCCCAGAAATGGGCAACTTACTTAAGCTAGTTCTAGTTAAGGAGGAATTGGTCACACCTATAGAAAGACCTCTCAGAAAAGAGGATGGCCAGACCCTAGGAATGGATCTGTGACCGTGGAAGCCATTAGGGGGCAGCGCCCTCTTGGTTATCTTACTCCCTCCAGTTTTCTTGGTCTTCCCTAATTAAATCATGGCAGCTCAGGCAGAGTCCCTGAGTGGGAACAGTTCCTACAGAAATGGAACTGTGGGCAGGAAAAGCAACCCACAACATATCTCTGGCAGTTATTTCCCCAGCACTGAAGTAGACTGACCTCCGCATCAGAATAACTCGCTCTGCTACTGTTGTGAATGCTCTGATCAGAAGGATTTCAGATTTCCACAGTTTCATGGGTTAGCCTGAAAGGCAAAATGCTGATTTTTATGCTGATGAAATAAAATGTAGGCCAAAAAATACAAATGATACCCCCCAAATACAAATGACAACCTCATTTTCAGATTGCATTCTCAATCTGAAGGACTGAAGAATTCTCAGTCTGAATTCCTAATTTTTTAAAGTAAATTTATCTTGTATAATTTCAAAGTTTGTCATACTTTAGAAAATTTATAAACTTATGAAAAATAAAAAAGTGTTTTCCCTCTAGCTAAAGCAGAAGTAGCTCTTCAAATACCCCCTCTTTCTTTGAAGAGGTGACTTCCACCTGTATCTTCCATGATGTTTACAAGCATATATACTGAAGGTCATTCATTTGTAAGTTAATTGGCAAAAATATCTTGTTTTCAAATACTCTTTCTTTTTGCATTCAAAGTCATTTCACATCTGAGCCAAAATGAGAAGATTCAGGACATTATAAAATCATCATCATGAATGCGTGATGACTTTATAGTAAAGAAGACTTCTTACATATGTGCATTTTAAAAGTCACCCTGACGGTTACAAATTGTAGCAGAATAGGCTCAGGCTCTGACATCAACGTGTTTAGAATCCAGAGGGAGAGACAGATTGAACATGTGATAAATAATAAGAACAAAAAAATCCAACGCTTTATGACTATCTGCAAGCATCTTCCGTGAGTTAGCAGGTGTCTCCCTGCCTGATGTGATCCTGTGTTCTTGTTTATATTGGCTAGAATTTTCAGTTTCAAGTAGTAGAGACTAACTCAAGCTAGCTTAAAGAGGAAAGAAAATGGGGACAAGATATAAAGAATTGGGAAGTGTCTTACAGGTTCCAAGAACCAGAGGTGCAGCCTGGCCATATGAGGGACTGGAAAGCCAGCAAGAATCTAGGCAGCTCTTGTTTTTTGTGTGTTTTGATTTTGGTTTTGGCTTTTTGTCCCAGTCTCCCACATCTGTCCGTTCTTTCTCCATTTTAATTTTTCTTTGCCGGCTAGCACATCATCTATCAAGCCCATTTTGTTTAGTCTGGCTAAGTCACAACTCCTAAGGTAGTTTTGTTCCTCCATTCATGAAACCAGCCCAGATGAGAATTGAAATCTCTTAGTCCCATTTCTAAATTTCTGTAGAAAACTATGACCTATTCTGGGTGAGGGGTCTACCCCTAGTCAATTGGCTAAGGCCAGGGGGAAGAAACAGGTCCTAGGATCATGTGGATAGTGGAGAAACAATTCTAGAGAAGGTAGAACTCTGATAAGCTGAACAGAACCCCCAAGAGTGTCTTCTAGCTTCATTGAAGAACCATACATTGGATTTTAACCGGTGGGCCAAGGCCCTCCCTGGGTAGAGAATGGTGGGTGCAGGGGGGTGGGTGGAGACTTATATTTACTGAAGGGATCCTTCCTTGAAACCATCTACCTAGATAACAAGCATTCTCTATAGACTGAAAATAAATGGTATATTTTGAGCATATGTGTTGTAGAAGCTCTTAAAATTCATGCAATTTAAATTCTTTCAGTATGTTACCAAATTAGTTATATGTTTTAGTCATCATATGTCTTCAATATCAATAGTAAGGCTATTCTTTTGTGGGAGGAGTCCCTATTATGCAAAATAATGAAGGACCCTGTGTATAAGGTTAGGTATGGACTAAAAGTCTGTATGAGTAGTGAGGATTGGCTGGGATGTTCAACAGAAAGCTCTGCACATGAATTTTATTTTATTAGTTCCCTTATTTTCTTATATTATCATGAACCTGTCTAAAGACATCTTACTGCATGGGAGTATGTTATATGCATGTATAATAAATTGGTAGAAAGCCATTCTGAATGATAGATAATATTTAAATTGACTTTGTATTACTTTCAGCTATATTCAGTAACAGAAACTCAGCCATCAAAGAGTGACAGGGGAAGGTCCTTTGCAATGTGCCATAAGAAATATTTAAGCATGACTTGTAATTTGCATGCTGATTGTTGAAATGTGAGCAAATGCTTTTGAAGTGTTTTTAAAATATCCCTTAATGGTACCTTACATATGCAGGTACTGTTTGCAAACTCTTTTCATAGATATTGAGGAAGGAAAGTTTAAATTCAGCCTAAAAATAATAATAACAAAAAAGAGTAGTAGAAGGTAGTATTACTACGCAGTTTCTTGATACGAGCACTCCACACTTTATAAACATAATTTTATTCTTGCAACAAATGTGGATACTGAATCTATGCCTGTTTTATCCAGAAGGAAATTGAGTTTGAGAGGCCTACAATTTATGTCAAATTATTTGGATCCAAATTAATTTGTTTTTATACTGTGCAAAATACTCCTTTGAATGGAAGCAATGATGGCAGAGTGATCCAATTAACCCATTAGGTTAAGCAGGGAAATTTCAGACATTGCTAGCAAATTGGAGAGATGCATGGCTTCATTATTAAGACCAGATTCTGGAACAGGTCATATGATGCAAGTTAAAATCCTAACCCCACCAATTATCTGCTTTGTGACCCTGGGAAAGTTACTCAGCCTTTCTGTTCCTTGGTTTCCTCCTCCTTAAATTGAAGGTGGGTAATATAACAACTAGTTCCTAGAGTTCTTATAAGGGTTAAATAATATTTAAGCGCATAGAAGAGTCCCAGGAACATGAAATGCTATTGCAGTGCTTTTGACTGGCATGACCTTCTCAGCCTAGAGCCTGTGCACTTGGTATGTCAGCACAACTGAGGGACTGCTCCCAGAGCTATTTCTTCTTTAAGTACAGGGGGCCAGATCAGTGGCGGTCTGGAAAGGTAGCAGGGTACAAAATCAAGTACTTCCTCAGACCTATAATGCTTTACTTTCTAATGGTTTCCAGGTTTCCTTGCTCTGCCCCAGAGTAGGGAACCAAAACAGCAAGCAGAGCCACAAGTGCAGTGCAGGCTGTGGAGGACAGGCCGGGGGGGGGGGGGGGAAATCCCAGCACAGCAGGGAGTGGAAGTGGAGGGCCAGCTGCCAGCAGCCCGCAGTCCAGGCTCAAAGAACTGCCAGGGGCTCCCTCCAATTAGGGGCCACGGCCCCTCCCAGGCCTGCCAGTCTGTTTTAAATCCATTGAGTGCTGTTCTTAGAAACTAAGGAACCCTAACTAATTGGACAATAAAGGAAGATTTTGGTCTTGAGAGGATGGCACAGTAAATGGAGTTTGCAGCGATTTTGATTGCACTCTTACTCTGCAGCTGGCTGGCTGGGGCCTGCAGAAGCCTCTTAACCTCATTGTGCTGATTTCTCCTGCAAGGAAAACGAGAACTGGTTCACTTGCCCTCTCTTCTCTCCCCAGTAGTCTTCAGAAGATTAATTGCTATTTGTGATTCATTTTGATTTGGTTCAACGAAATACAACTAGGGTGAAATACTGTCCTTCTGTAATTCAGGAGAAATTATCCTTTTTAAGTACAGTGACCATTTATCACCCACACTTGGACACTTTTGAGAATAAAAGGGGGCATTAAACATAATTAAAATTCTATAATTTTGCTTGGAAAACATTTTGGCAGTTTCTTAACAAAACTAAAAATACCCTTACCATACACACAATCTAACAATCACACTCCTTGCTATTTACCCAAATGAGTTGAAAACTTATGTCCACACACAACCTGCTTGTGGATGTTTATAGCAGCTTTATTCATAATTGCCAAAACTTTGAAGCAACCAAGATGTCCTTCGATAGGTGAATGGATAAATAAACTGTGGAGCATCCATACAATGAAATATTATTCAGTGCTAAAAAGAAATGAGCGCTCAAGGCAGAGAAAGACATGGAGGAATTTTAAATGCACATTACTAAGTAAAAGAAACCAGGGCAGTGAAACTATTCTGTATGGAACAATAATGGTGGATACATGTCATTATATATTTGTTCAAACCCATAGAGTGTACATCATGCGCGAACTCCCAAGTAAACGATGGACTTTGTTTTATAACGATGTGCCAGTCTTGGTTCATTGACTGCAACAAATGCACCACTCTGGTGGGAGATGTTAATGGTGGGGGAGGCAAGTGTATGCAGGGTAGGGAAGAGGAGATGTATATGGGAACTCCATACATTTTGTTCAGTTTTGTTGAGAACGTAAAACTGCTCTGAACATAGTCATTAATTTTTAGAAATTATATAATTTTGGACATGTTTATTAGTTTCCTTATAAATAGATATATTTTTAAACTATTTTCAAAAAATTATTTTTATAAAAGTAAAATTTTTAAAAGAAAAAAGGTATTAACTCAGATGGTCCAAGGGAATTGGTGTTCACCTTAGTCCCAAACACATGCTGAATTGAAACTAAAAAGAAAATTAAAAATAACATGCTTATTATTTCAAGAGGAAATAAATTACTTTTGAATTTTAATAAATTACTTTTAAAGTTTTAATAAATTACTTATTAATTCAAGAGGAAATAAACTGCTTTTCTATAGTGTATTTACTCTTTTTATTGGGAACCTTTGCTGTCAAATGTTTCTCTCATTTTTTTCCTAGGTTTTTATTACTAACTTATTGAGTAATTCACAGCATACTAATGCTCCATTAACTGCTTTACATACATTAATTTAATTTAGTTCTTTTAAAATAGAGATTTCTTCATTCATTCACTCAAAAGTATTTACTGACCTACAACTCCACAGCAAGAAACCAAAAAAAAAAAAAAATGCAAAAAAGAGAGCAAATAACTTGAATAGACATTTCTTTTAAGAGGACATACAGATGGTCAATGGGTATATGAAAAGATGCTTAACATCACTAATCATTAAGGAAATGCAAATCAAAACTACAATGAGATATCACCTCATACCTGTTAGGATGGCCGCTATCAAAAACAAAAACAAAACAAAACCAGTAAATAACAAGTCCTGGCAAGGATGTGGAGAAATTGGAAACCCCTGTATACTATTGGTGGGAATGTGAAATGGTTCGGCTGATATAGAAAACAGAATGGGGGGGGGGGTCCCTAAAACAATTAAAAATAGAACTGCCTTATGATCCAGCAATCTCAGTCAAACTCACCAAAAGAATTGAAATCAAGATCTCAAAGAAATATTTGCAAAACATTTATCGTAGCATTATTCACAATAGCCAAGGTGTAGAAACAACCTAAATGTCCATTAATAGATGACTGTATAAATAAAATGTGATATATACATGCGTGGAATGTTATTCAGCCTTAAAGAAGGAAATCCTGTGATACGTGACAACATGTGAACCTATAGGACATTATGCTAAGTGAAATAAGCTAGTCACAGAAAAACAAATACTGTATGATTTCACCTATATGGGGAATCTAAAATAGTCAAAGGCTGAGCGTGGTGGCTCATGCTTGTAATCCCAACACTTTGGGAAGCCAAGTTGGGAGGATTTCTTGAGGCCGAAAGTTCAAGTTCAAGACCAACCTGGGCAATGTGGCGAGACCCAGTCTCTACAAAAAAATTTAAAATTAGCCGGGTGCGGTAGTTCATGCCTGTGGTACCAGCTACTTGGAAGGCTGAAGTGGGAGAACCGCTTGAGCCAGGAGATCAATACTGCAGTGAGCTATGATAGCACCAGTGCAGTCCAGCCTGAGTGACAGAGCGAGACCCTGTCTCTAAAATAACTAAATAAATAATAAAATAGTCAAATGTACCTAAGCAGAGAGTAGGTAGTGGTTGTCAGGGGTTGCAGGGGAGGGGACAATGGGAAGTTTCTATTCAACAGGTATAAAGTTTTGGTTGTGCAAGATGAGTAAATTCTAGAGATCCATCATACAACATTGTGCCTACACTTAGCAATACTGTACTCTATTGTACAGTTACAAATTTATTAAGAGGGTATCTGTCATGCCAAGTGTTCTTACCATAATTTAAAAAAAAATGTACTGAGCACTTCTTAAGTATCACACACTATTCCAGACACTAGGGACACAGTCATGGTGGGGGAGAGAGACCAACAATAAATAAATATGTAATATATCAGGTAAAAAGTGCTATGAAGAAAAAGTAAGCAGATAGTGATGGAGATTACTATTTTAGATAAGTTGTCAGGGAGCATGTCTTATAAGGTGACTTTTGTTGTTGTTGTTGTTGTTGTTGTTGTTGTTGTTGCCGAGATGGAGTTTTGCTCCTGTTGCCCAGGTTGGAATGCAATGGCGTGATCTCAGCTCACTGCAACCTCCGCCTCCCGAGTTCAAGCAATTCTCCTGCCTCAGCCTCCCAAGTAGCTGGGATTACAGGCACACACCACCATGCCTGGCTATATTTTTGTATTTTTAGTAGAGACAGGGTTTCACCACATTGGCCAGGCTGGTCTTGAACTCCTGACCTCAGTAGATCCGCCACCCTTAGCCTCCTAAAGTGCTGGGATTACAGGTGTCAGCCACTGCCCCCGGCTAATAAGGTGACATATAAGCAGACACATGCAGAAGAGACAGGAATAAGCCCAGTGAATTATCTGAGAGAAGATCAGTAGAGGCAGAGGGAAAGGAGAGTGCAAAGCAGGTATTGTCATTTCATGGAGTAGCAAGGAGGCTAATGCGACTGTGAAAATAAGGACAGGAGGAGCGTAGACGCTGAGGTGAGAGGTGCGAGGGAGAGTGAGATGAGAAATCATTCAAGGAGATACGTGATCTAACTTACACTTTGGCGAGATTTTGGAAATCTCAAGACAAATTAGGAAGCTGTTGACATGGTCCAGGTAAGAAAAGATGCTGGTGGTTGCAATGGAAGGAATAAAAAGTGTTTAGTTGGTTCTTGATCCATTTTGAAAGTAGAAATAACAAGAGTTGCTGACAGACTTGATATAGGGTATGAAAAAAAGGATTAAAAGATAATGCCAAGGTTTTGTCTGAGCAACTGGAAGAAGAATGATGAGGCAGACAGTGGAAAGAACAGGTTTAGAATGAGAAATCAGAAGTCTGTTTTAACACATGATAATTTGACATCCATGGTGAAGTATTAAGGAGGCACAGTTATGTCTAAAGGAGCTCAGGGGAACAGTTTGAGCTGTCATTGTAAATTTCAGAATTGCCATTGTATAGACGGTAGATAAACCATGAGCCTTCATGTGATCACCTGGGAGGACAGTGTAGATACTTAACAGTTGAGTCCAAAGACTGAGCCTGGGTCCTCCAGTGTTGAGAGGTCTGACGGATAAAGAGAAACCAGCCAATGAGATGGGGAAGCAACAGGAGAAAGTGGTGGCCTGGAAGCCTGGAGAGAAGAGTGCTTTGAGAACAAGTGTGTGATAGGCTGTATCAAATGCTGCCCAGTAGTTAAGTAAAATGACTACAAGATATTGCAATATGGAACTCACTGGTGACCCAGACAAAAGCTGATTCAGTGGAGCAGAAGGGATGGGAGCCCGATTGGAATGGGCTTAAGACAGAACAGAAGGGAACAAAGAAATCAAGGGACAGTCCAGAAGGGTTAATAACCTTGCTGATAAAAACACATCTTGTAAGTGCCAGAGCTAGGACTCTAAGTAGAATCTTTTTGACTCCAAAGTCTGGGCAGTTTATAGAAGTTTAGAGTCTTGGATCAGGAGTCAGGACAGTTTTGACACTACCTATGTGTGTAACCTCAAATAACTCATCATTCAGCAAACTTGTTTGAGGTCCTACTGTGTGCCAGGCACAGATGAGTAACACAAACCACTGATCCAGACTAGGCTATAGGAAAGGAAGTTGGGGATGGCTCCTAGAGAGAGTTGGAATAGCCACTTGAGTTCTCATCTCCTAAATAAGTAGGGTGTTAGGGCCAGGAAAGCACTAAGTACCTTTCTGTCCTTATTAAGTTCCATGGATTTGGGATGCCAGCAAATCCTTTCACCTACAGATGCAGTAGGGAAAATCAGCACAGATTTTCCACCCCCTCCAGGGTATATCACCAAGATGTTTAAAGATGTCAACCCGTAATTAGAATTTTAAATTTGGAGAAATGTGTGCAGGCATTTTAGGTGCAATTAGCACAGTAGATTAAAATCATTTTGAAGTGACCTCATTCACTCCCCAAATTGCTTAAATTGATTTTAGAATTTCCTGCCCATGCAAGTGGCCAGATGAAACATGGATAACTGGGGAACTACTAATAGGTTTCAGTGAGGTTACCCTTGTCAACCAAGGGAAAGAGATAAAAACTATTATAGCAAGTCTTTTAGTGCATTTTTTTTTCAAGGCTCCAGCCTTTTTCAATGGGCTTTTGTAGGATTTTCCATAAACATGGGTGCCCAAGATTCTGTTGTGTTTTATCACAACAAAACAGTCCTCATCTTTGCTAAGTGGCATCACTAAATAAAACTTTTAAGTTTCTCTATGGAAAGAGAAACTATAAAGCCAGTCAAAAGACAGATGATACACTGGGGGAAAACATTTGCAACAATGTGACAGACAAAAAGTTAATACCCTTAATGTTAAAAAGCCTCCTGGCAAGTGTTTAAAAAAAAAACAACTCAGTAGAAAACCAGGCAGTTCACAGAAAGGGAAATGCAGTGGCCAATAAGCTTGTGAAAAAGGGCCACCTTATTGGTTTTCAGAGAAATTCAAGTTAAAACATCACTTACCAGATTGACAACAATTAAATAAATTGATAACATCTGTTAGGGAAGCCCCATTTCCCTGCCTCATGACTTATTTTGAAAGAATATTCCTGACTTCTCTCCCCGACCCTCCTTCCCTCCTTTCCAGAAGAGGATTGTGAGAGAATTTGGGAAAGGAAGTGGGTCTGTTGGCCAGTGCCATCTGGGTCCTCTTTTTCCAGCTCTCCTTGCCTGAATTGAGGATGGATCCCCATGTGCTCCTAGCCATATAGGCTTCCCTAGACAGGCTGTGCACCTGTGATGGTTGACAGCTGTCCCAGTGAAAAGGTGGGATCATCTACTTAGTGCAGAGGTGAAGTATTCGTAAGACAGTTTGATTGCAGAGCTAAAGACACATCATCCAATTCAGCTTTTCAGACGATATTTTAAAATCTACATTTGTGTGACTCCTATATGTTTCTTTGTTGGTTCAGAACTTGGGAAAGAAAGAGAGGAATGTTTGTTTCCTGCCCTCTTCCTACCCAGAAAAAAAGAAAAATATGTTGATGGTCACATGTAGAGAAATAGAAGTTCTTTGGAGATGGGGGGAAATTACTAAGATTTGGGAGAAGTCACACTATATATGTATATATATATACATATATATATATATCTTAGTGCGTAGTGGTGATGACTGCATAACAACATGAGTGTTCTTTTTTGCCTTTTTTTCTTTTAGATTCAGGAGAGGCGTGCAGATTGGCTACATGCATATATCACATAAAGGAGGGGTTTGGGCTATGTAAATTTTTTTTGTTTTTTTGTGGTTTTTTTTTGAGACAGAGTCTTGCTCTGTCACCCAGACTGGAGTGCAGTGGCACGATCTCAGTTCACTGCAACCTCAGCCTCCTGAATTCAAGCAATTCTTCTGCCTCAGCCTCCTGAATAATTGGGATCACAGGTGTGTGCGAACACGCCTGTCTAATTTTTTTTTTTTTTTTTTTTTTTTTTAGTAGAGATGGGGTTTCTTCATGTTGGCCAGGCTGCTCTCAAACTCCTGACCTCCATCAATCTGCCCGCCTCAGCCTCCCAAAGTGCTGGGATTACAGGCATGAGCTACTGCACCCAGCCTATGTGAATGTTCTTAATGCCACTGAATTGTATATTTAAAGGTAGTTCAAGTGGTAAAATTTATGTTATATATATTTTACCGCTATAGAAAATGTGTACAAGTTCAGATGAAATTATTAGATTTCTGACATTTGCTTCAACGTAATACAAGAGGATGGGGCAAATGAACAGGCGTGTGGAGGAATCAAGACTGGCCATCATCATGTCTTTAATCCTCTCAAGCAAATAAGGAGAATCATTACACCATTCTCCCTAGTTTCTCATATATTTGACATTTTCCATAATAAAAACTTGTTTTTTCATGTGTACTGCTTTCAACTAGCATTGTCAGTTTTAGGGGTTCCATATAAATAACTGTACTCACTCATAAGGATATAATCTATGAGGAGGTTCATTGAAACACTGCATAGGAAAAAATGTGGAAATGACCTAATGATTATGAATAAGAGAATGAGTAAGCAATAGTAAATTGTGACATTATGAAACAGAATAAATGAAGAGAAACAGACTTACTTGTACAACATCAAAAAAAAAAAAACAAAAAACTGCACGCCATCTACCTAATCCTTTATTTTTAAGTATGAATAGAATCACCAAATATGTGGGGGAAAATAGCAACATGAAAGAGAGAGACCAAGATACACAGAAAAAAGTGAGCCAGAGGAAGCAAAGGCAAACCAGGACACTTCAAACAAAGAAGAGCTCTCATTAATGTGTTCAGAGAACTCTAAAAAGGCATAATATTTATTTAAAAGTGATACAAAAACAGATAATAGGAAAAGAAAGAGCTTTTAGCTTTTAGAGATTAGACATAGGCTTGCCAAAAATTCAATAGAGGGGGCCTGGGGAAAAATAAGATGAGGAAATAGAACAGAGCATACAACAAAAAGAGAATGAGATAGAAACAGAGAAAAGATAAGAAAAGTAGAGGATCATTCCAGAAGCTCTGACATCTGACCAGTAGGAGTCTCAAAGTAAAACCAGAGAAAAGGGCAGGAGGCAGAGGGAGGCAACGATCACAGAAATAATAGAATATTCCCCAAAGCTGAAGAAAGACACAGCTCTTCAGATTGAGTGGCCTACCAAGTGCACAGGACAATGATTAACACCTTGATTCATCTTCCAAAAATTTCCAAACACTGAGAATAAGAAAAACATATTGAAAGGTACCAGAGAGAAAAAACTACCAAGGGATAGGAGTTAGGTTAGTACCAGGCTTATCATTAGCACCACTGAATGCTGGAAACTACTTCCATGTGATCTCAGACCAGCTGCAGGAGCATCAGCTAGAGTCTTAGAGGAAATACAGAATCCCAGGCCTCACCCAAGACCCACCAGCCAGAATCTGCATTTTAACAAAATCTGCAGGTGATTCCTTGGCACACAGGTGAACATTATTTACATAGTCATAATCAAGTAATGGTTCTTTATTGAGTTTCAGGATTTCAAATCAACCTATGAAAAAAGCATCAGAGTGTTGATTGTGTTGGCAGATGATAAAATACATGTTATTTTGACAAATATAAAAAGTAAAATTGTAGTTGACAGCAGGTGGGAGGTAGAAGGGGAAAGATAAAGTAGAAAGACCAGATGATGTGTCATTTACGGAAAAAGAAGTCAATATACTAATTATAAAAATAGTATTTAAAATTACAAATGTAACGAATAAAAATATAATTATTAAACATTGGGAGAGAAAAGGAGAAATTAAGTGAGCTATATCCTCATCTTTCACAGTAGGAAGTCAATAGATATTGCCTAAATTAAGTCAATAAATTGTGATATATCGTATAGAGTTATGGAAGTAACCCCTAGAAGAATTAGAAGAGCCCCTAGAAGAGAAACAGAAACAGTGAAAAGGGGATATTTTTCTCATGATACTTGTGATTCTTTTTTAAAGCTGAGAGTTAGGCTCATTTTCAGGTCCCAGTGAAATGTTCCTGTGCATTGATTTAGAATAACATAAACCAACTCCAAAATTTTATTGGCTTATTGTATTAAAACTTAACTTCCTAACAGTGGTAATCCAATGCAGGTCATTTCTGGTTGGAACACAGTTTTCCTCCAAGTGGTTGATTCAGGGATCCAGGATACTTCCTTCTGGAGATTCTGATATCTTTTGGGTCTCGGAGTCCTCCGCATTTATAGTGAAAGAGAACATGGAAAAAGCAAACTCATTGGTTAGATGACCCAGCTCAGAAATGACATCCTCACTTCCACTTTTATGTCTTTGAATAGAACTAACCATGGTCCCAGCTAGACGCAAGGAGAGTTTATAAATGTAGTTCCAATGCTGTATTGTGAAGGGTGAGCTTCAATTTTTGGTGGGCAGGAACTCAGTTCTGCCACACTCTGTATCCAAATAGCCATATATAAATGGCAGGTCCTCCTTGCCCTCTCCTCAGAAAGGGCATGTGTATGCTGAACATTGGAAATTCAAGTGTTCTTTAGGTAGAAAAGAAGGTGGACGAATCAGATTTGCTTTGTGTTGTTTGCATATTTTGAATTACTTTCCCTTGCTTTGACATTATTTTTCTAAGCATCTTGTTGTAATTATTTTCTTTTGTTTAGTAGATCTTTCTTCTATAATTGGATGTCATGTCCTCTTTGTAAATGAATCCATTGGGATTATGGTGGGACAGTGGAAGGAGGTGCAGAAAGAGACCCAGCAACAAGCTCTCTAGTGCTCCATTAACACATGCATGAGTTTGGACAAGCCATGCAATCACTCCACTCCTTGGTTTTCTTCTCTGTAAAATATAGAACTTGTTGGGCTTTGCCAACGCTTTCAGTTCTATATTTCTGTTACTTTAGAATCATATCCATCAGTGAACTGATAGTATTGAATTTCTGGAGCACAGATGTGAATGACCACAGCCTGGACTAGAAGTTCCAACAAAAGTATAACAACTCTTAGAGTCCTTTTTACCACTCCCACCCCTGCAATTTGTGAACAGAGACATCACTCTTGAATAGCAAGGCTTAAAGTAAACAGAAGTTGAGTACCAACATGGCAGCAAGAAACCTGAAATGTGGTGAGAAAATTCCTTCAGCAGCTGAACAGAAAGGTTTTGCAGGGATTCAGCTCATCAGCCCTTCCTCAAAGCCCTTCCTCAGCAAGACAGGAAGGTAAATTTTCTCAGGCACTTTACTGTTTACAAAGCAACAACCACTCCCATAAAGTAGGCAGAATGGGTCATTATTTTTATTATGTATTTGGTTTTTTTAATAGGCTCATGGTTCAAACATCGTAATGTACAAAAAGGAATATGCTTAAAAGCCTCTATCCCATCCCAGTCCCCAATCTACTGTTCTCATTCCTTCCCTGCCTCCAAAAGAAATAGCCACTGTTATTAATTTCTTACTTATCATTTCAGAGATTTTAATACATATATATCCTGTCCCCTCCATCATACATACACAGCAATATTTATTACATGATGATCTGAGCTTTAATGGATCAGGGCAGTTCTTTCTATATCTGTTATACAGATCACCTTCTTTGTGTATCATAGGATTCTATCCAAGGACACAACATAATTTATTTTACCAATTGCCTAATGATGGGCATTTTAGTTGTTTTTGGTCTTTTGTGAATACAAACTGTGCATTAGTCATTTAAATAGCCTTGTACTTAAGTTATTTCACACAATTATGTATGAAGTATGAGTATATACGTAAATTCCTCTGAGTGGTAATTTTGATGGATACTTTCAAATTACCCTTCATGGACCAATTTTATAGATGGAAGAAAGGTTGTAAGAATTAATGATTGCAAATCAAGGGCTGCAAACAGCTTGACTACTTAGAAGTGTGATTTTCCTGAGTTGGATGTGGATGGGTATGAGTAACACAAGGTCAAAGAGGTTTGGTATTGTACACTGAAGCAGGCTGCTGTGAGGTGGGCAAGCAGAGCCACTCAACAACTCACCAAAGCACACACTGAAATAATGAGGCTTGGTTGCAGCATGCTGGGAAGTCACAGCAGCAGATGTGAGCCTAGTGCTATCAATGCATGAGCAGGCACTTTGTGAGCCAGAAGCCCAGAGTGTGGGGACGGGCTTGGCAGGAGGCTCCAGAGATAGCAGTTAACACACACAGATGTCACAGGGCGATATTTGTGCCAGGTGGTCGGGAAGCGACCTCCCATGCCAGTCAGGTTCCTGCCACCCACACTTGGACTCATTGGGTCTTAGAATTGGGCCAGTGATAGGACAGTGGCCAACTTGTGGCCCACCTACATGTCTTTTAAGCTTCAGTTAAGGTTAGTTTTGTTAAAGTGAAGCAGTCTCACTTGTATATTTTAATTAATGGAATGTATACATATACAGTTTATTTTGTATAGCAGCATAGATTTACAGAAAAATTTAATGGAAAGTACAGAGTACTCATATTCCCCCTTCCCCCTCTGCTACACACACACAACCTCCCCAGCTATCAACATCTCTTACCAGAGTGGTACATTTGTTACAATTGATGAACCTATTGATAAACCATTATCACCTGAAGTCCATAGTTTACATTAGGGTTCACTCTTTGTGTTGTGCAATCTATGGGTTGACAAGTATATTTTTAAATTCTTGTTCTTAGAGCTACATTAGCTTATTTAATTCTTGCAGTATGAGCCAGATTGAGAAGAGAAAACTGAAGCACAGTAAGGTTAAGTGACTTGCCCAAGGTCACATAGCCAGTGAGTGCTGGAACTGAGATTGGAACCTCAGTCTGAAGTCTGACTCAGTGTGCATTCTTAACCACTATGCTTTCCTGCCTTTTACTCCATTCCCCAGTTCCTAGGGTTCTCTTTCCTCTTCCAACTCCTCCTCCAAGTGAGAGAAAAGAGTTCTCTCTGTTTTTACTTTCCCTGGCTTCACCTGAGCCTCATTGCCTGTCTAAGAAATCTTTGGGCAACTTCTCCTACTGATTTACCTACAGAGGCCATGAGTGCTGAAGGGCAGGGGCAGTGGGTGAGCTGTGGTCATGCAACTGAGGATTGTCTGTGGGACACATAAGGCAAAAGGGAGGACAAGGCTGGAGTGCTGGAGAGGGGAAGGAGCAGGTGCAATGACAGTGAGGGGCCCATTGAGACCTGAAATTAGAGGACAGGGGTAAGGAATGAGGGATGGAAGAATAATGGAGCCAGGCCCCTTGGGAGACTGAGGACCAGGCAGTGTAGGACTTGGTTCATAATGTCCTATTATTTAAGAGAGAAAATTCTGATAATTGAAGGGTCTTTTCTTTGTTGAACAGGGTGATGAAGGAGGGTGATGGTACGCACTTTTGGAAGAGCTGACACAGCCAAATTATTCTGCAAAAGAAAAGAAAGAGTTTAGGAGGCTTAGAAGGAAGGACTAGAACTGTCCTGTCTGTCATGGTAGCCACTAGCCATGTGTAACTGTCAAACTCGAAGTGGGGCTAGTCCAAATTGATATGTGCTCTAGTGTAAGATACACTATGGATTTTGATGACCTTGTAGGAAGAAAAGAATGTAGACTTTCTCAATAATAATTTTTATATTGATCATATGTTGAAATAATATTTTGAATATATTAGATAAAATATTAAAATTTTCTTTTTAAAAAAATTTTAATGTGCATACTAGAAAATTTTGAATTACATATGTGACTCACATTACATTTTTTTCTGGACTGTGATGATCCAGAAGGGAGAGACATGAACCATTAAGACTCACGACTATGTAGGATAGAGGGGCAACCCTATGGCTGGTGACTGAGAAGAAAGACTTTGGAAAATTTAACCAATACAGACTTTTTTTGGAGGATAAGTGGTGTGGTATGTGATATAATCTCCCACCTCAGTCTTCCCTATGCTGTCTTCAGTAAGATCAACACTACTTTAAAAAAATTATATTTTAGATGTAGGGTGTACATGTGTATGTTTGTTACATGGGTATACTGCATACTGGTGGGGACTGGGCTTCTGGTGTATCCATTACGCAAATAGTGAACATTGTACCAGATAGGTAAGGTTTTCAACCGTCACCTTTACCACCCTCTCCTCTTTTGGAGTCCCTGGTATCTATAGTTTCCATCTTCATATCCGTGTGTACCCACTGTTTAGCTTCCACATGTAAGTGAGAACATGAGGAGTTTGGTTTTCTGTTTCTGAGTTAGTTCACTTAGAATAATGACTATAGCTCTATCCATGTTGCTACAAAGAATATGATTTCATTCTTTTTTATGGCTGCATAGTATTCCATAGTGTTGCATGTGTGTGTGTGTGTGTGTGTGTGTGTGTATATATATATATATATATATATACACACACACAACTTTTTTCTTAATCCAGTCAACCATTGATAGACACTTGGGTTGATTCCATAACTTTGCTATTGTGAATAGTGCTGCAATGAACATATAAGTGCATGTGTCTTTTTAATATGATAATGATTTCTTTTTCTTTGAGTAGATTTCCAATAATGGGATTGCTGGGTCAAATGGTAGTTCTATTTTTAGTTCTTTGAGAACTCTCCATACTGTTTTCCATATAGATTGAATTAATTTACATTCCTACCAACAGTGTATAAGTGTTTGCTTGTCTCCACATCCACGCCTACATGTGTTGTTTTTTGACTTAATGATAGCCATTCTGATTGGTATAAGATGATGATTAACGATGTGAACATTTTTTTCATGTGTTTCTTGGCCACTTGTACTTCTTTTGAGAAATGTCTGCTCATGTCATTTGCACAGTTTTTAATTGAGTTGTTTGCTTTTTTCTTGTTGAGTTGTTTGAGTTCCTTGTGGATTCTGGATATTAGTCCTTTGTCAGAGGCATAATTTGGAAATATTTTCTCCTATTCTATAGGTGGTCTGTTTAATCTGAAGATGAACATTATTTTTAATAAAGCAAATTAAAAAGAATTTTCTCTGGAAGCTCATGTCTTCCCTTGAGGTGACTGAAAGGTTGTGGATCTTCAAAACCACATTTGGATTTTACTGATCTTCCCTTATTGGGAGCCAAAATGAAATTAGTGAACTAGAAGAGTATAAATGCAGATACCATATCTCTTTACATTCTGATCAACACGGCCAATGAACTATTATGGGTTTCCAGATTATCGACTTGTCATTTTTAAGAAAAAATAGTTTTTGCCTTTCCCCACATTATATTTCTTTTCCTGTTCACTTTTTGCTAACATGACTGAACTTAGAGAATTGATTGTCTTGGGAGGCTTTGAATCATTATGGGATTTCTGGCTCATCAAATTCAAATTTAAGGCATCTCCATTGTTGCTACCTAATAGTTGCTTAGTGGATTTTGTTCTTTGGGAGTTGTGAAGCTGAATTGTCAGGAAGTGAGCCTTCCTGAATGTGGCTGCTTTTAATCATTTAGTATAGCCCTAGCATAGCAGATTTGAGGCATAACCAAAAATATGTTTGAGGATTATGACCAGCATAGTCTTTGCTGCTTTCCTGATCTATGAATACAAAGAAGCTCAGGAACAAGAATTCAATCTGAAGCTTCATAATTAGGATTGCAGCTGATATTCTGGTATAAATTTGGAGAAGGAAGATGCTAGAAGAAGCTACAGAAAACTTGAGAGAATAGAGACAGGCAAGTTAACTGACTTTTAATGAGCCAAATAATCTGTAAACATAACAATAGCAGTAAATTTGAAGTGATGTGGTCTCAAAAAAAAAGACTACATTTTAATGAATTACTGTTCAATTCGTTATTTGCCTGATATCACTGTTTTCATCTCCTTTGGCAGTGTGAATTAATGAGCCTCTGAAAACTAACATAGCTTAACTGATTTTAGAGACTTACTATCCTTAATACTGTAGTGTTGTGTGTGTGTGTACGTATGTGTGTGTGTGTGTGAAAATGGTACAGATTGATTGTACCTGGTGATTTAATACCCTCGCCCCCACTTAGTGTAGTGTAGCAATAGAGATAACAGTAGAAAGGAAGTTGTGTAGGAGCATAAAAAAGGGATTGTAACAGAATAAAAATACCAAGTTTGTATAACCTTCAATAAATTATGAATTATGTAGGTATTTTTGATTTTATACCAAGGCATTTCACAAAAATTCAGATAGACTTTTAATTGGCTTTAATTTCCAGAGACTGTCTCTTGAGTTTTCTGTAAAATTTGCAAGATCTCCCCTCTGAGTTTCAGTGATTGCCTTAAGCTTATTTCATGTATTTTATTGGAATCAGAATGATAAATGAATGATTGGATTGTTAAAGTGCTAGACAATAAGAAAGTCTGCATAAATTCAAAATTTTCTCTTTAATCAAAGGCTGGGCTGTGATCAGAGCTTTGTGGTTGGCACTACTGAATTAATCCAAGTGGATGAATTAATTTTCCTGCCTGGTTAGTGTTAGCAAAAATTATACAGACTGCAAGGTGGGATAAAAGTAATGAACCTGATTCTGTAGTCATCACACAATAATATAAATATATTCACCCAATTGGCTTCTGTCCTTTTATTTTCTCTGTGAGGATGAAGGCTTATATTAAAGATGTGGCCACTAGCCAAAGCAATTTTTAAAGCCATCTTTTGGAATTAACTTCAGAGCTTATGCCAGAGTCTTTTTAATAATCTTGGTTTGATGCACATCTTCATCTTTTAGGGATATACTTGATATTTGGAGAACATCAAAAAGCGTTCACAGCCAAATCTTCTAAATAAGGTGCATGATATTAGCATGATATTACCTGGATGATACCCTTTAAGGTAAAAAATCAGATATAACAAAAAATGATTATAGAATATTGAAAGTGATTTGCTGGTAGTTTCAAAGCCCAAAAATTAACTTCGAAATCACTTCCAATATAGGAGTGGCCAAAGTGTTTTCAGCAAACACAGTGCCCTTGGAACTTGTAAGTATAGAGTAAGTATAGAGTCAGCCAAGGTGACTATTCTAAAAGGGATTACACCAATTTAGATGTTTGTTTAAAAAAATCAATTGTATCACTTTATGGGCTCAGTGTAATGTAATAGGAAGAGCACAAACAGTGAGAGCCAGGCAGATCTACCTCCTCCACCCCTTTCAGCTCTAAGTGACCTTGGACAAGTTATTTAAGCTGCCTGAGCTTCTGCTTCATAATCAGAAAATGCAGATAATAATTCCCACTGGGACTGTTGTGAGGGCTAGAAATATAGTAAGTAAAATACCACATATATTGGCCTATGCATAGTTCAGTATTTGTGTTTTGTTGTTTGATTAATTGATCTATACCCAGCTTCATTTCAAAATAGATCAAAAGTAGCTTAACTGCTTGTTTTCCAACCCTACATAGCCTTATTTAGGAAATAATAATATTAATAAATGTACCATGTGTTCAAGTCATTTATATTAACATTTTTTTCACAATTTTTTAAAATGTCAACTTTTAGATTCAGGGGGTACATGTACAGATTTGTTATCTGGGTATACTGCATGATGCTGAGGTTTGGGATGTGACTGATACTATCACTCAAAACTGAGCATAGTACCCAGTAATTTTTCAACCCATACCCTCCTCTGTCCTTCCCCACTCTAGTAGTCCCCACTGTCTATTGTTACCATCTTTATGTCCGTGAGTACCCAATGTTTAGCTCCCACTTGTAAGTGAGAACATGTAGTGTTTGGTTTTCTGTTCCTGCATTACTTTGCTTAGGACAATGGCCTCCAGCTGCATGCATGTTGCTACAAAGGACATTATTTCACTCTTTTTCATGGCTGCATAGTATTCCATGGTGTATGGTGTATATGTCCCACATTTTCTTTATCCAGCCCACCATTGATGAGCACCTAGGTTGGTTCCATGTCTGTGCTATGGTGAATAGTGCTGTGATGAACATACAAGTGCATGTGCCTTTTTGGTAGAACAATATTCTACCGAGAACAATTGACTTTTGGATGTATACCCAGCAGTGGGATTGCTGGGTCGAATTGTAGTTCTCTGAGAAATCTCCAAACTGCTTTCCACAGTGGCTAACCTAATTTACATTCCACCCAACAGTGCATAGATGTTCCCTTTTCTCCACAGCCTCACTGGCATCTGTTGTTGTTTGAGTTTTTGTAACAGCCATTCTGATTGGGTGAAGTGCTACTTCATTGTGGGTTTGACTTGCAATTCTCTGATGATTAGTGATATTGAACATTTTTTCATATGTTTCTTGGCCACTTGTATGTCTTCTTTTGAGAAGTGTTTGTTCATGTCTTTTCCTCGTTTTAATGGGGTTATTTGGTTTTTGCTTGTTCAACTGTTTAACTTCCTTATAGATTCTGGATTTTAGACCTTTATCAGATGTATAGTTTGCAAATATTTTCGCTCTTTCTATAGGTTATCTGTTTACTCTGTTGTTAGTTTCTTTTGCTGTGCAGAAGCTCTTTAATTTAATTATGTTCCACTTGTCAATCTTTGTGTTTGTTGCTATTGCTTTTGAGGACTTCATCATAAATTCTTTCCCAAGGCTGATGTGGTGTCCCCAAGACCAAATGATGTTTTCTAGGTTTTCTTCTAGAAGTCTTATAGTTTGGTATTTTACATTTATCTTCAATCCACCTTAATTTTTTGCATGGTGGAAAATAGGGGTCTGGTTTCATTCTTCTGCATATCACTAGGCAGCTATCCTAGCACCATTTATTGAACAAGGAGTCCTTTCCCCGTCGCTTATTTTTCTTGACTTCGACTGAAGATCAGATGGCTGTAGGTGTGTAGCTTTCTTTCCGAATTCTCTATTCTGTTCCATTCCTCTATGTGTCTGTTTTTGTACAAGTACCATGATGTTTTGGTCCCTGTGGCCTTATAGTATAGTTTGAAGTCTGGTAATGTGATACCTCTGGCTTTGCTCTTTTTGCTTAGGATTGCTATTCAGGCTCGTTTGTGGTTCCGTATAAATTTTAGAATAGTTTTCTCTAGTTCTGTGAAAAATGATGTTGGTAGTTTGATAGGAATAACATTGAATCTGTAAATTGCTTTGGGTAGTATGGCCATTTCAATGATACTGATTCTTTCAATCCATTTTACCCTTTGTTTGTGTCATCTATGATTTCTTTTAGCAGTGTCTTATAGTTCTCCTTGTAGAGATTGTTATTCTCTTTGCTTAGATGTATTCCTAGATTTTTGGGGGGTGGGGGGCACAGGTATTTGAAACGGAATTGAGTTATTGATTTGGCTCTCAGGTTGAACGTTATTGGTGCATAGATGTGCTACTGATTTTTGTAGATTGATGTCATGTCCTGAAAGTTTGCTGAAGTTATTTATCAGTTCTAGGAGCCTTTTGGCATAGTCTTTAGGGTTTTTTAGATATAGAATCACATTGTCAGGGAAAAGAGAGAGTTTTGACTTCTTCTTTCCCTATTTTGATGCCTTTAATTAGTTTCTCTTGCCTGATTGCTCTGGTTAGGACCTCCAAAACTATGCTGAATAGGTGATGACGGTGGGCATCCTTGCCTTGTTCCAGTTCTCAAAGGTAATGCTTCCAGTTTTTGCCCATTTAGTATGATGTTGGCTGTGGTTTTGTCATAGATGGCTCTTATTATTTTGAGGTATGTTCCTTTGATGCCTACTTTCTTAAGGGCTTTTTATCATGAAGGGATGTTGGATTTCATCAAAAGCTTTTTCCAAGTCTGTTGAGATGATCATATAGTTTTGGTTTTCAATTCTGTTTATGTGGTGATCCACATTTATTGATTTGCATATGTTGAACCAACCTTGCATCCCAGCAATGAAGCCTACTTGATCAAGGATCACTTTTTGATGTGCTGTTGGATTCAGTTTGCTGGTATTTGGTTGAGGATTTTTGTGTCTATGTTTGTCAAGGATATTGGTCTCTAGTTTTCTTTTTCCACTGTGTCTTTTCCAGGTTTTTGGTATCAGGATAATGGCTGGCTTTGTGGAATGAGTTAGGGAGTCCCTTCTCCATAATTTTTGTAATAGTTTCAGTAGAATTGGTACCAGCTCTTTGCATATCTGGTAGAATTCAGCTGTGAATCCATCTGTTACAGGGTTTTTTTTTTCAGTTGGTAGGTTTTTGTTTTTTTTTGTATTACTGATTCAGTTTTGGAACTTGGTTTGTTCAAGGTTTCAATTTCTTTCTGATTCAATTTTTGGAGAGTGTGTGTTTCCAGGAATTTATCCATTTCCTCTAGATTTTCTAGTTTGTGTGTATAGAGGTGTTCATAATAGTCTGTGAGTATCTATTGTATTTCTGTGTGATTGGTTATAATGTCACTTTTGTCATTTCCGATTGTATTTATTTGGATCTTCTTTTTTTCTTTGTTTACCTAGGTAGCAGTCTATTAATCTTGTTTATCCTTTCAAATAACCAACTTTTGGCTTCACTGATTCTATGTATAGATTTTTGGGTCTCAATTTTCTTCATTCTTGCTCTGATTTTAGTTATTTCTTCTTTTCTGCTAGCTTTGGGGTTAGTTTGTTCTTGTTTTTCTAGTTCCTCTAGGTGTGATGTTAGATTGTTAATTTGAGAACTTTCTAAGTTTTTGAGGTAGGCATTTAGCACTATAAACTCTCCTTTTAACACTGCTTTTGCTGCATCCCAGAGATTTTGGTATCTGTGTCTCTCTTTTCATTTATTTCAGAGAATGTTTTGATTTCTGAGTTAATATCATCATTTACCCAAAAGTCATTTAGGAGCAAGTTGCTTAATTTCCATGTAATTGTGTGGTTTTGAGAGATCTTCTTGGTATTGATTTCTATTTTATTCCATTGTGATCCAAGAATATGGCTGGTATGATTTTAATTTTGATTTTTTTGAATTCATGGAGACTTGCTTTATGGCCAAGCATGTGTTTGATCTTGGAGTATGTTCCATGTGCATGCAGTTGAGAAGAATGTATAGTCTGTGGTTAATGGGTGAAGTATTCCGTAGATGTCTTTTAGGTCCAATTGGTCAAATGTAGAATTTAAGTCCAGAATTTCTTTGTTAGTTTTTTGCTTTGATGATCTAACACTGTTAGTGGGGTGTTGAAGTCCCCTACTACTATTGTATGGCTAAGTCTTTTCATAGGTCTAGAAGAACTTGTTTTATGAATCTGGGTGCTCTAATGTTGGGTGTGTGTGTGTGTGTGTGTCTATATATATATATATATATATATATATATATATATACATATATATATATATATATACATATATATATATACACATACATGATAGCTAAGCTTTCTTGTTGAATTGAACCCTTTATCATTATGTAATGCTCTTCTTTGTTCTCTATCACTGACGTACACAAACTTCTCTCTGTGTTAAGATGGTATGATGCCTTTTGCTCTTTTTTACATTGCATTTGCCTTATGTCTGACCCTTCTTCTAACACTACTTCTGAATATGCTAAAAGGGACAGTTTATTGGAAATGCTCATCAATGATTGCTTAAGGAAAGAGCAACTAAAGTAATTTACAGCCTCCCCTTCTATCAATCCCAAATCAACACGAGCCTCTGCTACACATTATGAGATACCTGGATTCAACTGCTGAATCATGAACTATTCTATTTCTAAATGGTGCACTGAAGTGGAATTCCCTCTTTTTGTTCACCTTTTCCACCCAAGCTGTGGAACATTCTAGAACCATAGACCAGAAAGCCATCTGTGCTTCACCACTGGTAACGTGGAGACCCTCATCCTGTAGCCAGGATGCCACAGCACCCCTTCTTCATGTTTTGCAGGTGTCCCTGAGGAGGGGACTATTCTGCATGTGTCTTCCAGGTCATCCAACTTTTTTGTAGAGGAAGAGAGATTTTCTTCCATCAGCCGCTCTTCCTCTATTTGCCTCTGTCTTCCTCCAGAGGCACATGGGTCATCATCAAGGACATTTATTAGATGATGTCACTTCTTTCCTAAGCTTGCTTAGGATGCTCACTAGCTCATGAAATCCAGAACCCATAAGAACAGCAGCACTTAATATGAGTCACAAGGTGTTACAATTGTTGTCATTGTTTTAACTCTGGGCTGCTTTTGTATCTTGAGTATATTTCTATTTTGCACTTATCACCAGGTATCATAACTGTCAGAGCTGTCTGCCCTAAACCATAGTTTAGAAACTTTTACATCCCCTTTGCCTTGCACAGTGACTGGTACATGTCTGATAAATGCCCATTGGATTAACACACTCAGATGCAGGAGAATGTTGAATCATTTGCATTCTTTAGGCACTTAAAGCATTAGAAGAAGTTGAAGGAGTTTGCATGAGTGAATAAGGGCAGCAAAGATTTAAGATAGAAAGAAGAAATGAGTTCTTCTCCAAAGGCTGATCATGCCAATGTCTAGAAGTCTATAAGGCCCCAACTATTGGGTGGGAGGGGTGGGGGATAAAGATTTTTCCTTTTTCAGTTACTAAAAATTCCTTTACCACCTTCTGTATACCCTCTGTGCTTGGCATCAGAAAATCAAAGATACATGACAAAACATCTTTTTCTTAAGGACTTGATACTTACAAAGAATTACCACTCAGAATGATAGAAGCCATGATAAATTTTATATATATACACACACACATATATATATATATAATTTATATATGTGTGTGTGTGTGTGTGTATAAAATGGTGTGAGTATGTGTGAGACGGAGAGAGAAAGGGAAAGGGAGAGAGAGAAAAAGCACAGCGGGCACAAAGGGAGGCTTAGTTGGGCCTTATCAATCCCCTGCTTAAACTCCCCAGTAGCATGCCACCACACTTGAAATAAAATCCACATCCTTTACCATGATGTACCAGACCCTGCCCAACTCAGCCCCTTTCCATCTCTTTGTCCTCATCGCCCATCACACTGTCCCTTACTCACGCCACACCTGCCTACAAACATTATTTCTGTCCTTGAACACAGCTGATCCTTTCTCACCTCAAAGCCCTTGCCCTCAGATCTTCACAAGGCCACCTCTTTCTTGATTATTCAGACCTCAACTCAAATATCTCATTCTTTGAATAATATCTACATAATGTCCTCTCCTCAGTCATTTTCTATGGCGTTACTCTGTTTTGTATTACCTTCATAAAATGTTTCCCTATGAAGTTATCTTGTTTACTTACTTACATAATTATTGTCTGCCCTTTTTTCCCTCTGACCCCCGACCCAGTGCACTAGAATGGGGACTTCCTGAAAGCAGGGAAGCCTCCTCTGGCTTGCTCACTGTTCTGCCCCAGTGCCTCGAATGTGCCTGGAGGCTGGCACCTAATTAACATTCATCAAGTATGAATGTGGCCTGGGGAAGACAAGAAAGATTCACCAAAGAAAAGTTATAGGTTAAAATATGCCATGAATAGGGAGGGCAGTTAGGGCCAACACCAGGACTTTGGCTGTTAGAATGCAGGGTGCGGGATGAAGTGTGGAGATGGACTAAAGGGGTGAAGCATCCCAAGGTCTTTGTTGGCCAGGAATAGGACTCAAGAGCCCAGACCCCAGAGCTAGAGTGCAAAGATCAAATGTCAGGGGGCCTCCCTTACCAGATGTGTGACCTGGGACAATCACCTAACCTTTCTAATCACTTGTTTCTTCATTTTCAGAAGAGCTGATAATGGCAGTACTCTTCATTAGCTAGTGTGAAGGTTAAATGTGTCACGTGGAAAATGCCTAGTAGTACCTGGGACATAGTTAGCTAAGCATTTATACTGTGCCCTAGAAGGGAATCACTGAAGAGTTTGAGGAGTAGGGTTATGGGATTCAGATTTGTATTTTTTAAAGATCATCAGGCTGGCAGTGGGGAGGATGGACTGGAGGGGGCTGATAAATCAGAGTCAAGGAAACAACCAGGTAGTCAAGACAGACCAAGACAAAGCAGTGGCAGCAAGACTGATCCAAGAGTTATTAAGACAGTGGACTCTGGCATCAGTTTGAGGAGGGAGATAAGGGAAGGAGATGATTCAGTGGGTGGCTGGTGGTACCATTTGCCCATATGGGAAATACAGGAGGGAACCCAGTTTGAGAGCGAGGGTGGGTAGGGAAGGTGAGGAGGTGTGATTTCTTCAGCTGTGGCTGGCTGAGTTGAAGTGTTATGGGAACTCCAGGTGGAGCTTCCCAGAGAGAAAACCCCCACATCTTTCTGATCACAATATAACCCTAATATGATTAGCATTGTACTTATCAGTACCTAATAAATATTAGCGCTTAATATTTGGTGTTTAAAATTTTTGCTTTTGAAGAAAATACTGTGAGAAACATTTTTGTCCACATTCAAGTTTTTTCTTTTAGACTTCTATATGTAGAATTACTGGGGCAAAAGGTATGTTACCTTTTGAAGAATTTAATTCATCTTGCCAAATTGCTTTTCAAAAATTTTGTACCAATAATATACTCCCACAATAACCTAGGATTTTTAA
Organism: Homo sapiens; assembly: GCF_000001405.40. Classification (NCBI taxonomy): domain Eukaryota; kingdom Metazoa; phylum Chordata; class Mammalia; order Primates; family Hominidae; genus Homo; species Homo sapiens. The sequence continues at coordinate 69,520,293 of NC_000009.12, read as the reverse complement.
AAAGCAGCTTAAATGTTTTTTATAAATACCACTCCCAAAGTTGCCAGCGTATGGAGAACAGTCCTCTTGTGTGTAGGGATAAACCTAAGCATCAACTTCGGCTCCTTCCTTAAAAGTTGACAATTGCCTTTTTGTCCTAGGGAAACCCCCAAAGTCAATGTCTGTTATTCATTAACATGTTGCAATACCACAACCCAAATCATATTCTTGGAAACATGATGGTGTGTAAAATACAAACACTGTATGTGTAAATACTCCCGTGAGGTCTGTGGATGGGGGTATAAGGAGAAGGTACTTAGTGAACAAAAAGATCTATTGTACCAAAACTACATTAACACTATCTTCCACCACCCCCTGCCCCACCAGAGAACTTCCTTTACCACAGTTTAGTGTATATACACGCAAGGAAGTTCCATTTCCTTTGAATCAATACATGGGTTATAAGAGGGCACCATTCACCGATTTTAACCCAGAATAAGCTAAAATTTCTTTTTAATACATATGTCAATAGATTTTCATCAAGCTAAAGAACAGCCATTTTCCCTGAAGGCAGCATTTTGGTCAGTTCCACATATGGTTATCATGAATTGTTGGTCATTCAGGTACTTTCTGTGGTTTTTGTTACTGTTTTTCTTACGCTGACCACACACAACTGTGACACCTCTGGGTAACAGAACCCAAGAAAGTCTGTGATATGTTTGCTATCCCTTTCTGTGAATGCTCACTTTGTGTTTATTAGAATTAGATTTGTACCTTAAGAACCCAATGTAGATTTAATGAAGGTTTATCTGTTGTCTTTTTGAGAAAGTCCTTATGAAGGCAACTTGGGTATGATGTTCTTGTCCATGTGTTGTATTGAATTGAATATTTGTTTTGTGTTTCTTATAATCCACTGGAGGCCCGTAGCAGCAACACTTGCTGCTTCTGTTTAGAGCAGGGGTCCCCAACCACTGGGCCATGGACCAGTATTGGAGCATGAACTCTATTGTGAACTGCACATGCAAAGGATCTAGGTCATGCACTCTTATGAAAATCTAACTAATGCCTCATGATCTGAGGTGGAACAGCTTCTAATCATTCCCCACCCCACCCTGCTGCTGGTTTACAGCCTTAACCATCCATCAAGGTTTGAAGGGAGATTCATACTTGCTTTTGGAGACTTTCTTATACTTAGTCCACAGTCGCTGTTCTCAGGAGTTAATGGGAGGAGCCCAAAATTTTTCAAAAGAGGTTGGGTCTAATTTGTATCAAGTGGGACTTATGTCAAGTAGCGAAGCAATAAAGATTGTTCATCTCTTGTAAACCGTGATTCTTTTCTTCTAGCGAGAATCAGTCAGGGGTGGATCCATCAAAGAATGGGGAAGACATGATACTTCTGCTTGAATGTGGACTTGGTAGCTCCAAAATGATCTCCTTTGTTATTGGGATGGTCATCAATGCTTGAAGGAAATTGCTGTGGTTGTGATGGGGAGTTGAGTAGAATATAATGCATCTCACTACTAGAGAGTCCATCAGATGTCCCTGGTCCTCCTGGGGTTGTCTGTTATCATATTTAAGAGTTCACTTCCCATCCATTGTGTCCATTTGTAAGAAAGGCTCTCCAAAAGAACATAATAGCAAGTTTACACATACTGTTGAGCCTATTTACCATAGGGATCTCAAAATCATAGGGGTCCTGCCTGTTTTGTTGTGGTTGTTTACATTCTTTGTGTCTATTTCTATATACTGCACAGATTATACCATAAAGCTATTTTGTGATAAGAAGAATTGAGAGAGACTGAAACCAAATCTTTCTCTCGAGCTACAAGTTTCTCTGAAAATAGAAAGAGACCTACCCATATTTTTAAAAAATTACACCTGTTATCCAGTTCTAGCTATAATGGCAACTCATAAAATCTTAGAATTTTAGATTCAGGTTACATGGGGAAAGTGAATATAGTCCTCCCTTGGTATCCATGGGGGTTGGTTTCAGGACCCCAGTGGATATAAAAATCCATTATAAAATGGTATAGTATTTGCATATGATCTATGCACATCCTCCCATATACTGTAAATCATCTCTAGATTTCTCATAATACCTAATACAATATAAATGCTATATAAATTGTTGTTATACTGTATTTTTACTTGCATTATTTTTTATTGTTGTATTGTGTTGGATATTTTCCCCTAATATTGTCTTCCGTGGTTGGTTGTATCCTGGATGCTGAGTGCGCAATAGGGAAGCCTAACTATTAGAAACCAGCTGCTATGTAACATTGGCCTCTAGGAAAAAGTGTCTCCTGGTCAAACAAGTTAGGGAAACCCTGTGTCCTGCATCTTCCTCCTTCTGGATATTAACAATGAAAAGTCAACTGTAACTCAGCATTTTCCAAACTTACTTGACCACCGAGTCTTTTTTACCCTATATAATAGCTGTTAACATCCTGCATGTAGGAAATGAGTCCAGTCACACCGTGGAGGTCCAGAAAATTAAGCCACTTGCCTGAGGTCACAAAGTCAGTAATGACAGAACCGGGGCGGGACCCCACTGCTGGCTGATAGCCTCTCTCAGAATGGCTTCAAAAGGTGTTCAAGATTATGTTTCTTTGAAATTGATGTAAAGAGTGATTTCTAAAGTTGTAGGATCCTAGTTTAATTTGGAGAGATTTATCTGTTAGCAGATGGAAAATGTGTCAGTTGGCCCATTCAATTTAGTAGTACTCTTTATTCAGATGCATCAGAAATGGGACCTGAATCGTATGCGTGGTGGAGAACAAAACGTTCCTGAGGCGCTCAGTGTGAGGGGTGGGAACGGAGAAAGGCAATAAGCAATTAAACAAGTAGATATGTAATTACAAATTATGATGCGTGCTATGTATGTGCTGTCAGATTGAACTTAAATTTGCAGTCTTTTTTTAATTGACCCAGAACTAAAAGGAATCAATAGCAGTTGTTTTTATGGTTATCTGAATACTCAGCTCATAACGACTGTTTGCACCACGTGACAGCCTCTCCCCTTCTTGTTTTTCCAGCCCAGTGGAGCAAAATGAGAGCGCAGTGAGCCGGGCCCAGCTTCTCTCCTAGCCGTTCCGACTCCCACCATGAACCACTTGGAGGGGTCTGCGGAGGTGGAGGTGACCGACGAGGCGGCAGGTGGGGAGGTGAACGAGTCGGTGGAGGCCGACCTGGAGCACCCCGAGGTGGAAGAGGAACAGCAGCAGCCGCCGCAGCAGCAGCACTATGTGGGCCGCCACCAGCGCGGGCGAGCCCTCGAGGACCTCCGCGCCCAGCTCGGCCAGGAGGAAGAGGAGCGCGGGGAATGCCTGGCGCGCTCAGCCAGCACGGAGAGCGGCTTCCACAACCACACGGACACCGCCGAGGGCGACGTGATCGCCGCGGCCCGCGACGGCTACGATGCGGAGCGCGCGCAGGACCCCGAGGACGAGAGCGCCTATGCTGTGCAGTACCGGCCCGAGGCCGAGGAGTACACGGAGCAGGCAGAGGCCGAGCACGCCGAGGCCACGCACCGCCGCGCGCTGCCCAACCACCTGCACTTCCACTCGCTGGAGCACGAGGAAGCCATGAATGCGGCCTACTCAGGCTACGTCTACACGCACCGGCTCTTCCACCGCGGTGAGGACGAGCCCTACTCCGAGCCCTATGCCGACTACGGCGGCCTCCAGGAGCACGTGTACGAGGAGATAGGGGACGCGCCCGAGCTGGACGCACGCGACGGCCTGCGGCTCTACGAGCAGGAGCGCGACGAGGCGGCCGCGTACCGCCAGGAGGCCCTGGGCGCGCGGCTGCACCATTACGACGAGCGCTCCGACGGCGAGTCCGACAGCCCCGAGAAGGAGGCCGAGTTCGCGCCCTACCCGCGCATGGACAGCTACGAGCAGGAGGAGGACATCGACCAGATAGTGGCCGAGGTGAAGCAGAGCATGAGCTCGCAGAGCCTCGACAAGGCAGCCGAGGACATGCCTGAGGCCGAGCAGGACCTGGAGCGTCCCCCTACCCCGGCCGGGGGTCGCCCCGACAGCCCCGGGCTGCAGGCGCCGGCGGGGCAGCAGCGGGCGGTGGGCCCCGCGGGCGGCGGCGAGGCGGGGCAGCGGTACAGCAAGGAGAAGCGCGATGCCATCTCGCTGGCCATCAAGGACATCAAGGAGGCCATCGAGGAGGTGAAAACCAGGACCATCCGTTCGCCTTACACCCCCGACGAGCCCAAAGAGCCCATCTGGGTCATGCGCCAGGACATTAGCCCCACCAGGGACTGTGACGACCAGAGGCCGATGGACGGAGATGTAAGTAGGTGCGGGTTTGGGCTTCCTCGGCCCCACGCGGTGGGAGGGAAGATGGCGCCCCATGGCCTTGTGTGCCCTTGGGTAGTGACTTTACGGGAAGTAGTCTGTGGGGACGCTAAGAACTTTTCCACCGTAAGCCTCAGAAACAGCTTGCACCTAAACTGTCAAACGCCAGCGGGAGAGAATTAAAGTGTTGAATGCACTCATCAGATTCTTAGCAGGATGGCCTCAAATCAGTGCTTCCCACACTGTGCCTGGAGACCTTGTGAGAAATGCATTATTGGGTACATCGCCCTCCACCCCCCGCCCCCCCCCCCCCCAGTTTCTGATTCAGAAAGTATGGAGTGGGGCCCGAGAATTTGTATTTCTAATGCCAAATAAAAAACAAGCCATGCTTGAGGAAGGAGAGACTTCACTGGAAAGGATTATTGCAAAGGGGAGAAAGATACTGTTTCGTTTTAGGGAGGAAGGACTGTTGCCATATGAGAACCTCTGACCTTAAGATCTTTAAGGGTCTCTAGAGTTAGGTACAAGGGGGAAGTTGTTTTATAGGGAGGAGTAGCCAAGTAGAAAGAATAGGGTATGTGAAAGTGGCATGAAAAGGGTGGGAGTTGAATGTGCTGTGGATCAGAGAATGTTTCCACCTGAGACCAGCGTTTTCTCAGGAGTGGTTGTATGCTGGCCAAAGTTCACGCACCTGGAGGAAGGAGAGACACTTAACCAAAGTTTGGTTAGCAAGCAGTTCAGCTGATCGTTTGTGAAGAAAGAATGGGAATGTGGAGGGTCTGCGTCTGGCCTTGTCATAGGAAAACAAGAGGAGCATCCCTATCCCTGCTCTGTGTCAGAAAAGAAGGAGTTTCCCAGAACACAAAAGGTTGGGGGTATTTCTTCATTTTGTTTCTCTGGTTCTCAGGTAAAGTTCAACGTTGTCACTAACAAGTTCTCATGCGATGCTCCTGGTCCCAGGACGACAATTTGAGAACTGCCTTATATCAATCCCTTGAAGATCTGGGATGGGTAGTGTGCCCTCTTTGGAGGATAGCCTTCCAAGCCTTTTTCCGCCAGGGGTTTCTGCAGTTTTGTTTATTTGTTTTGTTTTGTTTTGTGACGGAGTCTTGCTCTGTCACCCAGGCTGGAGTGCAGTGATGCAATCTCCGCTCACCGTAACCTCTGCCTCCCAGGTTCAAGCAATTCTACCTCAGTCTCCCAAGTAGCTGGGATTACAGGCAGGTGTCACCACGTCCAGCTAATTTTTGTATTTTTTAGTAGAGACGGGGTTTCATAACGTTGGCCAGGCTGGTCTCGAACCGCTGGCCACAAGTGAACCACTCACCTCGGCCTCCCCAAGTGCTGGGATTACAGATGTGAGCCACAGCACCTGGCCGGTTTCTGCAATTTTTTTTGTTTTGGTTTGGTTTTTTGAGACAGAATTTCACTCTTTTTGCCCAGGCTGGAGTGCAATGGTGTGATCTCGGCTCACTGCAACCTCCGCCTCCCAGGTTCAAGTGATTTTCCTGCCTCAGTCTCCTGAGTAGCTGGGATGACAGGCGCATCCACTATGCCCAACTAATCTTGTATTTTTAGTAGGAGTGGGGTTTCACCATGTTGGCTAGGCTGGGCTTGAACTCCTAACCTCAGGTGATCTGCCTGCCTTGGCTTCCCAAAGTGCTGGGATTACAGATGTGAAACACCACTCCCAGGCTCTGCAGTTTTTTTCACCCACCCTATGCCTCATTGTGGTAGGTGCCTAATTTTTCACATCTGGTGGTATCAGGGTATCCTTCCCACTTCACAAAAGATATGTATTCTGTTTTAAAGCAAATTGTGTTTCATTGTGAAGAGCTACACAAAGTAACTGATGCCACTATTGACATTTTCCATTTTTGAAATACCTAAGAAATGTGATAACATGGCAAGCTTAGGTGTCACAATCTGTTCAGAATATATCAGGAAGACTAACCTTTGCTCTGACTCGTTTGCTATAAAGATTCTCTCTGCTTCTACTCTCCCTTTCCATACTCTTGAATAATTTTGAAGCCTTTCATTTAAAAATGGATCTTGGAGTAAGATAAGGGTCAAGAGCTTATATTCAATTTCATTTAATTCTGCATTTTATGATTGCACCAGGCCATTTCTCAATATATATCTTTGGAGTGAGAAACCATTATTGTAAGGTATTTGTTCATTTTACTTACACATAAAGAGCTACGCAGGTCAGAGTGGTAGCATTCACCTCCTCTTTAAGGAATAGTCAGCATTTTCTGTTAGCCGATTAGGAAAGGTTGGAAACCAGTAGGGAAGGGAACTTCATTCTCCCCAGCAAGGGGACAGCATTGGGTCAGTGAGCTCAGACATGTCCTGTCTTTGTTTTCTAGGCTTCTGATTTAGTGAAAAATAAGTGCACTCACGTGTAGAATTCTCCTTGACCTCCAGCTGTCTCCAGATTCCTCCCAGCTAGGAGGGATTGCAGCAAGCATTTTGCAAATGAGGTGGAAATAGAGCAGGTTTTCAAAAGTAGGGAGTTGACAAAAGGCTGGCTTCTGTATCCTTTTAGAAACCTGGAAAGCCACCAGAGGAAAAAGCTGCAGGCACAGTTGGTCCAGATGCTGGCCTCTTCCTTCAGCTTTCTCCAGTGCACCAGCTCCTTGAAATGACCTGCTTAACCAATTGCCCCTGCAGCCTCACAGTGAGCCCACAGTACAGCCTATGGTAGGGTTAGAGGCTGGCTTTTATTCATTTGAACTAGGAGAACAACTTAATTCTCTTGCATGCTGTTTCATTCAAAAGGTGAAATTAATTATAGAACATTGTATGATGCTTTAGGAACCAACCATGTCAGAAAATCAGCTTGATGCTAAGAAATCAATATGGATCACTGGGTTATGAATAGTTAATATAAAGTGAAACTGAAAACCTGTGCTTTAAAGTATTCCAGCAGTCATTTTTAAGCTATTTGTGGGTTGTATTTAATCTGTCATGCCATATTTATAGGAAAGACCTTCCTTTGCTGCCTCTTTAATGGTCTACTGAGAATATAATGATATTATATTCTGTTGATTTCCATCTCAGCATCAAAAAATATTTACTGAACACTAGTTCTCCATGTATGCTGTTATAGAAAATGGAAAGGTGTTTTAAAACCATGTGATCTGAAGTCTGTCTGGGTGGTACTTATTAGAAATGCAAGTTACTGCCCTTCGTTTCCAAACCAGAATACCTGATGTGGGTCTCAGTGATCTGGTTGTTTCATTTTATTTTATTTTGTTTTGTAAACTTTCCCTGAGATTCGTAAGCATGTGAAAGATTGAGAACTACTGATTTAAAGGAAAAAATGTATTATCTGGGCACTTTCCCCATGTAAGTGCTGTGGATATAAGATTTAACTAAATCTTTTATTAGCACAGATAAAGTTTTAACAAAAAGAGGTATCTCACTGTGATTATGGTCAGCAGACCTGGAGAAATGGTATTCTTACAAAAGCAGAATTTTGAGTATTTGCATTCTCAAAATGGCAAGATCACAAACTATAATGAAGCAAATAAAAGGAGACAAAAAAACCTGTATTGCCATTTGTCAGCCACCGTTGCTAATTGCTAAATCTGTTTTTAACACTACTTTTAATTCCCCCAGAACTTAAGTGCTTTTTTCTTGGAGCAAACTGGCATTTGTTTGCTGGTGAGTTGTATATAGAGAGAAAATGGGATTGCTAATCCATAAGAGTTTACTGAACACTCTCTCAGCACTGAGAGAAAATAACTGTGTTCTAAACATTTGAAAAAAATACTTATGTGATTTTCTTCTAGTAAGGAGTTTCACTTTTCTAAATATATGCCTGAGAAGTATCTCCCAATCCCCTTCTTGAAAAATATTGATAATGAAAACCTGTCCTTTTTCTTTTCTTTTCTTTTTTTCTTTTTATTTATTTATTTATTTATTTATTATACTTTAAGTTTTAGGGTACATGTGCACATTGTGCAGGTTAGTTACATATGTATACGTGTGCCATGCTGGTGCGCTGCACCCACTAACTCGTCATCTAGCATTAGGTATATCTCCCAATGCTATCCCTCCCCCCTACCCCCACCCCACCACAGTCCCCAGAGTGTGATATTCCCCTTCCTGTGTCCATGTGATCTCATTGTTCAATTCCCGCCTATGAGTGAGAATATGCGGTGTTTGGTTTTCTGTTCTTGCGATAGTTTACTGAGAATGATGATTTCCAATTTCATCCATGTCCCTACAAAGGACATGAACTCATCATTTTTTATGGCTGCATAGTATTCCATGGTGTATATGTGCCACATTTTCTTAATCCAGTCTGTCATTGTTGGACATTTGGGTTGGTTCCAAGTCTTTGCTATTGTGAATAATGCCGCAGTAAACATACGTGTGCATGTGTCTTTATAGCAGCATGATTTATAGTCCTCTGGGTATATACCCAGTAATGGGATGGCTGGGTCAAATGGTATTTCTAGTTCTAGATCCCTGAGGAATCGCCACACTGACTTCCACAATGGTTGAACTAGTTTACAGTACCACCAACAGTGTAAAAGTGTTCCTATTTCTCCACATCCTCTCCAGCACCTGTTGTTTCCTGACTTTTTAGTGATTGCCATTCTAACTGGTGTGAGATTGTATCTCATTGTGGTTTTGATTTGCATTTCTCTGATGGCCAGTGATGATGAGCATTTTTTCATGTGTTTTTTGGATGCATAAATGTCTTCTTTTGAGAAGTGTCTGTTCATGTCCTTCGGCCACTTTTTGATGGGGTTGTTTGGTTTTTTCTTGTAAATTTGTTTGAGTTCATTGTAGATTCTGGATATTAGCCCTTTGTCAGATGAGTAGGTTGCGAAAATTTGCTCCCATTTTGTAGGTTGCCTGTTCACTCTGATGGTAGTTTCTTTTGCTGTGCAGAAGCTCTTTAGTTTAATTAGATCCCATTTGTCCATTTTGGCTTTTGTTGCCATTGCTTTTGGTGTTTTGGACATGAAGTCCTTGCCCATGCCTATGTCCTGAATGGTAATGCCTAGGTTTTCTTCTAGGGTTTTTATGGTTTTAGGTCTAACGTTTAAGTCTTTAATCCATCTTGAATTGATTTTTGTATAAGGTGTAAGGAAGGGATCCAGTTTCAGCTTTCTACATATGGCTAGCCAGTTTTCCCAGCACCATTTATTAAATAGGGAATCCTTTCCCCATTGCTTATTTTTCTCAGGTTTGTCAAAGATCAGATAGTTGTAGATATGCGGCGTTATTTCTGAGGGCTCTGTTCTGTTCCATTGATCTATATCTCTGTTTTGGTACCAGTACCATGCTGTTGTGGTGACTGTAGCCTTGTAGTATAGTTTGAAGTCAGGTAGCGTGATGCCTCCAGCTTTGTTCTTTTGGCTTAGGATTGCCTTGGCGATGCGGGCTCTTTTTTGGTTCCATATGAACTTTAAAGTAGTTTTTTCCAATTCTGTGAAGAAAGTCATTGGTAGCTTGATGGGGATGGCATTGAATCTGTAAATTACCTTGGGCAGTATGGCCATTTTCACGATATTGATTCTTCCTACCCATGAGCATGGAATGTTCTTCCATTTGTTTGTATCCTCTTTTATTTCCTTGAGCAGTGGTTTGTAGTTCTCCTTGAAGAGGTCCTTCACATCCCTTGTAAGTTGGATTCCTAGGTATTTTATTCTCTGTGAAGCAATTGTGAATGGGAGTTCACTTATGATTTGGCTCTCTGTTTGTCTGTTATTGGTGTATAAGAATGCTTGTGATTTTTATACATTGATTTTGTATCCTGAGACTTTGCTGAAGTTGCTTATCAGCTTAAGGAGATTTTGGGCTGAGACAGTGGGGTTTTCTAGATATACAATCATGTCATCTGCAAACAGGGACAATTTGACTTCCTCTTTTCCTAATTGAATACCCTTTATTTCCTTCTCCTGCCTAATTGCCCTGGCCAGAACTTCCAACACTATGTTGAATAGGAGTGGTGAGAGAGGGCATCCCTGTCTTGTGCCAGTTTTCAAAGGGAATGCTTCCAGTTTTTGCCCATTCGGTATGATATTGGCTGTGGGTTTGTCATAGATAGCTCTTATTATTTTGAAATACATCCCATCAATACCTAATTTATTGAGAGTTTTTAGCATGAAGGGTTGTTGAATTTTGTCAAAGGCCTTTTCTTCATCTATTGAGATAATCATGTGGTTTTTGTCTTTGGCTCTGTTTATATGCTGGATTACATTTATTGATTTGCGTATATTGAACCAGCCTTGCATCCCAGGGATGAAGCCCACTTGATCATGGTGTATAAGCTTTTTGATGTGCTGCTGGATTCGTTTTGCCAGTATTTTATTGAGGATTTTTGCATCAATGTTCATCAAGGATATTGGTCTAAAATTCTCTTTTTTGGTTGTGTCTCTGCCCGGCTTTGGTATCAGAATGATGCTGGCCTCATAAAATGAGTTAGGGAGGATTCCCTCTTTTTCTCTTGATTGGAATAGTTTCAGAAGGAATGGTACCAGTTCCTCCTTGTACCTCTGGTAGAATTTGGCTGTGAATCCATCTGGTCCTGGACTCTTTTTGGTTGGTAAACTATTGATTATTGCCACAATTTCAGCTCCCGTTATTGGTCTGTTCAGAGATTCAACTTCTTCCTGGTTTAGTCTTGGGAGAGTGTATGTGTCGAGGAATGTATCCATTTCTTCTAGATTTTCTAGTTTATTTGCGTAGAGGTGTTTGTAGTATTCTCTGATGGTAGTTTGTATTTCTGTGGGATCGGTGGTGATATCCCCTTTATCATTTTTTATTGTGTCTATTTGATTCCTCTCTCTTTTTTTCTTTATTAGTCTTGCTAGCGGTCTATCAGTTTTGTTGATCCTTTCAAAAAACCAGCTCCTGGATTCATTAATTTTTTGAAGGGTTTTTTGTGTCTCTATTTCCTTCAGTTCTGCTCTGATTTTAGTTATTTCTTGCCTTCTGCTAGCTTTTGAATGTGTTTGCTCTTGCTTTTCTAGTTCTTTTAATTGTGATGTTAGGGTGTCAATTTTGGATCTTTCCTGCTTTCTCTTGTGGGCATTTAGTGCTATAAATTTCCCTCTACACACTGCTTTGAGTGCGTCCCAGAGATTCTGGTATGTTGTGTCTTTGTTCTCGTTGGTTTCAAAGAACATCTTTATTTCTGCCTTCATTTCGTTATGTATCCAGTAGTCATTCAGGAGCAGGTTGTTCAGTTTCCATGTAGTTGAGCGGTTTTGAGTGAGATTCTTAATCCTGAGTTCTAGTTTGATAGCACTGTGGTCTGAGAGATAGTTTGTTATAATGTCTGTTCTTTTACATTTGCTGAGGAGAGCTTTACTTCCAAGTATGTGGTCAATTTTGGAATAGCTGTGGTGTGGTGCTGAAAAAAATGTATATTCTGTTGATTTGGGGTGGAGAGTTCTGTAGATGTCAATTAGGTCCACCTGGTGCAGAGCTGAGTTCAATTCCTGGGTATCCTTGTTGACTTTCTGTCTCGTTGATCTGTCTAATGTTGACAGTGGGGTGTTAAAGTCTCCCATTATTAAAGTGTGGGAGTCTAAGTCTCTTTGTAGGTCACTCAGGACTTGCTTTATGAATCTGGGTGCTCCTGTATTGGGTGCATATATATTTAGGATAGTTAGCTCTTCTTGTTGAATTGATCCCTTTACCATTATGTAATGGCCTTCTTTGTCTCTTTTGATCTTTGTTGGTTTAAAGTCTGTTTTATCAGAGACTAGGATTGCAACCCCTGCCTTTTTTTGTTTTCCATTTGCCTGGTAGATCTTCCTCCATCCTTTTATTTTGAGCCTATGTGTGTCTCTGCACGTGAGATGGGTTTCCTGAATACAGCACACTGATGGGTCTTGACTCTTTATCCAATTTGCCAGTCTGTGTCTTTTAATTGGAGCATTTGGTCCATTTACATTTAAAGTTAATATTGTTATGTGTGAATTTGATCCTGTCATTATGATGTTAGCTGGTGATTTTGCTCGTTAGTTGATGCAGTTTCTTCCTAGCCTCGATGGTCTTTACATTTTGGCATGATTTTGCAGCGGCTGGTACCGGTTGTTCCTTTCCATGTTTAGCGCTTCCTTCAGGAGCTCTTTTAGGGCAGGCCTGGTGGTGACAAAATCTCTCAGCATTTGCTTGTCTGTAAAGTATTTTATTTCTCCTTCACTTATGAAGCTTAGTTTGGCTGGATATGAAATTCTGGGTTGAAAATTCTTTTCTTTAAGAATGTTGAATATTGGCCCCCACTCTCTTCTGGCTTGTAGGGTTTCTGCTGAGAGATCCACTGTTAGTCTGATGGGCTTCCCTTTGAGGGTAACCCGACCTTTCTCTCTGGCTGCCCTTAACATTTTTTCCTTCATTTCAACCTTGGTGAATCTGACAATTATGTGTCTTGGAGTTGCTCTTCTCAAGGAGTATCTTTGTGGCGTTCTCTGTATTTCCTGAATCTGAACGTTGGCCTGCCTTGCTAGATTGGGGAAGTTCTCCTGGATAATATCCTGCAGAGTGTTTTCCAACTTGGTTCCATTCTCCCCATCACTTTCAGGTACACCAATCAGACGTAGATTTGGTCTTTTCACATAGTCCCATACTTCTTGGAGGCTTTGCTCATTTCTTTTTATTCTTTTTTTCTCTAAACTTCCCTTCTCGCTTCATTTCATTCATTTCATCTTCCATCGCTGATACCCTTTCTTCCAGTTGATCGCATCGGCTCCTGAGGCTTCTGCATTCTTCACGTAGTTCTCGAGCCTTGGTTTTCAGCTCCATCAGCTCCTTTAAGCACTTCTCTGTATTGGTTATTCTAGTTATACATTCTTCTAAATTTTTTTCAAAGTTTTCAACTTCCTTGCCTTTGGTTTGAATGTCCTCCCGTAGCTCAGAGTAATTTGATCGTCTGAAGCCTTCTTCTCTCAGCTCGTCAAAGTCATTCTCCATCCAGCTTTGTTCTGTTGCTGGTGAGGAACTGCGTTCCTTTGGAGGAGGAGAGGCGCTCTGCGTTTTAGAGTTTCCAGTTTTTCTGTTCTGTTTTTTCCCCATCTTTGTGGTTTTATCTACTTTTGGTCTTTGATGATGGTAATGTACAGATGGGTTTTTGGTGTGGATGTCCTTTCTGTTTGTTAGTTTTCCTTCTAACAGACAGGACCCTCAGCTGCAGGTCTGTTGGAATACCCTGCCGTGTGAGGTGTCAGTGTGCCCCTGCTGGGGGGTGCCTCCCAGTTAGGCTGCTCGGGGGTCAGGGGTCAGGGACCCACTTGAGGAGGCAGTCTGCCCGTTCTCAGATCTCCAGCTGCGTGCTGGGAGAACCACTGCTCTCTTCAAAGCTGTCAGACAGGGACATTTAAGTCTGCAGAGGCTACTGCTGCCTTTTGTTTGTCTGTGCCCTGCCCCCAGAGGTGGAGCCTACAGAGGCAGGCAGGCCTCCTTGAGCTGTGGTGGGCTCCACCCAGTTCGAGCTTCCAGGCTGCTTTGTTTACCTAAGCAAGCCCGGGCAATGGCGGGCGCCCCTCCCCGAGCCTCGCTGCTGCCTTGCAGTTTGATCTCAGACTGCTGTGCTAGCAATCAGTGAGACTCCGTGGGCGTAGGACCCTCTGAGCCAGGTGCAGGATATAATCTCGTGGTGCGCGGTTTTTTAAGCCGGTCCGAAAAGCGCAATATTCGGGTGGGAGTGACCCGATTTTCCAGGTGTGTCCGTCACCCCTTTCTTTGACTCAGAAAGGGAACTCCCTGACCCCTTGCACTTCCCAAGTGAGGAAATGCCTCGCCCTGCTTTGGCTCGCGCACGGTGCGCGCACCCACTGACCTGCGCCCACTGTCTGGCACTCCCTAGTGAGATGAACCCAGTACCTCAGATGGAAATGCAGAAATCACCCGTCTTCTTCTGTGTCGCTCTCGCTGGGAGCTGTAGACCGGAGCTGTTCCTATTCGGCCATCTTGGCTCCTCCTCCTTTTCTTTTTTTTTTCTTCTTTTTCTTTTTTTTTAGATGGAGTCTTGCTCTGTTGCCCAGGCTGGAGTGCAGTGGTGCGATCTTGGCTCACTGCAACCTCCGCCTCCCAGGCTCAAGCAATTCTCCTGTCTCAGCCTCCCAAGTAGCTGGGACTACAGGTGCATGCCACCATGCCCATCTAATTTTTGTATTTTTTAGTAGAGACGGGGTTTTGCCATATTGGCCAGGCTGGTCTTGAACTCCTGACCTCAGGTGATCCACCTGCTTCAGCCTCCCAAAATACTGGGATTACAGGCATGAGCCACCACACCCGGCCTGAAGACCAGTTCTGAAAATCCACAGCCTACTGATCTGTCTATAGGCAACAGAATCATTCGAGAACAGAGTCACAGTAGACTCAGGGAGATTGATGTTAGCAAGCACACAGTGTAAGTTGGAGGGTTTTGGCTACTTTAAGTGGTGTGGTGTACAGCTTGAAATGGCGTTTATCTCTGCTCCATCCTAGAATTGCAGTAAAATAATAAAAAGCACAAACACTGACAGAGGAAACAGCAACAGATGAGCACAACAAAATTTGGCAACACCCTAGTGGTAACTGGCTGTGATGGAGGAGTTAGTGTGCCCCAGGATTTCCAGTTCTCTTATTTTTTCAAACATGGAGAAGACTGCACTTCCTCATCCTCTAGAAGTTAAGCGTGGCCAGGGAAACGTGAGCCCTGAAGTTGCTTCCAAGCGGGAGCAGCTAAGACAATGCTTTCTTCCCCAGTGGAAATAAACCCCAAAGCCTTATGTTAAGGGAGCAGCCTCACAAGATGGCTGTGCGCCTGTCAGCACAGGTCTCCTGAAACCACAATGGGTAGGGCTTCCTGGGACATGTACTCTGAGAGAGGAATCAACCTTTATCATTTTAAGCCACAGAGATTTTTGGGGTGGTTTGTTATCACCGCACAGCCTGGTCCATCCTGACTAACACACTGATGAGGTTTCTGTTTTCTCTCTTCTGCCAAGTGTTTGTGAGGATGTGTGCGGTAGACGCCCCCCAACAAAGGCCCAAGAATTAGAGACACAGATACCTCAGGTGGCAGAAATATGAGGGGTATGGCTGAAAAAGAAGAGGATTATTTGGAAGCCTGTCACAGGAGACATTAAACTTCCTGTGATGCCTTCTCCAATGCATGAAGCTAGGCGACTCCTCCTCCCCGCAGAAGATGGGAGGCTTCTGTAAGGAAAGGGTGAACCAGAGGAGCACTGAAACTGGGGACATGGCAAGAGTTGGAAATGGAAACAAGGTGCCCTGGGGAACACACGGCCCACTAAGCAGTGAGACCCGGAGAATACCTTACAACTCTTAGTTGTCAGGCTTAGAATCCAACCCACTCAGGATCCCTAGTCCCCAACAGATGAGTGTATTCCTCTCTGAGGTAACAGGCCCAAGAGAAAATACTACAGATACTAATGTTTGGGGGTTTCCTAGTATACCACCTGGCTTTCCACCTGATCACCCCATAGTGACGGCTCTTGCATCATAAGTACATGGTCTTCCAATAGGCTTTTTGGGGATTTACTCTTAAATATGAGTGAACAGCCAAGGATCATCAGACATTTAAAGAACATCTCTAACATGAAAGACAAAGACATAAAGCAAATGGAAAGTCGCTTGGAGAAATCAAGACAGCAAAATTGAGGAACTCTTCAAAACAGTAAAACAAGTATGGCAAAAAGGTGGAAAGTAGTAGGAACAAAGATAAAACAGAAGGGGAAATTATGAAAGACCATGTCCTGGAGCCAAAGAACACATGAACTTCCAGATTAAAAGAGTCTACTGGGTACCTATCTAGAATAATGAAATAGAAAAGACTCACAGAAGTTTCAGAACAGGAGGGAGAAAGAGAAGATTTTACAGGCTTCAGAGAAATAAAAACAAGAATGATCAGGAAACACAATGATGTTGGACTTTTCACAAGCAATACTGGAAACTGGGAGACTTACAGCCAGTCTATCTTCAGTTCAGTTTGAAGGTACAATAAAGGTGTTTTTAGACAAGCATGGTCCCAGAAAATTTACCTCATATGCACCCTTTCTCAGGAAACTACCAGAGGATTGCTCTTCTTGCATGGTAGCATAAACCAAGAAAAAAGATGCAAGATCCAGGAAACGGGGGACCCAACCTGGGAATGCAGCAGAGAGAATCTCCAGGTGACAGGAAAGGAGATCCCAGGATCACAACCATGCAGAAGTCCAACCACCAATCCCATGTGGCCTGCCGCTCAGAGGGCTCCAGTTAGGCAGTCTCTAGAAAGAGTGGAACTGAGAGATTTCCTGATAAATTTGTGCCACCAGGAGTTTTAGATGGTTTTAGGAGAGCTTGGCATAAATTATTGATCAGTCCATAGAAGACTAAGCAAACGGAAAAACAATTCCATTATTTACCTCAGTAAAAGCAGTTGTTATATTGGCAAGAAATGCAATAATAATATGCGTTGTAGCTCAGCAGGGAAGAGTATAGTCTTCAGAACACAAGCACTGAATATTGATTAACCAGAAATTGTAATATTGAGAGGATGAGGGTGCATGTAACATGAAAGAGGTAAATCTTATAGTAGAGCCAGGAAATAATATCTAAAATTGAAAAACCAAGGTGAGGCAGTATAAACATGCTATTTATGAATATGGAAATAAATTCCAGGGAAAAAGATTAGAAGAGCGGGACCATGGCATGGGAGGGACAGGGAAGACTTCAATTTTTGCCATAAACTGCATGATATCGTTTGACTTTTAAAATTATATTCATGTATTTCTTTGCTTTAATTGAAAAATATGCAAGAGTAGGAATCCTTTAGAGATGACTCACTGACCAAAGGAACCATCTCATTGTTACTGCTTTCCTGGAAACACAGAGAAAGGCAAACACTTCTGTACATTTTGTGCACAATTTCTAAGAAACAACTGCTTTATTAACTATGTTATATGGTAAGATGAGTGCACTAAGTTTTTAATTTCCTGCGGTGTTTGTGTTAAGCACACACACTTGCATTTGGCTTATGTGACACACATAAGAGTAAAGAAATAAAAAGTAGGTCAAGGCCGGGGCTGTACTACTTAAGGTGAAGATCACTAATTGGTAAGTGAATTTACAACTTGACAATGAAAAATCTGAAGAGTTCAGGAGCTGTGGGCTTGATAGTGTGCTTAGTTTGGAAAGCACAGAACATTTGTGGGAAGGATAGCAGCAGGAATACTAACTGCAGTGGGAGTGATGCTTGCTGAGGTGAAGTGTGATGCGTTCATTTCTCCTCAGGTTTGTATACTTATGTAGGTAAATGGTCTTTACTTCAAAAATGAAATGTTTTTGAGATGTCTTCTTTTACCAGGGTGCATTTAATGGCCCATTCTGCAACTTAGAATCCACAGTAAAGTGTCATTTCTGTCAGTGGAGAATAATGCTCTAGGAGACTTTAGTTGTCAATAACAACAACAAAATGAGACGTTTTTCTATGAACTGTGAGAACCTAATGCAACCGGAGTAATTTTTTTAAAGATTTAATGATTTTACTGGTACACCTTTAAAATGAAAAGGCTTCACCCTGAAATCCCATTTGAAGAACAAATGATTCATTTCAATCAAGGAAAAAAAAACAAAAAGAGATGGGAGAATGTTTGCTTTGATCTCACCACCTGGATTGGAAGTATTGCCTCCAATTATTTTAGCTTGTCTTTAGAGTTTCACCTGTCGGTTCAGCTCTAGGCAAGATGTGTTGCCTGGCAGGTGTCTCCCCCACTGACATCAGACCATCACCATCTAGAAATCACCAGAGCAAAACTTGTCTGGTGATCTGCACACCAGAAGGCACGTTTTCCAGTTACTGTGTGTTCTGTGGAATAAAAGAAACTGATGGAGAAGATTGATCTTTTTTAACCCTCTGGGCTCCAATTTTTTTCACTTTGCCTGACCCCTCTCCCAAGAGGAATCTTTCTCAACTTTTTGATGGATTGTCTCACCAGACAGTATATATGTGAAACTGTGCCAAGAAGTGATGGGACAAACAACAGGGAAATAAATGGACGATTTAGCTAGAGAGAATTTTGTTGTCAGTTGCTAGTCAGAGTTGCAGCTCATAGGCCACAGTTCGGGTGTCTGACATGCTTGCTGAATAAGTGTATGCTCAATAAACTGCCCAGTAGTCTTTAGAAAAATTGTGTCCTCTGCCCCGACTATGCACTCTTTAGAGACAATCTCACTCTGTGACCGAGGCTAGAGTGCAAGGATACAATCCTAGCTCACTGCAGCCTCACACTCCTGGGCTCAAGGAATCCTCCTGCCTCAACCTACCTACTAGCTAGGGCTACAGGTGCATACCATCATGCCCAGCTAGTGTGTGTGTGTGTGTGTGTGTGTGTGTGTGTGTGTGTGTGTGTGTGTGTTTTGTAGAGACAGAGTCTTGTTATGTTGCCCAGGCTGGTCTCAAACTCCTGGCCTCAAGCATTGGCCTCTCAAAGTGTCATATTACAGGCATGAGCCACCATGCCCAGCCACTCATATTTTCTGTGATACGTGTACTGGGGCCATATTGGAGAAGAAGGGAAGGTGCTGGGAGAGGAACAGATATATCATAGATAATTGAATTTCATATGTAACCCAGTTGTATCCTGGAGCCCATGTTGTCCTGGGAGTTATGAAATGTGATTTGAGTACAAACATGATCATCTTTAAAATGAAAAATACTTCCATTACAAGTGTAACTGGCAACATGTTCTGAGTCCAAAAATGTAGTTTCTCAGTCCACTTGTTTTGAAACACAGTCTTCGCTGACTGCTTTCTTAAGAGCGGCGATAAGAGAGGAGGATTTCTGTTTAGACACAGGCCACTTCACTCCCCTGAAGAGTTCCACTTGCAGTTTTTCTCCTGTTGTTTCTCATATTGAGACAACAGACATTCAGCTTGACATGCCTAGCTGACCTCTTGGTCAGACCCTACCCGTGGGACACCAAAAAGTGAGTAAACAAGTCTGGTAATGGATTGAAGGAGAATTGGAGTCAGTCTGAACATTTTGGCCCCAGTTTACCCGGAAGGAATAGCTGAAAATAGACTTTTTGTGACCTGGGAGAATTATGAAATGCGATTTGGCTATAAATGTGATCATCTTTAAAATGAAAAATGCTAAATGTCTTTATGCTTCTCTGGACTGGCCTCTACCCCATGCTTGTAATCATGCGGATCTCGCCTCTATCCAGGTCACATTCCGATTAGATAAAGTCCGGGCTTCGCTCTTTAAACATAGATTTCAAGGCCCCAGACTTCTTGATTAGAGCCTCTGGAGGTTGGGTCTTGGCACGGGTGTTAATAAGATTCAGTCAAAATTGGTAAGTGCTAGCTTAAGCTGTGGACCAGAGTTTAACACTCAACTCTTTAGGATCTCATTTTCCGCTTTTCTTGCGTGAGTTAACCTGTTGCCTCTGTAATTCACTGTCGGTGTCTCATCGTTCTCCTGTATCTCTCTCAGAGCAAGTCACACAGATGCGCTGCTCAGAGTGTCCATCGTATGTAAATATTTGGCTCACAGTCGATCTGCTGCAGTTACCTTGAGTTTGTCACCTGCTTTCCTCCCAGCCTTCAGTTTCCTCATCAGTAAAATGAGTTAATCAGGTTTATGTCCCAGGGAAGCTGTGAGAGAAAATGGTTTTGCAGATATCGAGTCCTATATGGAAATGTGAAACAAGAATCACAAGTTTGTTGTGCCAGTTACATTTGGAAGTCAAAGCTCACTTAACATTTGGGGTTGGTTACTGGCGATCTGAATTAGGGGGCTGGCCTTTAGTAGCCCTTCCTCACCCTCTCTAGGCTAGTGTTTCCTTTCTGCTGTCCTCAGCATTCAGATCCCCCACTGGGCTGCCCATCCTGGTCAGGCACTCAGGCGACCCTAGTTCTCAGCTTCCACCTTAAGCAGCATTATACCGTCAGCCTTTCCTTCCAGGGTTGGTCTGATTAAATCAAACTAAACTGCTAATTAGTGATAATGGCAACATGCACCGCCCCTCCAGATAACATTTACCTTTTATTGGCATTCTACTCCTGATTTCAGAGACCACTGGAGAAAGTATTTTGAAGCAGGAAACCATTTCAGCACTAATGCTTCTTAATCAGAAACCAGCCACTCTCCTGCTGAGATGGAGGTATTGTCAAAATCCTGAGAAGTAAGGGCTTGGTGTGAACTCTTGCCCTGATCATGTGTACTTTTACATCCACTTTTTTTTTTTAATTTCAAGAAAAATGTTGCAGTGAGGGTGTAGGAGCTTCATGGCTTCATCTGGGGCCTTGATTGCCTTGATGTTACCCTCTCCCTGCCCTGAATTCAGCATGCCACCGACATGGATTTTTTTTTTTTTTGGACCGTTGCTAGGAAACTACTGACCAAGGTCAAGTGCACATGCTAATTCATTAAGACTTGTTAGAGCCTCTTATCCTGTCGACCTTGCTGTTGTGTTGTCAAGCTTACAAGGGCGAGCGAAAAGAACTGTCTTGCTGCCAAAGGATGCCATTTTTTGTGAAGGATTCTTGTTAAGGTATTCTGAACTGAGAGATTTCCTCTTGCTGATTACACCTTGCAGAGTTCTGAACAGACAAAATTTTTCCAGGATCCGGTTAGCAAGGGATGAAGTTGAAATGGGATCTGAAATCAAGTAGACAGAATTTAGGATTAATATGTGTTCAGTTGGAACCCTATTTCCCCAAGTGGATCAATTCTTGGCTGGAATGTGATGTATTCCTAGGGAAGGGAAGAAGGGTGGTTCTAGGATAGTTAGCCCCAGTCTGTCTCCATTTGTGCTGTTAAGAGGAAGAAAACTCCAGGCATCCTTATCTCCGATTTTCCCTTACCTGCTGCAGAAGAGTATACATTCCAGTGTTGGCTCTAAAACCAACTTTGTTTTCTTATATGATCCAGACTGTTTAGAAAAATGGGGCTGGCATACCCTTTAAGTCAACATCCCAGAAGCTTATTCAGAAGCATAACCTTAGAACCAAAGGACCCGCTGCTGGGACAGCAGAAATGGAACCCAGTGTGTTTTCCAGGCAGACCTCAGAAAAGGATGGGAAACTTCTTACACAAGCAAATGGTATCAGAGGTATAAATGTGTTCTCAACCGTCTGCCATGCAAAGTGATTAAGCTGAGCTGTCATAGCTGTTTCTCTGCTGATACCTTTGTGTTTCATTGAACACTAGCTACATAAAGGAATAAGAAATATGGCCTCAAAGCTATGCTGTTCCTTATTTTGCCAGTGAACTACAGAGAGTTTGTGACTACTGTTCTAGGTCAAAAGTTGAAAGTGCATCTTACAATTTATCATCCACTCATTCAATAAACGTTGTTAGATCCTTCTATAGATCACGCACTGTGCAAGACCCCAGGGATACAGCAATGACAGATAGAGGCTCTGACTGACACAGACAGGCTCTGCTGGTGCAGAGTGTACAATCTAAGCTAGTCCTTTGTCAAGCCCCAAGCGAGACCTTCAAGCCTCCTCTGCTCTTAAGCCTTTCATCTGAATCCTTATTTAGTGTCTTAATTATCTATTGCTGTGTAACAAATTTCCCCAAAATTTAGTGGCATAAAACAACCTTCCTTGACTATCTCACAGTTTCTCTCCATTAGGGTCTCTTGGAGGCTGCCATCAGGGGGTCAGGTGGCCTGCAGTCATCTCAAGCTCACATGCTTGTGGGGCAGGACTCAGCTTCCCATGGGCATTGATGCTGAGGGCCTCAGTTCCCAGTTGACTGTTGGCCAGAGGTGTCCTCAGTTCTCTGCTACATGGGCTGTCTGACACTTGGCATCTTGCTTCATAAAGTATGCAGGATAAGAAGGTCATGGAGTCTGGTAGCAAGATGGAAGTCATGGTTTTTTGTAACCCAGTCACAGGGTGATATCCTATCACCTTTGCTGTATTTTATTGCTTAGAGTAAGTCACTCAGCCGTGCTCCCTCCCCAGGGAGGAGATTACCCAAGAGGCTGAATACCAGGAGGTGGAGATGATTGGGAGCCATCTGAGAACTCTGCCTTCCACATTTGGTATCTGTCATCGTTCCATGCCAGCAAAGAGCTACTGGGCTTCAAATTTAGGGCAGAGCAGCTGCTGGCCTTGTCCTCTCCCACTGACCTTGTCAACCATTCCGAACTCCTGGGCTGCATTTGTTTTGTTGTCTGGCTGAGATGAGGCAGATTTGCAGATCCCGAAGTGACCGATGGACGATGAAACCAAAGTGGCGTAAAAGGGAAGGTGTGTGAGAGCTAGCACAGAGATGGTGCAGGGGGCTATGTCAGAAAAAGCTGGGACTAGGGCAGGCTGTGGAAATGGAAAAGAGGAGGTGTTGTCCTGAAGAAAGAGCAGGTCCATGGTGGACTGCTCAGAAGGAGGAGTTTAACTTTATCCCCAAGGGACTGCCATTGTCAAAAGAATTTGCTGTAAAGACCCTTTCATAAGTTAAGGCAGAGCTTTTCAAGCAGTGTGCTGATGATACTCTCGGACTTTGGGGATGGAGAGTGACCTGGGCCACTGGGCACGTTGTCTTCAACCCTTGTGCAGCCTCATCGTGGCCTCCAGGTCCCCTCTGTGTGGCCCAGTGTATTGTACAAATATTAACATTTCCCTGTGTGCCATGGTGCAAAATGTTTGGGAAGCACAGAGTTAAGGGGTCTTGGTGGTGTAGGGGAGCCGCACAGGAGAGTGCAGGCCTTGAGACAGGCTGGCATCTCAGTGCTTGGTTTCTCCCTTGGGTGAGGCATGTGGATCCTCCTCTTCATGCTTCCATCTCAACCGCCTTTGTGCTGCTGGGGGAGTTTTCCATCGCAGGTGTTATCCATTATTGATGAGTCATGGAGAAGATGGTGGTGAATAATTAAGTAGGTTTCAGGTGCAGAATGAACATGAAAGGGAAGAAAGAATAAAAACAGAAGAGCCAGAGAAAGAATTCTAAGTTCTTTTGTACCAATAAGACACTGGGTAGATGCTTTCTATAACTTTCCAGAAGGCCTGGCAGTTTTATTTGAGTCTGACTAGTGATTTTAAGTCTTACGTGTGCTGGTCATTTCTGAGTAATAACTGAAAAAGTTGCAGCTTTTCACAGCAGCAGTGAACACTCTAAACAGCTTCACCCAGCCTGTTCTGAGCAGTTCATAAATGGAAACCAGTGCAATTTTCAAGAGTGATAATGGGGGAAATGGCTGCACCATGGGCTAGGGAGAGTTAAATGGTGAGGAATATTCAGTCTGGACTCTTGAGAATCAACACCCCAAGATTTTCTCTCTTTAAATAATTAATAGACGGAAGAAAGTGTTTTGAGAGATGCCCAGTGCTGTAAAGTAGGAAGAGATACCTCCTGCAGTGCTCACCATTTAGAAAGGGCTTTCTAGAATGGTGGCTAGCAGCTATGGGACTTGCATCCCACTGATTCGGATTAGAGTAGGTGCAATCGGACTGCCAACAAGAGTGGTCAGAAATGCCAGAACAATGAGGAGAGAGAGGGCAGTGCCTGAGGACACCCTCTCTCTGGCCCCGTTTCCCACTTTGGCCTGCAGAGCTTGTCCACAGCACAGCAAACTGTCAACTAGCATGGGAGGATTTGCCAGCTGTGGATTGTTCACAGGCCCTTTGTGTCTCTTTTTTTCTACCTTTTGGTCCTATCATAGCACATTAGCCAATCAGGTAGGCTCACAGAGAGACCTGTCAGCATGTCTGATAAAGGGTTTGATGAGAGAGAAGGCTAAAGTCATCTATTCAGATGAGCGCTTTTCATGCATCCACATCCTTCCCCATCGCCACAGATCACTGAGAGGCTGATTAGCTCTGGGGGCGTCTCTCTGCAGAGGTCTCTCTGTCTGCCTCCTGCCTTCAGAACCACACTGCTGCCTCTGTTTCCAAGAGCTCCTCCATCCAGCTTAGTTCTGCCATGTTTGTCTTGACCTTTCTCTGGTCTGGTCTGAACCAGCATATATAGTCCAGCTCTTGAGCCCAATGTAGGATTATCTGTTGGTTTGGTTCAAACCGTATTGGCCCTGGAGGCAGCCCTTTTCTGTGTTGGTGTCGCTGGCTTGCCATACCCCTTATTCAGACTGCAGCATGAGGCTGTCTCAGGCCCTCGGTAAAGGTGAAGAGACTTCCCGTGCCTAGAGGTGCGGCCCCTAGCTGGCCTCAGTGTCCTCCAGGCTCGCACCACATGCCCAGGTGCATCCTGATGCAGGTCCTGAGAGAGCCTCTTTTCCCCCAACTCCCACCCGTTCCTTCCACATGAGCTGGATGCTTTTTCACAGGTTCTATAAACGTAGCAGAGTTTGGGGTGTGTGAAAGTTTCTGGTAGCAATTCAGAGCCGAGTTTATTTTCTCCAGAAATAGTAGGTGCTGCTGCCAGAAGGGGTAGGCCAGCCCCTTCTCAGAAACATCAGCTGCTGATGCCCAGCAGTGACGCATGACTGCCTGGACCATTCAGGCAGCGAGGGGTTAATGTGAGGGTCGGACACCCTGGGAGGTGGTCACATCTCCTGTTACCAGTTGCATGATTGACTCGGGTATCTAACAACACTGGAAACAACTCACACGAGTACTGAGGTCAGGACTTAGCCTCGGCTCTCAAGTGGAGGCACTAGAGCTGGCCCAGCTGCCCAAACAGCACCCGGAAAGATGGAGAACTTCTGGATGTACCGATTTGAGTGTCACGAAGGAGAGGTAGGTGGATCCTAGGCTTCAAAATCACATTTGCTGTTTTGCTTTTTATTTTCTTTTTCTCATCCTGTCAGGTTATAAGTTGGTCTCTGCATTTCCCTTGACGGTAGGAGTTAGTACAGCAAGAATAGAGAGGGGGAGTGTGCATTACCCCAGACAGGAGGCAGTGGAATCAGGTTTGCCTGGGGCTTGGAAGTCCAAGATGGTAAGGACAGAGCAAAGGCTGCTCGACCACTCAGAAAAGGTGCTTGGAAAGGGGTTGTGCTCCTTGCTTTCTCCCCGTCAGCATTGCATTCTGATTCTCCACATTCTAATAAATGAGTCACTTTGGGCAGTGTACCTCCAATTCCATGCTCTGTGTTGTGTTTTGTGCTTCTGTGATGCTAATGAAAATGAGTGGAGATTAGTGCCTTGCATGTAAGAACTGCTTTGCTAGTCAGTGAGGTAATGAGTATAATGTACCCTTGTACAGTGCCTGACACACATAGTAAGCCTTCTGTAAATGGTCACTATGACTGTTCTTAGCAGGTAGTGTGCTATTACAGCAAATCTCCTTGTGCTCTTAGCTATATCTCTTAATAGGAATTAAAAGTGGTTTTGGTTTTTCTCTCCCACAGAGCTAAGGGCCAGTGGTCTGGGAATGAGTGTGGGAACACCATCAAGGAATGGATGGACTTAAATGTGGAAATGAATGAAAGACTCCATTTTTCCAAATTGTAGCGCATTTCATTTAAATACAGTGAGGCTGTTTCAAAGGGGGAAGAGATAACCTGTGTTTATAAGTCAGTTTTATCAGATAAGAACTTGTTTCACCCTTACACTGGTGTAGTTAATTGGTTATTTATTTATTTATTTTTTGCCTTTGAGAACATGGCTTCAGAAGCTTTTTGATGGTGAGAAATGCATTATTTGTGTGGCCTCGGATGATGACATCACCCTCTGTTGGAGCAGATCGCTGCTGTGCAAGGCTCTGGGCTTCGAATGATCCAGGTCTTCAACCTATAGATTTAACATGGGTTTAACCGACTTGGGGCTGGGAACAGGAGGGCTTTGCCTGTGGGAAAAGAGAGAACAAAAATGGTTAGAATATTTTAGCTGATGGTTATCTCAAAATGTTTCATTGGTATTACTTGAATCCATTATAAATATATATATAAAACAGTTCATTAAGCCCAGGCTATTATCATTTTAATGACATAATTATGCCCCTACAATGCCGTGATAACTTTCTACTTCACCACATTAAAGAAATACAAATGTGCTTTGATAATATAGTTTAAATTGAGACTGAATAATTATGGATTTCTTAACCAGTTTCGATTCTTAGAAGCACAGACATGTCTTGGGGCAAGAAAAAAAAACTTATCATATATTTGGGGTTTTTAAAAACAATTCTAATGTGGAATAAGGTTAATCTAAAACAACTTGGATCAGTGAGGGAAACAATGTACATTGGTGTGAGAAAAGAGGTAAAGCTGGATAAACCAGTAAGCGTAAGTGCAAAGCTATTTGAGGACAGTGGACCTTGAGAAGTAATGCTGCGTGTGTTCAGACCCACTCTGTATATAAACCTATTTTTTGCTTCCTTTTCCTCTGATACAAAATGGGTGTCTATGCATGCTTCCATTTATTCAACATATTTATTGAACTCCTACTATATATTTTATGGGGTCTCTGTATGAGGCACTTGGAGAGGAAACGTAAGCTAATGATAAATCCTGCCTTCGTGGTGCTTATTAAAATATTGTACTTAAAATATGATTACTGTCCTGTAGCATTATATCTTTATAAAATAGAAGGGAGACAGTGAGGCACCTTAAGAATGGTACAAACACAATGCATGCAGATAGTTCTTACAAGAGGGGCTTTCCTTTCCCTTAAGAGATCTAAGAAGGCTGTATGAAAAAAGTACTATTTGAAATGGGGTTGGACTGCTGGAGCTTCCTGTATGTGAGGAGTTCAGACAGGAGCATAAACAAAGACGCTGAGCAGAAACGCAGGTGATATGCTGGGAACAGAAAGTAGTTCAGTTTGGATTGAAGAAAGAGAATAGGAAGTAGAAGAGGGAAAAAAATAGTAAAAGAATTAAGGCCAACCCTTGGAGTGCCTTAAGTGCCAAGGTAGAGTCTAGAATGTGTTCTATAAGCAAAAAAGAATGACTGAAGATTTTTGAACTGAGGAATGACTTGTTCGGGGCTTGTTAAACCTGCATTTTAAATGAGGGTAAATAGGTGCTTAATGACAGGTGTCTGGTGAAGAAGTTCATGAGCTCTTGGTGCTGTAGTCTCATGCAGCATATTGGCTGCTTAGTCACTTAAAGAATAAAAACCCAACACCTGATTCTCAGGTTCTCTGTGTCGTTCTACATACGTGAAATTACTGAATAACTGAGTCTCAGATGGATTTGGCAAAACTCTGTAATTTTTAAAGAATTATGTTCTCCTGCCCTTCATTACCATGAATTTCTGTTGCCGAGTTTCGTTGGAGGAAAGAGGCCAACAAGTATTGGAACTCATTAAAGTTGGCTAGGGCTTGCTGGGGTATTTCACCAGGTGTCCTAATCAGCAGTGTGCCAAGGCCGTGTGTGAACTATGCTATAAATTAACAGTAGAGGCATACGTATGCCCTGATTCTCTTATGTAAATCAATCACTATAATAGCATCACCCTCAACTCTTACATTTGGAAATACTGTCTTGGTCGGGAGATAGTGGACATGCCAGAAGTTGCACACAGCAGTTGTATATACCCCCCAGCCTTAGCCAGTAATGAGCTCTTCTTACCAATTAGACCATTAAGAGTGTTGGAGCTTATGAATTAATGTAGAATCTTGGTTTGATTTTATAGAGCCTTTTTGCTTTTCAATTTTACCCGTGAATAAAATTTTAATAAGGAAGGAAACGAGATGAAGAAAACATCCCCGTGGGTGTTTGTTGTCCTTGTGAGCACTCTCCCAGAGGGCTGAAATAACTTTTCTAACTGTTCAGATCATAAAAAGACTTGAATGCTTTGCCGGTGCCCAGGCACTGAAAGTACCACTAGTGTGCATTATCACCAGTTAATACTCATGGCAACCCGGGAGGTGGGTGCTAGCTGTTTCCCCATTTCTCAGGAAGTATCAAAGAGGATGGATGACGTGCCCAGGCTCAGAGCCATCAGTGGTAGCCAGACTCTGATCTGCCAGACGCTGGGCCTTAAGCATTTAATAACCTCCCTATCCTGAAACATAAGTTACCTTGTTAGGCCACAATATAAAATTAAAAACATTTCAAGGCACTGGGCGCAGCAGTGGCTCATGCCTGTAATCCCAGCACTATGGGAGGCTGAGGCAGTTGGATCACTTGAGGTCAGGAGTTCGAGACCATCCTGGCCAACATGATGAAACCCCATCTCTACTAAAAATACAAAAATTGGCTGGGTGTGGTGGTGGATGCCTTTAATCCCAGCTACTCGGGAGGCTGAGGCAGGAGAATCGCTTGAACCTGGGAGGCGGAGGTTGCAGTGAACTGAGATCGCACCACTGCACTCCAGCCTCGGCAACAAAGCAAGACTCCATCTCAAAAAAAAAAAAAAAAAATTCAAGGGATAAATGAAATGTAACTATGTATGTAACTGTGTTCCCTGGAATTGCACTATACTTTTCAAAATGGAGCCTAATATAGGAAAGCAGATAATGGTGGCTTTGAGGACTAAACCCATTGTCTTAGGAGTTGATTGATTTTCTTTTTTTTTTTTTAAATAATACTTTAAGTTCTAGGGTACATGTGCACAATGTGCAGGTTTGTTACATATGTATACATGCGCCACGTTGGTGTGCTGCACCCATTAACTCATCATTTACATTAGGTATCTCTCCTAATGCTATCCCTCCACCTCCCCCCACCCCATGACAGGCCCCAGTGTGTGATGTTCCCCTTCCTATGTCTAAGTGTTCTCTTTGTTCAATTCCCACCTATGAGTGAGAACATGCGGTGTTTGGTTTTTTGTCCTTGCCATAGTTTGCTGAGAATGATGGTTTCCAGCTTCACTCGTGTCCCTACAAAGGACATGAACTCATCCTTTTTTATGGCTGCATAGTATTCCATGGTGTGTATGTGCCACATTTTCTTAATCCAGTCTATCATTGTTGGACATTTGGGTTGGTTCCAAGTCTTTGCTATTGTGAATAGTGCCACAATAAACATACGTGTGCATGTGTCTTTATAGCAGCATGATTTATAATCGTTTGGGTATATACCCAGTAATGGGATGGCTGGGTCAAATGGTATTTCTAGTTCTAGATCCTTGAGGAATCGCCACACTGACTTCCACAATGGTTGAACTAATTTACAGTCCCACCAACAGTGTAAGAGTGTTCCTATTTCTCCACATCCTCTCTAGCACCTGTTGTTTCCTGACTTTTTAGTGATCGCCATTCTAACTGGTGTGAGATGGTAGCTCATTGTGGTTTTGAGTTGCATTTCTCTGATGGCCAGTGATGGTGAGCATTTTTTCATGTGTCTTTTGGCTACATAAATGTCTTCTTTTGAGATGTGTCTGTTCATATCCTTTGCCCACTTTTTGATGGGGTTGTTTGCTTTTTTCTTGTAAATTTGTTTGAGTTCTTTGTAGACTCTGGATATTAGCCCTTTGTCAGAGGAGTGGATTGCAAAAATTTTCTCCCATTCTGTAGGTTGCCTGTTCACTCTGATGGTAGTTTCTTTTGCTGTGCAGAAGCTCTTTAGTTTAATTAGATCCCATTTGTCAATTTTGGTTTTTGTTGCCATTGCTTTTGGTGTTTTAGACATGAAGTATTTGCCCATGCCTATGTCCTGAATGGTATTGCCTAGGTTATCTTCTAGGGCTTTTTTTTAAAAATTTTATTATTATTATACTTTAAGTTTTAGGGTACATGTACACGATGTGCAGGTTAGTTACATATGTATACATGTGCCATGCTGGTGTGCTGCACCCATTAATTCATCATTTAGCATTAGGTATATCTCCTAAAGCTATCTCTCCCCTCTCCCCCCACCCCACAACAGTCCCCAGAGTGTGATGTTCCCCTTCCTGTGTCCATGTGTTCTCATTGTTCAATTCCCACCTATGAGTGAGAATATGCGGTGTTTGGTTTTTTGTCCTTGCGATAGTTTACTGAGAATGATGGTTTCCAGTTTCATCCATGTCCTACAAAGGACATGAACTCATCATTTTTTATGGCTGCATAGTATTCCATGGTGTATATGTGCCACATTTTCTCAATCCAGTCTATCATTGATGGACATTTGGGTTGGTTCCAAGTCTTTGCTATTGTGAATAGTGCTGCAATAAACATACGTGTGCATGTGTCTTTATAGCAGCATGATTTATAGTCCTTTGGGTATATACCCAGTAATGGGATGGCAGGATCAAATGGTATTTCTAGTTCTAGATCCCTGAGGAATCGCCACACTGACTTCCACAAGGGTTGAACTAGTTTATAGTCCCACCAACAGTGTAAAAGTGTTCCTATTTCTCCACATCCTCTCTAGCACCTGTTGTTTCCTGACTTTTTAATGATTGCCATTCTAACTGGTGTGAGATGGTATCTCATTGTGGTTTTGATTTGCATTTCTCTGATGGCCAGTGATGGTGAGCATTTTTTCATGTGTTTTTTGGCTGCATAAATGTCTTCATTTGAGAAGTGTCTGTTCATGTCCTTCGCCCACTTTTTGATGGGGTTGTTTGCTTTTTTCTTGTAAATTTGTTTGAGTTCATTGTAGATTCTGAATATTAGCCCTTTGTCAGATGAGTAGGTTGGGAAAATTTTCTCCCATTTTTGTAGGTTGCCTTCTTCTAGGGTTTTTATGGTTTTAGGTCTAACATTTAAGTCTTTAATCCATCTTGAATTAATTTTTGTATAAGGTGTAAGAAAGGGATCCAGTTTCAGGTTTCTACATATGGCTAGCCAGTTTTCAGCACCATTTATTAAATAGGGAATCCTTTCCCCATTGCTTGTTTTTGTCAGGTTTGTCAAAGATCAGATGGTTGTAGATGTGTGGTATTATTTCTGAGGGCTCTGTTCTGTTCCATTGGTCTATATCTCTGTTTTGGTACCAGTACCATGCTGTTTTGGTTACTGTAGCCTTGTAGTGTAGTTTGAATTCAGGTAGTGTGATGCCTCCAGCTTTGTCCTTTTGGCTTAGGATTATCTTGGCAATGCGGGCTTTTCTGGTTCCATATGAACTTTAAAGTAGTTTTTTCCAATTCTGTGAAGAAAGTCATTGGTAGCTTGATGGGGTTGGCATTGAATCTATAAATTACCTTGGGCAGTATGGCCATTTTCATGATATTGATTCTTCCTATCCATCAGCATGGAATGTTCTTCCATTTGTTTGTGTCCTCTTTTATTTCATTGAGCAGTGGTTTGTAGTTCTCCTTGAAGAGGTCTTTCACATCCCTTGTAAGTTGGATTCCTAGGTATTGTATTCTCTTTGAAGCAATTGTGAATGGGAGTTCACTCATGATTTGGCTCTCTGTTTGTTATTGGTGTATAAGAATGCTTGTGATTTTTGCACATTGATTTTGTATCCTGAGACTTTGCTGAAGTTGATTATTAACAAGCTTTATTCCAGAGCCTTTCAAATCCCAAGCACTGTGACAGGACATGATTCTGTGTCTCTTCCACTAGAAGGGTTTCTGGCCCAGCCAGTGTAGGTGGCCTCTCCACCCCTTGCCCGTCTTGGCAGCCATCATGCCACACTTCGGCCACTGGAGCGGAGGTGCTCTAAGGAATCCCTGCATATGTGTACCTTCAAAAAGCTGCTGAACATTCATTCATTTGAAATGATGACCACCATTCTCAAAGTATGGGTAAGAAGTGATTCAGTTAGAACTTTACCTTGAAAGCAATACTAAAAAATATAAATATAACCTTAGTTTACTCTTTGACTATCAACATCTAGGTTGTAGTTCCAACTGTACACGAATTCTTAGAACAGAGAAGTAGTACTGATTTTATATGACATAGTATTGATCTTAGTTATATTTTTTTTTCAAAAAAAGTCAGTGAATCACACAAAATAACCTTCAAATCACATGTGACTTTTGTAGCATGTTCAGAAAGGGTCATCTCAATCATGAAGAGAAACATTTCATTAAAAATATTTAAGGACTGACTCAGTTTTCTTAAGAGCCTTTCTTAATTATTTGATATTCCTGTCATTCTCTTTGGAAGCACCTCTAATGTTACCACTCTTTCCATTCATCACTCCTTCTCTAACCAGTGCAACCCCGCCAGTTTCTCCATTGTCAGCAGCTGGTTTGAGAAAGACTCCAACTTTCCCCTCTTCAACTTTATGCAGTTCTACTATCCATCTATTTATTTTTGCAATATTTGCACCTCTGCACTTTATTTGCTATTATTTGTTTTTGTTTTGTTTTTGCCTTGTAATGCCAGATGGTCCCAACAGTCAACAGAAGACCAGTTGACAAAGATGTGGACCAGATAAGTAGATGCTAGTGTTTGGGGTGGAGGACTGTTCAGGTAGGCACTAATGTTGTGTCTTAGTCTGTTTTCTTTTAATTCTGGAGGCTGGGAAGTCCAAGTTGGAGGGGCTGCTTCTGGTAAGGGTTTTCTTGCTAGTGGGGAATCCGCAGTGCAGGACATCACCTGTCAAGGGGGTTCACGAGGGACAGCCAAACTGACTTGTAAAACAGCTCCACTCTCACGATAACTAACCCGTTCCCTCAATAACCCATTAATCCATCAATCCTTGAATGCATCAATCCATTCATGAGGGTAGAGCTCTCATGACCCAGTCACCTCCCAAAAGTTCTGCCTCTCAACACTGCTGCAGTGGGGACCAAGTTTCTAACACAAGAATTCTAGGGAACACACTCAAACTTAGCACATTACAAGTAGTCAGCTCATTTGTGACTTTCTGTGACATTAAAACTTTTGTTTTCCTGCAGCAACTGAGACAGTGACCACTGTTTACAGAAGTCACCCTGTATTTGTAACTTATAGGTTTGTCTCCCCTGAAAGACCAGGCATTTTTGGGGGGAGGCAGGGATCTGGGTTTATTTGGACACTGTCAGCATTTCAGTATTGAATGAATGGCCCACATAGAACTCACTTTTTGTGTGTCTCTTGACTAGAATTTCTCCAAAACTTTGTCAGGATCCTTGAATTCCTCTCCACATCATGGCCCTGCTCTCTGAGATCCTGCCTCAGTCCTCAGGCCTTTCTAGAATAGAATGTTGTTCATCATCTATTTGGAAGGAGGCAGGAAGCCTTTACCTCCAGCTTTGGGGGATTCTTATTATCATCCTATCCACTTTTCCTACTTGTAAAAGTTTCTTTCTGCAGATCTCCAAGGGGCGAGAGTGGTAACTCAATCTCTCACTCCTTTAGATCTTTTGGTTCAACTCAGGAAATAGTTCTGAATGCCAGTATTAGGCTTCTTCAATGAGGGGAGCAGGCCAGTGACTCACAAAAAAGAAAAAAAAAAGAAAAGAAGAAAAAAAAAATATCTACTCCCGGGGCAGAGAGTAGGAGCTGAGCTGTGGCTGTTGGTAACACCCTGTGCTATCCTCCATGGGGCTCCAGCTGCTAGTCCCAGCCCGGCTCCGCAGCCTCATTTCTCACCTGCCAGAGCTGTGCTGTTCCTCCTCCCTGCCTGTGTTTCCAGTATCTTCCTCTGCTTTCCTGTCCCATACTACTCTGTGAAGACCACATGGTGTTCAGGGTTCAGCTGAAGCACCACCTCCCCCACAAAGCATTGCCTGATGCACACCCCTCCCCTCCTGCAGAACTGACCACTACCTCTGTGTCCCCACTGTACAGAACAACATCCTGGCCACCTGCTGGGGACCTGCTTTTCCATATCTGCCTCCTCCCATTCTCTGAAAACAGGTCTCCTTCCTCTTTGTTTCTTGGCCCAGTGTTAGGAACACAGATAGGCACTGAGATGTCTGTCGAAGGAACAAATAAATAATAATGACTTGTGGTGGTGCTTCTCTTCCCTTCAAACAGCCTGAAAGTTCCAGGAGCTATTTGTATGTCTCCCCGCTACCACGAGAAGTGCTGTCTTTGCCCCTAAGAGAGATGTTCAGTCAGAATTAAAATGAGGCCGGGGGCAGTGGTTCATGCCTGTAATCCCAGCACTTTGGGAGGCCAAGGCGGGCGGATCACTTGAGGTCAGGAGTTTGAGACTAGCCTGGCCAACACGATGAAACCCCATCTCTACCAAAAATACAAAAATTAGCTGGGTGTGGTGGTGTGCACCTCTAGTCCCAGCTACTTGGGAGGCTGAGGCAGGAGAATCACTTGAACCCAGGAGGCAGAGGTTGCAGTGAGCCAAGATCGCACCACTGCACTCCAGCCTGGGCAAAAAGAGTGAAACTCTGTCTCAAAAAAAAAAAAGAATTAAAATGAATGATCAGCTTTGCCTTGGGATACTTTTATATCCTTTACCCACTTCTGGCTCCATTGCCAATGGACAGGATGATACATTTCTTGTCTGGGATTTAGGAACCTGGTCTTGAGGCTGAAAGCTTTGCTTTGTGGAATCCCAAAGCTGTGGTGGTAAAACTTAGATGGTAGCTGTAGAGAATCTGCTAGAACATTTTCTGCAGAAGATGAGTTGTTAGCTTAAGGAGACCTTGTAATTATGTAGAACTGGGAGTTGTTGGTGAGTCATCTCTGCGCACTGTGTCCTAGATAGACGTCCGGGTTCAGCCCTTACCTTTGTGAACTCCTGACCCTGCATTTGCATCCTACCCTCACAAGCACATGTCTCATTTGCTTAAAATTGGATATCCATCCAGTAGCCCAGAAGGCGTGAGTCTCCAGACAGAGATATATGTGACAATAATTTTACTTTTTCTATCACATTTCATTGCCTAAATTTTGCCTCCAAATTATTCTTTGAAAGTTAATAGTATTATGTAATTTCTGTTTTTTTCCTCCATTTTTAAGAGTATATCAAGGTGGAAGTTGGACGTAATGGACAAAGGTCTTGTAAAGCAGACATTTGAGATGAGTTAAACACTAACACCATTGTTTAGGCTTCACGCGGCCATGTCTGTTTTGAAGCTGTTTGTCCACCCTTGACATTTAGGCAATGGTGTGGAGATTTTTAGGCTTCCATTAGACAGGGTCCTCTCTCATTTGGGGACAGCTTTCTGCATCAAGAGTGTCCTTGGAGCCCAGGTGACAGTCATCAAAGGCAAAGACTATTTCTCGAATTCAAAATGCAAATTGAGGCCAGCCACAGTGGCTCACACCTGTAACCCCAGTGTTTTTGGAGGCTGAGGCAGGAGGATTGCTTGAGCCCAGGAGTTCAAGACCTGCCTGGGCAACATAGTGAGACCCTGTCTCTACAAAAAAAAAAAAAGTTTTTCAGTTTAAAAAAACTGCATGTTGAATATTCTACACACAACACTAGAGGGATGCTGTGTCAGAAAAGGGCCTACCATTGACCACTGAAAAATGAAGAAAGCATTGGGTGCATCTGTAACATATCTGCTTCCTATGCAAGCTGGAAAACATTGTAAAGCTGAATAAACTGAAGCCATTTATTCAGTAAACATTTATTGAGTGCCTACTGTTTACAAGACCCAAGGCGAGGCAGTTGGAGGATGAACATGAACAAGACAAGGTCCCTATCTCCTGAGAGCTCTTGGGGGAGAAGGGGCATAACGTGAACAGATGATTACACAGCATGGCACGTGGCTGTGGAGAAAAGGAATGTACTGTGAATAGGGTCTGCGGAAGCTTCAGCAAGATGAGTGCTTTTGAGCTGAACATTGAATGTAGGAAAGAATGAGGGTGAACTTTCTAAGTGGAGGTCATTAATTGCACATGCAAATAGGAGGAAACTCGAATGAGCTCAAGCATGTGCCAAAGGCAAGAGCACCCGGGGTCTGCAGGGAAGTGGTCCCTGATGAGGTTGGTGTGGGTCCAGCCAGAGCCTCTGCAAGGGCAGTGCCCACAGCAGGCTCATTTGTGCCTCCTCCCCCTGTTCCATATGGGTACTCAGCAGCAGTCACCTCACTTTACTGTGGGGTCCGGGTTCCCTCTTCCATGCCCCTGCTCTCTGTATAACCTGTCTTCTTACATCATCCTAAGATCATCAGGTCCCCATAATGTTGTAAAGAATTTATTTTTAGAAGATTTAGAGCAATTGAGAAATAGGAAATGTGAGACTCTCTGGAGGATTGTTTTTAATGAAGGTGTGATACAGCCCTCAAACCATGCAATTAAAGAAAATCCAGCTGCACCAGTTTCCCTGGGGGCCAGACCCTTAAAATCTTTGTGACAGAAAATTACTTGGGGGAAAAAATAGAATCGTACATATCCAAAGAAGCTCTTCAGATTGGGGAAATTTAAAGGCATTAAATTCTCATGAAGACTTTACTACATTAATTTGGAGTCAGCCAGAGAGCTAAATCAGCAAGTACCCACCAGCTCTCTTTGGTGCCAAATAAAAGTTGTGTGTGTTTCTTCTTGAAGGCATGTGGGGCTACTTTATTGCAGCCAGGGGCTGTGGGGTCTGGGGTTCTTTATGCCAGCTGTTACCCTGGGCCTGCCCTCTTGGCTTCCCCACAGAGTGTCTGATGTCTGCATGTGAATGTTTAAGGGGTTTGTTCGTTGTCCTGACCTCCCTGCCTAGAATCAGGTGTATGGGATCACAAGAAACAAATTCAAGCCTCACAGCATTAGGCTGGGATCATACAACTTCTTCATCTGAATTAAAATGAATTTCACTGCATTATCTTTCTGTTCATTTGTGGCCCTTTATATTTTCCATAATTCAGACTTTTTGGAAAAGATTTTTTTGTTTGTTTGTTTCACACTATGCTCACCAAGCTCCCCCTTGTCTATCAGCGTGCCCCCTCAGCCCCAACACCAGCACCATTGCTGTGTGCAATATTATCCCTTTCCATGAAAATATTTTGCTGATGTCTCTGTGCATCAGTTTCCCCCAAGGGGGCTGGTCCCGAGAGATCAGACATGGGTTCAAGCAAGCAATAGGGTTATTTTGCTTCCTTTGCTCAGGACTTACCTCCCCACGCATCCCCACACTTCCTGAGAGAATACATCTCTGTTTAGTTTTTCTCTGTGTTTTATGCCTTTTGTCAAACATTGCCAACAGACTGTGAAGCAGCGCAGCCTTCCTCTCAGAGGACCATTGCTGTGGAATTCTTTTTTTTTTTTTTTGTTTCGTTTTTTTGTTTTTTTGACTTAATTTTTTTTTTATTATACTTTAAGTTTTAGGGTACATGTGCACATTGTGCAGGTTAGTTACATATGTATACATGTGCCATGCTGGTGCGCTGCACCCACTAACTCGGCATCTAGCATTAGGTATATCTCCCAATGCTATCCCTCCCCCCTCCCCCCACCCCACAACAGTCCCCAGAGTGTGATATTCCCCTTCCTGTGTCCATGCGATCTCATTGTTCAATTCCCACCTATGAGTGAGAATATGCGGTGTTTTTTGTTCTTGCGATAGTTTACTGAGAATGATGATTTCCAATTTCATCCATGTCCCTACAAAGGACATGAACTCATCATTTTTTATGGCTGCATAGTATTCCATGGTGTATATGTGCCACATTTTCTTAATCCAGTATATCATTTGTTGGACATTTGGGTTGGTTCCAAGTCTTTGCTATTGCGACTAATGCCGCAATAAACATACGTGTGCATGTGTCTTTATAGCAGCATGATTTATAGTCCTTTGGGTATATACCCAGTAATGGGATGGCTGGGTCAAATGGTATTTCTAGTTCTAGATCCCTGAGGAATCGCCACACTGACTTCCACAAGGGTTGAACTAGTTTACAGTCCCACCAACAGTGTAAAAGTGTTCCTGTTTCTCCACATCCTCTCCAGCACCCATTGTTTCCTGACTTTTTAATGATTGCCATTCTAACTGGTGTGAGATGGTATCTCATTGTGGTTTTGATTTGCATTTCTCTGATGGCCAGTGATGATGAGCATTTTTTCATGTGTTTTTTGGCTGCATAAATGTCTTCTTTTGAGAAGTGTCTATTCATGTCCTTTGCCCACTTTTTGATGAGGTTGTTTGTTTTTTTCTTGTAAATTTGTTTGAGTTCATTGTAGATTCTGAATATTAGCCCTTTGTCAGATGAGTAGGTTGCAAAAATTTTCTCCCATTTTTGTAGGTTGCCTGTTCACTCTGATGGTAGTTTCTTTTGCTGTGCAGAAGCTCTTTAGTTTAATTAGATCCCATTTGTCCATTTTGGCTTTTGTTGCCATTGCTTTTGGTGTTTTGGACATGAAGTCCTTGCCCATGCCTATGTCCTGAATGGTAATGCCTAGGTTTTCTTCTAGGGTTTTTATGGTTTTAGGTCTAACGTTTAAGTCTTTAATCCATCTTGAATTGATTTTTGTATAAGGTGTAAGGAAGGGATCCAGTTTCAGCTTTCTACATATGGCTAGCCAGTTTTCCCAGCACTATTTATTAAATAGGGAATCCTTTCCCCATTGCTTGCTTTTCTCAGGTTTGTCAAAGATCAGATAGTTGTAGACATGCGGCGTTATTTCTGAGGGCTCTGTTCTGTTCCATTGATCTATATCTCTGTTTTGGTACCAGTACCATGCTGTTGTGGTTACTGTAGCCTTGTAGTATAGTTTGAAGTCAGGTATTGTGATGCCTCCAGCTTTGTTCTTTTGGCTTAGGATTGCCTTGGCGATGCGGGCTCTTTTTTGGTTCCATATGAACTTTAAAGTAGTTTTTTCCAATTCTGTGAAGAAAGTCATTGGTAGCTTGATGGGGATGGCATTGAATCTGTAAATTACCTTGGGCAGTATGACCATTTTCACGATATTGATTCTTCCTACCCATGAGCATGGAATGTTCTTCCATTTGTTTGTATCCTCTTTTATTTCCTTGAGCAGTGGTTTGTAGTTCTCCTTGAAGAGGTCCTTCATATCCCTTGTAAGTTGGATTCCTAGGTATTGTATTCTCTTTGAAGCAATTGTGAATGGGAGTTCGCTCATGATTTGGCTGTTTGTCTGTTGTTGGTGTATAAGAATGCTTGTGATTTTTGCACATTGATTTTGTATCCTGAGACTTTGCTGAAGTTGCTTATCAGCTTAAGGAGATTTTGGGCTGAGACAGTGGGGTTTTCTAGATATACAATCATGTCATCTGCAAACAGGGACAATTTGACTTCCTGTTTTCCTAATTGAATACCCTTTATTTCCTTCTCCTGCCTAATTGCCCTGGCCAGAACTTCCAACACTATGTTGAATAGGAGTGGTGAGAGAGGGCATCCCTGTCTTGTGCCAGTTTTCAAAGGGAATGCTTCCAGTTTTTGCCCATTCGGTATGATATTGGCTGTGGGTTTGTCATAGATAGCTCTTATTATTTTGAAATACATCCCATCAATACCTAATTTATTGAGAGTTTTTAGCATGAAGGGTTGTTGAATTTTGTCAAAGGCCTTTTCTGCATCTATTGAGATAATCATGTGGTTTTTGTCTTTGGCTCTGTTTATATGCTGGATTACATTTATTGATTTGCGTATATTGAACCAGCCTTGCATCCCAGGGATGAAGCCCACTTGATCATGGTGGATAAGCTTTTTGATGTGCTGCTGGATTCGTTTTGCCAGTATTTTATTGAGGATTTTTGCATCAATGTTCATCAAGGATATTGGTCTAAAATTCTCTTTTTTGGTTGTGTCTCTGCCCGGCTTTGGTATCAGAATGATGCTGGCCTCATAAAATGAGTTAGGGAGGATTCCCTCTTTTTCTCTTGATTGGAATAGTTTCAGAAGGAATGGTACCAGTTCCTCCTTGTACCTCTGGTAGAATTTGGCTGTGAATCCATCTGGTCCTGGACTCTTTTTGGTTGGTAAACTATTGATTATTGCCACAATTTCAGCTCCCGTTATTGGTCTGTTCAGAGATTCAACTTCTTCCTGGTTTAGTCTTGGGAGAGTGTATGTGTCGAGGAATGTATCCATTTCTTCTAGATTTTCTAGTTTATTTGCGTAGAGGTGTTTGTAGTATTCTCTGATGGTAGTTTGTATTTCTGT
Source organism: Homo sapiens (assembly GCF_000001405.40). Classification (NCBI taxonomy): domain Eukaryota; kingdom Metazoa; phylum Chordata; class Mammalia; order Primates; family Hominidae; genus Homo; species Homo sapiens. Next base: position 69,480,305 of record NC_000009.12, on the reverse strand, counting down.
GGGATCGGTGGTGATATCCCCTTTATCATTTTTTATTGTGTCTATTTGATTCCTCTCTCTTTTTTTCTTTATTAGTCTTGCTAGTGGTCTATCAGTTTTGTTGATCCTTTCAAAAAACCAGCTCCTGGATTCATTAATTTTTTGAAGGGTTTTTTGTGTCTCTATTTCCTTCAGTTCTGCTCTGATTTTAGTTATTTCTTGCCTTCTGCTAGCTTTTGAATGTGTTTGCTCTTGCTTTTCTAGTTCTTTTAATTGTGATGTTAGGGAGTCAATTTTGGATCTTTCCTGCTTTCTCTTGTGGGCATTTAGTGCTATAAATTTCCCTCTACACACTGCTTTGAGTGCGTCCCAGAGATTCTGGTATGTTGTGTCTTTGTTCTCGTTGGTTTCAAAGAACATCTTTATTTCTGCCTTCATTTCGTTATGTATCCAGTAGTCATTCAGGAGCAGGTTGTTCAGTTTCCATGTAGTTGAGCGGTTTTGAGTGAGATTCTTAATCCTGAGTTCTAGTTTGATAGCACTGTGGTCTGAGAGATAGTTTGTTATAATGTCTGTTCTTTTACATTTGCTGAGGAGAGCTTTACTTCCAAGTATGTGGTCAATTTTGGAATAGCTGTGGTGTGGTGCTGAAAAAAATGTATATTCTGTTGATTTGGGGTGGAGAGTTCTGTAGATGTCAATTAGGTCCACCTGGTGCAGAGCTGAGTTCAATTCCTGGGTATCCTTGTTGACTTTCTGTCTCGTTGATCTGTCTAATGTTGACAGTGGGGTGTTAAAGTCTCCCATTATTAAAGTGTGGGAGTCTAAGTCTCTTTGTAGGTCACTCAGGACTTGCTTTATGAATCTGGGTGCTCCTGTATTGGGTGCATATATATTTAGGATAGTTAGCTCTTCTTGTTGAATTGATCCCTTTACCATTATGTAATGGCCTTCTTTGTCTCTTTTGATCTTTGTTGGTTTAAAGTCTGTTTTATCAGAGACTAGGATTGCAACCCCTGCCTTTTTTTGTTTTCCATTTGCCTGGTAGATCTTCCTCCATCCTTTTATTTTGAGCCTATGTGTGTCTCTGCACGTGAGATGGGTTTCCTGAATACAGCACACTGATGGGTCTTGACTCTTTATCCAATTTGCCAGTCTGTGTCTTTTAATTGGAGCATTTGGTCCATTTACATTTAAAGTTAATATTGTTATGTGTGAATTTGATCCTGTCATTATGATGTTAGCTGGTGATTTTGCTCGTTAGTTGATGCAGTTTCTTCCTAGCCTCGATGGTCTTTACATTTTGGCATGATTTTGCAGCGGCTGGTACCGGTTGTTCCTTTCCATGTTTAGCGCTTCCTTCAGGAGCTCTTTTAGGGCAGGCCTGGTGGTGACAAAATCTCTCAGCATTTGCTTGTCTGTAAAGTATTTTATTTCTCCTTCACTTATGAAGCTTAGTTTGGCTGGATATGAAATTCTGGGTTGAAAATTCTTTTCTTTAAGAATGTTGAATATTGGCCCCCACTCTCTTCTGGCTTGTAGGGTTTCTGCTGAGAGATCCACTGTTAGTCTGATGGGCTTCCCTTTGAGGGTAACCCGACCTTTCTCTCTGGCTGCCCTTAACATTTTTTCCTTCATTTCAACCTTGGTGAATCTGACAATTATGTGTCTTGGAGTTGCTCTTCTCAAGGAGTATCTTTGTGGCGTTCTCTGTATTTCCTGAATCTGAACGTTGGCCTGCCTTGCTAGATTGGGGAAGTTCTCCTGGATAATATCCTGCAGAGTGTTTTCCAACTTGGTTCCATTCTCCCCATCACTTTCAGGTACACCAATCAGACGTAGATTTGGTCTTTTCACATAGTCCCATACTTCTTGGAGGCTTTGCTCATTTCTTTTTATTCTTTTTTTCTCTAAACTTCCCTTCTCGCTTCATTTCATTCATTTCATCTTCCATCGCTGATACCCTTTCTTCCAGTTGATCGCATCGGCTCCTGAGGCTTCTGCATTCTTCACGTAGTTCTCGAGCCTTGGTTTTCAGCTCCATCAGCTCCTTTAAGCACTTCTCTGTATTGGTTATTCTAGTTATACATTCTTCTAAATTTTTTTCAAAGTTTTCAACTTCCTTGCCTTTGGTTTGAATGTCCTCCCGTAGCTCAGAGTAATTTGATCGTCTGAAGCCTTCTTCTCTCAGCTCGTCAAAGTCATTCTCCATCCAGCTTTGTTCTGTTGCTGGTGAGGAACTGCGTTCCTTTGGAGGAGGAGAGGCGCTCTGCGTTTTAGAGTTTCCAGTTTTTCTGTTCTGTTTTTTCCCCATCTTTGTGGTTTTATCTACTTTTGGTCTTTGATGATGGTAATGTACAGATGGGTTTTTGGTGTGGATGTCCTTTCTGTTTGTTAGTTTTCCTTCTAACAGACAGGACCCTCAGCTGCAGGTCTGTTGGAATACCCTGCCGTGTGAGGTGTCAGTGTGCCCCTGCTGGGGGGTGCCTCCCAGTTAGGCTGCTCGGGGGTCAGGGGTCAGGGACCCACTTGAGGAGGCAGTCTGCCCGTTCTCAGATCTCCAGCTGCGTGCTGGGAGAACCACTGCTCTCTTCAAAGCTGTCAGACAGGGACATTTAAGTCTGCAGAGGCTACTGCTGCCTTTTGTTTGTCTGTGCCCTGCCCCCAGAGGTGGAGCCTACAGAGGCAGGCAGGCCTCCTTGAGCTGTGGTGGGCTCCACCCAGTTCGAGCTTCCAGGCTGCTTTGTTTACCTAAGCAAGCCCGGGCAATGGCGGGCGCCCCTCCCCGAGCCTCGCTGCTGCCTTGCAGTTTGATCTCAGACTGCTGTGCTAGCAATCAGTGAGACTCCGTGGGCGTAGGACCCTCTGAGCCAGGTGCAGGATATAATCTCGTGGTGCGCGGTTTTTTAAGCCGGTCCGAAAAGCGCAATATTCGGGTGGGAGTGACCCGATTTTCCAGGTGCGTCCGTCACCCCTTTCTTTGACTCAGAAAGGGAACTCCCTGACCCCTTGCACTTCCCAAGTGAGGAAATGCCTCGCCCTGCTTCGGCTGGCGCACGGTGCGCGCACCCACTGACCTGCGCCCACTGTCTGGCACTCCCTAGTGAGATGAACCCAGTACCTCAGATGGAAATGCAGAAATCACCCATCTTCTGTGTCGCTCACGCTGGGAGCTGTAGACTGGAGCTGTTCCTATTCGGCCATCTTGGCTCCGCCGCCCCCTGCTGTGGAATTCTTAAGCATCTCTGTGGCTCACCTGAGGATTCCTTTCATCTCCCAAGATTTCAGAAGCACACAACAATGTTTGGCTATAGGCTGGGGAGTGTTTTCCGGGTCTGTATCAGTCCCATCCCTGTGCTTGCTTGTTTTATTTGCCCATCCATTCAGAAGATGTTTATGGAGCACCTTCTGTGTACACTGACCTGGGAGCTTCCTATACACGTCTAGCAGGGCCTGCCTGCACAGGGAGCTGGGGTCCCATCAGCCCAGGCAATACCACACCCAACCAGGCCATTCTCCCTGAGCCTATTTTTCTAAGCCTTATTTTCCGATACACCGTTTGACAAAGGATTTTTGAACTGTTCTAAGAGCATCCAGGGTAGTGTTTGGATGTTAAAATGCTGAAATGTCTCTGAATTTTCAATAGCCTGTAGACTAAATCAGACAAAATATTTGAAATCTGAATTGACTAGGAAAATACAGGTGGTATGGTTTCTAGCCATCAAAATCAGGCCCAGCTACCTCTTTAAAAATGTGTGTTTTAATTTTTACTTTTTCATTTGGGGCAGGCAATTTTATAAGACATTCGGTACCCTAAATATTTGGCTTCATCAGTAAGAAAAAAATGTTTTAAACATGTTTGTGTAATATCCTTAGCTCAATTCATTTAGGATTTTTTAATTTCAACCTTTTCTGTATTTTCTTTCAACATTTGGCCTAAGGGGAAAAACGGCCCATAGCTATGAAAGCTCCTTTGAAAGCATGGCAGGACTTGAAAAAGAAAGCTTGAAAACCACAAGTGTTTTATGTACAGTTGGCAGCTCCTTTTTAAGAGGTTTTCTCCCCACTGCAGTGTCTGTTCGATTGTGTTCTGCTTTGCTTCTCTCTCCCGGCCCCTTTCCCCCAGCCAAGTGTCTGCCGAGTCTCTCAAGTTCTCACTGTGTTTCCTCTTGCTGTGTTCTAGTCTCCGTCTCCTGGCAGCTCCTCCCCCTTGGGTGCAGAGTCATCAAGCACATCTCTTCACCCCAGTGACCCTGTGGAAGCGTCCACTAATAAAGAGGTAGGGTGCTGTTTTGTTACCAAAGCCATTGGGCCATTTTGCTTTACTCTAATACTGTTCTGTGCTTCCTAATACAGCATCCTACAGCGCTCCTGACCCACATTACCCTGGTGAGAACAATCCTGATTTCTCCTCTCCAGTGTGCAGTTCACCTGTTAAAGCCATGTCATCCAGTTTGATAGCCACTGGCTGCAGGTGCCTAATTAATGAATAAAATGAAAAGTTTATTTCCTCAAGCACAGTAGCCACATTTCAAGTGCTCGGACAGGGTGGATTACAGAGCATTTGCATCACTGCAGGAAATTCTGTTGAACAGCACTTGACCTCAGACACCAAAAACTCGACGTACAGCATCTTTCCTCCTGGCGTTACATGCCTGCTGATGCCATGGGCTTGCAGTTGCTGTGTGCTTTGGGAAATGTGTTAGTTTCTTAAATACCCTTTATTTCAGGCCCAAATGAGATATCTTTCGTAAGAATAGAGTGGCCATACATTCCCAGTTTACCTAGGGTGTGGTTCCAGTTCACACCTGTTGTCCAGGCAGCCCATCTTATGAGCGCCCTTCTCTCTTGCTGGTGCAGTGCCGCCTGCGAGAACTTTCCACGGTGCTGGAAATGTTCCACTTCTGCTCTGTCCACTATGGTAGTCATTAGCCTCATGTGCCTGTCAAACCCTGGAAATGTGGCCAGTGTAACTGAGGAACTGAAGTTTTCATTTTATCCCATTTTAATTAACTTAAATAGCCACGTGTGGCTGCAGACTGCCAGACAGTGCAGCTCTAAAGTATCCCTTTTGGACAACAAATTCTGTGGTCGCCTTGCTTATGTGGAGCATTTCAGTGAGAAGATGCTGCTTTCTCCCATTGAGGTGTCTGGGTCTGAGAAAGGGCAGCCCCAGAGGGGAGACACTGCCTTCCCCCGTACCCAGGGTCCTTTTACACCTAGTGAACTGCCACCCACACCTGCTAATGAGCCAACATCAGGTAAATGTTGGTCTGCGCCATAATCTGTGTGTGGGCTCAGCTCACTCTAAATATAGCTGCTCTCTCATCAACACTGAGGAGATGTGTTAAAGAGGTAAACCACATGATGAACGATGGTTTCCTTTTCCCTCATTTTGCTGATAATTTTATGTTAAATGCAATGAAAAAGAAATCTCTGTTTAAACTGAGTGGCAGATCGCTTTTAAAGGGAGTCTTAGTTAAAATTTACCCTTAAGGCACCCTTGAATACCATATATTTGCCATTAAATATTTACACAAAGGAAAAGTATTTTTTATTAATCTGTTCATATTAAACCAAACAAACAAACATAGACCTTCTCTGAAATGACACCAACATTAGAATTTAGACTAGAAATATACTTTGGTCTCCTCTGGTCTTGAGCCTCAGACACTTGGCCATTGGGAGCACAAGTGACAAGGGCACAGTTTCTGCTGTTCCCACCGTTCCACAGTTTGCTTCATTCTTATATCACATGGTTGGGTGAGAACAAATAGTAAGAAGAAAAGAAGGACAGGTGCCCTGATGATAACAGTCATGAGCACTATCGTTTCTTGAGCATTGACAATGTTCCAGGAACTGGGCTGAGAAAAATCACAGATAGTGTCTCATTTAATTCTTAAAATAATTCTGTGAGGTAGGTATCACTGTCCTCATTTGCTGGTTGAAAAAGCTAAGAGGTTGAATAACTTACCTGAGATTGTAGAGCTCACAAGTGGTCAGCCAGGATTCAAATCCAGAACTCATGGGAACCCGTGCTCTTAACTGCCAAGATCTGCCACTGCTGGAGTAGAAAGTGTTTGCAGGTCACAGACTACATGGACAAGGTACCTTGTCTGTCATTGTTCCAGTTGTCCAATTGTGCCTCCAAGTTCTGCACGAGTCGATTTGTGTGACCCCCAAACCCAAACCCCAAAGATCTTAGCCTTTAGCTTTTTAAATGCAACTTTATTTATTTATTCTTGAAAGTTAAGGATCAACTGATGTTCATCTCAGTCCACATGTGAAATAAAGGGCTAACCAGACATCTAAATATTCAGCATTTGATTATGCATTAGATATAATAAGGCAAATTTGTTAGTTTCTCAGTTCCTACAAGACTTGGCTCATGTTTCTATATATCCTTAGAAATGATGATGAAAATCCTATTTGTGTGTAATAATTAGAGATTCTTTCATTTCACAAAACTCTTTTTAAAAAAATTTACTACCCCAGAGACTAAGAAAGCTAGTCATGAGCTCATGCATAGAGAATAAGTGAATGTACCAAATGCCCTCTGTTGCAGCTTTTTTTTTAAAGATGGTAAACTTTATTTTGCCAAATTATTTTTTTCAAACTTATCTTTTTTTTAATTTTTTTAATTATACTTCAAGTTTTAGGGTACATGTGCACAACATGCAGGTTAGTTACATACGTATACATGTGCCATGTTGGTGTAGCTCTTAATAAAACTGCAGCTTTTAGAGCTATAGACCAAAGTAATTCTTTTGTAGCTTCTGCTAAAATCTGGACACTGTCTAGCATTCAGAAAAGTATCAAAATAGAGCAAGAAAATGTGAATTGACTTCTTAGATATACCTGGAGGCTAAGCAATTCTGATTAAACAAACTCTCATTACCCCAGGCTATAGTTACTTGGGACAAGGGTAGGGAAATGGTTGGGAAATAATAACTTAAAAGTTTTAGGCCCCTATGAAGATGCTAGCTTCCATCTGCATACCATGAAGTTATGAGGGTTTTTTTCTTTTCTTTAAACCATCCTGAATTAGACAGATTTGGCTGTTGGCTCTCAACTGGGCCTATCTTCTCACTTAGGTAAGTGGAAAATAAAATTAACGTAAAGCACTGCTGAAACTGGAGTTCTCTTTCCCCCTATCCACATATCCTGGCTTTTATTTGGTGTGCATTTTCTCATAAATGCATTACTAGCCAGTAACTTTTCATTCCTGATGCACTAGAAACCCACCCACTTTGGTGTGCAGAACCATTTCATCCCAGTGAGCACACATGCAGCAGGTTTACTGAAAAGCTGCCCTGTACAATGTATTATTGTGTGATTAGTGTTGAATTGTCATTATCCTGAATTGAGCTGGAGTCTTACAACTAGGTTTCTTCAACTGCCCCAATTTTTCACAAAACAATTAAAACTACTATTTTTAGACTGTTGTCCAAGTATTAACCAAGTTATCATCCCTTTGCCATTCCCATCCTCCAAGGAAAGAGCACTGTGTCAAGTGCTAGGTTAGGGAGTTGCTCCCCATGACATCCCAACACTCACCCAGGGCGCTTTCCTCATCCAGCCTGCCAGGCACCCCAGAGTCTTCCCTCTATGCAGGTCAGCCTATCCAACAGCTATTCAGTGCCAGATATCTTTCCTCTTAAAGTCATGCATTTAAATAATCACCTAAGAACCGGGTAGGTTCTCAGCAATGGAATTCTTGGCCATGCAAACCTTACCTTCTGCCCATTTTAGGGACTTGTCTTTAACACTAGCTCTCCACTCTCCTGTGATGCTTGTATCACCCTGGTCCAGACACACTAGCTACAAATTCTACTACTGGTGGAAGCAGGGGTGAATTTTTTTCTCTTATCTCAGTCAGTGTTACATCTAGGACATCTGCTTCTGAAAGGAACGTATGGTGAGTTTTGCTCCTCTGATAGCAGGCAGTTAAGCTGCCATCTAGTCAGGCTCTAAAAGGTGTCTAGCTCATCATCTCTGCTTCCAACAGTGCTGTGAGAACGCTGACCTTTGCTCTGAGGTGCAAAAGAAATTCCAGGGTTTTTAATTTACTCCTTTGTTGTGTTCTTATTCAGATAACACACAATAATGATTTATATAATGGAGTTTTTCAACTAAAATAAATCAGTAGGAGATGAAGAGATTTTTAAAAACTCTAGCACACATTTTTAGCACAGTGAGAGATCACTGTGGCAAAGAGTAAAATAAATTTCTCTGAGAGAATTCTTAATTTCAGCTATAATCATAGCATTGGTGCTTTCACTAATCAGTTTTTCACATGGAAATGCAGATCCTTAAGAATACAAATTGTGCCCTTTTTATTGTTGTTAGAGACTTGTCTGTGGGATTGTTTTTTAGTTGGCAAATACCTCTCTGATTGTGAAATGTAAGATTTCTAGATTATCTAAAATATGAATGGACTATTCTGGGTTTTAGGTAACCTTTACTAATAAATGCATGTTTATCTGCACTTTACTTTCTCTAACTAAAAATGATCAATAATTGGTAACTGCCACTGATTATGTATTTATTTTTCATGTTGCATGGATGATTGTGTTAATTCATATTTCATTATGCTTTGCTCTTTTTGAAACCTCTTTGTCTTTATTACAGTCAAGAAAAAGCTTGGCTTCATTCCCAACCTACGTTGAAGGTAAGAGCTGAAAAGAAAATACTGAGCACTGAGTCATTCATGAATCTTTTAGCATTGGGGCATATGAAGCACTGAGATATAAGACAATGGAAGGGAAGAAAGGCCACAAAGTCACTTATTCACAATGTTAGCAGTCTTAGGATCTTAGACTCAAAGAATGATAGCTGGGAGCCTCTCAGAAATCCTCCTCACGTCTTTGCTCATTATGTGGATGAGGACTCTGAAATTGGAGTCGAAGCTGTGGGCTTTACCCAGTGTCATGCAGCTTAGCAGTGGTCACACTGGATCCAAAACCCAAGTCTCCTTATTCTGTCTCTGTGCACTTCATACATTCAAAAAGAAAAATTCAAGTGGGAATGAACATTAACTAAGGCAGAAATTTTGGTCTTTTTTAATAAGAAAAACCTTCCCAGCAATTTTCATCTATTACGTGGATGAGCTAGTAATAGTAACAGTTACTGCATGCTTACTCTGCCAGGTTCTGTTCTAAGCACCTCCCATGTAATAACTAATTGAATCCTCACTTCAATCCTGTGAAGTGAGTTTTATTATTATCCCCATGTTATAATGAGACAACTGAGGCATCAAGAGGGTAACTTGCCCAAGATCCCACAGTTGGCAGTGCAGACCCAGGCTATGAATTGGCAGGCTGGCACCATACTTCTCTCTGGAAACCGGTGTCTTTGTGGGGCTGCCACACATGGTTGTGCAGGTTACTCACTGCACAAGGGCACCTACTCTAAGGCCAGGTGGGGCCAAAGTTCCGCCAAGCTCTGCACTCCAGCTGGAGACTGTACCATCCAAATGGGGCACCAAATCAGGCATCATTTCTCATTCACAAAGAGGCACTCACTCTCTGGCTAGAGGTGATGCTGAGGGTCCACCTGGGTGCATCGCCATTTCCTTGAAGGAGGCTTTTCTGGAGGCCAGAGAACGCCCAGACATCTCTCTGAGGGTGTGTCTGGACTTTGGATCCTGTGCGTAAACAGTCATTGTGTTCCACTGCCTGGGAAAGGGTTACCAGGGCTCATAAACCTTCATGAACCCTTGGGCTCAAAGCCCAGGACAAGCTCACAGTTTTGGTTTAGTTACTTAGGTTTCTC